>NC_000002.12:218114618-218739618 GCF_000001405.40 Homo sapiens
GTTAACTAATAAGCCAATTTGGATAGAACAATGGCTGCTGAGTAAAGAGAAACTGGGGCCTTTAGAGGACTTAAAATTGGCCTTTAATAGTCATAGATTTAAAAGACTATTTCTTTACTATCCCCTTAGCTGAGCAAGACTGTAAACGGTTTGCATTTACAATTCCTGCAGTAAACAACCTGCAGCCTGCTAACTGTTTTCATTGTTTTACAGATGGGTCTAGTAATGGTAAAGCTTCTTATTCTGGCTCAAAAATTAAAGTTTTCCAGACTTCCTATACTTCAGCTCAAAAGCAGAGCTTGTAGCTGTAATTGAGGTATTGACTGCTTTTGATATGCCTATTAATGTGATTTCTGATTCTTCATACATGTTTCATTCCACACAGTTAATTGAAAATGCTCAGTTATGATTTCATACAGATGAACAACTGATGACAAAAACAAAAAAGGGGGAGAAACAGGGATTACAAAACAGCCCATATACAACTGAATCTAGCATTATTAACTTTAAATTTTTTGAGCCTGCCCAAATGCCAGATATTATCAGCAGCTGAACAGCATCTACAGAAACCAGCTGCAAAGACAAAAGCAGAACAGCTGGTTTGGTGGAGAGATCCAATAACAGAAAGTTAGGAAATAGGTAAAATAATAACTTGGGGTAGAGGTTATGCTTGTGTTTCTCCAGGCCAAAAGCAACAGCCAATTTGGATACCATCAAGACACCTGAAAGCTTATCATGAGCCAGATGCCAAGGAAGAGACTCTGGGAGGATCCCCAGGATCCCGAGGAACCCCCGGTTGCAGCCATGTTTAGGCTGATGCTGAGAAGGACCTCAACTGTCATGAGCAACACTCATCGAACACAGCCACCCACCTAGGGACAGATCAAGAAGCTGTCACAGATGGTGGAAGAAAACCTGAGTTAAGCAGGACAACCAGTCACAATGAGTAATTTAATGGTAGCTATGATAGTGGTGATCACCATTGCCATGAGTATTCCTTCAACAAGGGCTGACACAGGAACAATTATACTTATTGGGCATATTTATCAATCTTGGCTGGCAATAATGCCTGGATATAACCACTCTATGGCATAGTTGCACATGCTTTCTGATCCCAGTATTTACCATAATAAATCTGCTCCTATAATTGAGGCATACCACCCTCAAAAACCTATTTGTAAACAAAATAGAACCTGGCCAGAAACAATGAACATACTTGTTTAGGAAAATTGCATTGCAGAACAGGCAGAGGTGCTGCACAATGATTCCTATGGAATCATTATTGATTGGTCCCCTAAGGGGATGTTTAGCTTAAATTGCCCCTCTCAGTCTGTGTGCCATGGCCACACTATGTTCAGCTGGTCTGAACAAAACGGTCAGATGGTAGAAATGCCAAGAAGTATGGCAAGAGTTCCTATTATCTGGAACCATGGCAGTATAGTGGCCCCTCAACCTCAAATGATATGGCCTGCTCTAGGAGCTTAACATAAGGATTTGTGGAAACTACTAATAGCTCTTAATAAGATCAAAATTTGAGAAAGAATTTAAAAAGCATCTAGAAGGACACTCTACAAACTTGTTTTTGGATATTGCAAAATTAAAAGAATAAATATTTAAAGCATCCCAGGCACATTTGACCTTAATGCCAGGAACTGGAGTGCTTGAAGGAGATGCAGACAGATTAGCAGCTAGTAACCCATTAAAATGGATAAAAAAACTTGGAAGCTCTGTGATTTCAATGATGATTGTGCTTTTAATCTATGTTGTTTGTCTTCGTATAGTCTGCAGATGCAGATCCTGACTCTTACAAGAAGTAGCTCACCATAACAAAGCTGCCTTTGCTTTTATCACTTTGCAAATCAAAGAAGGGGGACATGTTGGGAACAGCCCCCCCCCCCCAAAATCTGGCTATTAACTGGCCCCAAAATTGGCCATAAACAAAATCTCTGCAGCACTGTGACATGTTCTGGCCATGACACCCACGCTGAAAGGTTGTGGGTTTACCAGAATGAGGCAAGGAACACCTGGCCCACCCAGGGCGGAAAACCATTTAAAGGCATTCTTAAACCACAAACAATAGCATGAGTGATCTGTGCCTTAAGGATATGCTCCTGCTGCAGATAACTAGTCAAACCCATCCCTTTATTTCAGCCCATCCCTTTGTTTCCCATAAGGAATGCCTTTAGTTAATCTATAATCTATAGAAACAATGCTTATCACTGGCTTGCTGTCAGTAAATACGTGGGTAAATCTCTGTTCAAGGTTCTCAGCTCTGAAGGCTGTGAGACTCCTGATTTCCCACTCCACAGCTCTATATTTCTGTGTGTGTGTCTTTAATTCCTCTAGCACCACTGGGTTAGGGTCTCCCCGACTGAACTGGTCTCGGCAGTTAGCAGTCATGCTCAATTGGTTCCCCATCCTCTGGGAGAAAAGTGGCAGGGTTGAGGGCCATGCATATACATATTTGAAGCACTGGTCCCTCAAGGAGTGGCACCTGGTATCTAAGTAGGTGGTTGTCTGATAGCCATAAACTTCCTTTGGCACCTAGTATGCCATTTACATCATGAATAGTCCAGACAGTGATATACTTTCCTTGTATTATTTTGATAGCCTCTGACACAAAGACAGCCACTGCCACAACTACCCATAAACAGTGAGGCCAGCCTTTTGCTACTACATCAATTTCCTTACTTAGGTATGCCACTGGTTGTGGGTTGTTCCACGAGTTTCAGTAAGGACTGCAAGAGCTATCCCTGCTCTCTCTGTGACGTATAAAGAGAAGTTTTGTCCTGTGGGAAGGCTTAAAGCTGGAGCTTGTACTAGGGCCTGCTTTAAGGTTTTGAAGGCTGTTTCTGCCCCTGGTTCCCATTCTACTAGATGAATATTTGCCCTCTGGGTCTCCTTGATTAGAGTATAGAGAGGCCTGGCTATCTCGCTGTATCTGGGGATCCATAGTCAGCAAAAGCCAGTGATTCCAAGGAACCCCCACAACTGTTTTAATGTCTTAGGGTGAGGATAAGCCAATATAGTCTGTATTTGTTCCTTGCTAAGGGCCCTGGTCCCTCTGGCTAAGATGAGGTCTAGATATTTGACCTGCTGTAGGCAAATATGGGCCTTCTATCTAGATGCCTTGTACCCTTGATTAGCTGGAAAGTTCAAGAGATCTAGAGTAGCCTGATGATATGAGGCTTCCAAACTGGTAGCCAAAAGTAAATCATCCACATACTGAAGGACCAGAGTGCCTGGACTTGAGAAGTGGCCTAGATCTTGGGCCAGTGCCTGACCAAACAGATGAGGGCTATCCCTAAACGCCTGGGGCAAGTTCACCCACATAAGTTGGGACACGTGGTTGTGGGATCCTCAAAGGCAAAGAGAAACTGGGAGTCAGAGTGCAGGGGAATACAGAAGAAGGCATCCTTGACATCCAGAACAGTGAACCATTCTGCTTCCTCTGGTATTTGAGAGAGCAGGGTATAGGGGTTGGGTATAACTGGATATAGAGGAATTACTGCCTCATTGATGAATCTAAGATCTTGCACTAGTCTCCACTAACCATTTGGTTTTTGTACTCCTAGAATTGGGGTGTTGCAGGGACTGCTGCATTTCCTTATTAAGGCTTGAGCTTTAAAATGTTTAACAATATTCTGTAATCCTTTATGAGCTTCAGGCCTTAAGGGATATTGCCTTTGATAAGAAAAAGTGGTGGGGTCTTTTTGCCTGATTTGGACTGAGCGGGCATTTTTTGCCCTTCCAAATTGTCCTTCCAATGCCCAGACTTCAGGGTTGATTCCCTCCTCAAATAGGGGACAACAAATGGGTAACTTGTTCCCCATATTCATGTAGATAATAGCTCCATCTTTGGCTAGTATATCCCTCCCTAATAAGGGTGTGGGACTTTCAGGCATGACAAGAAAGGCATGTGAAAAGAGCAAAGTCTCCCAATTACAACTGAGGAGGTGGGAGAAATACCTGGTTACAGGCTGTCCCAGGATTCCTTGGATGGTAATGGACCTTGAGGACAGTCGTCCAGGACAAGAGACTAACACTGAGAAGGCCACACCAGTGTCCAGGAGGAAGTCAATTTGCTGGCCTTCAATGGTTAAACATACCCGGGACTCAGTGAGGGTGATGACATGAGCTGGTGCTTGCCCCAGGCACCCTCAGTCCTGTTGTTGGATCATCTGGTTGGGGGCTTGTGGCCCAGAGAAACTTTGACCTCTGGGGCAGTGTGCCTTCTAGTGATTGCCTCGGCATAGTGGACATGGGCAAGGGGGCAGCTTGTTTCTCATTGGACAATCTTTTTTAAGGTGTCCTTGTAAACCACACTGATAACAAGCCCTACTGGGTGACTGGCCTGCTCCATTTTCTGTCCTCTCTGAACCACCAAGGTTTGTTTGTCTGAGGGCCATGACTAAGACTGCAGCCTTTCTCTGATCTCGCCTTTCCTCTTGGGCCTGTTCTTCTTGGTCCTTATTATAGAACACTGAGGTTGCCAGGTTTAATAATGCCTCCAGATTTTGTTCAGGGCTGAGGGCTTGCTTTTGGAGCTTTCTCCTGATATCTGCAGCTGATTGGGTAATAAATTTATCTTTTAGAATCAATTGACCCTCTAATGAGTGGGGTGACAGGGGAGTATATTTTCTTAAGGCCTCCAATAGCTGCTCAAGGAAGTCAGAAAGATTTTCTTCCTTTGCCTGAGTTATGGTAGATATCATTGAATAATTTATGGGCTTTTTCCTAATTCTCCTTAGTCCTTCTAGAACACAGGTCAACAGATGTTTATGACTCCAGTCCCCATGATCTGAGTCAAGGTCCCAGTGGGCATCCATACTGGGGATGGCTTGCTGACTGGTAGGGAATCTGTCCCTTTCTTTGGATGTCATTCTATCATTTACTTGACTAAGATACCAGGTATCTCCAAACTCTCAGGCTGCAGCTAAAGCCGCATTCTTTTCATTAAAGGCCAGGGTTTGATCTAACAATAGCATGACATCTCTCCAAGTGAGATCAAAGGTTTGCCCTAGACCCTGTAGAATATCTATATACCTATCAGGATCATCTGAAAATTTCCCCAGGTCTGCGTTGATCTGCTTTAAATCAGAGAGGGAGAAGGGGACATGTACACGGCTTGGGCCAGATTCCCCTCCCCCTACAGCTTGAAGGGGACATAACCGATAGTCCAGGGCTTTTTGTGGTCCTTTGGAGATTTCTTTGCTTATTTCCTTCTGGGCAAGGGAGATTAGATGAGGCTTATCATTAATAGGAAAGGGAACCATAGGGAGGCTAGGATATGGGGGTAAGCTGAAAGGTCCTCCTGTGGGATGTAAATTGCAAGCTTTGCATAGTTGTGTATTCTCCTTCAATGAAAAGAAAGCTTGGACATAAGGTATTTCACTCCATTTGCCTTCCCTCTTACAGAAAAGGTCAAGCTGCAGGATAGTATTGTAATTTATACTTCCCTCAGGTGGCCATTTTTCCCCATCAGAGAAAGAATATTGGGGCCAGGCAATAGTGCAGAAAAAAATGAGCCACCTGTTTTTCAGGGTTTGCAGGTCAAATTGGTCCCAATGGCTTAGGATGCATTTTAAGGACGAGCCTGTTGATGCCTGAGTGTTTCCCATCTGAAAGACAAAACTGCCCGTGGTTTTGGATTGTTTGTTTCTCCCCCTGCCCAAGAACCTGCAATGGTCCCTGGACCCTGCTGATTGGAATAGTTGCACTCACTGACACAGCAGCAGAAACGTCTCTTGCCCAAGGACCTGCAACAGTCCCTGGACCCTGCTGATCGGAATAGTTGCACCCACCGATGCAGCAGCAGAAACACTAGTTTTCCTCCTAGACCACAAAGAGGACCAAGGAAGATCAGATTTAGTGGTCCTTACTGATGCATTCTCGAAAACCTGCACCGTTGCCTGTCCTCCTAGACCCCAAAGAAGACTGAGAAAAATCAGATTTAGTGGCCCTTACCAACACATTCTCAAAAACCTGTTAGAGTCCTAAGCATTCTCCTGTTAGTACTGGGATCTTACCCGTGTCCTATAAAGATGTTATGCCCCAAAAATGAAGTGGAGGGCCATACCCTGAGGGAGGGAAGGGATCTCCAGAGTTGGAAGAGTGATGCCTTTTGTCCTTATTTATATGAATAGTAAGGATACAATTTCTGAGGCTCCCCATATCCTAGCTTCAGGAATAGCTTTTGTTAGGCCTGCTTGTCTGAGGAGGGATCCTAAAATTCCAGATAGTCCCCCCATGATGGTGCTTTGGGCAAAAATTATGTCTTTCTGATTGGTGAGCCAGGGTGCCTAAAGAAGGTAACAGAGTCCTGAAGTTTATACTAGAAATCATTCTTACAGAAGAAACTAGAAAAGCACCAGAGACAGGGAGTGGTTTTTAGAAGCGGGACTAGCCTTGGAGAAGAGAGGCGAGAGGAAGTTTGTCTGACAGGCATTAGGACCCAGGAGGCAACGGTCAGGATAGATAGGATAGATGGGCGAGTCTCACTTGGGCGACATGACTTTGAGAGCTCCGCTCATGGCCATAGGTTCAACCAACTTGTTGTCAGGACCCCAGAGCTGAATGGCTTTCCTCTCTGTTGACCCTCAACTCAGCCCAGTATTACAGGAAAAGCAGAAGCTGGTTCCAGGCAAACCAACGCTCCCAACTCCGAAGAGTCGGGGATTGTTAGAGAGCCCTTCCCAAGAAAGCCTGACACCCGTGTCTTTAGTCCGGCAGCTGTGCTAGTTGCTTTTAACTGGCTGACAGGTGCCCGGTATTTAGCCCTCGAATTCTAAGGAAAAACAGGACAGAATAGCAAGTGAAAGGGGTCTGATGGTACTCACCACTTGGCAATAGGCAATAGTCCCTTCATGGTCACCAAAATGTGTCCAGAATTGGTTCCTTCCAGTGGGTTCTTGGTCTCGCTGACTTCAAGAATGAAGCCACGGACCCTTGCAGTGAGTGTTACAGTTCTTAAAGATGGTGTGTCCAGAGTTTGTTCCTTCAGATGTTCAGATGTGTCCAGAGTTTCTTCCTTCCGGTGGGTTTATGGTCTTACTGACTTCAGGAGTGAAGCTGCAGGCCTTCACAGTGAGTGTTACAGCTCTTAAAGGTGGTGCATACAGAGTTGTTTGTTACTCCTGGCAGGTTCGTGGTCTCACTGACTTCAGGAGTGAAGCCGCAGACCTTCACAGTGAGTGTTACAGCTCATAAAGGTAGTGCAGACCCAAAGAGTGAGCAGCAGCAAGATTTATTGTGAAGAGTGAGAAAACAAAGCTTCCACAGCATGGAAAGGGACCCGAGCAGGTTGCCGCTGCTGGCTCAGGTGGCCAGTTTTTATTTCCTTATTTGGCCCTGCCCATGTCCTGCTGATTGGTCCATTTTACAGAGTGCTGGTTGGTCCATTTTTACAGAGTGCTGATTGGTGCATTTACAAACCTTTAGCTAGACACAGAGCACTGATTGCTGTGTTTACAATCCTTTAGTTAGACAGAAAAGTTCTCCAAGTCCCCACCCGACCCAAAAATCCAGCTGGCTTCACCTCTCAATGTGAGTTAGTGTTCTATTCATCATATTAGTTGTTACCTAGATACTTTGTTTTTTTCATTGTGTTATTGTTTTATAGGCCCTGTGAGATTTATGCTTTAAGGAAGTTCTAATTTGGTGCACATAAAGCTTTTGTTTAAATATTTAAAACTCTTTTTAGCATTTCTGATAATGCTGGTTTAGTAGTGGCAATTTCTCTCAGCATTTGTTTGTCTGAAAAAAGACTTTATCTCTCCTTCATTTATGAAGCTTAGTTTTGCTGGATACAAAATTCTTGGCTGACAATTATTTTGTTTAAGGAAGGTAAAGATAGGACCCCAATCCCTTCTGGCTTGCAAGGTTTCTGTGAGAAATCTGCTGTTAGTCTGACAGGTTTTCCTTTATAGGTTACCTGATGTTTTTGTCACACAGTTCTTAAAATTCTTTCCTTCTTGTTGACTTCAGATAACCTAATGACTATGTGGCTAGGTGATAATCTTTTTGTAATGAATTTCCCAGAAGTTCTTTGAGCTTCTTATATTTGGGTATCTAGATCTCTAGCAAGGTCAGGGAAGCTTTCCTCAATTATTCCCTCAAACACGTTTTTCAAACTTTTAGACTTATCTTCTCCCTCAGGAATACCAATTATTCTCAAGTTTGGCTGTTTTACATAATTTTATATTTCTTGGGGACTTTGTTCATTTCTTTTGGTCTTTTTTTTTTATCTTTGTCTGATTGGGTTAATTCAAATGCCTTGTCTTTAAGCTCTGAAATTTTTTCTTCTAATTGTTCTAGTCTATTGTTGAAACTTTCCACCACATTTTGTATTCCCTAAGTATGCTTTCATTTCCAGAAGTTTTGATTAGTTTTTCTTTACGATATATACCCTCCAGAAATTTTTTCATTCATATCCTGAATTGGTTTTTTTAAATTTCTTTATGTTGGTTTTTACTTTTCTCTGGTATCTCCTTAAGTAATTAATGATCAACCTTCTGGGCCGGGCACAGTGGTTCACATCTGCAATCCCAGCATTGTGGGAGGCCGAGGCAGGCAGATCATTTCAGGCCAGGAGTTCGAGACCAGCCTGGTCAACATGGTGAAACCCCATCTCTACTAAAAATACAAAAATTAGTTGGGCATGGTGTCACATGCCTGTAATCCCAGCTATTCAGGAGGCTGAGGCAGGAGAATCACTTGGGCCCGGGAGGCAGAAGTTGCAGTGAGCCGAGATCACACCATTGCACTCTAGCCTGAGCAACAAGAGTGAAAATCTGTCCCAAAATATTATTAATAATAATAATAACAATAATAATAATAATAATAATCAACCTTCTGAATTCTTTGTCTGGTATTACAAAAATTTCATCTTGGTTTGGATTTATTGCTGGAAAGTTAGTGTGATCTTTTGGGGGTGTTACAGAACCCTGTTTTGTCATATTGCCAGAATTACTTTTCTGGTTCCTTCTCATTTGGGTAGACTATTTCTTCAAGTTATTCTTGAATTTATTTTTGATTTGACTTTTTTTTTTTTTTTGAGATGGAGTTTCGCTCTTGTTACCCAGGCTGGAGTGCAATGTCTGATCTCGGCTCACTGTGACCTCCACCTCCCCGATTCGAGTGATTCTCCTGTCTCAGCCTCCCGAGTAGCTGGGATTACAGGCATGTACCAGCACACCCGGCTAATTTTGTATTTTTAGTAGAGACAGGATTTCTCCATGTTGGTCAATCTGGTCTTGAACTCCTGACCTTAGGTGATCTGCCAGCCTCAGCTTCCCAAAATGCTGGGATTACAGGCGTGAGCCACCACGCCCAGCAACTATGTTTTTTTTTTATTTCTTTTTCTTCCCTCTTAAGGATCTGACTTTAATATTTATAGTTTATTTTAGCCTAATTTGATCCTTGGTTTTTAGGAGTGAAGACTTTTGGATTTTAGGAGTGAAGACTCTGTATGAGTTCGTTAGTTAGAGACAGTCCTTGTGTGCTGGCTTTCCCAGATCCTGGTTGTAGCAGTTACGTACTTGGTGTGTGGGAAGGTTTACTGTCTCCTACAGGGTTGGAATGGCAGGAATCTCTTTAAGCTTACCTCATTCTCTCGTGGGGTACTCTTTATTTATTTATTTAATTTTTCCCCAGTATTTTACTTACTGAGTTGATTCAGGCTTTGGACCAGTAGGGGAAGTATCCCTGGGTAGGCACCAGATGTAGCTAAAGTAGGTGGGTAGGCACCGGTTGTAGCTAAAGCAGGTGGGCAGAGATCCCAGCCTTGATGAGAGTGCCTGGGAGAGCTCTCAATTAGATGTGCTGAGGTTTTGTCAGGGTGAAGGGTAGGAGCTACCTCAGGTCCCCCACTAGGCCAGCTGGAAAGCTATCCACCTCCCAGCTTCACTCCTTTCCCAGTGTTCCAGCTATTCAGATCAGACAGGCAGTTATTTTCATCTGTAGAAATGTTGATGTTCCAAGTAGAGAGGAATTGTGACTGCCTGTCATGCAAACCTGAATCTGGGGAGTGCTCCTCCCGTGGGGATGCAATCACCCTGATTTGTTCCAGGAAGGCTGTCTATAGGTGCATCAATGCTGCGTTCCTTTGGGAGAAGCCCCAGCTCTGTCTGCAGTGGCGTACCAGGGGGAACAAGGATCCCTTCTCTAAGACCCTTCACAATACCAGAGGCTGCCTGCCTATTGGGTAGAGGTGCAAACTTTCCCCCACTCTGCCCAGCACAGCAATTGTCTCTGCAATAGGAAACTTCCCACCAGTGAAAAGATCTGGGACTCAAGCCCTGCCATTCAGATTCTTTTGTTCCACAGGGTATTCCCTTGATGTGATGTTCTTCCCCTTCCTCTAGGAATGGGACTTCCTGGAAGCCAGACTACAGTGCTCTTCTGGGTCTAGCCACCCAGTGGGCCTACCAGACTCTGGGCTGGTGCTAGGGAATGTCTGCAAGGGATCCAGTGGTGTTACCTGTCTTCAAGACTCCCAGCAGTGAATACCAGCACCATCTCTGACAGAAGTGGGAGGGGAGTGATGCAAACTCTGCAAGATTCCTTGGTTGTAGATAGACTTAGAGTATTGACTTTCTCAAATGCTGGTTATAATTATAGTGAACTTATCACGTGGACAGACGCAGGACTTCTGGTTAGCCAGGGTGTTGTAAGCAGTGGTGATAGCTGAGAATATGCAGCCGTTTTCTCCTTCCTGGGTACAGTGCTATTCTGCCTAGAGGTGAGTTTTTGCCTGTCTCACAGAGTAGGCTGCAGCCTGCCACTTCTTTCAAAAGTTCTGTGGATTCTTTCAGCTTTCCTGTTCAGTTCCTGCATTCGTTCCTGGAGAAAAAAAAATTATAGTGTGAATCTCTACACGCTATTCTGTCCTTCCAGATGGGAGAGGCATGCTAATGCTGCCTCCAATCTGTTGTCTTGGGGGGAAAGAAAGCAATTTGTTTTTGTTTTTTTTTTTAATGGATTTGCTGGGTTTAGTAACCCAGAGGTCATTGGGAACCTTGGCGAAAGTTATTTCAGTGGAGCAGTAGGAAGGAAGCCAGTTGCAGTGTCTTTGTTGAGCAGCAGAGGGGAGGTGAGGAAGTGGAGAGAGCAGCTGTGGTGGCTGAAGGGTGCTAGGACAGAGGGAGCATGATAAAGCCATAAGTAAGATGTGGTAGAAGGGAAAGAGCCAGGACAGAGGGGAGAGAAAGCAGGATCCTCAAGGACCAGAGAGGCAGTGGGTCCCACAGTCAGGTGCGGGGATTCAACAGAAACAGAAGGAGGGACGCTTCTCACTCTGACCCCGGAAAGAAGGAAGAAACTGCGTGCGAGTTCAGACAAGTCCGTTGGCGGGGGCTGGGATGCCTGCATCTTCCTTGTTAAAAAAGGAAGTGCAGGTTCAAAACATTCAGAGACAGAAGGTGGATAGACAAATCTCCACCTTCAGACTGGTAGGCTCCTCCAGAAGCCATCAGACAGGAAGATGTGAAAATCCCCAGCACTCATCCCAGAATCACTAAGTGGCACCTGTCCTGGGCCAAAGTCCCAGGACAGACCTCATTGTTCCTCTGTGGGAATACCTCCCCAGGAGGGCATCCTGGATTTCCCCCTTGCAACCCAGGTCAGAAGTTTCATCGTCAAGGTTGTTTCATCTTTTTTTTCCTGTCTAACAGCTCTGACTACCACCCAACCTTGAGGCACAGTGAAGACATCGGTGGCCACTCCAATAACAGCAGGTAGGTGACTTGTTCAGTCTGAGATGCTGGCAACATATTTCTAATGGAAGAGATCTGGAAACTTCAGCCTCCTCTGAGGCCCCTGAGAACTGGGGTGATGAAGTGTAGAAGCTTAGAGCTAAAGACAACTAAGTCTTCACCTAGACAGTGTTGCACAAAAGAATTTTCTGCAATAATAGAAATGTCCTAGACCTGCCCTGCCCAGTATGGTAGCCACTAGTCACACGTGGCCACGGAGCACTTGAAATGTGACTAGTGTGACTGCGGATCTCAATTTTTATTTCATTTTATTTTATTTTATTTTTTCTTTTTTGAGACAGGCTCTCACTCCAATGCCCAGGCTGGAGTGCTGTGGCATGATCTTGGCTCATTGCAACCTCAACCTACAGGTCTAGGTGATTCTCCCACCTCAGCCTCCCAAGTAGCTGCAGCTACAGGCATGTGCCGCTACACTCAGCTAATTTTTTGGGTTTTGTTTGTTTGTTTGTTTTGTTTTTGTTTTTGTAAAGACAGGGTTTCGTCATGTTGCCCAGGCTGATCTCAAACTCCTGGGCTCAAGCGATCCGCCCACCTCGGCCTCCCAAAGTGCTGGGATTACAGGCATGGGCCACCTTGCCTGGCCTTTATTTTAATTAATTTTAATTTAAATAGCTACACATGGCTAGTAGCTAGCATGCTGAACAGAATAGAATTAGAAGAAGCTCCCGTTTTCCAAAGGCACACAACAAGGCCCAGAAAGAATGACTTCTCCAAGCAGGATTAGAAGCCAGGTTTTTGTTTTGTTTTTGTTTGAGACAGGGTTTTGCTCTGTCGCCCAGGCTGGAATGCAATGGCACAATCTCGGCTCACTGCAACTTCTGCCTCCCGAGTTCAAGCAATTCTTATGCCTCAGCCTCTGGAGTAGCTGGGATTACAGGCGTGCGCTGCCACGCCTGGCTAATTTTTGCATTTTTAATAGAGGCGGGGTTTCACCATGTTGGCCAGGCTGTTCTGTAACTCCTGGCCTCGAGTGATCCACTCACCTCAGCCTCCCAAAGTGCTGGGATTACAGGCATGAGCCACCGCACCAGAAGCCAGTTTTTTAATTCACTCCACCCTGCATATAACCGCAGTGATCTCCATGGAAATGAAATTGACCTAAGGAGCATGAAGAAGGAGGCTGACTGGGAAATGTCAAATCTGGGCTCCCCTCTCTACATCCTTTGTATCTGACTTTCTGGGACACAGGGAGGTACCTAATGGAGCTCAGAAACTTTAGGCTGGGATCCTGCTCCTTATTACAGTGAACAGGAGATAGGATTTGAGAGCAGATTTTTAGAAGTTTTTTAAACTGAAAACCTAGTTCAGCTGTGTCACTCTAGGTATGTTGCTTAACCTCTCAGAGTCTTCATTTCCTCTTCCAGAAAGTGCCTGCTTCGTGAGGTTATCCTGAGGATTAATTGATACAAATTCTGGAAAGCACTTTGCCCAGAAGCTAGAACCTGGTAGACACTCAACATTACAGCTAATATGACAATTAATATCCAGGTCAAAGTAAATTAGATGTCATCAAAGTCAGCCTTGAAAGCAGACCCACTGCCGACTGCTTTCCCTTGACTGGGGATGTAGTGAGAGAGGCAGCATGTTATCAGTGAATAAACTATTCCAGTAATAATGATCACAACAATAAAGGTTAACATTGTACTTTATGTATGTTTTACGTGATTTACAAGCAATCCCTCATTTCATCCTCACCACAACCCCATGAGTTGGATTCTGTATTGGCCCCATTTTACAGATGAGTAAACTGAGACTCAGAAAGGAAAAGTCACTTGCCCAGAATTGCTCAGCTAGCCCTGGTGTCATCTGCCTCTCTCCATATGTAATAAGCCTCTATCTGGTTTTAGCATCAACTGGCCAGGTGGCATTGCATTCTTCCCCAGCTTGGGAAAGAGAGGTGACAAAGACTAAGAAACATTTGCTGAACAGTTGGACTCAAAGATTCTTTCTTTGGGGTAGGCAGGCAATTTAAGTGCGTCTGCCACAGGGATTGAGTCCCCTCTGGGCCCTGGGATGCATGGAGCAAGAGATAGGGTAAGGAATAATGGAGGGGATTGAGGTGTTGTTCACTGGGGTGGGCACTTGTGAGACAGCAGAATTAGTGTTCATGGCTCTGCCTGGATTAATTCATTCATTTGTAATCAATAGCAAATTGATAAAATACATTCTTAGGGTCACTTAACATTGTTTTTAAAAATGCATTTGGACTTTGGTGGAATCTTCCCTTTTACCAAAAGGCTTTCTTTCCAAATTAGAGGGTCTTGGCTCCAAGGGTGGTAAGCTGCTGCAGAGTTGGTGTCCTCAGACCCAATGCCAAGTGTGCGAAACAAGAAAGAATATCAATACCCAGAGATGGACTTGTGGTCAGAGCAGATGGTTGGGGAGTGAGGGGAAAGACAAGAGGCAGGAGTGGGGCCAAGAAGTAGAGGCATCAGGTCCAGGGAGGAACGCCACCAGACTCACCAGAAGCTTTAGTCCATCTCTGTCATTTTAATGCACTGCTCCCTTTGACATGTGAAAGACATTGAAGGCTATAGTACTGCCAATGGTATGATGGGGAAGCCTGAGGCAGCTGGAATGCCAGGAGACTCAGACAAGGCAGCTGAAGGAGCCAGCGGCTCTGAGATACAGCAAAGATGAAAGAAATCCATGCAATCCTGGGCAAGCCATTTCCTTTGGGCTTCAGTTTCCCCATCTGTAAAATGGAAAGACTAGGTAGAAAACCCCTCAGGTCCCTTCCCAATATAAACTCTACGAGTCTATGAAATGACTATGCATCCGAGAGCTGATCTGGGAACTAATTATTCAAAGTTATCAAAATCACCCGCACCCTCAGGAGCTCCACCCCTGAATTGCATTGAGCAATCTAATCTACCACTCACTTCCTCCACTGTGTTCTCACCACCACCTCCCTTTCATAGGTCACAGCTGCTCTTCTGGAGGTGTCCTACAGGTGAAAAGCCCAGCGACCCAGTAAGTCTTGGAACACCCACCCTTCCCACCAGCTAGAATGTCTCTGTTCTCTGTTTCCCTTGATACCCAGCCTACATTTATCCTAAGCATCTCTCCCCACCCTTGGTGGGCCCCTCACCCTCACCCCTTGGCCTCTTCATTTTCTCCCTTTGGGGCTCTCCATCCCCAAAGGAAGAACTTCTGTTCCTCCTCCCTCACAACCCTCTCCAACCACTCAGGGCCACTTGCTGCCCATGCTTTTCCCTTGGCCTGGCAGCCTTCCAAGACTCAGCCAGCCCTCCTGGCCTGGGCTAGGACTGGGTCTGAGGATGGGCCGAACACTGTTCGCTTCCCACTTCCCGACACTAAATGCAATATTTGTGGATTATATTTATAGAGAGAAAGAATACTGGAACTGTACTAAAATGACTCTTTTGTTGTTAAAAAGATTGCCTTAGATGTTTGAGATCTTGTAAATGTCTCTCGTTCTATAGCATTTTCATGTAATAAATTAGAATTCATGCCATCATCTATGGAGTTTCCAAACTACCATGAGTCACTAAGGGGCTGGCATTTTCCCTAAGTCAAGGAAGCTCCCTTTTTATCCTGGAATATATGACTGTGTGGTCAGCCGGACCCAGCCAGTTCAAGGGTGTTTGGTTTATCATCCCTGCAAGAGCTGTTTCTTTCATTCTGGGCCAAAGAAACGGCAAAAGAAAACAATGCATAAAACATGAAAGAATGTGAGTGGACCATATACAGGTTGATTTAATGATATCTCAAGAACTTAGCTTTGCTGGGCACGGTGGCTTACACCTGTAATCTCAGCACTTTGGGAGGCTAAGGTGGGCGGATCACCTGAGGTCAGGAGTTCGAGACCAGCCCGACCAACATAGTGAAACCCCGTCTCTACTAAAATACAAAAATTGGCCGGGTGCAGTGGCAGGCGCCTGTAATCTCAGCTACTTGGGAAGCTGAGGCAGGAGAATCACTTGAACCCGGGAGGTGGAGGTTGCAGTGAGCCGAGATCACGCCATTGCACTCCAGCCTGGCAACAGAGCGAGACTGCATCAAAAAAAGAAAAAAAGAAAGAAAAAGAGAACTTAGCTTACAAATATGTTTAATAGATGAGGTGCACTTTTTTTAAGAGGAAGGGCTATAGACTACAAATAAGGCAAGTGTAGTCCTTTATACCTCACTGGAACAGTGGTTTCACCACTTCTCCACCCTGTGATCGCAGGCTGGTTACTGAGCCTCCCTGTTAGGTCAGCTGATCCTCCTTGTGCCTCAGTCTTCTAGAAACAGGGCCTAATTGTATCTATTTGTAATGAGCCATGGAGATCATGTACCTGTGAGGCACAAAGCAGACCTCAGATGTGTCATCTCCTTCCCTTAGTTTGTCCCTCTAACTGCCAAGTCATCCTCTGTAGAGATTGGTAAACTAAAAAACAACACCAACAACAAACACCCCTCTCCCTACCCTAGGAGCTGGAGGTCACTGGCCTGACCTGGTTCTCCTTGCTGAGTTCTCTACCTTCTGTCCTGACTTGCATGCTCTCCCTCTGGAACCTGAAGCTGACCCATAATGCCTGGGAGCATGAGCTCACCCATACACCTCCAGCCCACCCCCAGCACAGCTGAGCACTGGATTATCCACAGTGAGGATTTACCTGTGAAACATGCTCTGCCACTGCTGCCTGTGCTGACATGGCAGTTTCTGCAGCAGCCTCAGTCCTGGCTTCTCACAGCCAATATTCATACATACAAGGCCCTGCTCTCTAAGAGCACAAGCTCTCTGCACCCAATATGCCCTACATCTACTCTCAAAGATGGGTCTTCTGTTGGGTCATTTGTTCCCTTAAGAGCATCTGTAATCATCTGCTCCCAGAAGTGATCCACCCTTGACCTCTTGACTTCATTGGACATACCCTGGGCCTCTCAGCAAACTTGCTCTCAACCATGGGACTGAGGAGCTGGTGACTTCTTTCAGGTCTTGCTGACCATACTGGTCCAGCAAGCTGTATTCCCAGCCCTCTCAATACCTCCCCAGCCTTCTGGCCAGGCAGGGCCAGAAATGAGGGATTGCTTATAAATTACGTAAGACATACATAAAGTACAATGTTAACTTTTTTTTTTTTTTTTTTGAGACGGAGTCTCCTCTGTCGCCCAGGCTGGAGTGCAGTGGCGCCATCTCGGCTCACTGCAAGCTTCGCTTCCCGGGTTCACACCGTTCTCCTGCCTCAGCCTCCCGAGTAGCTGGGACCACAGGCGCCCGCCACCACGCCCAGCTAATTTTTTGTATTTTTAGTAGAGACGGGGTTTCACTGCATTAGCCAGGATGGTCTCGATCTCCTGACCTCATGATCCGCCCATCTCGGCCTCCCAAAGTGCTGGGAGCCACCACGCCCGGCCCAAATGTTAACTTTTATTGTTGTGATCTAGTATAGTACATTACAACTGATTGAATCTTCTCCATCAGTTGCCTCGGCATGCTGGGAAGGCAATGTATCTGGCCCCTAACTCTTAAAAGAGAAACTAAAAACTTGTCAGGAAGGTGATGGCTAAGAATTCCATCACTCTTGGGGGAAAAGTGGCATTATTTTTCCAGTTTTGCTTAATCTTCTTCAGCTTTCTTCTTTGCTACATATGATTGATGACAACAGAGACTTCCTTTCTGCTAAAAAGAAATCCTCCCTGGGACTTTTGTTGTTATTTTTGTAATATTTGTATTTGCTTTGCAAGGCCGTGTACCCTTTGATTAATCTTTTTTTTAATTAAGACATAAGTCACATACCCCAAAAGTCACCCATTTAAAGTTTTTAGCATATTCTACAACCATTGCCACTAATTCCAGAACACTTTTATCACTCAAAAGAAAAACTCCGTAGTCATTAACATTCCTCTCCCAGCTCCCCTTGACCCTGGAAACCACCAATCTACTTTCTGTCTCTACCAATTCTACCCATTTGCCTATTTTGGTCATTTCACATATATGGAATCACACAATAAGAAAACTTTTGTGTCTGCCTTTTTTCACCTAGACTAACATTTTCAAGGTTCATCCATGTTGTATTGTGTATCAGTACCTCATTCCTTCTCATGGCTGAATAATATTCTGTTGTACATAATACAGTCATAAGTTGCTTAACAATGCGGATGCATTCTGAGAAATATGTCATGTGAACATGGTAGAGTATACGATGCTATAGCCTACTACACACATGGGCTATATGGTAGAGTACTGCTCCTAGGCTACAAACCTACTCAGCATGTTACTGTACTAAATACTGTAGGTAATTATAACACAATGGTATTCTTATATATAAACATAGGAAAAGAACACTAAAAATACAGTATTATAATCTTATGGGACCACTGTGGTATTTGTGATGTGTCATTGACCAAAAAGTCTTTCAGTTGCTCATGACTGTTCCTCAATTTGTCTGTCCGTTCATCAGTTGATGGATATTTGGTTTGTTTCCACTTTTTGGCCTTAATGATGAATGCTACTATGAACATTAGCTTTCAATTCTCTTGGGTGTATACCTAGGTTGGGGTTTGCTGGTTCATGTGGTAACTCTATGTTTAACTTTTTTGAGCAACTGCTAAGCTGTTTTCCAAAGCAGCTGCACCATCTTACATTCCCACCTGCAATGTGGGAGAGTTCTGACTTTTCCACTTCCTCACCCACATTGTTCTTGGGCATCTTTTTCTGAGTGTGCCCAGCCTGGTGAGTGTGAAGTGGGTTCTGGGACCTTTAACTTCCTGGTTTTTCTCTCACACTGGGTTCCATTTTGGGGGTAGATTACGGACTTGGACATGGTTGGTGGTAGGGTGGTCATCCCTTACTCTAAGGCAATGGCCGGAGGGTGATCTATTTTGTGGTTCAGAAAGAAGCTAATTAGGGAGCTGGATTGCTTTAGTTGACTGCTTTGAGAAACTGGGATTTTTTTTTTTTTTTTTTTTTTTTTTTGAGGCAGAGTCTCGCTCTGTTGCCCAGGCTGGAGTGCAGTGATGTGATTTCGGCTCACTGCAACCTCCACCTCCTGGGTTCAAGCAATTCTTGTGCCTCAGCCTCCCAAGTAGCTGGGATTACAGGTGCACGTCACCATACCTGGCTAATTTTTGTATTATTAGTAGAGACAGTGTTTCACCATGTTAGCCAGGCTGCTCTCAAACTCCTGACCTCAAGTGATCTGCCACCTCAGCCTCCCAAAGTGCTGGGATTACAGGTGTGAGCCACCACTGGGATAATATTTTTGAATAACTGCAGCCCACCCTCCACACCCAGGCTTCCCCAGAGCAGGATCTGTGCTGTCCCTGTGGCAAGGGCAGAGCCCCAGGAGCTAGACTAAATCTGAGAGGAACAGGGGAGTCAAGGCTAGATGGAGGCACACACATGCAGGACAGGAAGGGTCTCCAGCAGGGCTGGAAAGCCACCAAGCAAGGGTAGTGCAAACCCTGTCTTCTCTGCTTCCTGCTGCCCCTCTCTTATTGGGTAGCAGACTGGCTGTGTCTGCTTATCCCGCATGGTGGCACATGGCTGCCCAGAGCTCCCCAAATAACCTGTTACGTTTCCACCCACAGGGAGAATCAGGCAGCCCGCTTGCTTATTGTTTTTAATATACTTTTCCAAACTACACAGACATTCCCAAAGCGGGTCTCCTTCTACCCAAAAGAGAAACGCTGGGCCTTACTAATTAACTGAAGACTCTGCTAGCTCGAGCCTTCCAAAACTCCATGCCACAATTGTTCAAACCATTTTCCAGAATACATCTTTTAAAATAACTTTTAGAAAATTGAACAAAGGGATTCATGTCTCAGCTTTATAGTCAAACCATGATCTTTTCTGAGGGTATAGCCCATTTGGAGTTCCTGCTTAATCCCCTGATTAAAAACTGAATGGGGCTGAGTGCAGTGGCTCATGCCTATATTCCCAGCACTTTGGGAGACAGAGGCAGGAGAATTACTTAAGGTCAGGAGTTTAAGACCATCCTGAGCAACATAACAAGTCCCCATCTCTAAGACAAAAAAAAAAGAACTGAGTGACATCTCACATCTCACATTTCTGAACATTAAACCCAGCCTTGATAGCCAAAGATGCTCGCCACTGAAGGATCCAGGTAGTATTGAGGGTTCTGTGGGGATTATCCAAAGAGAACTTTCTACAAAGTTTTAGGTGATGGCGATGCTAAAAGAAATGCTAAGAATTTCTCTCTTATATTAAAGAGAACTATGGTCCTCTCATAAAATGTACCATTTATCACCAAATTTATCTCATAACCTAAGAGCTACCACTTACAAATTTGAAGGGAAAAATTACTACATTGTAATACTCAAGCCAACACAAAGAATCCTATCCCAGTTTCTTGAGTGGATGGGCAAGAATATGGGGAATTTATTATGCAGTAACCTTCATCTCTCTTCTATAGGTCAGGATTTAAGTTTACCTCAAAAATGGAAGATTTTAACATGGAGAGTGACAGCTTTGAAGATTTCTGGAAAGGTGAAGATCTTAGTAATTACAGTTACAGCTCTACCCTGCCCCCTTTTCTACTAGATGCCGCCCCATGTGAACCAGAATCCCTGGAAATCAACAAGTATTTTGTGGTCATTATCTATGCCCTGGTATTCCTGCTGAGCCTGCTGGGAAACTCCCTCGTGATGCTGGTCATCTTATACAGCAGGGTCGGCCGCTCCGTCACTGATGTCTACCTGCTGAACCTAGCCTTGGCCGACCTACTCTTTGCCCTGACCTTGCCCATCTGGGCCGCCTCCAAGGTGAATGGCTGGATTTTTGGCACATTCCTGTGCAAGGTGGTCTCACTCCTGAAGGAAGTCAACTTCTATAGTGGCATCCTGCTACTGGCCTGCATCAGTGTGGACCGTTACCTGGCCATTGTCCATGCCACACGCACACTGACCCAGAAGCGCTACTTGGTCAAATTCATATGTCTCAGCATCTGGGGTCTGTCCTTGCTCCTGGCCCTGCCTGTCTTACTTTTCCGAAGGACCGTCTACTCATCCAATGTTAGCCCAGCCTGCTATGAGGACATGGGCAACAATACAGCAAACTGGCGGATGCTGTTACGGATCCTGCCCCAGTCCTTTGGCTTCATCGTGCCACTGCTGATCATGCTGTTCTGCTACGGATTCACCCTGCGTACGCTGTTTAAGGCCCACATGGGGCAGAAGCACCGGGCCATGCGGGTCATCTTTGCTGTCGTCCTCATCTTCCTGCTCTGCTGGCTGCCCTACAACCTGGTCCTGCTGGCAGACACCCTCATGAGGACCCAGGTGATCCAGGAGACCTGTGAGCGCCGCAATCACATCGACCGGGCTCTGGATGCCACCGAGATTCTGGGCATCCTTCACAGCTGCCTCAACCCCCTCATCTACGCCTTCATTGGCCAGAAGTTTCGCCATGGACTCCTCAAGATTCTAGCTATACATGGCTTGATCAGCAAGGACTCCCTGCCCAAAGACAGCAGGCCTTCCTTTGTTGGCTCTTCTTCAGGGCACACTTCCACTACTCTCTAAGACCTCCTGCCTAAGTGCAGCCCCGTGGGGTTCCTCCCTTCTCTTCACAGTCACATTCCAAGCCTCATGTCCACTGGTTCTTCTTGGTCTCAGTGTCAATGCAGCCCCCATTGTGGTCACAGGAAGTAGAGGAGGCCACGTTCTTACTAGTTTCCCTTGCATGGTTTAGAAAGCTTGCCCTGGTGCCTCACCCCTTGCCATAATTACTATGTCATTTGCTGGAGCTCTGCCCATCCTGCCCCTGAGCCCATGGCACTCTATGTTCTAAGAAGTGAAAATCTACACTCCAGTGAGACAGCTCTGCATACTCATTAGGATGGCTAGTATCAAAAGAAAGAAAATCAGGCTGGCCAACGGGGTGAAACCCTGTCTCTACTAAAAATACAAAAAAAAAAAAAAATTAGCCGGGCGTGGTGGTGAGTGCCTGTAATCACAGCTACTTGGGAGGCTGAGATGGGAGAATCACTTGAACCCGGGAGGCAGAGGTTGCAGTGAGCCGAGATTGTGCCCCTGCACTCCAGCCTGAGCGACAGTGAGACTCTGTCTCAGTCCATGAAGATGTAGAGGAGAAACTGGAACTCTCGAGCGTTGCTGGGGGGGATTGTAAAATGGTGTGACCACTGCAGAAGACAGTATGGCAGCTTTCCTCAAAACTTCAGACATAGAATTAACACATGATCCTGCAATTCCACTTATAGGAATTGACCCACAAGAAATGAAAGCAGGGACTTGAACCCATATTTGTACACCAATATTCATAGCAGCTTATTCACAAGACCCAAAAGGCAGAAGCAACCCAAATGTTCATCAATGAATGAATGAATGGCTAAGCAAAATGTGATATGTACCTAACGAAGTATCCTTCAGCCTGAAAGAGGAATGAAGTACTCATACATGTTACAACACGGACGAACCTTGAAAACTTTATGCTAAGTGAAATAAGCCAGACATCAACAGATAAATAGTTTATGATTCCACCTACATGAGGTACTGAGAGTGAACAAATTTACAGAGACAGAAAGCAGAACAGTGATTACCAGGGACTGAGGGGAGGGGAGCATGGGAAGTGACGGTTTAATGGGCACAGGGTTTATGTTTAGGATGTTGAAAAAGTTCTGCAGATAAACAGTAGTGATAGTTGTACCGCAATGTGACTTAATGCCACTAAATTGACACTTAAAAATGGTTTAAATGGTCAATTTTGTTATGTATATTTTATATCAATTTAAAAAAAAACCTGAGCCCCAAAAGGTATTTTAATCACCAAGGCTGATTAAACCAAGGCTAGAACCACCTGCCTATATTTTTTGTTAAATGATTTCATTCAATATCTTTTTTTTAATAAACCATTTTTACTTGGGTGTTTATATTACTGCTTCCAAATTGCTACAGAGTGGTGGGGCAAGGGTGAGTGGAGGTCTTGGGTGAGAGTCTTTACAAGAAGTAAATCTCTTTGTTATTTGCTGTGTCATAGAGAAAAGGATGGAATAGAGATGGAGCCCAGCCTTGCCATCCCCTCACCCCCAACCCAAGCTTCCTGCTGTAGACCACACATCATGGAAAGAAATGCATTCTGGGATGCTCTAGGGCGTCTCGTGTCGTTGGGTGAGGCAGTAGTCAGGAGTGTCAGGGGTGAGACTTAGAGTTAGAAGGTGCAGAGGGTTGAGTAAGTTTACCAAATCCCCCTGATCAGGTAGCAGGAAGGCAGAGAGCTCTCCCAGCTCAACCAGCAGCACCCACTGTGAGTGCCCTATCCTCTTCCCTCTCTTCCACCCAAACACACACCCATCATTCCAGGTTTGACAGGACAGCCCAAATGCAGAATGGGGAAGTGGTTTATAATCTGTCATTAGGAGAAAACAAAAGATTCGAATCATGCCTCCAACAGCATGGAGTGCTGACTGTTCGGAGAGTGGGGGGATACAGCAGAGACCACGACAGACAGTGCCTTGCCCTGGGGGAGCTCACATTCCTAGGGCTTGTCTCTGCAGGGTCTTTGTCAAGAGGGGCTCTGGGTCTGAGCAGCCTGAGAAGGAAGGAAGGAGGCAAGAGGAACTGAACGTCCGCAGTTCCCAAACAACCCCCTTCAGGTTAACAACTAAATCTAGGGGAAAACAGGGAGGCAGGAGCACACCTCTGAGTGGGAGGGCTTGAGGGGCAGAGAACTTCCACTCAAAAGCCACAGAAGTGCCTTTCCTATTGCATTCAGCAACAACAATCCCTTCTTTCCTGCTCATTCTATGCTGGGTACTTGCTAAACTCGGGACCAAGCACGACTCAACTGCTCTGGCTGAGTCTTCGGAACAGCTTCTGATTCAGTAGCAGGGAAATGCAGGGGAACGTGTATTTACCAAGGACCTGACTTGCCAGAGGAACCAATGGTGCTCTGCCTGGACAAGGCTGATGGACCAGGTGGCTCCCTGAGATGACTCCCAGAGGGAAGAGGCCAAATTACACCTCACTCTGGTTTCAGGACTCTGCTCTTTCCTCTCACAAGGACTGGAGGAAACATGGTTCTCCAAGGATAATAAAAGGATACCATCAGCCTAGGAAAATGAGGCAGAGATTAAATTATGCTTACGTGAACTCTGTTATTCATCTCTATCTCCTCTCTCTCTCTCTCTCTCTCTCTCTCTCTCTCTGTCTCTCTCTCTCTCTTTCAGACTCTCTCTCATAAGAACAGTCTTGGCACAAATAATTTACCAAACACGCCATCCCTAGGACAGGCGAGTCTGGGGATTGCCTTTGAGTTGTTGACTTCTTTCTTCCCTCTGATGTTTCTGATCCTGAGTCCCAAGGTCTCAGGGTCCAGCACCTTTCTGCCTGATCTGCCTTCTCGGTCTGTCAAAGAGGCCTGAAGTCCCCATTTCCATACATAAACGAGGAAACTGAGGCTTTACCAAAGCAACCTGGCCAAAATCTCATGGCTAGACAGTAGTGGAGCTGAAATAAGATTCCTAGTCAGTTCGTTTTTTACCAAATATTTCGCTTTTCGGTTCGAGCACCTGACAGACAAGATGGAAAATTACATGTAGACATGACCTTTTCAGACCATTTCACTCACACGGGTAAGACCAGTCTACATTTTCTGCACCTGCACTCATCTGTGCCTGGAGCTGGGGTTGCTGGAGTCTCAGTCAGCGAGGCCCAGAGGAGGCTCAGGGGCACAGGTGTGGGAGCAGCCTCAGGCTGGGTTCTCCTATTCTTGGCTGGCAGGCAGCACAGTTAAAGACACAATCGTGGCCAGGCACAGTTGGTCACACCTGTAATCCCAGCACTTTGGGAGGCCAAGGAGAGCAGATCACCTGAGGTCAGGAGTTTGAGACCAACCTGGCCAACATGGTGAAACTCAGTCTCTAATTAAAAACACAAAAATTAGTTAGGTGTGGTGGTGGGCACCTGTAATCCCAGCTACATGGAAGGCTGAGGCAGGAGAATCACTTGAACCTGGGAGGCGGAGGTTGCAGTGAGCCGAGATCATGCCATTGCACTCCAGCATGGGCAACAAGAGTGAAACTCCGTCTCATAAATAAATAAATAAAGACGCAATCAGAGCCCAAAACAAAATTCAGAGACAGGCACAACTAACCCCTCTACAGAGGACACATATCTTATCAGGCAGGGGCCAATTAAAGAAGCAAAACCACTGGGAGGAGGAATTTGTGACAGGCATTTGACCCTAGGCAACTGTGGGAGCTGGCTAAACCATTAGTGTCAGGCTGTTGGCTTTGTTTCTTGGCTGGGATCTTAAGCTGGTAGGATGGACAGCCTGGAAGGAAAGATGGATGTAAAGTGGGAATAGTGAGGAGGAGCTGGAACCTACCAGGACAGGCTGATACCTGCGTTGGTCCAAGTTCAGTATGTGAATGGCCTGTGGAGAAGCTGGCACCTGCACCAAGCAGGTAAACCCACACCTGAGGGGCTGCAGGCCAGCTCAGGCCCCATGCCTACAGGAGCCGGCAGATAAGTGACATCATATGGTGGTGTCTGGTGCCTTCCACTGACCTTCCTGAGCTGAAACAGAATGTAGATGCTGCTCCACTTCCACCTTCCAGATCTCACATACAAGGTCCCTTCTGGCCCCTCACTGACCTGGAAATGTGAAAGGAAGAGAATTTGGGGAAATACAGTTCTATCCTATCTATGCTGACTCAATACAAATCCTCTGCACAAACTTATGTGCGAACTCTAAAGAAAAAGAACGGTTCCCACAAAGGTTCAGGTGATATTTATTAAAGGGTCGGGAAAGGGAGGAACACATGGGGGCTTTAGGGGGCACTGATAATGTCCTCTCTCTTATCCTATGTGATAGATGCTTAAGAGCCATTATATTATTATTTTTTAAGCTATAAATGTTAGTTTTCTGTAATCTGTGCTATGTATGCTATTCACAAGAAAAGTGTTTTTAATCATTAAAATGAAGGGAAAAAATACAGAAACAGTGATCAGAACAAAAGGACAACCTGGGTCATTTCAAGGAACCACCACAGGGAGTGGACTGCAAGCTTTTGTGTTGTATAGTTTGGGGATCAGAATTCACCAGACTAGAAGATATTATCATCCACTGCCAGTAGGAGAGGAATTAGGAACGATCCTTCAAGAAGGCAATTTTGTGATATATACTTTAATGCATACAATCTCCAATCCAGGAATTATACACTGCTACAAATCTATCCTATAGAAATACACATCTAGGCGGACAAACGTGTACAGGATATTCATCACAGCATTTTTTATAAAAGTCAAAGCTCAGAAACAACCTAAATATCCATCAGTGGGGAATTGGTTAGAAACACTTTGAAGGTGCAGCCACACTGTGGAATACTGTGAATGCAGTGGTTTGAACATGATGTTTAAAACATGCAAAGTACGGCCAGGTGTGGGCTCACGCCTGTAATCCCAGCACTTTGGGAAGCTGAGGTGGGTGGATCACCTGAGGTCAGGAGTTTGAGACCAGCCTGGCCAACATGGTGAAACCCCGTCTCTGCTAAAAATACAAAAATCAGCCAGGCGTGGTGGTGCACACCTGTAATCCCAGCTACTCGGGAGGCTGAGGCAAGAGAATCACTTGAACCAGAGAGGCGGAAGTTACAGTGAGCCAAGATTGTGCCATTGCACTCCCGCCTGGGCAACAGATCAAGACTCCGTATCAAAAAATAAATAAATAAAATAAAAATAAAACATGCAAAGTGGAAGCCGCTGATCAGTATGATTCTATTTACATAAAATGTCCAGAAAAGACAAATCTATACAGACAGAAAGCAGATGAGCAGTTGCCTGGGGTTGAGGGTGGGAAAAGGGATTGACTACAAACAGGCACCAAGGTTCCCTTTGGAGTGATAGAAATATCCTAAACCTGGATTATGGTGATGGTTGCACAACTCTGTAAATTTACTAAAATTCACTGGATGGCATTCTTAGGACAGACTGATCTGATAATAGGTTAGTGATATCTCAGCAAACTGTTCTTTAAAAGAATCTTTAAAAATAATGAAGTAGGGCTGGGCGTAGCGGCTCACGTCTATAATCCCAGCACTTTGAGAGACCAAGGCAGGTGGATCATTTGAGCTCAGGAGTTTGAGACCAGGCTGGCCAACAAGGTGAAACCCCATCTCTACTAAAAATACAAAAATTCGCCGGGCATGGTGGCAGGTGCCTGTAATTCCAGCTACTCAGGAGGCTGAGACACAATAATCGCTTAAGCCCAGGAGGCGGAGGTTGCAGTGAGCTGAGATCACGTCACTGCACTCCAGCCCGGGTAACAGAGGGAGACTCTGTCTCAAAAAAAAAAAAAAATTAAATATAATATAATATAAAAATAATGAAGTCGTTCTATGACTGGACATGGAAAGATCTTCAACAAATAATGTTGAATGGAAAAGGAAGGCAGATGATTCATGAATTGCTGTTTGCTCAAATACAGTGTTTAAAATTGCAACGACAAAAAAGAAAAAGGAAGGTAGAACAGCATGTGTAGTAAATGGCTTACCTGCCTGTGTAAAAAACACTCTAGTCTATATGTGGGTTTGTAAATGTTCAGAAAAATGTCTGAGAGAACATATACCAAGCTGTCAATAGGAGTTATGGCTGGAGAGAGCTGGAGGATGGGGTAGCATTCATCACTGGTTTGTACAATTTTGCATTGTTTCCATTTATTTGGTTGGGGCTGGATTTTTCCAAAAATGAAGGAGCTGAAGCTGATTTTGGAGGGGTCTGCACAGGCCTTCTTATAGACAAGGGGGCTGGGCTTTGTGGACATGACCATTTCTGTGTTTTATATTCTTTCTTGAACAATATTCATATTCTTTTTTTTACTTGATTTCCTGGTGAAGTTGCTTTTTGAAAAACATCTTCTTAGTCCCAAATGAGTTAAGCAATAAAGAGACTTGTTGATATTTGACCAAAAAAGAACTAGGCACCACTGATGGCCATGGGACAGCATTTCTAAAATGTTCCATGCTTAAAATGGGCTTCTTGTCCAGGTGGTTCCTGCCTGTAATTCCTACACTTTGGGAGGCCAAGGCAGGAGGAGGATTGCTAGAGCTCAGGAGTTCGAGACCACCCTGAGCATCAGTGAGACCCCATCTCTACAAAAAATGTTTAAAATTAGCCAGACATGGTGGCATACACATCTAGTCCTAGCTACTCAGGAGGCTGAGATGGGAGGATCATTTAAGCCCAGGAGGTGGAGGCTGCAGTGAGCTGTGATCATGCCACTGCACTCCAGCTGGGACAACAGAGCAAGACCCTGTCTTAAAATAAAATAAAATATAATAAAATGGGCATCTTCTTCAAAATATAGATTTATGGATAATCCCCAGTTTCCTGGCAGAAACTAGGCAGTGCACTTGAGCTAGGCAAGGAGAGAGAGTTTTATCCACTTCAGTAAGAGTTGAATAAAGGGACCTGGAACAACAGTGTGGGAAGGATTTGGGGAAAATAATGTGAAATTCAGTACCCTAAGGACTGTGACAGTGGGGAGCAATCACTATCCCTAGGCCTAAAGCAGCAAGGTGAGGAACCATGACAGGAGCCCAAGAGAGAGCAGTATGATGTGGGCTGCCTGACAGGTGTCAACCCCAGCAACCAGCAGGGACAGGGCTGAGCAAAGAAATGCCCTGACTTGACACTGCTCCTGTTTAGGTTTCCTGAAGCCTCTCTTACCAGGGTTCCCATTGGCTGAACTCAGTCCCGTCTCCCACTTGGATCCCCCTGATACTGGGTTGAGCTCAACCCAATCTCCTACCAGTGAAAGAGGAGGAGTTCCCTTATCCCCCTCATGAGGCATACAACAGGGGTGTGTCTCGCTTCTTCAGTGCCCCACCACTCAAACCTTGAGGGGGAGCATGCAGGTGGGCAGGTCGTGGGGAGCATTTTTGGGCTCCGACACCATGACAGCACCTAGGGTTGAGTGTTTACAGCTCCCAAAACCCCAGTGGGCATGTGTTACACTGTGCTCTTTCAGTTTTGCCATCTGCAGGTGGCTTGTGTTAATCAGCTCAATTAGATCCTCTGCCTTATCACAAGGACAGAGGGCTTTCTGTAACCCAAGTTCTTGCCCTAGTGTACCAGAAAAATCAGATCACACATGGGCTTGGAGGATGGGTGCAAGGTTTTATTGAGTGGTGGAGGTAGCTCTCAGAGAGGTGGATGGGGAGCCAGAAGGAGGATGGAGTGGGAAGGTGGTCTTCCCCTGGAGTCAGGCTGCCCAGCAGCCAGACTTTCCTCCTACCACCCCCAACTGAATTCCATGTTGTCCCACCGTCAATGGCCTGCCGGTGTTCACTGGTGTCTGTTGGTGTGTTGTTCTGCTCCTCTTGATGTCCTGCTACTTGTGTGTGTACCCGCTAAGGTCTCTCGGGTTTATATGGGCACAGGATGGGGGACGTAGGGGGCCAGAGTGGGCTTGGAAAATGCAACAGGAATGGCTCTCCTCATTTAGGTCCATGGACACAGGCCCAGTGTGGAGCCCTCACCAGGGACCCCACCCTTCTCTACCCAGCACTTCCCTGCCCCACTCCCATATCACCAGGATTCCCATTGGTTGAGCTCAGAAACCAGAGGACAAGGGAGTGCCCTGAGACAGTCCATGTAGGTCAGCATCCCAGGGCACAGAATTCAGTAAAGAAAGGTAGAGAGTGTATCTGGAGGAAAACATAGATGATATCCAACTCACCACCCAAGCTTCAAGTTAAGAGTAATGGTTCCATTTCTACCAAATCTGTATGGCTGAGAGTGGATCCTGGGAATCTGGAGCCCCAGTGACTCTGATCATGACTCAAGTTTAAAACCTACCAGCCCAGAAGTAATAGCAGCAGAGCTCTCAAACTGGAGATGAGAAATGCCCTCTTGGAATCAGAATTGTTTCTGAGGGTGATCCTTTTTTTTTTTTTTTTTTTTTTTGAGGTGGAGTCTCACTCTTGCCCAGGCTGAATGTGGTGGTATGATCTTGGCTCACTGCAGCCTCTGCCTCCCAAGTTCAAGTGATTCTCCTGCCTCAGCCTCCCAAGTAGCTGGGATTACAGGTGCCTGCCACCAGGCCTAGCTAATTTTTGTATTTTTAGTAGAGACAGGGTTTCACCATGTTGGCCAGGTTGGTCTCGAACTCCTGATCTCAGGTGATCTTCCCTCTTTGGCCTCCCAAAGTGCTGGGATTACAGGCGTGACCCACCACACCCGGCTGTTGGGAACAGGCCCCTCAAAATCTGGCCATAAACTGGCCCCAAAACTGGCCATAAACAAAATCTCTGCAGCACTGTGACATGTTCTTGATGGCCATAACGCCCACACTGGAAGGTTGTGGGTTTACCAGAATGAGGGCAAGGAACACCTGGACCACCCAGGGCAGAAAACCGCTTAAAGGCATTCTTAAACCACAACAATAGCATGAGCAATCTGTGCCTTAAGGGCATGTTCCTGCTGCAGATAACTAGCCAGACCCACCCCTTTATTTCAGCCCATCCCTTCCTTTCCCATAAGGGATACTTTTAATTAATCTAATATCTATAGAAACAATGCTAATGACTGGCTTGCTGTTAATAAATACCTGGGTAAATCTCTGTTCAGGGCTCTCAGCTCTGAAGGCTGTGAGACCCCTGATTTCCCACTTCACACCTCTATATTTCTGTGTGTGTCTTTAATTCCTCTAGCGCCACTGGGTTAGGGTCTCCCCGACCGAGCTGGTCTCAGCATCCAGCCATGATTTTGGCCTAGCCAAAAAGAAGATGGCCTTGCATTGGAGCCTCTTGTGGTCATTCTGTCTTCCCTAGGTGGAGCAGCTATGGGAGTCCAGAGGGAAAACAGAGAGGAGCAGAAATCATGGCCCCAACTCAAGGGCCCTCCCCTAAGGACAGCTTCAGAGACATAAACAAAGGAGCACCTTCCGGGAGAAGACAAACACACCACTGATTTCTCAACAGGGCCTTGCTAGGTCTGATGTCAGACATGTTCCCTGCTCATAAACAGAAGAGCCAGCTTCCCATCAACACTGGCTCTGTGCCAGGCAGACCCAGAGACAGGGCTAAAGTCCTGGTTCCCACGAGGTGGTCAGTGTTTTTTCTCTATTCTGCTACAGTTATGATCCCAGCGGGCATTTCTAGAGGACTTTCTTAGAAGTCCAGCACCATGCTAAGGGATTTGCTCTACTGGACTGCACAGCTGTCTATGGCACTTGGAATACCTCGCTTCCCCATGCTTAATTCCATGCTTGCCCAACAGTCCAACCCAATTGCCAAAAATCCATAAGCAGGGGAGACAGGGAGCTTCTGCAAGGCTCAGGGGTCTCAATATCATAGTAGTTCCCAGGGACCATGGTCAGGGGTGCCCAGAAACCCTCTGTTTATGGAAAGATTCTACTCATTCAGTTTAGGACATATACACAGAAGTGTGTTATTCATATCATACTCTCCACTCTCCACTCATCACTTGTGTGAGTGGTGGCCTTGAACTGCTTTACCTAAATCCACACTGTCTGGGTGGAAGGAATCTCGAAGATCCACTTCTGAACTGACCTCCACTTTTGACAGGTGAATGACTGGAGGCCCAGAGTAGGTGGACACTTGCAAGAGATCTCAAACTACAAGTGACAGAAGCAGCACTGGACACTGGTCTCCAGATTCCCCATTCATTACCCTCCTCACTACCAGGATGCCACTCTCAAGTTACTGAGAAAATGATTCTTATGGGACTGGTGGCAAGACTCATAAGATTATTCCCATGGCCTTTTTCTTCCAGTACCTGTAGATAAAGATTCAGAGAAAAAGAAGACCCAGGAATAGAGACACAGAGTACAGTCCTAAAGCTACTCCTTCACTTATTCATTTTTTTCCTGTTCATCATGCAAGTCAAGTAAACATTTGGATCTGGTTTAGTGGTAAACATTGGCATGATGACAGCTTCTTGCAAGAGCTTTTAATGACAAGATGCCTTGTATTCAAACAGAGAGATATTTCTTTTTTTTTACCCAAAAACATAAACATGAAAGAAGTGTTAAAAGAAAAACTCTTTTAAAGTATGGTGAAACAAGACATAACTGAAATAACAACCATTAATGAATAAGTATTGGAAGAAAGGTACCAAACTGTGTCTTGAGGCAGTCTAGCAGAGTGGTTAAGGGTGTAGGCCCTGGGGCCAGAATGCTAAATGCACATCCCAACTCTAGTTACCTAAACTTTTGTGCTTCAGTTTCCTCCTGCATAAAATGGGCTTATTATAGAACTAGCCCTACAAGGTAATTTTAAGGATTAGGTTAGTTAGGAAATACATATATAAAGCACTTAGCCCAGGGCCTAGAACATGGTAAGCTCTAATAAATGTTAGCTATTGATCTTTATTTAAATCTTTAATTTTGTTTCAAGTTCACAGATAAAATAATTTGGGCTAAATTTTGTAAATAGAAATTTTGATATAAAGTTCAAACAAGATCCTAGCTATAGTATTAATACAAAATACACATAGCCATCATCAACTAGCCTGTCATATAAAGGTAGTGACTTTTTTTTTTTTTTGAGACAGAGTCTCACTATGTCGACCAGGCTGGAGTGTAGTAGCGCAATCTCAGCTCATTGCAACCTCCACCTCCCAGGCTCAATCGATTCTCCTGCCTCAACCTCTCGAGTAGCTGGGATTACAGATGTCTGCCACCACACCAGGCTAATTGTTGTATTTTTAGTAGAGATGGGGTTTTGTCATGTTGGCCAGGCTGGTCTTAAACTCCTGACATCAGGTGATCTGCCCACCTCAGCCTCCCAAAGTGCTGGGATTACAGGCGTGAGCCACAGCACCCAGTTAAAGCTTGTGACATTTTTAAATCTGTTCTAGCTAGGCACAGTGGCTCACACCTATAATCCCAGCACTTTGGAAGGCTGAGGCAGGAGGATCACTTGAGCCCAGGAGTTCAAGACCAGCCTGGGAAACATAGGGAGACCCCATCTCTACAAAAAATTTGTAAAAATTAGCCAGGCATGATGGTGCACACCTGTGATCCCAGCTACTCAGGAGTCTGAGATGGGAGGATCCCTTGAGCCCAGGAGGTGGAGGCTGCAGTGAGCCATAATCATACCCCTGCACTCCAGCCTGGGCCTCAGAACAAGACTGTCTGAATAAAAAATTAATTAAGTTAATCAAATCTGTTCTAAACCAGGCCTATTCTACTTTCAGCCATTCATTTATTTACACCACCTAATAAGTCAGATTGGGCAATTTTAATCTACAAAGCCACAGATAACCCTGTAGTATTGCGGAAAATGAATCCTAAGTTACGTAGCTTCCTGAGGGCTGATACTCCCGAGACTGATGAGCTATGAGGAACAGGCAGCCAATGCAGTAAGCAAGCTACCTGTGGTATTCTCTCTTTTTCTAACACATGCCCTGCATCCTGCCCAGGGTGGATGAAAACTAATGGGCTGTTTCACTCCTTCATTTAAAAATTGAATCTGTCGGCCGGGCGCGGTGGCTCATGCCTGTAATCCCAGCACTTTGGGAGGCCAAGGCGGGCGGATCACAAGGTCAGGAGTTCGAGACCAGCCTGACCAACATGGTGAAACCCTGTTTCTACTAAAAATACAAAAATTAGCTGGACGTAGTGGCACACACCTGTAATCCCAGCTACTCAGGAGGCTGAGGCAGGAGAATTTCTTGAACCCGGGAGGCGGAGGTTGCAGTGAGCTGAGATGGCACCACTGTACTCCAGCCTGGCTGACAGAGCGAGACTGTCTCAAAAAAAAAAAAAAAAAAAAAAATTGAATCTGTCCCTATTTTAGACCTGGCTCTTCCCCTGACTCTAGAGAAAAAGAGATGAACAGGTTCTGAGCCTACCCCCAAGGATCTCATGGTCTACTGAGAGACAGACAAGAAATCAGTGGATATGACCCAAATATGATGTGCTATAATCAAGGTTTGCTATGGTTTTACAGGAACACATGGAGGGGGCTCCTAATTCAGCCAGAGGAGGCTTCCAGGAAGGTCTAACTCTTAAGGATTTAGCCAGATGGGCCCAGTGAGGTGGCTCACCCCTGTAATCCCAGCACTTTGGGAAGCCAAGGCAGGTGGATCCCTTGGGATCAGGAGTTTGAGACCAGCCTGGCCAACATGGTGAAACCCAGTCTCTACTAAAAACACAAAAATTAGCTGGGCGTGGTGGTGCACACCTGTAGTCCCAGCTACTTGGGTGGCTGATGCAGGAGAATCGCTTGAACCCAGGAAGCAGAGGTTGCAGTCAGCTAAGATGATGCCATTGCACTCTAGCCTGGGCAACAGAGTCAGACTCTGTCTCAATTTAAAAAAAAAAAAAACAATTTAGCCAGATGAAGACACAGGGAAGGGTATCCAATGAAAAGAAATAGTATACTTAAAGATTCACGTGGAGAGTTTAGGGATTTTTCTGGGGCTGTCCTCCAAGCCTTCTTTCTCCAAGCTGTGTTTGTTCTCCATGAGGCTGCCTCCCTGACCATAACTGGGCCAATCACAATTGCTTTCCTGGAAATGGGAGACTGCGATGCTACCTGGACTTTTCAGGTGATCTGGGGTGATGTAAACTCAGGGAGTGTCTGTGGGCAGAAAAGGGCAGGGAAAGATAGTGTGCTTAGAAAGAGGAGTGACATGGATCCGCTAAATGAAGTAGAGGTGAGGAATCAGTGGCCCCAAAGAGAGTGAGCCTGACGAAGTCACCACCTTCCTACTCCTGGTGCTGGTCCCTCTTGGAATCTCAGGACCTTGGGGACCATCAGATACCCTTTGATCCTTCTGCTAAATTCCCCCTTGGCTTCAGCCTTTTCAAAGTAGGTTTCTGTCCCTTGCAACAAAAGAAACCCAGTCAAAGGCAGACGACATGAGGCATCAAGGGAAAACTAAGGAATCCAGAATGACCAGAGCAAAGGCCATTCCAGATGTGGGATGAAATAGATAAGACATGCGCCTGGCCCAGAAGGCAAGGCCAAACCACAAAGGGTTTTGAGTGCTGTGCTAAAACGTTTGCATTTTATCTCACAGGCAACGGGAGCCCTGGAAGAGCTTTCAGCAGATGCATAATGCAATCCCATCGCTCCCCTGAGCTTGTGTGTGAATGCACTGAAAGGGGTAAAGGCTCAAGGCAGGAGTCCTGTTAGGAGGCTAGAGCAGAAGTAGTGAAGACCTGGACAAAGTAACAACAATGGGGGTGGAGATGGGGGGCGAGTTCAAGAGATCTTTAAGGGAAGTCCAGACTTGGCTAGCAACTGGAAGGAGAATGGGGCAGTGAGAAAAACTGAGGGATTCAAAAAGGATTCTTCAGCCCACAGCTTGGATGAATGGCTTGAAGGGGCAGGTTTGGGGGGAAGATGCTGGCTTCAATTCTGGTCTTGTGGTGAGGGTACAAGTAGATGTGTCACTGTGCATTGGGACACTTAGCTTTGGAGCCCAGGAAAAACATTTTTCAGAGCCTCAACACACTTTTTCAAAGATCATTCTCCCAGAGATGGCAGATTAAAGCTACAAGAGGTGATGACATCGCACAGGGAAATTGGGGAACAGAGAATGGACAGAAAATGGGAGAGAGCAGAATCTTGGAGAACGCCAGCATTTGAGGGACTAAAAGAGGAAGAGGGGCTTTCAAAGGGGACTGAAAAGAAGCCAAAGACTCTGGATAAGAAGAGGAGGCCTGAGAAATAGAGCTTGAAGAAAGAGGAAGTGTAACATATGAGAAAATAATGCTCTGCTGCACTCCCAGTGGGAGTGGAAATCTGACCACCTTTCACCATCTCTTCCCCCATCACCTTCACCCAAGCCACCATCACCTCTCTCTTAGAATGACTGAAATAACCTCCTAACTGGTCTTCCTTCCTCCACCCTTTCCTGCATTCTCCCAGAGGCGCCTCCCTGGCCATAGCTGAGTCAACCACAGTTGCTTTCCTGGAAATGGGCGACTGCAATGCTATTTGGACTTTTCAGTTGATCTGGGGTGATGTAAACTCGGGGAGCATCTGCAGGCAGAAAAAAGCAGGGAAAGGTGGTGTGCCTAGAAAGAGGAGTGACACAGACCTGCCAAATGGAGTAGAGGTGAGGAATCAGTGGCCCCAGGAAGAGCGAGCCTGAGAAAGGCACCACCTTCCTGCTCCTGGTGCTGGTCCCTCTTGGAATCTCAGGAAACTTGGAAAAGTAATGACTTAGGGTTGCATCTTAGGGAGAACTTGAAGGTGACAGGAGTTTGTAAAATAACAGGAGCCTCTACACATCAGGGATAATAAGACAAAACTCGTCTTTTGAGTAAAGGTAGACTTCATCAACTCTGAATTTGCTTGGTGATATTTAGGGCTTATAGTCATAGACTTAATTATCTTCAAAAATTATCATTATGTACGTTCCTAAACAGCAATAACTGTTATTGTGAATTTGAGCTCTCTGGATTGCAACCCTTCTTCTCCCCTTTAAGATACTTTTGGTATAACGAAATTTCTTAGGAATACTATATGGTGTTTTGGCAAAACAGACTACTGAGAGAAAAACAAATAAGGCTACAAAATACCACATTTTTATTTTGTTTTTTAAAGTGTTACATGCATAGACCAAGGTACGGCAGGATATACCACGAGTAGACAGTGGTTATCTATAAGTGGGGAAATAGACTATTATGGTCTTCTTTAGTTTTTCTGAATCTTCTCATTTTTTAATGTTTTTTAATTGTGTTAATTTTTTATAGAGACAGGGGTCTCACTATGTTGCCCAGGCTGGTCTCAAACTCCTGGCTATAAATGATCCTCCCTCTTTGGCATCTCAAAACACTGGGATTATAAGTGTGAGCCACAACCCCTAACCCCCAAGATAATCTTTTATAAATTTTTTATAAATTTATAAAATTTTCTCCTTTTCATACTATGAATCTGGGGATTTGTGGTTTTTTAAAAAATCAGGCAAGAGGAGGCCGGGCATGGTGGCTCACACCTGTAATCCCAGCACTTTGGGAGGCAGAGGCGGGTGGATCACAAGGTCAGAAGATCGAGACCATCCTGGCAAACACGGTGAAACCCCGTCTCTACTAAAAATACAAAAAATTAGCTGGGCGTGGTGGTAGGCGCCTGTAGTCCCAGCTACTCAGGAGGCTGAGGCAGGAGAATGGCGTGAACCCGGGAGGCAGAGCTTGCAGTAAGCCGAGATCACGCCACTGCACTCCAGCCTGGAAGACAGAGCGAGACTCCATCTCAAAAAAAAAAAAAAATCAGGCAAGAGGTGTGGATTTAGGCTTTTGTAGGGCAGGGATTTGTGAACACTTTGCTCCTGCTGTTCCTCAGGTACTGCGGGAGGCCTGACACACAGACATTGCTCCATTTTTTTTTCATAAATGAAGAAAGGATACAAATAGGGTCAAATGCTACAGAGAGGAAGTGTTGTCCGGAAATCCCATATGCAGAGACCTAGGGAAGGAGCTGAAGACTGGGAGAGGTTGACACAACAGTGGGGTAAGAGGGGGCAGGAAGCCAGAGCAGGTTCAACATTGCTGAGGAGGTGGGTGGATCAGGCACTGCAGGGGGATTCAACCAAATAGAAGGAGCAGAGGCCACCTCCTCCCTGGACATCAGATGAGAGACAGGGAGGAGAGGAGAGTAAGTGTGGATGCTGGTGAGGCGTCAAATTGCTGAGGAGCCTCCGGCCCAGCAGCCTTAGTTTCTTAGGTCAATGGGAGGCAACTAGCTGAGAGAGAAAGCAAGACCATGCACAACCTTGGGATGGCAAGCTAGAGAGGAAAGTGACCAAAATAACAAGAGGCCAGGAGAAAGCCGGAGAAAATCACTAAGTGGGAGGAATATAACAGGCAAGGAAATGTTAAATATGATAATAACATGAAATCAAAGCATGATGTAGGCTGATTTTTAAAAATGAAAAAAGATTGAAACATAATAACATGAAAACTGCATTAAATTATTCAACGAAAATAGTATGAACCTAAGCTGTACTGACAAGACATTGTGATGCTATGACACATGACATTGAAACATTCAAGAAGAAATACCGCAATGAAAAAATGTGGCTGGGCGCAGTGGCTCACACCTTTAATCTCAGTACTTTGGGAAGCCGAGGCGGGTGTATCACCTGAGGTCAGGAGTTCAAGACTATCCTGGCCAACATGGTGAAATCCCATCGCTACTAAAAATGCAAAAATTAGCCGGGCATGATGGCAGGTGCCTGAAATCCCAGCTACTCGGGAGGCTGAGGCAGGAGAATCGCTTGAACCCAGGAGGCAGAGGTTGCAGTGTGCCGAGATCACACCATTGCACTCCAGCCTGGGCGAGAAGAGCAAAATTCTAACTCAAAAGAAAAAAAAAAGTAAAGTAAAGAAAAATTACTAGAAGGTTTTCTGTTCAATTTTGCTGTGAACCTAAAACCACTCTGAAAAATCAACTCTTTATTGTTTTTTAATGCTAGAAGGCAATAAACCAAAATGTGCACTGGGTTGACTTTGAGTGGTGGAAATATGAGTGCTTTTTTTCTTTTTTTACCCTTTTTTTGGCTCTTTCTGTGTTCACACTCTGTACCTGTGTACCCCATGAGTCAGCCTGTGACTCAGCACCTCAGGTAGCCTTCCAAGGTCCCTCCTCCCACATGCATCCCTGAGGCTGCCTGTACCCATTTGCCAAGTTTGCCTCCACCCTCTACCAGTTCCAACCCGGCCACCTGCAGGGGAACAGGGCCAGGTTTCCCTGAGTGTGTTGCTGGCACTGCCAAAATCTCCCCAGTTTTTTTCACTTTCACTCCCAGCCCCATCTCCCTACTACTTAGGTGAGAAGCCCTGGACCTGGGTTGGTCTTGGCCTCAGCACTCAACTCCTGTAGCCCTCAAGGTCTCCCTAAGCCCCAACCCTGAGGCATTGCCTTTAGCAGGCCTGTGTGCTTTCCTCCTGACCCCCAGAAATGAGCTCCTCCCTAAGAGCTCTCAACCCTTCATTTCTTTCAGGGACATTGCTTGCACTGACTTACGTGAATTCCAGAGTGAGCCCAGTTTAGGTTCAAACTGAGACTCTGCTCAATGTTGCTAATCTCCCCTCACAGACTTGAAGCACCCTTTGAGCAGTGGGCCTCAGACCTTAGCTGCAAAGTGGAGCAGAAAAATAGGACCGTAGCTGATGAGATGTGGGATCAAGGGAGGGTTGTTATAAGATGGGAACTCCTACAACAGGCTTGTGAGCTGATGGGCAATCCAGAAGAGAAAAAAATGGATGTCACAGGAACAAGGATATACCTTGATCACTTTCCAAGCTTTATCTTTTCATCTCAAAACATCTCTTGGAAAGAGGTATATCTCAACTCTCCTCCCAACTCCCTGGAGCTATGACATCATGTAGGAAACACTGCCATCACAGTTAGAGGATTTGGAGTTACATCCCGATTTCCCAGTGGACTTGCCTTTCCAAGACTTCTCTGCTGTGATAAATAATGTTTGCCATTTATGGAGACCTTAGTCTACCCTGAAAGCCTGGCATACATTACCCTGAACCTTGACAACAAGCTTCCAATGCTGCCATCCCTTCAAGGAGGGAGGGGTCCAGAGAAGTTAAATTACTTGCTCACGATCACACAAGTCGGGATAGACTAAGCCCTAGGCTACCGCAAATTCACCCTGTGGCTCTCTCTCCACCACAGCACCTCTCTGTGTGTCACACAGCAGTTGAGAGCTCAGACTCCGAAGGCAGCTGGTCCTTGACTTAAACTCCAGTTTTGCCACTTACCCGCTGCTGTTATCTTGAGTGAGGGACTTAATCTCTTTGGCCCTTATTTTCCTCTTCTGTAAAATAAGGATAATAATAATTCCTACCATCAGGTCTTGATGACCATTAAATAAAATAATTTATGTAAAAAGTGTTTTTTTCAGTGCCTGGCACAGAGTAAGTCTTCAATTATGATATCACGGGAAACACACTATACATATAAGGATTTAGATAAGGGTTCTCCTTGTGTTGTAGAATCTAAAATAGAATTCAGGGATCAAAGTGACAATTTCATGGAAATAGGGCGGAAGCAGCTGATCTTTGGGTCTTTTTTTTTTGGGGGGGGGGGGACAGAGTCTCACTCTGTCACCCAGGCTGGAGTGCAGTGGTGCGATCTCAGCTCACTGCAACCACCACCTCTTGGGCTCAAAGCGATTCTCCTGCCTCAGCCTCCCCAGTAGCTGGGAATACTACAGGTGTGCGCCACCATGCCTGGCTAATTTTTGTATTTTTAGTAGAGAAAGGGTTTTGCCATGTTGGCCAGGCTGGTCTCAAACTCCTGACCTCAAGTGATCCACCCGCCTCAGCCTCCCAAAGTGCTGGGATTACAGGTGTAAGCCACTGCACCCGGCCTGGGTGCCTTTCAACAACTCGTTGCTCTTCCCTTGCAACAAAGCCCTCAGGAATCCCAGATTGCTCCTCTCTCTGTCTCCTTGCAAAATCTTCCAACAGATTAATGTTAGCATCTAAGTCCAAAGTGCGGTCCTACCAGTGAGCACAGACCTACCTGTTAGTGAGAGGCTGAGCTTACACGTTGGACTGGAGTGTGCCCATTTGCTCATGAAGTTGAAGGCTTAGAAAAGAGGATCCTATGCTGGAGAACAATTTCAAAACTCCATTCTCATCCCTGGCTTAATGACTGAAAGAATTCCCCCAACCCAGGGGCATTTGCTCTTTTTCTAAGAGGCCTGCCTAGGCCAAATAAAAGAATGGCTGACAGACCAGGGAGGGAAATATTGGATGGGGAGGTGGAAGAGAGGAGAAAGAGAAGGGGACAGAGAGAGGCCTTCTAGGAACTCCTCAGGTCAGACTTGGTCAGCAGCTGCCTGGAAAACACATACTAAGAACTGGCCTTCACAGGGCACCTAATTGTGGATAATCACGATCTGGGCAAAGATGGATGTTTCATGTCAAGTTCACTAGAGCTATAGTCCTGTTTGTCCATCGCAGTACACTCTTAGATTTCGAGCATCTCCCATTCTTAGAACTGGAAGGAAGCTTGCCTATTCAAACTTCATTTTATGGGAGCGGAAACCAAGGTTCTGAAAATTTAAGTGAAGATTCAAGTAACACAGCAACTAAGTCTGTCTTTTTGCTCTGTTTTATTTAATTAGAAACATTTTTCCAAATCTTCAGGTTCAGCTTGTGGTACACTAGGACCCCCAGATAGATCTCTTTGTTCCAGTGACCCTACAGGAAATTTCATAAACTCCTCACATACCCTCCATTCACACATTTCCTTTGTCCCCTTAGATTTTATTTCTTTAGTACATTACTTTGTTTGTTTGTTTGTTTGTTTGTTTGTTTGTTTGTTTGAAATAGAGTCTTGCTCTGTCACCCAGGCTGAAGTGCAGTGTCACAATCTTGGTTCACTGCAACCTCTGCCTCCTGGGTTCAAGCAATTCTCCTGTCTCAGCCTCCCAAGTAGCTGGGATTACAGGTGCCCACCGCCACACCCAGGTAATTTTTTTGTATTTTTAGTAGAGACCAGGTTTCACCATGTTGGCCAGGCTGGTCTCGAACTCCTGATCTCAGATGATCCGCCCACCTCAGCTCCCAAAGTGCTGAGATTCCAGGCATGAGCCACTGAGCCTGGCCCATTACTTTGTTTTAAGACCTAGCACGGAGTTGGATGCAAACAAGCATTTGTTACATAATCAGACAACTAGCGGATTCTCACTTAGGAACATGTGGGAATGTGCACAAAGACAGTACATGCTGAGTCTTGCCAGGGTCCCACTCAGAGGAGTGCTCAAGTATGCTGGCCAAGTGGGGAACCCTGCACTGCACAGCCCTGAGACCTGTACCTGCCTAGTCTCCCCACACCCCCAATACCTTTAAAGCTGGAGCAAAGTCACCTCTTTCAGGAAGACAGCCATGTTGTTTACAGTATGGGAACCAAGGGAGAGGTACGGATGTGGCCTCTTAGGTTTCAGTTGGGCAACACAATTCCTTCCCATGTCGGAAGTGACTAGATTTCTTCAGCGGTCCCTCCCCATTTACCTTCTAGATCTTACTTCTTCCATCCCCCTGATGCAAGCCTGGCTAAAAAAAAGGGGGTGATAGTTCTGGAATAACGTTGGGTCATTCATCCCCAAAACAGACATACATATGCACCCATGCATAAGCAACATGCACGTACACACTGTGGGTTACCTAGAAATCCCGTCAATGTATCCTCCTGGGGTACATAACATTTTCTGGAAGAAGGTTTTAACATAAGAAAGGGAAATAAAAAACAAGAAAAGGAACTTTGTTTTTCGTTTGATGTGCTATCTGAATTTCTGGTCATGATAATGGGCTGGCTGAAGAGGCATAGCAGCAAATCAGCAACACAAACATGCCCTCCATAGGCATCCTAAATAACTTTTTTTTTAATTTTTAAAAAGGCTGGGCGTGGTGGCTTATGCCTGTAATCCCAACACTTTGGGAGGCCGAGGCGGGCGGATCACCTGAGGTCAGGAGTTTGAGACCAGCCTGGCCAACATGACAAAACCCCGTCTCTACTAAAAATACCAAAATTAGCTGGCATGGTGGTGGGTGCCTGTAATCCCAGCTACTTAGGAGGCTGAGGCAGGAGAATTGCTTGAACCCGGGAGGGAGAGGTTGCAGTAAGCTGAGATCACGCCACTGCACTCCAGCCTGAGAAATAGAGTGAGACTCTGTCTCAAAAATAAATGAATGAATTAATTAATTTTTAAAAATAAATATCTGAGGTCAATAGCAGGCAAGAGAGAGAGAAAAAATCTCCAAGGGCCAGAAATGAAGAGGGAGCTTAAAAATGTATGGACTTATCAGGGAGTAGGATTAAAGCCAGAGGAACCCAGAAAGATACTAGAATTGATCATGTACCTTAAGGATGGGAATGATAATACCAGTGACCCTAAAGGCCCCATGTATAGCAGAAACTACAACTTGATTGCCTATAAAATTGTCAGGACCAAGAAAGAGCTGCCATGCCCTTGAATGGGGATAGAAAAGCACTTTGCAGCCTGAGACACAACCCCCAAGTGAGCTGCCTTCCTAGGTCATGAGAGAAAAGGGGCCAATTGAGGAACATTCCAGAATCCCAAGCCCTAGTATCAAGTGATGAGGACCCAAATCTGTCATTTGCAATGGTGTGGAAACTCAGGGCCAAGAAATATCAATAACAAAAAATGCTCTGAGCTATGTAACCCAGTAAGGCCCTAGCAGGTACAGCCATAAAGCCACCCCTGAATAGACTTCTTCATAATCCAGGGCACATGCAAGACTCCCATGAAACAAAAAAATGCCTTCAAAAGATGAATTAACAATAAAATGTTACAAAGAGCTGACAATCATCACAATCAACAGTCAGTCAACAGCAAATGGGAGAATTCACACCTGAGGAGCTAAAGATAATAAAGCAATTTGGATCTGACTTTAAAATAAGTATATTTTTTGCCACGCACAGTGACTCACACCTATAATCCCAACACTTCGAGAGGCAGAGGTGGGAGAATCACTTGAGGCCAGGGGATCAAGACCAGCCTGGGAAACATAGTGAGACTCCATCTCTCCAAAAAATATTTTAAACATTAGCCAGAGATGGTGTTGCGTGCCTGTAGTCCGAGCTACCTGGGGGCTAAGGAAGGAGGATTTTTTTTTTGAGACAAGGTCTCACTCTGTTGCCCAGGCTGGAAGGCAGTGGTGCAATCTTGGCTCACTGCAACCTCTGCCTCCCAGGATCAAACAATCCTCCCACCTTAGCCCCCAGAGTAGGTGCATTCCACCATGCCCAGCTAATTTTGTGCATGTGTGTATTTTTTTGTGGAGATGGGGTTTCACCATGTTGCCCGGGCTGGCCTTGAACTCCTTGACTCAAATGATCCTCCCGCCCTGGATTCCCAAAGGGCAGGAATTATAGGCGTGAGCCACCGCACCCAGCCCCTAAATTTTTTTTTTTAAATAGGTCAAGCTTGGTGGCTCATGCCTGAAATTCCGGAAATTTGGGAGGCCAAGGAAGAAGGACTGCTTGAGCCTAGGAGTTCAAGACGAGCCTGGGCAACATAGTAAGATTCTGTCTCTACAAATTTTTTTTTAATTAGCCAAAGGTGGTGTTGCATGCCTGTAGCCCCAGCTACTCAGGAGGCTGAGGCAGGAGGATTTTTTAATTTTTTTTTTTTAAATAGGCAGGGTGCAGTGACTCAACCTGTAATCCTAGCACTTTGGAAGACAAGGAGAGGGGATCACTTGGGCCCAGGAGTTGGAGACCAGCCTGGGTGACATAGGGAGACCCCGACTCTATTTAAAAATTTAAAACTAGCCAGGCAGGCATGGTGGCACACACCTGTAGTCCCAGCTACTTAATAGGCTGAGGTAGGAGGATTCCTTGAGCCTGGGAGGTCAAGGCTGCAGTGAGCTGAGATTGGGCCACTGCATTCCAGCATAGGTGATACAGTGAGATCCTGTCTCAAAAATAAAATAAAATAGAATAATTCTTTTAAAAAAATTAAAGAATAAGGAAAACGAAGGGTGGAACACTGTCAAAGAACTAATACCAGATAAATTTACATAACCTAAATTTCCAGATTAAGAAAATTTACCAGGCGCCCAGCACAATGAATGAAGAAAAACACCACCAAGGTACACATCATGCATTCTAAAACTAAAAAGAAGATTTAAATTCTGAAATGATGGCATACAGTTAAAATCCAAAGCAATCTTTAAAAAAATCTACTAGAACCAATAAATGAATTTACTTAGGTCCCAAGTTACAAGGTCAATATACATACTGCAACTGTATTTCTATATACTATGGTAACCAAAAAAAGAACTGGAAAATGAAAACTTTTTAAGATATCATTTGTAATCGCATCCAAAAAACCCATAAAATACTTAGGGACAAATTTTGCAAAGTATGTACAAGATTTGTGTACCAAGAACTATAAAACATCCTTTGCAAAAAAATTAAAGAAGACATAAATAGAGAAAGATATCGTGCCCATGGACTGGAAGACTCAATATGACAATGTCAATTTTCTCTAAATTGATCTATGAATTCTACATAATCCAAATCAAAATCCCAGCTGGACATTATATAGAAATTGATAAGCAGATTCTAAAATTTCTCTGGAAACATAGTCAAAGCAATTTAGTAAAGAGGAACTGGCCCCTTTCCTAAGAGTCACCTGTCCAGGTTGGAAGAAGACAATGAAGGACTCCCGGAGAGAGGTCTTTGAGAAAGAAAAATTAATAGATTATCCGCTGAGTGTGAATGTATTGAGGGAGACATTGGAACTGATGTCATGATAAGTACATGGAACATCCTCTCATCAATTCCAGGGAAAACAAAACTTGTACAAAAAAAATTGGATCCTACTGTGAATAATTTTTTACATAGTCATAATAACAAAAAAATTGAATGTCGACTTAACCAAAAAATGTGGCATCTGTTTCTGGAGAATGGAGAAGGCAGTATTTGTGTTTGCTTGGATTGGGGTGAAAGCAGGAGAGGGACTGGGAGAATATTACATTCTCAAAGCCAAAAGAGAGAGTCAGTGATGATAGCTAAACCTGGAGGGGGAGAAAAACAAGAACTAGCAGAGGGCTGGTCACAGTGGCTCACACTTGTAATCCCAGCACTTTGGGAGGCTGAGGTGGGGGGATCACTTGAGGTCAGGAGTTCAAGTGATGAACTGGCCTGGCCAACATGGTGAAACCCTGTCTCTACCAAAAAATGCAATAATTAGCCAGGCGTAATGGCGGGCACCTATAGTCCCAGCTACTCAGGAGGCTGAGGTGGGAGAATGACTTAAACCAGGGAGGCGGAGGTTGCAGTGAGCTGAGATCATGCCACTGCACTCCAGCCTGGGAGACTGAGTGAGACCAAAAAAAAGAAAAAAACTAGCAGAACAAGTATGATATTTAGAAATATATAGATCACTATCCGATGAAACAGCTATGAGAGCTGACAGCTGCTGCCCTTGTCTGCAGGGATTGGAGCTGGAAGGCTGCTGGTTTTTTGTTATAAGCTTCATAAAGCCATTTCGTTTTTTCAACAATGTGTATAAAATACTTAGACAATAGAAAGAAAATTTAATCTTAAAAAGTCGAGTTAACATATTTCGATTATTTTTTATTTATTATGTCTTTGATTCATTTCTACCCTGAAGGTTGGAAGGAAGACTTTGGATTTAAAAACTGAATACCAGGCTGCAAGAAAACATTGGTGCTGAGAGCTCCGCCGTTAGCTCCTTGTGGCTTTCTGGGTGGAACCTAGAGTGGCCTCTCTGACCTCTGCATGGAAACGGCAAAAGACAGGGCTCCACCACTGTCTCTTGGTGAGTGGTCTTCTCTAGGAAGGCACCTCTTTGGGACGATCCTTAGACCAAAGAGGAGATTGTCATGTTACTCATTTGCATCTATGAGATTTTTCAGTCTCTGAAAGACTCTTATTAAAATACTACTTTGCTGAGAAAGGGGCAAATTTTACCTCTATGGCATAAAATGTTGATTGTCAATTAGTATTTTTGCTGGAATTAACAAGAATGGGCCAGGGGATGGAGGGCAAGGGGTGGTGAGAGGCTGTGGTTGGTCAGAAGTGGAACTGGTTTAGGGGAAAACAGTAGATTTTCACATTTTGATTTAGAGTCTCAAACGTTGTCACCAAGGCTACAAAACAAACTTTAGGATTTTAACATCAGGAAGCATTGTGCAGAACATGCCGTTACATCCTAATCCCCGTCCCTCACCTTACCCTGATGTACATCCCCTCTGTAATCCCAATCTCATCACTGACCCCTCCCATTTCTGACCCCCACTCCTGTCCTAAGATTCACCCCATCCCTAGTGCCAGCCCCATCCTGGACAAGGGAGTCCCTCCTTAAGGCAAACACTCTCCCTGGCTCTGACTGGATCTAATCCTCACCCTATCTAGTAATTGAAATATCAGTTTTTGGTACTTCAATATGCTGTTAACTAAGTACCAAAATCCTGACATTTTTTAAAAATCTGAAATCCAAATCATTTGTGTCTTGAGCTATACCCAGAAAATTACAGGCTGCATTAGAATTTCCAATCAGCCTGGGTGCAGTGGCTCACACCTGTAATCCCAGCACTTTAGGAGGCCGAAGCAGGCAGATCACTTGAGCTCAGGGGTCCAAGACCAGCCTGGGCAACGTGGCAAGACTCCATATCTACAAAAAATTTTAAAAATTATCTGGGCATAATGGCGCACAGCTCTGGTCCCAGCTACTCTGGAAACTGAGGTTGGAGGATCACCTGAACTCAGAAGGTTGAGGCTGCAGTGAGCTGTGTATGCACCACTGCACTCCAGCCTGGGTGACAGAGCAAGACCCTGTCTCATTAAAAAAAAAAAAAAAATCCAATCGAAAAATGTTGCACTTGTTTGAAGAGTCCACTATATCCCTCCCCTGTTTAAAACACTTCTGAGTTATTTTGTTGCTGTTTGAGCCTCATTTAGTTCCTAGTGAGACTGAGCATTTTTCATGAGGTTATGAGTCATTTGCATTTCCCCTGGACCCAGTGTGGATCCCTATTTACTTACTGAAGCCTCTGATGGAGTTGTCCTTGCAGGAGCATAAGGTGAAGAAGGAGGAAGTTGGACTTTGAGGAAACAGTAGGAGAGGTGGAGGGAGATCAGCGGAGGGAGGAGAGGAAAAGGAGGCCCCAGTTCTCAGCCTTCTGCCCTAGATTCTCTGTGCATCCTTTGCATCCTTCTTGTCTTCTCTGCTGAATCAGGTCTATCTCTTAGGGCTCGAGTGCCTAACTCCCTCCTCACTCACCTGCCTGGAGAGTCTTAAGCAGGACAGACTGAGGAGCCTCTGTCTTTTGGCCCCGGAAGAGGATCTTAGATGATGCTCCAGATAGGATGGTGACCCTACCAGGCACGTCTTCTGCTCCAGCCTTATAGCTACTAAGCCTTCCCTGATATTCATTCCAGGCCTGACACCCCCTCCCTGAGCCTCACCACTCCCCCACACTTATCCCATTCCAAAGTCTCACTCTCCATATCTGGTCCCAGCTCCATGTTGAATCTCCCTGTTCCCAACACCTCACTGTGACCCTGACTCTCACTCTCCCTCCTTGTAGATCTCTACCGATTCCTGGCATTCATCCTTCTCTGACCTCATCCCAAGCTGCCACCCCATCCCTGCCCCCATCCCAGCTTTGATTTCAACATCAATCACTGATCCCCATCTGAAGCTTGATCTAGGTCCTGTCTCTGAGCCTCACCCTATTCCCAACCTCAAGCCTTCCCTGATCCTTCCCCACACAGGCTAAACCCACACTCTCAGTTTTGCTTAAGCTAGTTTGACTTCTCTTTCTATCATTTGCCATCAGAAGAGCCCTGACATCTTAAGTCCTCACTTGGGACATTTTTACACAGATAAACATCTAATGAAGCTAAACCACAAAGGCAAACTTAATAAGTGGACAGACGGAGGCTGAAAGCGGAGAGGACAGACAAGAGGAGCTTTGAGCAGATGGTGTGCAAAAGAGTGGTCTTTTCAGCATGCATTCATTCCTGTGATCATTATTTATTGAGCATTTAGTAGGCTCCAGGCACCAAGGACATACAGTGAATAAACCGACAGGGCCCTGTCTCCAAGGAGGGAAAACAGACTAGGAAAAAACTGCAACTCATGGAAAGCATTTGGGGAGGGACTGGTGAGCTCACATAGCTTGAGGCAGGGCTATGCCTAGGCAAGGCCTAACCCAGAAGATGATGCTCACCTCAGGGTGAAGCTGAGACTCCCTGGAGGAGCATTTCCTTTTACTTGTGGACAAAGGGATCTTCCTTGGCCAGGGGTATGGGCATGAACAGGAGTTTCTGTGCCTCAAGAGACTGTTCTAGCAGGAGTTAAAGCCCCAGGGAACACTGCCCTTCAACCCAGAGAGGTGCCTTCTTAGGAGGTGCTGCCCCCATTCTACTGCAGGAACAGCCAACAATGCTGCACACACCCTTGACTCTGTCACAACCAAGATACTTCCACAGGGACAAGCACGGAACAGAAGCTTTATTAGGAACATCTGCCTGCCCAATGGACTGGTGGCTGCACATGGCTTTCTAGGGATGCTGATGCTGCACGCCAGCCTGGAAGCTGCAGAGGGGAAGGGCTAAGGGCTGCTTGTCTCGTTCCACTTGGGGCTCAGCAGGTGGCCAGCACATGTGTCTGCGATGTTGGTCATGGGGGTAAAGGGGGTTCTTGTGGCATAGATCTGGCTTCCAAACCCTCTTTCTCTTTGTTCATCCACCACCCCCAAGGGGAACATGTGTTTCCAGCTCCTCACAAGGCCAGCTGGCAGGTTGATGTTTTGGCAGTGCCTGCCTCAATGTCTCCAGCAGACACTGCAACACACCTGAGATGGGAAAACCACCCCCCTGAGCTCGGATCAGAGCACACAGAGCCACCAGCTTGGTGGCTCAACGCTTAACACTCAGAGTTGAGGAGATGCTCCTGTGAGGGTCAACGAGAGCATCCAGCCCTCATGAGGACACAGCTTCAGCCCTGTTCTCTCATCTAATGTCAGATTCGGGGCTCAGATGTGGCCATGCTAATTAGCCAGTTAGTGGGTTAAAGATGTGACGTTCAACGGGAATGATGGTGCTTCGTTTCCATGGAGGTGCAAAGGCCGGTCCTTGGAGGTACCTCAACAGCTCCTCAGAAGGTTGGTGTGGCCCCTGAAGACACCAGTTCCTAACTTCCCCACATCCTATAGCGTCCCCCCAAAACCCAGATAGTGCCTGTCCAGAGCCAGATCACCTTCCACACACAACCTCAGGGTGTTGGTTATTCTTTCCTTCTGAGAAGAGATATTCCTTCATCGATGGTTTTCAGAGGTTGGAAGAGACATTGACAGACGAAGAAGTGTAGGAGGTAACACGATGACGTGCCAAGAACTCCTTGCTGACCAGGCCATGCATAGCCAGGATCTTGAGGAATCCATGGCGAAAATTTTGGCCGATGAAGGCGTAGATGATGGGGTTGAGGCAGCTATGGAGAAATCCCAGAATCTCAGTGGCATCCAGGGCCCGGCCGATGTTGTTGCGGCGCTCACAGCTCTCCTGGATCACCTGGGTCCTCATGAGGGTGTCTGCCAGCAGGACCAGGTTGTAGGGCAGCCAGCAAAGCAGGAAGATGAGGACGACAGCAAAGATGACCCTCATGGCTCGGTGCTTCTGCCCCATGTGGGCCTTAAACAGTGTACGCAGGGTGAATCCATAGCAGAACAGCATGACAAACAGCGGCACGATGAAGCCAAAGGTGTGAGGCAGGATCCGCAACACCATCCGCCATTTTGCTGTGTCATTTCCCAGGACCTCATAGCAAACTGGACTGGAATTGTTTGGATGGTAAGCCTGGCGGAAAAGGAAGAAGGGCAGGGACAGATTCATAGACAGTCCCCAGCAGCCAAGACAAACAAACTTGACCAAGTGACGCTTCTGGGTCAGTGTGCGTGTGGCATGGACAATGGCCAGGTAACGGTCCACACTGATGCAGGCCAACAGCAGGATGCCACTGTAGAAGTTGACTTCCTTCAGGAGTGAGACCACCTTGCACAGGAATGTGCCAAAAATCCAGCCATTCACCTTGGAGGCGGCCCAGATGGGCAAGGTCAGGGCAAAGAGTAGGTCGGCCAAGGCCAGGTTCAGCAGGTAGACATCAGTGACGGAGCGGCCGACCCTGCTGTATAAGATGACCAGCATCACCAGGGAGTTTCCCAGCAGGCTCAGCAGGAACACTAGGGCATAGGCGATGATCACAACATACTTGTTGAGTGTCTCAGTTTCTAGCATACAGGGGCTGTAATCTTCATCTGCAGGTGGCATGCCAGTGAAATTTAGATCATCAAAATCCCACATCTGTGGATCTGTAATATTTGACATGTCCTCTTCAGTTTCAGCAATGGTTTGATCTAACTGGAAGGTTAGAAGGAAGGAAATGTGATTTAGTAGCTCGGATTCAAGGCATTCTCATCAATGATGTGAGAGCAGTTACTGGGATATCCTTGGCTTCCCTGTTGGTTTGGCAATGAGAGCTCTCCTTCCTCCTTTGACTCCAACCTGGTCTTCTTCGGAGGTTGGCTTCCCAGTGTTCTCCACCTTCCACAACTCTAAGGCCTGGCCTGAGTGTGGGGTAAGATGGAATATGGGGAAAACACCTTAGCCCTAGCTCAACCTACAACTGCCTCCTCTCAGCCTATGTCTCTACCTCTGTCCCTCTTTAGCCTTCTCCATCCTCAGCTGTGTCTGTGCATTTGGATGTGGGGACCAGGTTGGTCTTAGACATTCAGGGAAGGGCCAGCATTAAGCAAAATGCAAGAAGGCAAACCTGTTCCCAGGTGTCCCCTTCTACTATTTCTATTCCTATGTTCTCCCTGATTCTTGTTTACCCTCCTTAAAATCTACTGGGGGAAGGAAGTGATAACAACACATTGCATTAAACTGTATATTTTAAGCCTTCTTTAAATGAGGAGCACATATTTTGTTCCTCTGTCTAAAGGAGTTTTAAGTATTTGAGAAGATAAAGTCTCCATCTTGGTCCCTGAAACCCTCCACCCCTGAAAAAATCCACAGAATCATTCAAGAGTTTTCAAATATATTTCCTATTGTGAAATAGTTTACTGAAATAAGATCTTCCCAGAAGCCCAGTATGTGAAGCAGATAAAAGCTGAGCCACTGTGGGGCAGAGTGTGCTAATCTCCGAACCCAGATGGCCCCTAAAGAGCCCCTCAAAGCTCCAGGACTCTCCAGAGAAGTCTGAAAGCCTTTGGAAAGTCACCGAGGTTGGTTGTAAAGACACCTAGCATCCAGTCTTCATTCCATCCTGATTCTACCATTAATAAGTTTCGTGTGTAATCCCAGCCCTTTGGGAGGCCAAGGCAGGCAGATCATGAAGTCAGGAGTTCGAGACCAGCCTGACCAAAATGATGAAACCCCGTCTCTACTAAAAATACAAAAAAATTAGCTGGGTGTGGTGGCGTGCACCTGTAATCCCAACTACTCAGGAGGCTGAGGCAGGAGAATCACTTGAACCCGGGAAATGGAGGTTGCAGTGAGCCGAGATCGTGCCACAGTACTACAGCCTAGGCGACAGAGTGAGACTCCATCTCAAAATAAATAAATAAATAAATAAATAAGTCTCATGACCTTGAGTGGGGTCTCGTACCCCTATAGATTTCAGTCTTCTCATCTGCAAATCGAGGAAGACAGAATCATCCACCTCTCATTTGCTGCCAGGCCTGAGGGTGTATGATGAGTCCACTCAGATCCACACATTTTAGTGTGTTCCCTCCCTACCAGTATTTGCATTTTCACTGAAGACAAAGTCTTAAGGTGAAGCAATAAACATCAAATTGGGGAATGGTCAGCCTCTTCCCACAAAAGGGCAAGGTATAAAAAGAGGGGATGAGGAGGCTGTCCTCTTCACCTGCTAACTCCATGTATGAGTGGTGGTCACAAGAGAGGAAGCGGGCAGCAGAAATCCTCAGCTCCCACAGAAATGAATACATTTTCCAAAATAAAGTCAAGCCAAGCAGCCCTACCCCACAGAAAGTCCTAGCAAACAGAGGTGGCTTCCTACCTGAAGCACCGGCCAGGTGTGTCCAACAGTAGGAGCTGCAGTCAGAGATCAGAGTGACTTAACAGCTAGAGGGCACTTGATGAATAAACGGAAATAAGGAAACCACATCAGATGACACCTCCCTTCTGAGCCCCACCCATGTCTACATTTGGGGAAGAACAGTTTAAGTCAAGGGATCACAGACTTGTGATTAGAGACTGCCAGGGTCCATATGACCAAGTGGGGGTCCCAGGTGTGAAGCTGGGGTTGAGGGTCCATTATCTGAATTCTCCACTCTATGGATGATCATTTTTATTATTTTCCTTTTCTTGAATTTATTTCCATTTGTTTATTCCTAAATTCCCTAGTATATCACCTGTGGAAGCTTGCAACTTCCTGACCAAGTATAAAGGGCGAAGGATTTGACTTACAGCAGAGACTTCAGAAGGAGTCCCCCATAGGAGGGACTTGGGGGCAATCCAGTGGGAAAGAGGAGGAGGACTGCGCTTGAGTTGTGTTTGAACAGCAGGCACTCAATCTCTACTTATTTTGCAGGCTTCTTTGAGGTGGCCTAGCTCGGATTCAAGGCATTCTCATCAAGGATGTGAGAGCAGTTACTGGGATATCCTTGGCTTCCCTGTTGGTTTGCCAACGAGAGCTCCCCTTCCTCCTTTGCCTCCAACCTGGTCTTCTTTGGAGGTTGGCTTCCCAGTGTTCTCCACCTTCCACAACTCCAAGGCCTGGCCTCAATCTCTACTTATTTTTCAGGCTTTTTGAGGGTATTTGAATGGAACACAAACCCTCCTTTGCCGCCAGCCACTCTTTCGCACAATCACTGCCAATGACCAGTTGGTTTAAATGGCCCTGAGGCTGACGGCATAGGCCACTCCCAGAGTCTGGCTGGTTAGCAGAGAGACCACAGAGCTGGGGCAGTCCATGAATGGAAGAGCTGTGGTCAAGGTCACTGCAGCCCCCATCTCAGTAACGGAGAATGGCTTCTCTGGGAACCCACCTTAGCTGCCTCCAGCAGCTAATGGCTGTCCCCTAGCTTGAGTCTTCTGGCACCTTCGTCACTTCTCCATATAACATGAACCCTGCTGTGAGGCATTTACAAGTCAGCCCTCTTCTAGCTTGGGAGCCATGAGACAGCAAGAACCTTCTTCAATTCATGTTTATGTTCTCTTTCAGGGAATATAGTAGGTGCTCAATCAATGGTTGTGGAATAAATGAAGGGAGACATTTCTCCTGTGATTCATGGACCATAAGTCACCACCACGATTCAGTGTCTATTGCTTTTGGCTACACACTAAAGTCACTGGTATGCCTGATAGCTTCACTTCCACACAGCCCAGTTGGTCTGCCTGGCATTGCTTCTTTCCAACCTTCCTCTAATGTTTGGAGCTAATGCCAGTCTGTGCAAGTATAAATCCTGCCCTACCACAAATGCCAAATTTACCATGCCATGGATTCCTACAGTTCTGCACTGGAAAGAATTTTTTTCTTTTTTTAAGAGACAGGCTCTCACTGTGTTGCCAAGGCTAGAATGCAGTGGTGTGATCATAGCTCAGTGTAACCTCAAATGCCTGGGCTCAAGCAATCCTCCCACCTCAACCTCCTGAATAGCTGGGACTACAGGCAAGAGCCACTACATCTGGCTTTCTTTTTTTATATTATATTTTTATTTTTATTTTTTATTTAGTTATTTATTTATTTGTAGAGAAAGGGTCCTGATATACTGCCCAGGCTTATCTTGAACTCCTAGCCTCTAGTGATCCTCCTGCCTTTGCCTCCCAAAGCACTGGGATTACAGGCATAAGCCACCATGCCCAGCCGGCAAGCCTATTTTTTAAGCTAAGTTGTGCTTTCCTCCTGGGCTCTTTTATCATTCATAGATGGTAACAGGAAGTGTAAGGGGACAATAGCCACTCATGCTTTGCTTTTACTGATGTTGGACTATTGTGCTCTAACGCCTAGACTAGAAAGGAGTCAAAGATGGGGTAGTCCCAGGAGGTGGGAGACTCCCTCTATTAATCATCTAGGGAAAATCAGCCCCAAGGGCAGAAAATAGTCACTGGGGACACAGGAGAAAAAAGACGGGGGCCTAGACTGCAAAACACCTGCCTATACTCAAGAAAGACCCTGAGGCCGGGAGAAGGATAGTTTTTGCCACAAGGGGGCAGCAGTTGCTAGACAGGGAATCCCCTGTGAGACACCCCCTTGAGAAAGACCAGGGCCAAGAGCAGGTATATTTAACACCGTATGTTAAGTTCTTCTTGGTGTATAGTTCCCTTCTGCTTTTCCTAAACCCTCAGTAAGTCGGTTCACTATTCCAGTCTATTTCAAGGAATCACTGAGGGGTTAGGGAAGAGGCTGGTCTCCTGGAGCCCGAGGAGTGAAGGGGAGCAGCCCTGCTGCATGAGTGTGGTGAGGGCAACAGCAATGCTGGGGTCTCCAGGAGAAGTTGCATCTGGAGGACAAGGGTGGAAAGAACCTTTCACTTCGCAGTAGGACGAGCATTTCACTGAAGGAGGGAGAAAGCACATATAGATGAGTTTAGAATAAAATTTTACCCACTTCAAAATGTTCCAGCAAGTCAGCCCACCCAACCTATCTTCTATACCTCACTTCCCACTTATAACTGTGCCCTCTTAAAATGGCCTAGAATGTTCCTGCTGAGAAGCATTTTTCCATTCCATGTAGAGCTCCTAATGCCACAAAGAAAGCTGTGACAGGTGCAGCCCGAATGCCAGTCAACTGGCAAAATGTAGTATCTCTTTGGGTGACATCTTCTTACCACTCTGTTTTAAACATGATGACTTCTGCACAGACCATGTGAACAGCACAATGTGGCTGTAAGAACATCTATTTTGTCCCTGCATCAGCCTTATGCCAGCTTCAGCATCTCTTCTCATTCCTCCAGAAGAATCCACTTGGATCTGGGATCAAAGTAGAGGAAAGGGGTAGAGGGAGGTTTCTCCTCTCTCCCCAGTGACGTCCTCGTAACCACAGCAACAGGCTCAGGGAGTGAGTCTGTGACCCAAGATGATCCAGTCAGAGCAAAGTTCAGATGTTTGCTCAATGAATGTGGAAAAGCAAGTATATAGTCTTGTTGCAGTCAGCAGCCATTTTGCTACCATAAATGGCAAAAACAGTCCAAGGAAAAAACCAACACACAGAAGAAGGCAGAGTTGAGAGAATCAGAGAAACAGACCAAGAGTCCTGAACAAACCATGCCCAGAGGCCATCTTCTCTCTGTACTTTCTTCGGTTCCATGAGCCAATAAATTGTCTTTATTGTTAAGACCAGTTTAAGTTGACTTTTCTGTTACCAGCAACCAAAACATGCCCAACTGTGAGAGTTCTGGAAACCAAATGTGGTCTAGGATGAGAGGAGCAGGGAGTAGTGTCAGTGAGACACTGGGTCAAGGCTGCAGTGGTAAAGATACAGGGGCATTGACAGACACGTGACCTAGCCAGGTGCAGACCTCCCAGCCCTGATCTCCAGTCTCCAGAGGAAGCCAGAGAAGGACCTTGAAAAGTGAGCATATTTGTTTCCTGCAATCTCCGTTTTAAAACTAAAATTAAATTTAAAAATTATTTCCTGCAATCTCAATTTTTTTTAAAAAAATTAACAAATAAATAAATAGGCCAGGCATGGTGGCTTATGCCTGTAATCCCAACACTTTGAGAGGCCAATGTGGGAGGATTGCTTGAGTTCAGGAGTTCAAGACAAGCCTGGGCAACATAGCAAGACCTATCTCTCTAAAAATAAAAAGTAAAAGTAAAAATTAGCTGGGCATGGTGGTGTGTGCCTGTAGTCCCAGCTATTAGGGAGGGTGAGGCAGGAGGATCACTTAAGCCAGAAAGGTCAAGGCTACAATGAGCTATGATCACACCACTGCACTCCAGCCTGGGTGATGAAGTGAGATCCTGTCTCTAAATAAATAAATAAAGTGAGCCTGGGCAACGTAGTGACACCCATCTCTACAAAAATGTTTTAATTATCTGGATGTACTAGCACACACCTATAGTCCCAGCTACATGGAAAGCTGAGGCAAGAGGGTCGCTTGAGCCCAGGAGTTCGAGGCTGCAGTGAGCTACGATCACTCCACTGCACTCCAGCCTGGAAGACAGAGTGATGTACTGTCCTGAAAGAAAGAAAAATTAAAAAAGGAAAGTGAGCGTCTGAGCACTCATCTGAAGGAAACGCTCCGGAATGGATTCAGAAAATCCGCATGAAGGACCCAGAATTCCTTGCTTTGAAGTCAGACAGACCAGGATGGAAATACTGGCTCTTCTTTACTAGTTTGTGATCTTGGGTGGTGATAGGAAAGCATTTTTCTATTCTATGCAGAACACCCAGTGCCACGAAGAAAGCCGTGACAGGTGCAGCCTGAATGCCAGTCAACTGGCAAATTGTGGCATCTCTTAACATTTATCAAAATATCCTTATCTATAAAAACGGGGATAATAATACTTACCTCTCCAAGCTGTTGTGATGATGGAAGGCTTGAGCTCCAAACCAGCTGGTACAAATCCCAACTCTGTCCCTGGCTAGATGTGTGCCCTTGGGCAGCTTAGATGCTCACTCTGTGCCTCAGTTTTCTCACCTGCAAAAGGATAATAAAAGTAGGACCTAGTTTATAGGATTGGCATCAGGATCAATTAGTTAATATATGTAAAGTGGTTGGCAGATAATAAGTGTTCAGTCACTTTTAGTTCATCCTGGTCTGGCTGGCTCCAAAGCAGGGAATTCTGGGTACTTCATGAGGATTTCTGAATCGATTCCGGAGGATTTCCTTCAAATGAGTGCTCAGATGCCCACTTTCCTTTATTTTTCTTTCTTTCAGGACAGGACATCACTCTGTCTCCCAGGCTGGAGTGCAGTGGAGTGATCATAGCTCACTGCAGCCTTGAACTCCTGGGCTCAAGCGATCCTCTTGCCTCAGCCTCCCATGTAGCTGGGACTATAGGTGTGTGCCACCACAACCAGATAATTAAAACACTTTTGTAGAGATGAGGGTCTTGCTATGTTGCCCAGGCTCTTATGATCACTTTATTTATTTATTTATTTATTTATTTATTTATTTATTTATTTATTTTGTACACAACCCCCATGGTCCCGTGGGGGAGCTGTGTATCGAACACACCAAAAAATGCAGAACCTTTGATGCTGAAATTCCACTAAAAGAGGGAAGGGAGGAAGGGAGGAAGAGGAGAGAGGGAGGGAAGGAAGAAAGGAAAGAAGGAAGGAAGGAAGGAAAGAAAGGAGGAAGGAAGGAAAGTAAGTTTATCACAGGGTTGTTTATAATAATAAAACAGCAATAATCTCAATGTTCTTCAAAAAATGTTTATACAAATTATACTGGATTTATAAAATGGAATACCATGCTTCTATTTAAAATAATGTACAGCTATAATTAATGCTATAGAAAAGTGTTTGTAATAGGATGCTAAGTGGCAATAAAGATTAAAAAGTAGAATGTACAGTATTACATTTTGTATCAAATACATATATGTGTATGCACAGGGAAAACACGGGAAACGTAGTCAAATGTTAGCAGGGGTTATCTTTGGGGATTGTAGATATTTGGGATTGTAGATATTTGCTTCCTTGCTTATGTCTTTTGATGTTGCTCAATCTTTAAAATAAGCATTACTTTTGCAATCAGAAAAAAAAAAAATACACACCAGGCGCAGTGGTTCACGCCTGTAATCTCAACACTTCAGGAGGCTGAGGTGGGTGGATTGCTTGAGATCAGGAGTTCGAGACCAGCATGGTCAACATGGTGAAACCCTGTCTCCACTAAAATTACAAAAATTAGCTGGGCATGGTGGCGTGTGCCTGTACTCCCAGCTACTTGGGAGGCTGAGGCAGGAGAATCGCTTGAGCCTGGGAGGCAGAGGTGAGCTGAGATTGCACCATTGCACTCCAGCCTGGGCAGCAGAGTGAGACTCGGTCTCAAAAGATAAAAGAAAAAAAATACATATTTAGCCATTTTCATAAAAAAAATCAGTAAATAAATACCACTGTAGCAGTCATTCCCAACCCCTCACTCCAATTTGCCTGCACAGCTCTGTTTGTGAGCAGACGCCCAGGACTCTGAGCTTCCGTCCCACTGGGCTCCTCCCTCCTCAGCCCTGAAACCTGCAGGCTTTTTTGCCTCTGGGCTCCCACACCACTTAGTTCTCCACTGCTGCTGTTTTCTCAGACTGTTTTATGCTTATTTCTAGGAGTCTTTGTCTCACACTGGACTATGAGTAGGCAGGACTCAGGCACAAAGCCTGGCACCTGGTCATGATTCATAAAGCTCCCCTGCCTTCTCTCCTGGCCCCTCCTGAAGGCCAGAACTGTAAAGGATTCTAGTTTGCATCCCTGGTGCCCAGCAAAGTGTGTGACACAAGGAGGGGTGTGTGACCTCTGCAGGTGCCTGGGACCTGGGCTCAGAAAAGCCCCACCTTAGCGTCTGATATTCTACAGTCGCTGTCTTATAATTCTTAATAATTTTATCTTGGAATGTGTGTTTTATAAGTGAAGTCAGCCAGGCACAGTGACTCATGGCTGTAATCCCAGCACTTTGGGAGGTCAAGACTAGAGGATCACTTGAGCTCAGGAGTTTGAAATCAGCCTGGGCAACATAGCAAGATCCCCATCTTGACAAAAAAAAAATTTTTGGGGGTGCCGGGCACGATGGCTCAGGCCTGTAATCCCAGCACTTTGGAAGGCCGAGGCAGGTGGATCACGAGGTCAGAAGTTCAAGACCAGCCTGGCCAACATAGTGAAACCCTGTCTCTACTAAAAATACAAAAACTAGCTGGGCATGGTGGCGCGCACCTGTCATCCCAGCTATGCGGGAGGCTGAGGCAGGAGAATTGCTTGAACCTGGGAGGCAGAGGTTGCAGTGAGCTGAGATCGTGCCACTGCCCTCCAGCTTGGGCGACAGAGCAAGACTTCGTCTCAAAAAAAAAAGTTTTTTTTTTTAATTACAAGTTAGGAAAAAAACATGGGAAGTCCACTGGGTCATGCACAGATACTGGGAGCCTCAGTTCACATGCTGTCCCACCTCTGTTGCCTTGAGGGATGAGGTCTCAGCTACCCGCTCCCCAGCCTCAAGACCACCGTAGTCCTCGCTTTCATGCCCGTCCGTGTGAAGAGACCAACAAACAGGTTTTGTGTGAGCAATAAAGCTGTTTATTTCACCTGGGTGCAGGTGGGCTGAGTCCGAAAAGAGAGTCAGCAAAGGGTGGTGGATTATCATTAGTTCTTATAGGTTTTGGGATAGGCTGTGAAGTTAAGAGCAATGTTTTGCGGGCAGGGGTGGATCTCACAAAGTACATTCTCAAGGGTGGGGAGAATTACAAAGAACCATCTTAAGGGTGGGGGAGATTACAAATTACATTGATCAGTTAGGGTGGGGCAGAAACAAATCACAATGGTGGAATGTCATCAGTTAAGGCTATTTTTACTTCTTTTGTGGATCTTCAGTTACTTCGGGCCATCTGGATGTATACATGCAAGTCACAGGGGATAAGATGGCTTGGCTTGGGCTCAGAGGCCTGACATTCCTGCCTTCTTATATTAATAAGGAAAATAAAACAAAATAGTGTTAAAGTCTTGGGGTGGCGAAAATGTTTGGGGGGTTGTATGGAGAGAGAGTGGGCGATGTTTCTCAGGGCTGCTTCAAGCGGGATTAGGGGCGGCGTGGGAACCTAGAGTGGGAGAGATTAAGCTGAAGGAAGATTTTGTGGTAACGGTTGATATTGTGGGGTTGTTAGAAGAAACATTTGTCATTTAGAATTATTGGTGGTGGCCTGGATACGGTTTTGTATGAATTGAAAAACTAGATGGAATAAGAGAAGGAGAAAAACAGGTATAAAAGGTCTAAGAATTGGGAGGACCTAGGACATCTGATTAAAGACTGCCTAAGGAGATTCAGCATAGTCCTGCCAGCAAAGATTATTTATTTACTTCAAGAGTTAAGAGTGGCAGTTTGGGGATAGCATGAGGAGATATCAGCTGTGATGGCTTGGAGAAACAGTGTAAACTGGCAGTGTAAACAAGAGCAGGGCATGTATGAGTAGTTGAGAATGGTGGATAGGAGTATGAGTAGACAGAAGATAGTATGGTTGACAAGTTTTTTTGGGGCACAGTCTAAGTTGGTCTGGTGTCTGGAATGAGACTGGGGCCTAATAAAAAGGAGCTTCTATACAGGAGCTTAAATGGGCTGTACCTTGTAGCATTCTGAGGACAGGCCTGACTTCTGAGAAGGGAAAGTGGTAAAAGTATTGTCCAGTCCTTTTTAAGTTGGTGGCTGAGCTTGGTGAGGTGTGTTTTTAAAAGACCTTTAGTCCGTTCTACTTTTCTTGAAGACAGAGGACCGTAAGGGATATAAAGGTTTCACTGAATACTAAGAGCCTGAAAAACTGCTTGGCTGATTTGACTAATAAAGGCTGGTCTGTTATCAGACTGTATAGAGGTGGGAAGGCTAAACTGAGGAATTATGTCTGACAGAAGGGAAGAAATGACTGTGTGGCCTTCTCAGACCCTGTAGGAAAGGCCTCTACTTATCTAGTGAAAGTGTCTACTTAGACTAAGAGGTATTTTAGTTATCTGACTCGGGGCATGTTGAGTAAAGCTAATTTGCCAGTCCTGGGTGGGGGCAAATCTTCAAGCTTGATGTGTAGGGAAGGGAGGGGGCCTGAATAATCCCTGAGGCGTAGTAGAATAGCAGATGGAACACTGAGAAGTTATTTCCTTGAGGATAGATTTCCATGATGGAAAGGAAATGAGAGGTTCTAAGAGGCGGGCTAGTGGCTTGTGCTATAGCATAGCCTGCCTTTGCTGGTGTGTGGCAATTAGGCCTGGTGGAATTGCCATCAATAAATCAAGTGTGATCAGGGTGAGGAACAGGAAAGAAGGAAATATGGGGAAATGGGGTGAATGTCAGGTGGATCAGAGAGATACAGTCATGGGGGTCAGGTGTGGTATCAGGAATAATGTGGGAGGCCAGATTGAAGTCCGGGCCAGGAACAATGGTAATTGTGGGACTTAACAAAGAGTGAATACAGCTGAAGGAGCTGGGGAGCAGAAAGTATATGCGTCAGGTATGAGGAAGAAAATAGATTTTGGAAGTTATAAGAAATGTAGAGAATGAGTTGAGCACAGTTTGTGATTTTTAGGGCCTCTAAAAGTATTGAAGCAGCGGCAGCCGCTGCACGCAGACATGAGGGCTAGGCTAAAACAGTAAGGTCAAGTTGTTTGGACAGAAAGGCTACAGGGTGCGGTCCTGGCTCTTGTGTAAGAATTCTGACCCCACTAACCATGCCTAGGAAGGAAAGGAGTTGTTGTTTTCTAAGGGATTGAGGTTTGGAAGATTAATCAGACACGATCAGCAGAGAGAGCACGTGTGTTTTTATGAGAATTATGCCGAGATAGGTAACAGATGAGGATGAAATTTGGGCTTGACTGAAGTAATGGGGGCTGTCTGTGAAGCCTTGCAGCAGTGAAGCCCAGGTAATTTGCTGAGCCTAATGGGTGTCAGGGTCAGTCTAAGTGAAAGCAAAGAGAGGCTGGGATGACGGGTGTAAAGGAATAGTAAAGAAAGCATATTTGAGATCCAGAACAGAATAATGGGTAGTAGAGGGAGGTATTGAGGATAGGAGAGTATATGGGTTTGGCACCACAGGGTAGATAGGCGAAACAATTTGGTTGATAAGGCGCAGATCCTGAACTAACTTGTAAGGCTTGTCTGGTTTTAGGACAGGTAAAATGAGGGAATGGTAAGGAGGGTTCATAGGCTTTAAAAGGCCATGCTGTAGCAGGCGAGTGATAACAGGCTTTAATCCTGTTTAATCCTGTTAAAGCATGGTTTAAACCATGCTGTGGGATGGGATCTTGGCATTGAGTGGGGTAAGGGTGATTAGTTTTTAATGAGATGGTAAGGGGTGCCTGATCAGTCGCCAAGGGGGGAGTAGAGGTATCTTATACTTGTGGGTTAAGGTGGGGGAAAACAAGAGGAGGATGCAAAGGAAGCTTTGGATTGGGAAGAAGGGCAGCAATGAGATGCGGCTGTAGTCCAGGAATAGTCAGGGAAGCAGATAATTTGGTTAAAATATCTTGGCCTAATAAGGGAACTGGGCAGGTGGGGATAACTAAAAAAGAGTGTGTAAAAGAGTATTGTCTAAGTTGGCACCAGAGTTGGGGAGTTTTAAGAGGTTTAGAAGCCTGGCTGTCAATACCTACAACAGTTATGGAGGCAAGGGAAACAGGCCTTTGAAAAGAAGGTAATGTGGAGTGGGTAGCCTGAGTATTGATTAAGAAGGGGACAGACTTACCCTCCACTGTGAGAGTTACCTAAAGCTCGGCATCCGTGATGGTCTACGGGGCTTCCGAGGCAATAGGGCAGCATCAGTCTTCAACCGCTAAGCCAAGAAGGAGTCAGTCAGAGAGCCTTGGGCCAGAGTTCCAGGGGCTCTGGGAGTGGCTGCCAGGTGAGTTGAACAGTCAGATTTCCAGTGGCATCCTGCACAGATGGGACACGGCTTAGGAGGAATCCTGGGCTGCAGGCATTCCTTGGCCTGGTGGTCAGATTTCTGGCACTTGTAGCAAGCTCCTGGGGGAGGAGGTTCTGGAGGAACGCCTGGCCGCTGCGGTTCAGGCTTTTGGAAGTTCTTGTGTGCTGGAGATGTGGCTGGGGTTTGTCTCACAGTGGAGGCAAGGAATTGCAACTTTTTTTTATTATTGTACACCTTGAAGGTGAGGTTAATTAAGTCCTGTTGTGGGGTTTGAGGGCCAGATTCCAATTTTTGGAGTTTTATTTAATGTCAGGAGCAGATTGGGTAATAAAATGTATATTGAGAATAAGATGGCCTTTTGACCTTTTATGGTCTAGGGCTGTAAAGCATCTCAGGGTTGCTGCCGAGCAAGCCATGAACTGGGCTGGGTTTTTATACTTGATGAAAAAGAGCCTAAATGCTTCTGATTTGGGATAAAGAAAAAGGAGCATTAACCTTGACTATGCCTTTGGCTCCAGCCACCTTTTTAAGAGTAAATTGCTGGGCAGGTGGGGGAGGGCTAGTCATGGAAGGAAACTGTAAGCTGGACCAGGTGTGAGGAGGGGAGGCGATAAAAAGATTATAGGGTGGAGGAGCGGAGGCTGAGGAAGAATTGGGACCTAGCTTGGCCTGGCGAGGAGGGGAGAGGTCAGATGGGTCTGTAGAAAAGGAAGATTAGAAAGACTCAGCGACGCTTGGGGTTGGGACTGAGGGGACAGGCGGGAGGGAAAGAAGGAAGATTTGGGACGAGTTGCACTGGGGACAGAGACTAGGAAGGGACTGATGTGTAAAAGAATGCCTGGACGTCAGGCACCTCAGACCGTTTGCCTATTTTACAACAAGAATTATTTAGATCTTGTAGGATGGAAAAATTGAAAGTGCCATTTTCTGGCTATTTGGAACTACTGTCGAGTTTGTATTGGGGTCAAGCGGCATTGCGGAAGAAAATAAGATGCTTAGATTTTAGGTCAGGTGAGAGTTGAAGAGGTTTTAAGTTCTTAAGAACACAAGCTAAGGGAGAAGAAGGAGGAATGGAAGGTTGCCCATAGTGAAGGAGGCAAGCCCAGAGAAAAGAGTAGAGACACGGAGAAGGGGTGGGGGTTTCTTGCCCTCCAGAAAAGCAGAGAAAGGGTTGGGGCACGGAATTAAGGGATTGGGGGTTCCTGCCCCCTAGAAAAGTGGGACTTGCCACTAACGGTGAAGGAGAAGGGGTTGAGGGGTTCTTGCCCCTGCCCCAGAAGAGCAAAGAAAGGGTAGAGACACAGAGAGAAGGGGTTGGGGTACTTGCCCCTCCTCCAGAAAAGCAGGACTTGCCGCTAAGGGTGAAGGAGAAGGGGTTCAGGGGTACTTGCCCCTGCCCCAGAAAATCAGAGAAGGGGTAGAGACATGGAGAGAAGGGGTTGGGGTACTTGCCCCTTCTCCAGAAAAGCAGGACTTGCCGCTAAGGGTGAAGGAGAAGGGGTTGAGGGGTACTTGCCCCTCCCCCAGAAAAGCAGAGAAGGGGTAGAGACACGGAGAGAAGGGGTTGGGGTACTTGCCCCTCCCCCAGAAAAGTGGGACTTGCTGCTAAGGGTGAAGGACCAAGGCAGGTGTCCCTGCGTGGTCTGACACCTTTGAAACGTGGGTGAATAATCAGAGAGGTGTCTCTGCAATGATTAAACACCAAAGGAAGGCTGCCTTCCCAGTCTGTGACCGGCACTGGAGTTTTGGGTCCACGGATAAAACGTGTCTCCTTTTTCTCTACCAGAAAATGAAAGGAATTGAAATTAAGAGAAGGGAGAGATTGAAGTGTGGTGCCAAGATTGAAAGGAGAAAGAGGTTGAGGGATAGTGAGGGAAGTTGGAGAAGAGAGTAAAAAGAGGCCGCTTACCAGATTTGAAATTGGTGAGATGTTTCTTGGGCTGGTCAGTCTGAGGACCTGAGGTCATAGTTGGATCTTTCTCATGGAGCAAAGAGCAGGAGGACAGGGGATTGATCTCCCAAGGGAGGTCCCCCGATCCGAGTCACGGCACCAAATTTCATGTGCGTCCATGTGAAGAGACCACCAAACAGGCTTTGTGTGAGCAATAAAGCTGTTTATTTCACCTGGGTGCTGGTGGGCTGAGTCCGAAAAGAGAGTCAGCAAAGGGTGGTGGATTATCATTAGTTCTTATAGGTTTTGGGATAGGCGGTGAAGTTAAGAGCAATGTTTTGTGGGCAGGGGTGGATCTCATAAAGTACATTCTCAAGGGTGGGGAGAATTACAAAGAACCTTCTTAAGGGTACGGGAGATTACAAAGTACATTGATCAGTTAGGGTGAGGCAGACACAAATCACAATGGTGGAATGTCATCAGTTAAGGGTATTTTTACTTCTTTTGTGGATCTTCAGTTACTTCAGGCCATCTGGATGTATACGTGCAAGTCACAGGGGATGCGATGGCTTGGCTTGGGCTCAGAGGCCTGACACTCATCCCTTGGAGGTAGCTTTGGTGCAGCCACAAGGCAGGTCAACATCAGGGCCCAGGCTCCCATGACAGTCTGAACTTGCCCCACAAGTATCCCTGTGCCCCAGGGGTTGCAACATTAAAAGCAAATAAGAAACACTCTGTCCAGTGAATACAGCGATGAAATGAGCTTAGAGATGCCACAAATTCTTTTTATCCCTTCAGCTCTCGATCTGCTCTTTCTTCTTGTTACTTGGGCTGCAGGGCATATGAAGATTACCCCAGAGGTTCAAGCAGTTCTTGTCATCTCTGAAAAGATGGGGGGATGTGAAATATCCCCACCTTAACACAGTGGTTATGATTTGTCAAAGAATGTTTCGTGCCTCAAACACCAACCTGTTAGCAATGTAGCACTGTTTGATCTTGGGCACTTGTGGCATTGCCTGGCACTCAGTCTTCAGGGTCCATGACCGAGAATGCTCTTCTCAGATGCCCCTGCTCAAATGAGAGGCATGCTGGCGTCCAGAGGCCTCATATTGGACTCAGATCTAACGTGCTGGCCTCAGAGGAGGACTCGAAGAAAACGAGAGCAAAAACTACCCTCCAGCCTCATCGTGTCTCAAATGACCCCACTTCATACCAGTCACAAAGCTTGGGAAAATGGGTCCCCCAACACCGTTTCCTAAGCCCTGAGACTCTCCAAGAGAAGAATGCCTGGGGTTGGGAAGGGAACTATGTCCCTTGCTCACCATCCCTCAGGCACGTGGGCAACAGGAGATAGCACAGGATTGTGTATGGGAGGTGGACAGTCAGTGATGTAACTACCCAAGGGGTTCACCTTGCGCGCTGCCTAGATGGAGCCAATTCCTCAAGACAGAGGAACTGCAATGGAGAAAGAGGAATTCACACAGAGCTAGCTGTGTGGAAGACTGGGGTTTTATTATTACTCCAGTCAGTCTGGAACAAGCAGGGAGCAGAGTTTTTAAGGAAAACTTGGTGGGTGGGGAAAGCCAGTGAGCGAGGAGTGCTGATTGGTCAGGGACGAAATCATAGGGAGTCGAAGCTGTCATCTTGTGCTGAGTCAGTTCCTAGGTGGGGGCCACAAGTTCAGATGAGCCAGTTTATGATCTGGGTGGTGCAGCTGATCCATCAAGTGCAGAGTCTGCAAAATGTCTCAAGCACTGATCTTAGGAGCGGTTTAGGGAGGGTCAGAATCTTGTAGCCTCCAGCTGCATGACTCCTAAATTATAATTTCTAATCTTTTGGCTAATGTTAGCCCTACAAAGGCCGTCTAGTCCCCAGGCAAGAAGGTCTGCTTTGGGAAAGGGCTGTTATCGTCTTTGTTTTAAACTATAAACTCTAAACTGAGTCTCTATCAAAGTTAGTTCAGCCTATGCCCAGAAATAAACAATGACAGCTTGGAGGTTAGCAGCAAGATGGAGTTGATTAAGTTAGATCTATTTCACTGTCTCAGTCATAATTTTCCAAAGGCAGTTTCAGTGATGTGTGGGGTGAAAAAGCAGGTGATAAAGTTCCCTTGTTGGGACTCTTTTGTGGAATCAATGGCTATAAATGGTGAAGAACGTTCGCACTGCAAATACAGTGTTCTCATCTCAAAGCAAACTATACTTCCCAAGGAAACCATGTATGTCAGGGCAAGAGGACAACACCATTTTGTATCAGGATGTGTCCCTCATGCCCTGAAGCGAGGCTTCTCTTAGCTTCCCCACCAGTGACAGGTAACAGCTCCTGTTCTCAGCTGCCCTGGCTGAGCTAATCCATGAATGCTTACCTCCCTGAGGAGGCTGCCTCACATCACACCCCTGAGCGGAGGAAGTATCCTACTTCCTATCAAAGGACCTCTCTGCCAACAAACAGAACTGTTGCCTCTGCCACAGCTCTTTTGGCCAAACTGGGGATGTCCGGTGGGAGTTGCCCCACATTCCCCTCTCCTCTGCTTCTGAATGCCTTTGTCATACAAAGGGCAAGGGAAGCCAACATCCAGAGCTCTTTTGCTGGTCAGAGATTCCCCGAGTGTCTGTCCTTACCCCAGTCTGCTGCATGTGTCTGTGTCATAAAGCTTGGGACTCTGGTGGGAAATGGGGAAACGAGGATAGGTAAATGTTGCCCTAAGAATGAGTCTCATTCCTCTGTTCTTGTTGGGATGTGTTCTTGGGAAGGGTGGGAATTGGGGGAAGCTTGACTTTGTGTCTTCATCAATAAACTTATTTACACACACAGACACACATACACACACATCCCCACACCTTTTTCCAGTCAAGGGCAAGACAAAGGAAGAAAGGAAAAAGCTTTCTCCAGCATTTAAACAAGGGGCCTGGCCAGGCACAGTGGCTGATGCCTGTAATCCCAATGCTTTGGGAGGCTGAAGCAGGTGGATCACTTGAGTCCAGAAGTTTGAGACCAGCCTAGGCAACATGGCGCAACCCTGTCTCTACAAAAATACAAAAATTAGCCAGGCATGGTGGTGTGTGCCTGTAGTCCCAGCTACTTGCAGGGCTGAGGCATGACGATTGCTTGAGCCCAGGGAGTTGAGGCTGTAGTGAGCCATGATCAAGCCATTGCACTGCAGCCTGGGTAACAGAGCAAGACCCTGTCTCAAAAAAAAAATTTTTTTTAATTTTAATTTTAAAAAATTAGGACAGGCACGGTGACTCATGCCTGTAATCTCAGCACTTTGGGAGGCCAAGGTGGGAGGATCACAAGGTCAGGAGTTCAAGACCAGCCTGGCCAATATGGTGAAACCCCATCTCTACTAAAAAATACAAAAATTAGCCAGGCGTGGTGGCATGCACCTGTAGTCCCAGCTACTCAGGAGGCTGAGACAAGAGAATCACTTGAACCCGGGAGGCGGAGGTTGCAGTGAGCCAAGACTGTGCCACTGCACTCTAGCCTGGGTGACAGAGTGAGACTCTGTCTCAAAAAAAAATAATAAATAAATAAAAATTTTAAAAAAATGAAAAGAGGCTTACAATTTCATTTTGTAATGGGTACTGAAAATTATGTAGCCAGTCTTGATGCCAGTTAAATATGTGTTAGATAGATGAAATACTGAAGGAGTGGAGAGGAGAAACAGCAGAACAGAATTCTCATCTTAGCTCAATGGATGGCAACTATTCTTCCAATTGCCAAAACTCATGGACTCATCGCTGATGCATCTTTATCTCTTACACTCAGCAGTCAATCCACCAGAAACTGCTGCTGACTCTGCCAAAGTAAATTGCAGCTCCTGTTTTCTCACCAACTCCACTGCTATTGCCCTATCTTCTGCCACCCAGTGTCCCTTCTCACCTATATCATTGAAACAACCCTGCTCATCCCTGCTCCCACCCATTGTGTTCTGTGGTATATTCTCATCACACCAGAGGGAGCAATCCTTTTACAATGCATGTCAGATCATTGTCACTCCTTCTTAGTATACTGCAACTGAAGCAGGATATTTCCCTGACCCCTTTGCAGGTGGGAACTGGAGTGTAGGTGCTGGAATTAGCCAGCTGCTTTGGCGTTAGTTCAATAGACAGGGGCAAACTCTACTCACTAGGACTCACTGCACTCCTCACTCATGGGAGGGGGAGCATGCAGGTGAGCAGGTACAAGAGCCGGGGTGAGTACTTTTCAGGCACCAGCAGAAACAAATTCTATACTGGCCCCACAGCAGCATCTGGCGGGGGTGCCCACAACCCCTGAAGCCCCAGAGGAAGTGTTACAGTACTCTTTTAGCTCTGCTGTCCATGGATGGCTTAAGTGTTAACAGCTTAGTGGAGGGTTAGTGTGACAGACTTCGGCACCCACACTTGTGGCACCCCAGTTCTTGTCTGGTGTCCAAGAGAAAAGAGGTCACACGAACCAATTTGAAAGATGGTAAATGAGGGAGATTTTACTACAAATGAAGGTGGCTCTCAGCAGGATGGGGAGTTGAAAAGGGGATGGGGTGGGAAGGCAATCCTCCCCCAAAGCTATACCATCAAACTCTCCCTCTGAAGTCAAGACACTTCTCTCTGACGTCCAGCCATAGTCTCTGACATCCAGCTGCTTCTCCTCTCTCTGCCAGCTGAGCCTGGAGTTTCCATGGGCACAGGATGGGGGGTGGGGCAGGCCATGGGTGATTTGGGAAAAGGCAACATTCATGCAGGAAAACAGAGATGTATGTTCTCACTTTAGGCCGTGGTACCAGGCTTTTCGGCTTGAGGGTGGGGCCCTCGCCAAGGACCCACCCTCTTCTGCCCAGAATTTCCCTGCCTCCTGTCCCTATCACAATGTCTCCAAAGTACAAATTCTATTGCTTTAAACATTTTAAGTGCATTTTAATTAAGTTTATGGCAGAAAAACCTGGCAAACACTACCTTACCCAAGTGAGGAAGGCTCATATCACCAGGGAGGATATATAGACCTCAGGTACAACTGATACAATGTGATGAGAAGGCACCTTATCTCTGGGGTATGCCCTCCAAAACCCATAACCTCAGAGGCATCATGAGAAAAACATCAGGCAGATTGAGGGACATTCTACAGGACACCCGGCCAGTATTTCTGAAGACTGTCAAAGTCATAAAAAACAAGAAAAAAACTGAGCAAAACTGTCACAGACCACAGGAGATTGGGGAGAGCTAACAACTAAATGAAATGTAGTGTCTTGGATTGGATCCTGGAATAGAAAGAGGGGATAATGGAAAAACAGGCCAAATCCAAATAAAATCTGGAGTTTAGTTAATACTTGCTTTTAAAGCACCTACAAATGCTCCTTGACTTGCCATGGTATTATGTCCTGATAAATCCAACATAGAGTGGAAATTTTTAAGTCAAATCATCATAAGTTGGAAACCATCTGTATTTTATTTTATTAAGTTTATTCTTTAAATCAAGAATAGGTTTTGAGCCAGGCTTGGTGGTTCATGCCTGTAATCCTAGTGCTTTGGGAGGCCGAGGTGGCAGGATCCCTTGAGCCCAGGAGTTCAACACCAGCCCGGACAACATGGAGAGCCCCTCATCTATTAAAAAAAAATGGCTTTGAATTTTGTCAAAGGCTTATGAAGATAGTTATATGACTTTTTTTATTCTGAGATACATTCATATGTGAATTATGTATATTTTGTTCATGTCAGATGAGCAACGTGCTGATGTTGTGACAAGGTTTGAGGGAGGCACATCTCATGCATGCACTTGGACACTGAATCATCATGCTTATGAGCTACAAAAGTATCTAGTATGGGAATGATATTGATGGTTTTCCGGTGTTGAATAATGCTTGAATTTTTGGAATAAATCCCACTTTATCATGAGAAAAAGTGAATCTGATAAAACCTAAAGTCCTTAAAGGCCTTCAAGGCTTTACTCTATCTCCCTGCCCTCACCCTCTCCCCCCATCCCACCTCATTACCCCTCTGGATTTGTTTGCTAGGGCTGCCATAACACAGTACCACAAACTGTGCAGCTTGAACAAACGGAAATTTCTTATCTCATAGTTTTGGAGACCAGAAGTTCGAGACCAAAATGTAGCAGGGTTAGTTCCTTCCAAAGGCTATAAGGGAGAATCTAGTCTGTTCTGTGCCTCTTCCCAGCTTTGGTGCTTGCTGGCAATCTTTGGTGTTCCTTGACCAGTAGAGGCATCACCCCAATCTCTGCCTTCCACTTCACGGTGCATTCTTCCTCTGTGCATTTCTCTGTGTCCCTTTTTATATGGACAGCAGTCATATTGGATTAGTGTCCCCCCTCTAATGACATTATCTTAACTAATAACATCTGCAATGACCCCAATTCCAGATAAGGCCACCTTCTGATGTACTGGAGTTTAGAACTTCAAAATATGAATTTGCGGGGAGAGGACACTATTCAACCCATAACACCCTCTAACCACTTCCACTTCACCCCTTGTAGCTCAGCTCCAGACATACTGGCCTTGTACAGCTCTTGCCTTAGGGCATTGACTCTGGCCATTCACCCCCTCAGAAAGCTCTTCCTTAGCTGCTCCTGCAGGTAATTCCCTCACCTCTTCTAAGTGTTTTCTCCAACCCACCTTCTTGCTGAGGCCCACACTGTCCCCCATCTGCATCTGCACCTCCCCAAGACTTCCTGATATCCCTTGCCCTCATCAATTTAACACATGCTTCTTTCCTTGCTGCAGTCATCCCTTCCTAACATCCTATACCATTTGCTTGTTTATTATAGAGGCTATTGTTTATTGTCTGCCTCCTCTGGTGCATATAAGCTTCACGAAGGCAGGGATCCGTATCCATTTTGACCACTGTATCCCATGTGCCTAGGAGACATTACACATCTCCTTGGCAAGTAGAGGGTACAATAAACAGTTGTTGAAAGCAAAGCAAAAGAAGAAAAGAAGGATTCTATTTCTAGAAATTGAGGACCCACCAGTGACTTGCCCTATGTTTCTCTTGCCTCCAGTCTCTGGGAAATAACACTGGAGGGAAAGTTAAGCCCACCACGGCTGTAAGAAATGACTTAGCAGAGCAGGAGACCACTAACTGTTCTGATAACACCTGAGATCACGCAAGGTTGCTTGGTGGGGGGAGGCGGGGGCAGGTGCAGAATCTACTCTTGGAGGCCAGGGCCTGGAGTTGCAAGACCAGTCCAGGAGAGGGCAGCATTATCTTCAAATCAAACCAAATAACTGGAGGAGCACAAGGAAGTAACCCACGTGAAAATTCCTCTACCCTATGGAAGTACAACTGTAAATTGGGTTCGGCAGCCCACGTCTAGAACTTAACACCACCCTTTAAAGTTTGCAAACCCTTTCACATACATTCATTCTCCCCTTAAAGTGCTCCTAGATGAGAGTTTAGCCATTGCCGGAGTGTGAGCGGAGTTTGCACTGAGCAATTAAACGATATCACCCATGTGGTCCCATGTTCCTCAACTTGTCACAGGTTCCAAGCACTTAACAGTCCTGTCCCCATGGTCAACCCCCATTTCCAGCCCACAGACCCTTCTTCCAGAAGGTTCTCAGCCTCTCTGAGTGAACCCACACTTTCAAATACAGCACATTTGGACTTACTGGCCAAGGGATTAAAAGGTATACAGAAAGCAAGTTTCTGAGAACTGAAGATCGTTTCACAGTTTTTTGGTCCTCCAGCTTGGGCTGCCATAACAAAATACTGGTGATCTCAACAACAGAAATGTGCTTCTCACAGTCCTGGAGACTAGAAGCCCCAGATCAGGGTGCCAGCATGGTTGGGTTATGATGAGGGCACCCTCCTGGCTTGCAGATGGCTGCCTTCTCAATGTGTCCTCATGTGGTGGAGAGAAAGAAAGAGAGGTCTGGTCTCTTCCTGTTCTTATGAGGACACTAATTCCACATGGGGGCCCTACCCTCATAATCTATCACCTCTCCAAAGGCCCCACCTCCAAATACCATCACAACAGGGGTTAGGACTTCAACATATAAACTTGGTGAAGACACAAACATTTTGAGTCCATAGCAAGCACCATGTCACAGTTTAACAGGAATGATTTCCTTCCCTGATAACACTCCCTTACATATTCATGAGTCAAGGCTCTAGCAAGTTCTAACAAACTTTTATCTGTCTTTGATGCAGGCTTGCTTATTTTCTCTTACACGTGGCCAGCCGTACCAAGCTCTACCCGATATGGCCCAACCTGCATAGTCAACATTCTGTCTGATGGACTTGGCTGCCAAAGCGGTATCCATGGTTGCAGTAAAAATAAACCTCACAAATGGTGACCAGGGGGCTGGAGGGTGGAGGGGTTCTAGATGGAAACTGGGCAGATGGGAGACAGGTGGGAAGAAGACTCCTTGTGAATAGCTTTTAATTTTTTTTTTTTTGAAACATGTGACATAGTTCCCATTACATATTTTCAATGTTTAAAAAATAATTTTAAAATGTTAAACAGTCATAATTCAACCATGGTGGCAGGAGGTCTGTGGTGCAGCTGAGAAACTGCTCTAAGCTCTGGCATGTGCAGTTGTATGTCTTCTGGCTGCTCTGTCTCAATTTCCACCCACAGAGCCAAGGAAGCCTCCAGCCAATTCCAGGGAGCATCTTTCTGGGCCCTGGGTTTAGAGACCTGTGATTCTCTTTATTCCCTCTGCTCCAGATTCTCCAAATCAGCTCACTTTGGGCTCTCTTGGCCCTGTGTCTTTCCTGTCACTGGTTTGTCAACTGCCTCCACTCAGTGCCTCCCCTTAGCCCTTCCTGTCCTTACGGTTTCTAAATGCAATTCTAATAGCTTCACAAATGTGCTCCTCCACTTTCCTAGGCACCAAGGAAACCTTGACCCACAGGCTTTAATTTTACCCTTGCAGTGAATTCTTATTGACTTTCACTGACCACTGGAACCCACCTACTTGCCCTGAGAACACTCCCATTATCTTTCAATTAAAATAAGACCCTTGATTTATACTTTAATATACATATATCCAGGCTGGGCACAGTGGCTCACCCCTGTAATTCCAGCACTTTAGGAGGTCGAGGCAGGAGGATCGTTTAAGCCCAGGCATTCAAGACCAGCCTGGGCAACACAGTGGAACCTCATACCTCTACAAAGCAATTTTCAAAATTAGCCAGGTGTGGTGGAACACACCTGTGGTCCCAGCTACTCAGGAGGCTGAGGTGGGAGGATTGCTCAAGCCCAGGAGGTCAAGGATGCAATGAGCCATGATCACACCACTGCACTCCAGCCTGGGCAACAGACCAAAACCTTGTCTCAAAAAATAATTTTATATACATATATATACACACATGTATCCAGACTCCTGCTGAAACTACCTCTCCCTGTTCCAATGCCACACATCTAGTTCAGCCTGCAGATGAGTTTCTTTGACTGCCTGGGATTGGTTTCCTTGTTTGTTTAAATTAGAATTGGTTTCTGACTTTTAAACCTTGAGGCTTTTTCACATTTAAAAACATCTGGATTTATACACTCTCCTTTAAAATTTTGAAGATCTGGGCTGGGCGCCATGGCTCATGCCTGTAATCCCAGCTCTTTGGGAGGCCAAGGCGGGTGGATCACCTGAGGTCAGGAGTTCAAGAAGAGCCTGGCCAACATGGTGAAACCCTGTCTCCACTAAAAATATGAAAATTTGCTGGACATGGTGGCATGCACCTGTAATCCCAGCTACTCAGGAGGCTGAGGCGGGAGAATCACTTGAACCCGGGAGGTAGAGGTTGCAGTGAGCCGAGATCATACCATTGCACTCCAGCCTGGGAGACAAAAGCAAAACTCCATCTTAAAAAAAAAAAAAAAAAAAAAAAAAATTGAAGATTTGACAACACTGAGCTCATGGCAAAACTCAGCTAAACCTAGAATGTAAAAGAAATCCTAGAAATAGAGCCACACTTACACCATCACTTGATTTTCAACAGAAGTTCCAAAGCAATCCAGTGAGGGAAAGGAAGGTTTTATCAACAATGTGGGCCAGACACAGTGGCTCACGCCTGTAATCCACGCACTTTGGGAGGCCAAGGCAGGTGGATCACTTGAGGCCAGGAGTTTGAGACCAGCCTGGGCAGCCTGGCGAAACCCCATCTCTACAAAAAATGCAAAAATTAGCCAGGCGTGCTGATATGCACCTATAGTCCCAACTACTCAAGAGGCTGAGGTGGGAGAATTGTTTGAGCCTCGTAGGCAGAGGTTGCAGTGAGCTGAGACCCAGCCTGGGTGAAAGTGAGATTCTATCTGAAAAGAAAAAAAAGAAAGAAAAAGAAAAGAAATCTCATTACACAATCAAACATCACATCACCAGAATGACTAAAAATACAAAAGCATGATAATATCGACTATTAGTGGGTTGTAGTATAGCTGGAATCCTCACATATAATTAGTGGGAATGTAAAATGGTGCAAACACTTTGGTAAAAGGTCTGGCAGTTTCTTCTACTTTCTGACCCAGCAATCCCACTCCTAGGAATATGCCCAAGAGAAATGAAAATAATATGTTCACAAAAATATCAATAGCTTTATTGATAATTGCCAAAAACTAGAAACAGTCCAGGTGTCCATCAATAGGAGAATGGCTAAACATACAGTGGAATAGTCATACAATGGAGTCATTCTCATCAATAAAAAGGACTGAATTACTGATATACTCCACAACATGATGTATCTTAAAAACATTACACTGAGTAAAAGAAGCCTTCCACTTCTATGAAGTTCTAGAACAGGTGAAACTAATCTGAAAATAATCAGAGCAGAAGTTACCTCTGGGAGGATGGAGGCAGAGACAAACCAGCCATGGGGGGACATGAGAGGATTTTTAGGAATGATGGTAATGTTTTCTATATTGATGGGCATTGGGATTACACAGGGGCACCTATTAGTTGAAACTTAGTGAATATACACTTAAGATTTGTGCACTTCATTGTCTACAAATTTTACATCAAAAGAAAACACTAAAGGCCAGGTGCAGTGGCTCACGCCTGTAATCCTAGCACTTTAGGAGGCCAAGGTAGGAGGATCACTTGAGGTCAGGAGTTTGAGACCAGCCTGGCCAACATGGTGAAGCCCCGTCTCTACTAAAAATACAAAAATTAGCAGGGCATGGTGGCGCATGCCTGTAATCCCAGCTACTTGGGAGGCTGAGGCAGGAGAATCACTTGAATTTGGGAGGCGGAGGTTGCAGTGAGCCAAGATCGCACCACTGCACTCCAGTGTGGGCAACAGAGACTCCGTCTCAAAAAAAAAAAAAAAACTATAAACAAATATTGATCTCTAATCAATGATGTACACACTGATGTATTTAGGGAGAAGTATACTGGTGTCCACAGTTACTTTGAAACACATCCAAAAGAATAGATTAATGGCTATAGGGATGGATAATGGATAAATATGAGATAAAGCAGGTAAAATGTTAATGGCAGAATCTAGGTAGTAGATGTACAAGTAGACAGTGAAATTCTGTCAACTTTTCTTTTCTCTTTTTTTTTTTTTTTTTTTTTTGAGATGGAGTTTCACTCTTGTTGCCCAGGCTGGAGTGCGATGGCGTGATCTCAGCTCGCTGCAACCTCTGCCTCCTGGGTTCAAGCAATTCTCCTGCCTCAGCCTCCCGAGTAGTTGGGATTACAGGCATGAGCCACCACACCTGGCTAATTTTTTGTATTTTTAATAGACAGCGTTTCTCCATGTTGGTCAGGCTGGTCTCAAACTCCTGACCTCGGGTGATCCACCCACCTCGGCCTCCCAAAGTATTGGGATTACAGGCGTGAGCCACTGCGCCAGGCCCAACTTTTCTTTATGTTTAAAATTGTTCACAATAACATGTTGGGGCTATCAGCTGGCATTGTCTTGGCCAACTTCTTTAACCTGTAACTGGTTGCCACACTTTCTACCCCTCCTTGCCTCATGGCCAGAGTGCTTCACTCATTTACATTACCTAGAGTGTTTCATCCTAGACACATACTGCATATCCTAATGATTGTTAACTAAATCTCTGGAAGAAGCAGAATAGCATTGTAACAATTCTACTATTTACCAGTTTTGTAATCTCGGGAATTTTTTTTTTTTTTTTTTTTTTTTTTTTTTGAGAAGGCGTCTCACTCTGTCGCCCAGGCTGGAGTGCAGTGGCCTGATCTCGGCTCACTACAAGCTCTGCCTCCTGGGTTCAAGTGATTCTTCTACCTCAGCCTCCCAAGTAGCTGGGATTACAGGTGCATACTATCACGCCTGGCTAATTTTTGTATTTTTAGTAGAGATGGGGTTTCACCATGTTGGCCAGGCTGGTCTTGAACTCCTGACCTCAGCTGATCCACCTGCCTCAGCCTCCCAAAGTTCTGGGATTATAGGCATGAGCCACCACACCTGGCCGTGACCTTGGGAAAATTAATTCTCCTCTGAGCCTCGGTTTCCTCATCTGCAGGACGAAGTGAGATGGTGAATGCAAAGTTCCTGGCACACTGGTTGGCACCAGATATATGTTAACTACTGTTAAACAGTTTAATATATTGACTTCGTAAATGCACACAGATAAAATGATGACTGATTTTCACAGTAAGAAACTCCTGAGAGTTTAGACTCACAAGCTAAAGATGGGAATACTGTTTTCCTAAAAATTGCTCTACTTGCTTTCACTACATTTCCTCTCACATAGGAGAAGCTACCTTTATTCAACCCTGTTTAACAAGCACCTACTACTACAAATACTAGGTGAACCTGTGGGCTAAGCACAGTCTCTGCTATAGCGGAGCCACAGGGGTAACTGCAATAATACATGTACGTTCAAGCTGCAGTGACAGCAAGAAAAGCTTCCAGAAAGAGGCAACACTTGAGTTGGGTCTTGCAGGATGAATAGGGATTTTCCAGATAGACCTGGGGAAGGAGGCCTGTCTAGGCACAAAGAACAGCATGTGCAAAGGCATTGAGCAATAACAGAGCAATGGAATCCTCAGAGTTAACAGGCAGTTTGTATTATGAGCAACCAGGGAAGTAGACGAGGCCAGCAAGGGAGGTAGGAACCAAATCATGCCCTGTTTGCCATGCTACAAGAGTTTGGATTTTGCGCTGCAGATAAAGAACCACCAGCATAGTTTAGGAAGATACTTCTACAGCAGAATGGGGCTACACTGACAAGAGAGAGACCTGAAGCAAGGCCAGCCAGGTACTAGTGCTACCCACTGCTCAGAAGAATTGCCTGGGGTACTTGTTAAGTATACAGATTGCAAGGCCCCCTCCAGACCTGCTGAGTCTAGGGGAAGGGCCTGGGAACCTATATGATTAACAGGCATCCCAGGTTTTCTAACAACCAAGAAAACACAGAGTGTAGGAGATTGCGGCCACCATCCTCCGTAGGAGAATAAAGGGAAAGGGGGAGGGGCATGTTACTGTGTAATTAGGGGAAGGAATCTGCATAATGTGGTCAAAGTGTTGTGTGCCAGGGTGAGGAAAGCCTGGCATGACTGCGTAGATAGTTGTACCATTTACCAAGACAGGGAATGCAAGAGAAACAGCAAGTTTAGGGAAAATAAATCATGATTTATTTTTGACAAGGAATTGATCAAAACGTTGGCTCTCAAAGTGTTGTCTTGGCAATGATAAAAACTATTGGTGGTCGCAGCTCCCAGATGCACTTATTTTCTCTTGTGCTTCTCACACAAATCTGTGACTTGAATGGCTCACATCTTCCAACCGTGTTGAGTTATAATCGGGACAATAAATTACACACATAATGTTTGGAAATAGACAAACAGAAAACTAAACATTCCCTAGGTCTCTAAAGCCCAGTGCATGACACAGCCAAGATTTTTGCCTCCTGCCTTTTGACTTAATCCAGGGACAGGGTTGATGGGTAGCATTGACAGGCCCCAGAAGAAACTCAGTCTCTCATATATTTATTCCCTTTGTCCTGTTGGTGCTATTTAGGGAACAAACACTTCCCCTTTAAAGGTGGTAATCTTAAAAATAGGAAGACAGCATGAAAAATGTGTTAGTTGTCAGAAAACCTGGGTTACAGTCACATGGAGTTTGCCAACTTAACCCAACCTCTTGGAACCTCCTTCTCCTCTTTGTAAAATAAGGATAATAATAACTACTGTAAAGAACAAATGAGAAAACAAACTTTAAAATGTGTCCAAGGGCCGGGCACAGTGGCTCACGCCTGTAACCCCAGCACTTGGAGGCCGAGGCAGGCGGATCACCTGAGGTCGGGAGTTCGAGACCAGCCTGACCAACATGGAGAAACCCTATCTCTACTAAAAATACAAAATTAGCCGGGCGTGGTGGTGCATGCCTGTAATCCCAGCTACTCCAGAGGCTGAGGCAGGAGAATTGCTTGAACCCGGGAGGCGGAGGTTGCGGTGAGCCGAAATCGTGCCACTGCACTCCAGCCTGGGCAACAAAAGGGAAACTCTGTCTCAAAATAAAATAAAATGAAATAAAATAAAAAGTGTCCAAAACTCTGCTCCAGGCTGTAAAGAACAGAAACCAACTCCCAGGAGCTCAAGTCAAAAGAGAGTTGATGGAAACATTACAACAGGCAATCTCGCCAACTTGCAAGAACAGGCAATGCAGGACAGCTTGTCACTCAGGAACTGGAGCTGGAAGCCTGACGCTGCTCCCACTGCAGCACTCTCTCTGGGGCCATATGGTCTGCATCTCTGCTTCCCTCTATGGGTCCACGCACTCCCACATGGCAGACGTGGCAGTTGTCTATCCACCATCCATTCCCCTTCCTCCCTCACTAACAGAACCTCCATTGGATGAGGATGGTCTAAGCCAGTTATGCAACCTATTGCCCACTCTCCCAGCCTTCTTTACACCTAACGGTGGCCATGGATATGATTCTGGTCAATGAGGCTCAAGGAGAAGACTGCTGGGAACTCTGAAAAACCTCACTTTTCCTACCAAAGAGAAAGAAAGACACTGCTTGGCACCCTCTCTCCCTTTTCCTTCCTTTTGCTTGTGACTGCTAGAGCAGCAGCAACCATCATGGAACCATCGGGAGAAGGACAAAAGAACTGGGAAGACAGAAGTCAGCCCTGGACATTGCTGAGCATCCAACCAATATTAGCAAATTTTATGTGTAAAATTACAACACCAAAAAAAAAACCTCACTCCTATGTTTTTAAGCCACTGGGAGTTAGATTTTTGTTACTAGCAGCTGAAGGCACTCTTGATTAATAATACGATCATCTAATTTGGGGTCTTCCAAACTTCCATCATCCTCAAACCACCTTCAGCATTTTTGCCATGCCTGCTCAAATACCATGTTCTTCTTTAAATTGAGTCACTTTTATTAACGTGACTTAAAATAAATATGTAATGATTTAAATTAAAATAGATTCACCATGAATCACCCAAAACCATCCCATTTTTACCAATGGAACACTTTGCAAAAGCAAACCCAGCTCCAGCTATGTCCCTGATGCCCCCACCCTCAATTCCCAGGAGGGAAGGCTCTGGAGCAGGGTCTTCCCCGACTCACATGGCACCTAGGCCCACACACACCTCAGGAACTCTACAGAGATGGAGATGATCAGCAGGTCTGCTGAATAGTAAGACTTACACAGGATTTGTGGTAGTAGTATTAAATGGTCTCATTTCAAAACTAAGATGTTTGCATTTATTTCTAGGGATAAATTAGGGAATACTGGGCAGTCCTTTTTTGTGTTGGTGCAGAGAAAGCTATGTGGCTGGGGAGGAAACAGGAATACCCAGGCCAGCTGTTACCACTGGTCCAGCAAAAGCAGGAAGCTCCTTCAGATGTTCCTGAACACTTTGCTCCGCCCACCTCCCAGCATTCTCTGCTTAGTGTCCATTCAATTATGACAATAACATTTGAAGTCAGTGGAGAAAAGAGAGGTTATGCAACATGTGGTGATAGGATAGTTGGGAAATTATTAGGAAAAAATAGTTATATCCCGAACTCACTCCACTCATACACAGATGCAAAAAAAAATCAGATGGACGAAAGCCTTAAATATAAAAGAATTTATCCATAAACTATGCTACATTCATACAATAGACTATTGTGCAGCAGTCAGTTAGAAAAGGAAGAAGTAAATATATATGTACTGACAAGGAACTATCTAATGTTCAATGAAAAGCAGATTATAGGCCAGGCATGGTGGCTCACGACTATAATCCCAACACTTTGGGAGGCCAAGGCGGGCAGATCACTTCAGGTCAGGAGTTTAAGACCAGTCAGGCCAACGTGGTGAAACCCTATCTCTGCTAAAAATACAAAAATTAGCCAGGTTTGGTGGCCTATGCCTGTAATCGCAGCTACTAGGGAGGCTGAGGCAGGAGAATCACTTGAACCCAGGAGGTGGAGGTTGCAGCGAGCGAAAATCACACCATTGCACTCCAGCCTGGGCAACTAGACTCTATCTCAAAAAAAAAACCAAATTATAAATAACATACATAGAATGATACCATTTATGTTACATGTGTGCATAGATACCCATATGAACATATGAAAGAAATGCATGAATAGAGTCTGAAAGGATAAATCTTAATTGGGTAACAGTCATTCTTTTTTTCATGGAAATGCAGAATTATTTACTTATTAGTTGCATAAGATCAGCTGTTCTATTTAAGTTCACCAAAAAAAAAAAGTATTTCTCATCATCCCTCTTTTTCTCCTCTCTGCTTTTGAAGAGTGTATGAGGGCATTATGAGGAGACAAAGTGATTACATTCAAGGATGTCATTAGGATATAATCATATATTGCCACATATTGCCCATCTAATTTTAAAAAGCGGAAAAGAACAAAACTTAATGAAAAAAGCTGAACTACAAAGTAATAGAGAAAACATGAAAGAATGTTTTATAATTTTAATGTGGTAATCAGCTCTCTTAGCAATATGTCAAAGACAAAGCCATAAGAAAAGAAAAAGATTGACAAATGTGAAACTAAAATCTCTATATGGCAAAGCAAAAGACAATAAAATGGAAAGAAAACATTCGCAACATGATGGAGAAAAAGTACTATTATTAAACTGTGAATTGTTTGGAAATAATAAGAAAATTACAAACCCAGTAGGAAAATGAGTAAAAGGCATAAAGAAGCACTCTATTTTAAAAGAAGACACAAAAATGTCCAAAATTCACACTCAAGATGTTCAACTTCACTAATAATTACAGAAAAGCAAATTAAAATGAGATATTGGCCAAGCACAGTAGCTCACGCCTATAATCCCAACACTTTGGGAGGCTGAGATGAGTGGATCACCTGAGGTCAGGAGTTCGAGACCAGCCTGGCCAACACAGTGAAACCCCATCTCTACTAAAAACACAAAAAATTATCCGGGTGTGGTGGTGGGTGCCTGTAATCCCAGCTACCTGGGAGGCTGGAGCAGGAGAATCACTTGAACCCAGGATGCAGAGGTTGCAGTGAGCCTAGATCGCACCATTGCACTCCAGCCTGGGCAACAAGAGCAAAACTCTGTCTCAAAAAAAAATTAAATTAAAAATAAATAATAAATAAAATGAGATATCATTTTTCACTTAGATGGAGACAATTAAAAAGATTTCTAGTAGCCAGTTGTTGGCAAGGGCGGGACAGAAACAGGTGCACTTCCATTCTGTTGATGGAAGCCTAAACTGGCTTCAGCAGGCAAACTTGGAAGATAAGTATCAAAAGTTGAAATGCGCAGGCATGTTGCCCTCTTCTAGGAATTTAAGAAAAGAATGGTGCACGGTGCAAAGTTGTGTGAACAAGAAGGGTTATTGTACTGAAAAGTTAGAAACAGCCTGAATGCCCATCAACAGGGTTTTGGTTAAATAAATTTATGAGACTCGGAGGTGTTATGGAGACCAGGCAGGTGTTATAAAAGATAAAGAACATCTTTACATATTGACACAAAGCACATAAATGTTCACATGAGAAAAACAGCTTACACAGTTCCACATATCAAGTGATCCTCTTTTGTTTAATATATAACCTACTGGTAAGGCTGACACTTAACAGTTGTTATCCCTGCAGGTTAGAATTTGAGGGAAATTTTCTTTTATCTTTTTTCTTTTTTCTTTTTCTTTTTTTTTGAGACGAAGTTTCGCTCTTGTTGCCCAGGCTGGAGTGCAATGGCAGGATCTCGGCTCACCGCAACCTCTGCCTCCTGGGTTCAAGTGGTTCTCCTGCCTCAGCCTCCCAAGTAGCTGGGATTACAGGCATGTTCCACCATGCCCAGTTAATTTTGTATTTTTAGTAGAGACAGGGTTTCTCCATGTTGGCCAGGCTGGTCTCAAACTCCTGATCTCAGATGATCCACCCGCCTCGGCCTCCCAAAGTGCTGGGATTACAGGCGTGAGCCACCACATCTGGCCAGAAATTTTCTATATTACTGAAACTTTTTACAAACAGCATGTGTCATTTGTATGATAACAAAAGTGAAGATTTCATTTTGAAAATCTAAGGAAGGGATATGCTATTTATGCTGTCCTTTAAGGATTTATTTACCCTTTCGTTTGTTCAACAAATATGAACAGTTTATTACATAGAAGGTAGTGCCTCCAGGACTGAGGTAGAAACAAAAGACAATCGGACCTAAGCCTCTCTCTGCTTCCTGAAACCAAACCAATATTATCACTGCCCCCACCTGACACGCAGACACACAGACACACACACACACACACACACACACACACATACATACATACATACATACGTGCCTTCCTTCTGCCACAAATAAGTTGGTGTCCCTTGGCCACTCCAAACCCAATCCCAACACCTGCATCCTAGAGTCTATCTCCCCATCATTTTTCAGAAGCCTCACACTATTCATTTTTTTCTTTCTTTCTTTCTTTCTTTCTTTCTTTCCTTTCTTTCCTTTTTCTTTCCTTTCTTTCCTTTCTTTCTTTCTCTTTCTTTCTTTCCAACTTTTCCCTCTCTCTTGCATCCACCTAGTCAGCAATGAAAACCTCTTAAGTCTCTTTCATTCTAAATAAAAAGAAGGGAGGGAAGGAAGGCCATTCTGGACAGAATTATTGGGGAGAGAAGCGGGAGGAGGAAGGGGAGAGGAAAGAGATATCCAAGCATATTCTCCAAATTTGTGACTTTTAAACCTTCTTAAAGAAATATGTTAGCCTGACTATTATAAGAACATAACACCTAGTGTGGTGGCTCACGCTTCTGATCCAAGCACTTTGGGAATGGGGGTGGATCACCTAAGGTCAGGAGTTCAAGACCAGCCTGGCCAACATAGTGAAACCCCGTCTCTACTAAAAATACAAAAATTAGCTGGGCATGGTAGTGCACACCTGTAGTCCCAGCTACTCGGGAGGCTGAAGAAGGAGGATCACTTGAACCTGGGAGGTGGAGGTTGCAGTGAGCAGAGATTGCACTGCTGCACTCCAGCCTGGGCAACAGAGTAAGACTCCATCTCAAAAAAAAACAAAAGCAAAACAAAAGAACATGACAGAGACAGCAATATAAAAGCAAGACTTTGAGCTAGGCAGAGAAGGTGCTCTCTCTCTGACCCAGAGGGTGGACCCAGTCCAGAGCAACCCAGCCCCTGCCTCAGGATACACTGTTGGAGTCAGGACCTGGATGATCTCAATTGTGGATGGCTCATTTCTCTCCAGCTATCACGCAGTCCCTCCTCCCCTTCAGCCAGACTTCTAGAAAGAGTTGTCTACTTGCCTTCCATGTCCTTACCTCCTCCACTTCTCCACCACTAAGTTGGCTGCTGAGCCCCACCACTCTACCAAAACCAGTTCCCCCCAGGCACACTTCTCAGTCTTGTCTCAACTTCTCAGCAGCATTTGGCACCAGTCTTGTGTCTGTCCTCTCTTTGTATTCTTTGCCAATATTTCCTCTCCAGCCTCACTTCTCAGCCTTGGGGCTCCCAGTGCTCAGTCCCGAGACCTTTGCTTTCTTCCCTGTACCCTCTTTCTTAGGCCATCTCATCCAAGCCAGCAGGTTCATCATCATTATGCACCAATGGTGCACAAACACCACTGATTCTGAAAATGCATGGTCAGTCAACACCTCACAAATGGCATCCAGGAGATGTTGGCTTCATCAATATCTCTGCTTGGGTATCTCACAGATCTCATTCATTCATCCTATCGAGTACCTACTATGTGTCAGGAACTACACCAGGCACTGGATATAGAATGAAAAACAAAACAGGCATGGTTCATGCCCCTGAGCAGCTTAACTAAAATGTCAACAACTGAACTCAAGAGCTTTCCTCAACCAACATGCTCCTCCATGTTCTGTGTCTCAATAAATGGCACAACTTCCCCCCACCTGCTCAAGCCAGAAACTTGAATGTTATAGGTGATTCTTCACTTTCCCTTATTCTACCTGGGGGAGACACACTCTAAAGAGCACCCCCCTAACCATAATGAGGCATGCCTTTGTAGAATCCTCTCCCCTTGAGGCAGAACCTGTGACCTGCTTCTAATCAATAGAAGATAGCCAAGGTGGGCTGGGAGTGGTGGCTCACGCCTATAATCCCAGCACTTTGGGAGGCCAAGGTGGGTGGATCACTTGAGGTCAGGAGTTCTAGACCAGCCTGACCAACATGGTGAAACCCCATCTCTACTAAAAATACAAAAATTAGCCAGGTGTCATGGTACACACCTGTAATCCCAGCTACTTGGGAGGCTGAGGCATGAGAATCACTTGAACCTGGGAGGTGGAGGTTGCAATGAGCTGAGATCGCGCCACTGCACTCCAGCCTGAGTGACAGAACAAGACCCTGTCTCAAAAAAAAAAATTATATATATATACATATATATATATATATATACACACACATATATATATATATATATACATATATATATATATATGTATATATATATATATATATATATATATATATATGGCCAAGGTGATAGATGTTAGAATCTTGTTTAGGATATGTTATATGGTGATAGTGACTGGATGGCATTCCTGTGATTGCATTATGTTATATAATACTCCATCTTAGCTGACTCGAGAGAGACTCCCTTGCTGGCTTTAAAGAAGTAAGCTGTCGAAGAGTAATGTTACAGAGCAGAGAGAGCGAGGAGGCTGCGTCTGGCTCCCGCTCTCAGCCATTGCAGTACATTGAGCTCCATAGAGACTGCACCAGGGCAAGTGAGAGCCAGAGGGGCACTGGGCAACTCTGTGCCTCACTGAGGAAAAATAACTAAACATGGGCAAAGGAGATCCTAAGAAGCCGAGAGGCAAAATGTCATCATGTGCATTTTTTGTGCAAACTTGTTGGGAGGAGCATAAGAAGCAGTACCCAGATGCTTCAATCAACTTCTCAGAGTTTTCTCAGAAGTGCCCAGAGACGTGGAAGACCACGATTGCTAAAGAGAAAGGAAAATTTGAAGATATGCCAAAGGCAGACAAGGCCCATTATGAAAGAGAAATGAAAACCTATATACCCCTCCTAAACGGGAGACAAAAAAGAAGTTCCGGCCGGGCGCGGTGGCTCATGCCTGTAATCCCAGCACTTTGGGAGCCGAGACAGGTGGATTACGAGGTCAGGAATCCAAGACTACCTGGCCAAGATGGTGAAACCACATTTCTACTAAAACTACAAAAATTGGCCAGGCGCAGTAGCAGGTGCCTGTAATCCCAGCTACTCAGGAGGCTGAGGCAGGAGAACCGCTTGAACCCGGGTGGCAGAGGTTGCAGTGAGCAGAGATCGTACCACTGCACTCCAGCCTGGGTGACAGAGTGAGACTCCATCTCAAAAAAAAAAAAAAAAGAAGAAGAAGTTCAAGGATCCCAATGCACCCAAGAGGCCTCCTTCAGCCTTTTTCCTCTTCTGTTCTGAGTATTGCCTAAAAATCAAAGGAGAACATCCTGGCCTGTCCATTGGTGATGTTGGAAAGAAACTGGGAGAGATGTGGAATGACACTGCTGCAGACGACAAGCACCTTTATGAAAAGAAGACTGCCAAGCTGAAGGAAAAATATGAAAAGGATATTGCTGCATATCGAGCTAAAGCAAAGCCTGATGCAGCAAAAAAAAGGAGTTGTCCAGGCTGAAAAGGCAAGAAAAAGGAGGAAGAGGAGGAAGATGAGGAAGATGAAGAGGATAAGAAGGAGGAGGAGAAAGATGAAGAAGATGAAGATGAAGAAGATGATGATGAATAAGTTGGTTCTAGCACAGTTTTTTTTTCTTGTCTATAAAGCATTTAACCCCCCTGCACACAACTCACTCCTTTTAAAGAAAAAAAATGAAATGTAAGGCTGTGTAAGATTTTATTTTAAACTGCACAGTGTCTTTTTTTTGTATAGCTAACACACTACCGAATGTGTCTTTAGATAGCCCTATTCTGGTGGTATTTTCAGTAGCCACTAACCTTGCCTGGTACAGTATGGGGGTTGTAAATTGGCATGGAAATTTAAAGCAGGTTCTTGTTGGTGCACAGCACAAATTAGTTATATACAGGGATGGTAGTTTTTTTATCTTCAGTTGTCTCTGATGCAGCTTATATGAAATAATTGTTCTGTTAACTGAATACCGCTTTGTAATTACAAAAAAATAAAAAGTTGCAGCTGTTTTGTTGACATTCTGAATGCTTCTAAGTAAGTACAATTCTTCTATTAGAAAAAAAAAAGCTATCATGTTTATCAAGGAACTGTGGGTGGCCTCTGAGAGCCAGAAAGAAAATGGGGACCTCAGTGCTACAACTGCAAGGAGATGAATTTGCCAATAACCTGAGGAAGCTTGCAAATTGACCTTTCCCTGGTTGAGACTCTGATGAAATTACAGCCCATGTCAATACTTGGTCTGAAGTCTGGTGAGTCCCTGAGCAGGGGACCCAGTTAAGTTGTGCCTAGACTCTTGACCCATGTAAACTGTAAGATAATAAATGGGTGTTATTTGGGGCTGCTAAGTTTGTGGTAATTTGTTACTCAGCATAGAAAACTAGTGGAGCATCTGTCCATCACCAGAAATTTTTGATTTTTTCACTGAAATAATTTCTCAAAAACTCCACTTTTCTCCATCTCCACTACTCCACCCAGAGTAAACTGCCATCATCTCCTATCCAAATAGAGTATCTTTCGGCCTGGCACAGTGGCTCACACCTCCCAGCACTTTGGGAGGCTGAGGCAGGAGGACTGCTTGAGCCCAGGAGTTTGAGATCAGCCTGGGAAACATGCCAAGACCCTGTCTGTATTAAAAATCAAAAGAATTAGTCAGGCATGGTGGTGTGGACCTGTGGTCCCAGCTACTTGGCAGGCTAAGGCTGTAGGATTGCTTAAGCCTGAGAGATCAAGCCTGCAGTGAGCTATGATTACGCCACTGCACTCCAGCCTGGGTGACAGGGCAAGACCCTGTCTCGAAAATAAATAAATAAATAAATAATTTTTAAAAAATATCTCCTTAATCTCCACTGTCACATTTGCTCCTCCTAACTTAACTGGATCAAGTCATGAGAACACCTCAGGCAAGTTAATAATTTCCCGTTCCTTCAACTCAACATTTTTTCAGTAGAGACAAGGAGAAATTTTCTACTAACAAAAGTGATGCATCTCTCTTTTTTTTTTTTTTTTTGAGATGGAGTCTCGCTCTGTGACCCAGGCTGGAGTGCAATGGCCTGATCTAGGCTCCCTGCAACCTCCACCTCCTGGGTTAAAGCGATTCTCCTGCCTCAGCCTCCCGAGTAACTGGGACTACAGGCGCGTGCCAACACACTCGGCTAATTTTTTGTATTTTTAGTAGAGACGGGGTTTCACTGTGTTAGCCAGGATGGTCTCTATCTCCTGACCTCATGATCCACCCACCTCAGCCCCCCAAAGTGCTGGGATTACAGGCGTGAGCCACCGCGCCCAGCCACATCTCTTTCTATACCAAAACGAGAGGTTCAATATATGCGATTTTCCAAAGCAGGTAACTCCTTGGGAGACCCATTAAACCACTTAAAATTTAAACAACAGGCTGGGCACAGTGGATCACGCCTGTAATCCCAGCACTTTGGGAGGCTGAGGCGGGGGATCACTTAAGCCCAGGAGTTCAAGACCAGCCTGGGCAACATAGTGAGACCCCATCTCTATTAATTAAAAAAATTTTTTTTGTTTAGTCACTCATTTTCTGTAAATAGCACAACCTATTGTATTACATAGGTTCAGACCTTCAGCTTAATGTACTTGATGGCAGTTCTTGGCTGACTCATCTCAGGTTTGGAGGAACAGTTGGTACACGTCTATCACAAGTTTTTAATTTTAAGAAAGAACAATTTGGCTGGGCACAGTGGCTCACACCTGTAATCCCAGCACTTTGGGAGGCTGAGACAGGTGGATCACCTGAGGTCAGGAGTTCGCAACCAGCCTGGCCAACATGGTGAAACCCTGTCTCTACTAAAAATACAAAAATTAGCATGGCATGGTGGCGCACACCTATAGTCCCAGCTACTTGGGAGACTGAGGCAGGTGAATCACTTGAACTCGGGAGGCAGAGGTTTCGGTGAGCCGAGATCGCACCACTGCACTCCAGCCTAGGCAACAGAGTGAGACTCTGTCTCAAGAGAAAAAAAAAAGAAAGAAAGAAAGAACAAGTTATCTTTTTCTTTCTCTGTTGCTCAAGATTTGAGTGCCAAATCTGAGGTCATGAAGATTTACCTCATGTTTTCTTCTAATAGTTTTATCATTTACATTTAGGTTGTTGATCCAGTTTGAATTAGTTTTTGCATGTGGAATGAGGCAAGGGTATGAATTCATTTTTTCTTTTGCATGTGGTTATCCCATTGTCCCACCACAATCTGTTAAAGAGACTCTTCTTTCCTCCCATTAAATGGCACCCTTGTAAAAAATCAATTGACCATAGATGTTTGGTTTTATTGCTAAACTCTCAATTCTATTTTATTGGTCTATATGTGTCTGTCTTTATACAAGTACCACACTTCAGCGTGGGCAATATAGTGAGACCTCAACTCTCCAGAAAAAAAAATATTTTTTTAATTAGCCAAATGTGGTAGTGTGCACCTGTAGTCCCAGCTACTTGGGAGGCTGAGATGGGAAAATCACTTGAGTCCAGGGCCCAGGGGTTGCAGTGAGCCAAGATTGTGCCACTGCACTCCAGCCTAGGTGACAGAGTTAGGCCCTGTCTCAAAAACACCTTCCTGGGAAGTTTGGAAATCAGGTACCTTCCTGGTAAGTTTGGAAATCAGGAAGTGTGAGTCTTTCAATTTTCTTTTTCTTTTTAAATATTGTTTTGGCTATTCAGAGGTCCCTGCAGTTCTCTGGGTATTGTTTTTTGTTTTTTGTTTTTTTTCTTTTTGAGACAGAGTCTCGCTCTGTTGCCCAAGCTAGAGCGCAGTGGCGTGATCTCGGCTCACTGCAGCCTCCGCCTCCCGGGTTCAAGCAATTCTCCTGCCTCAGCCTTCCAAGTAGCTGGGACTACAGGCATGCACCACCATGCCCAACTAATTTTTGTATTTTTAGTAAAGACAGGACTTCACCATGTTGGCCAGGATGGTCTTGATCTCCTGACCCCATGATCTGCCCACCTCAGTCTACCAAAGTGCTGGAATTACAGGCATGAGCCACTGTACCCAGCCTGTCCCTGCAGTTTTATAGGAACTTGAGGATAAGTTTCAATTTCTCCAAAAAAAAGACCATTGGAATTTTGATCGGGATTACATTGAATCTATAGATTGCTTTGGGGAATATTGCCATCTTAACAATATTAACACTCCCAACCCATGAACATGGGATGTCTTTCCATTCATTTAGGTCTTCCTTAGTTTCTTCCATCAATGTTTTTAGTTTTTGGTGTACAAGTCTTTCACCTCCTCAGTTAAATTTATTCCAAGGTAATTTATTCTCTCGGATGCTACTGTAAATTGAATTGTTTTCTTAATTTCCTTTTCAGATTGTTCACTGCTAGTGTAAAGAAACAGAGCTCATGTTTGTATGTTGGCCTTGCACCAACTTTGCTTAATTCCTTTACCAGCTATAGTAGGTTTTTGAGATTCTATGGGATTTTCTATACAGAGAGCCAAGTCATCTACAAATCGTGGTAGTTTTACTTCTTATTTTGCTATTTAGAGGCCTTTTATTTATTTTTCTTGCCAAATTGCTCTGTCTAGGACTTCCAGTATAATGTTGAATAGCACAGATGACAACAGACATCTTTGTCTTGCTTCTGATTCTAGAAACTAAGCTTTTAGTCTTTCACCATTGAGAATGATGTGTTGTGGGATTTTTTTCATAAATGCCCTTTATCATGTAAAGGAAGTTCCCTTTTATCTTAACCCATTCTGCTGCTATCACAAAATACCTTAGAGTGAGTAATTTACAAATAATAGAAATGTATTTCTGCCAGGCACAATGGCTCATGCCTGTAATACCAACAATTTGGGAGGCCAAAGTGGGAAGATTATTTGAGGCCAGGAGTTCAAGACCACCTCAGGTAACATAGCGAGGACTTATCTCTATTAGACATTTAAAAATTAGCTAGGCATGATGGCAGGCACCTACAGTCCCAGCTACTTGGGAAGCTGAAGTGGGAGGACTGCTCGAGCCAAGGAGTTTGAGGCAGCAGTGAGCCAGGATCTTGTCACTGCACTCCAGCCTGGGCAACAGAGCGAGACCCTGTCTCCTCACCACCAAAAAGAAGAAAGAAATTTGCTTCTCACAGTTCTGGAGGCTGGGAAGTCCAACACCAAAATGCCAGAAGATTTGGTGTTTGGTGAGGGCCTGTTCCATATATAGCATTTTCTTGAGGCATCCTCACAATAAGCAGGAAAAGGTAGAAGGGCAAAAGGAGACCAACACGGTGTCCTCACGTAGCAGAAGAGATTAAAGGGGAAAGGGGAGCCAGTTAGTTCTCTCAAGCCCTTTTATGAGGGCACTAATAACCTCCTTCAGGACCCACATCTTAATTCTATTGCATTGGGGTTGAGTTTCAACATATGAATTTTGGAGGGACACATACATTCAAATCATAGCACCTACTATTTCCAGTGTTCTGAGTTTTTATCATCAAAAGGTGCTGAATTTTATCAAATGCTTTTTCTGCATCTATTGAGATGACCATGTTTTTTCTTGTCATTTTATTATTGTGGCATATCACATTGATTGATTTCCTTGTGTTGAACCACTCTTGGTTTCTGGGATAAATTCCACTTAGACATGGTATGTGATTCTGTTTGTTTGTTTGTTTGTTTGTTTGTTTGTTTGAGACAGGGTCTCATTCTGGTTGTCCAGGCTGGAGCACAGTGGTGCAATCTCAGCTCACTGCAACCTCTGCCTCCAGGGTTCAAGTGATTCTCATGTGTCAGCCTCCATAGCTGGAATTACAGGCACATGCCATCACACCAGCTAATTTTTGTTTTTTTGTAGAGATAGCATTCCCCATGTTGGCCAGGCTGGTCTCAAACTCCTGACCTCTAGCGATCCTCCTGCCTCAACCTCCCAAAGTCATGGGATTACAGGCGCGAGCCACCACACCCAGCCAATTATTATAAAGTGCTATTGGATTTAGTTTGCTAGCATTTGGTTGGGGATTCCTGTGTCTATTCATAGAGATATTGGCCTGAATTTCGCTTCTCTCATGGCATCTTTGTCTGGATATCAGAGTAATACTGGCCTCATAGAATGTGTTAGAAAATGTTCGTTCCTCTTCCATTTTTTGGAAATGTTTGAGTAGAGTTGGTGTTAATTCTTCTTTAAATTGGCTAAAAATGTGTTGTTCAATTTCCCTGTCTTTGTGAATTTTCCAGTTTTTTTCTTCTGCTATTTATTTGTATCTTCATTCCACTGTGGTTGAAGAGGATACTTTGTATGATTTTGATTTTTTTAATGTATTGAGAATCATTTTCTGGCCTAGCATATGTTCTATCCTAGAAACTGCTCCATGTACACTTGAGAAGTATATTCTGCTGTTGTTATGTGGAGTGATCTGTGTTATCTGCAGTCTAGTTAGTTTATGATGTTCTTCAAGTCCTCTATTTCCTTGCCAATCTTCTGTCTAGGTGTTCACTCTATTATTGAAAGTAGGACATTGAAGTCTCCAACTATTATCGTAGAACTATTTTTCCCTTTAATTCTGTCCATATTTGCTTTATATATTTTGGACTCTGTTGTTTGATGTGTATATGTTTATAATTATTATATTTTCCTGATGAATTGATCCTATTATCAATATAAACACTTTTTGTCTCTTATAACAATTCTTGACTTAAAATATATTCTTTCTGATACTAGCATAGCCATTCCAGCTCTATTTTGGTTACAGTTTGCCTAGAATATCTTTTTTTTTTTTTTCAGAGACACAGTCTCACCCTGCCACCCAGACTGGAATGTAGTGGCACAAACATAGCTCACTGCAGCCATGGCTGCATAGTATTCCCGGACTAAAGCAATCCTTCCACCTCAACCTCTCCAGTAGCTGGAACCAGGTGTGCACCACCATTCTTGGCTAATTTTTTTTATTTTTAGTAGAGACAGGGTCTTGCCATGTTACCTAGGCTGATCTCAAACTCCTGGCTCAGGTGATCTTCCTGCCTTGGTCTTCCAAAGTGCTGGGACTGGCCAGGCATGGTGGCTCATGCCTGTAATACCAGCACTTTGGGAGGCTGAGGTGGGTGGATCACTTGAGGTTAGGAGCTCGAGACTAGCCTGGCCAACATGGTGAAACCCCATCTCTACTTAAAATACAAAAAAATTAGCTGGGGTGTGGTGGTACCCACCTGCAGTCCCAGCTACTCGGGAGGCTGGGGCAGGAGAATGACTCGAACCCCAGAGACAGAGGTTGCAGTGAGCCACTTCACTCCAGCCTGGGCAACAGAGCGAGACTCTGTCTCAAAAAAAACAAAAGACAAAGTGCTGAGATTACAGGTATGAGCCACTGTGCCCAGTCCCAGAATATATTTTTCTATTCTTTGATTTTCAACCTATTTGCATCTTTGGATCTTAAGTTAGTCTCTAGTAAAAGCATATAGTTGGATCATTTTTTAAAACTTCATTTTGCTGGCCAGGTGCAGTGGCTCACGCCTGTAATCCCAGCACTTTAGGAGGCCGAGGCGGGCAGATCACTTGAGGTTGTGGTGACTCACGCCTATAATCCCAGCACTTTAGGAGGCCAAGACGGGCAGATCACTTGAGGTCAGGAGTTTGAGACCAGCCTGGCCAACATGGTGAAACCCCATTTCTACTAAAAAAAAAAAAAAAAAAATAGCTGGACATGGTAGCATGTGCCTGTAGTCCGAGCTACACATGAGGCTGAGACAGGAGACTCGCTTGAACCCGGGAGGCGGAGGTTGCAGTGAGCCAAGATCGTACCACTGCACTTCAGCCTGGGCGACAGAGCAAGATTCTGTCTCAAAAAAAAAAAAAAATTTATTTTGCCAATCTCTGTCTTTTAATTGTTTAATCCATTTACATTTTAAATGATTATCGATAATAAAGAACTTACCTCTACTATCATGCTATTTATTTTCTTTTTCTTTTTTTTTTTTTACTTTTAATTTAGGTTCAGGGTACATGTGCGGGTAATAAGCATAATACTCAATAGGTAGTTTTTTTGATCCTCACCCTCCTCCCACCCTTCACCCTCAAGTAGGCCCCGGTGTCTCTTGTTCCCTTCTTTGTGTCCATATATACTCAATGTTTACCTCCCACTTACAAGTAAGAATATGTGGTATTTGGCTGTCTTTTTTTTTTTTTTTTTGAGATGGATTTTCCCTCTCTCACCCAGGCTGGAGTTCAGTGTCCCAATCTTGGCCCACTGCAACCTCCACCTCTCAGGTTCAAGTAATTCTCCTGTCTCAGCCTCAAGAGTAGCTGCGATTACAGGCACAAGACACCAGAGCTGGCTAATTTTTGTATTTTTCGTAGAGACGGGGTTTCATCATGTTGAACAGGCTAGTCTCGAACTCCTGACCTCAGGTGATCCACCCGCCTCAGCCTCCCAAAGTGCTGGAATTAGAGGTGTGAGCCACTATGCCTGGCTCCTTCAAGTTTTGAAAGAACATTTTACAGGCTATAATATTCCTGGTTGACAGGTTTTTTTATTTCACCACTTTAAAGATATCATCATTCCACTGCCTTCATGGTTTCTGATGAAAAATTAGCTGTTGTTCTTATGCAGGAGACTTGTAAATGAGTCACTTCTCTCTTTCACTTTAAAGATTTTCTCTTTATTTCTGGCTTTCAACAGTTTTGACTATAATATGTCTCAGTGTGAATCTCTGAGTTTATCCTGCTTTAAGTTTATCAAGCTTATTAGATGTATTGATTCACATCTTTCACCACATCTGGGAACTTTATGGCCATTACTTGTTTAAATATTTTTCCTTCCCCTTTCTCTCTCTCTCCTCTTTCTGTAACTCCCATAACGTGTGTTTTGATATGCTTAATTTGTGTCCCACATGTCCAATAAGCTCTGTTCAATTGTTTTATTTTTGTTCCTCAAACTGGGTAATTTTAACTGCCCTATCTTCAAGTTCACTGATTCTTTCTTCTGCCTGCTCAAATGTGCTGTTGACCCCCTCTAGTAATTTCTGCACTTCAGCTATTGTACTTCTCAGCTCCAAAATTTTTATTTGGTTCCTTTTTATTATTTCTATCTCTTTATGATATTCTATGCTTGTATATACACCATGCTCCCGATTTTCCTTAGCTATTCTTCATGGTTTCCATGAGCTCTTTTCTTTTTTCCTTCAGCATATTTAAGACAGTTAAGTCTTTTTATATAAATCCAACATCTGGGCTCTTCACGGATAGTTTCTATCAATTTTTTTCTATATTCCTTTTACTATGAATGAACCATACTTTCATTTTATGTTGCATGCTTTATAATTTTCTGATGAGAACTGGAAATTTTGAATATTAAAATTGTAACTCTTGAAATTAGATTTTCTCTTCTGCCCCAGTTTCAGGGATTACTGTTGCCTGAAGAAAGCTACAGTCATCTGTTTATTTAGTGCCTTTTCCTAACTCTGTTGCAAAGACTATATTCCTTGGCATGTGTAGTCACTAAAGACTCATAATTTCTGCAGTCAGCCAGTGACCTAACAGAGATTTCCTTAAATGCCTGGGTCCAAAAAAGAAAAGAAAAGGCTGTTTTGTCTCTTTAAATCCCTTCCATCACTCAGGAGGCTGAGGCAGGAGGATTGCTTGAGCCCAGGAGTTTGAGTCTAGCCTGAGCAACATAGCAAGACTTCATCTTTTTTTTTTTCTTTTTGAGATAAGAGTCTCGCTCTGTCACCCAGGCTGGAGCACAGTGGCATGATCTTGGCTCACTGCACCCTCCACCTTCCAGGTTCAAGCAATTCCCCTAGCCTCAGCCTCCCGAGTAGCTGGGATTACAGGCACATAACCAAGCCTGGCTAATTTTTTTCATTTTTAGTAGAGACAGGGTTTCACCATGTTGACCAGGCTGGTCTCGAACCCCTGACATCAAGCGATCTGCCCGCCTCAGCCTCCCAAAGTGCTGGGATTATAGGTGTAAGCCACCGTGCCCGGCCAAGACCTCATCTTTAACAAAAAAAAAGAAAGAAAAAAGAAAAGAAAAAAAAAGAGCTTTTTAAATCCCCTCCACCAATAAGAAAACCATTTCAGCTGAGCCCATGGAGGCTGAAACAATAACCAACCTTAGCAGTGGCCCCTTAGCAAACTAAGGCATATCAAAATACACAAGCCTGATTTTTGGAGGACAAGGTCCCTATAGCCCACCCTCACATCGCCAAGCACATCAGGGATACAGACTGCCATCTCCACAACTGGATGCTGCTGGGAAGAATTCACCAAAATTCACCAGCCTCTTTCTTAATCAAGTACTCCCTTCAATGCTGCAAGTGCTTCACTAGAGTCTGGAGCTCCAAATAGTTGGTTCTGACAGTTCTTGCCAGCTCAATAGTGGTTTCAGTGAAGGGATCAATTCTACTCTGCTATCTTCCATGACATCACTCTTCCCCCACCCCACCACATTAGTCTTTATCCCATAGGAAACAGAAGGCACCCTCAAGATAGGATAATTTGAGAAGAATGTATTTAAGAAGGATTATTTACAAAAGTGTGGATGTAGGGGAGCCAGAAGAGGGAATGCATTAACCCAGGACTAATAGCAGCCAAGCTGATACTATCCCTAAGCCCAAAGGGTTGAGGAGAGGGATCAGGACCAGGAAGGAAGGAAAGAGTTGTGCTGAGGTGGCCACCTTGAAAGGGGCAGTGACATTTGGTTGATGAACACAGCCAGCCTGAGGCGACCTCAAAAGATGAAGGAAGCCCAAGATTAAATAGCCTGATATTACTCTTTTGCCTCCTCCTCCTACTACTACTACTTCTGTTCCCCTTCCTCCTGCTGGGGCTCCTTATTGGCCAACCAAACACCCAGGCATAAGGGAGTCCAGTTGATATAGGGGTGAAAAAGGATGAAGAGTGGATCTGGAGGACTAACTGGAGAATGGCCAGACAGCCATTCCAACCCCAAAATTACCTCTAGCCTCTATCTTCAAGATTGAATGCAGCAAATTTCTGGCTATTTAAGAACAGCCACTTTCCAAACACAACTGGAGGATTCTTCCCTGGAGAGAAGACCTCCCAATATTGACATTCGACATCTGGCACATCATCTGTGCAACTTACGGTCAACCTAGTGCTTCTCAAAACGTAATGTGCACTTGAATCACCTGGTGATATTGTTAAAATGCAGATTCTAAATCTGTAGGTTACAGTGGAACCTGGGGTTCTCCATTTCCAATGAGCTCCCAGATGATGTCAATGCTGCTGGTCCAAGGAGCTAGTCAACTCATCTTGCCCAAACACTTAGAGTCTCCACTCAGCTTTTTAGTGTCTCATCCTTAAATATGAATAGATTGCTAAAGTAGACAGAAGTTTGAGATGGCCATTAGCATGAGAGTAACCAAAATAAATTAGCATTAAAAAGGACCCAAGGAAACAGAGACAAAGTGGAGAGAAGGAAAACTAAAAACAAATTCACTAATATCCTCACAGACAGGAAAACTTATGCCTGTCCATAAAACCAGGATAGAATATTATGGAAAAGAGACAGTCAGCAGGAAAAAAAGGTCTTGGGAATTAAAAATAAGAAAACTGAGGCCGGGCGCGGTGGCTCATGCCTGTAATCCCAGCACTCTGGGAGGCCGAGGAGGGCGGATCACCTGAGGTCAGGAGTTCGAGACCAGCCTCAACATGGAGAAACCCCATCTCTACTAAAAATACAAAAATTAGCCGGGCATGGTGATGCATGCCTATAATCCCAGCTATTCGGGAGGCTGAGGCAGGAGAATTGCTTGAACCTGGGAGGCGGAGGTTGCGGTGAGCCGAGATCGCGCCATTGCACTCCAGCCTGGGCAACAGGAGCGAAACTCCATCTCAAAAAAAAAAAAAAAGAAAGAAAGAAAAAAAAGAAAACTGAAAGTTCAGCCTTGGGCAACATAGGAAGACCTCATCTCTACAAAAAATTAGCCAGATGTGGTGGCACAAGCCTGTGGTCCCAGCTACTTGGGAGGCTGAGGTGGGAGGTTCGCTTGAGCCCAGGAGGTTGAGGCTGCAGTGAGCTGAGGTTGCCCACTGCACTCTAGCCTGGGCAACAGAGCGATACCCTGTGTCAAAAACAAAACAAAACAAAACAAAAAGTTAAAATGGCTGAAGATAATGCAAGAAGATATTCCACAAAAATAGAAAAACAAAAAACAAACAATGGGTTGGTTTAGAGTTCAGTTTTGCAAGATGAAAAGAAGGTTCTTTTTTTGTGTTTTTTCTTTAAGACTCTGTCGTAAAGGCTAGAGTGCAGTGTCATGATCCTAGCTCACTGCAGCCTAAAACTCCTGGGCTCAAGCAATCTTCCCTGCTTATCCTCCCAAAGTACTGGGATTACAGGCATGAGCCACCATGCTCAGCTCTATGAATTTCTATTTTGAATCAGTGCTCAGTACAACAAATTAAGAAAGTGGTACAATAAAGCAAATCATTCTAAAATTTCTAACCAACAAGTTAAAGAGAGAATCCTAAGGCTTCCACAGATGGGGGAGATGTAACAGACAAAAGGATCAGAAACATGAATAGGAATTATACTTTTTTAATAGCAACCCTAGAAGGTGTAAGAAAATGTAGTATACCATCATTAAAAAGTCAGGAAACAACAGGTGCTAGAGAGGACGTGGAGAAATAGGAACACTTTTACGCTGTTGGTGGGACTATAAACTAGTCCAACCATTGTGGAAGTCAGTGTGGCGATTCCTCAGGGATCTAGAACTAGAAATACCACTTGACCCAGCCATCCCATTACTGGGTATATACCCAAAGGACTATAAATCATGCTGCTATAAAGACACATGCACACATGTTTATCGCGGCACTATTCACAATAGCAAAGACTTGGAACCAACCCAAATGTCCAACAATGATAGACTGGATTAAGAAAATGTGGCACATATATACCATGGAATACTATGCAGCCATAAAAAATGATGAGTTCGTGTCCTTTGTAGGGACATGGATGAAATTGGAAATCATCATTCTCAGTAAACTATCACAAGGACAAAAGAACAAACACTGCATGTTCTCACTCATAGATGGGAATTGAACAGTGAGAACACATGGACACAGGAAGGGGAACATCACACTCTGGGGACTGTTGTGGGGTGGGGGGAGGGGGGAGGGATAGCATTAGGAGATATACCTAATGCTAAATGACGAGTTAATGGGTGCAGCACACCAGCATGGCATATGTATACATATGTAACTAACCTGCACATTGTGCACATGTACCCTAAATCTTAAAGTATAATAATAATAAAAAAATAAATAAATAAAAAAGAAAATGTAGTATACCTTCAAAAAAAAAGGGAAAATTATTTTCAAACTTGAATATCTAGCCCAACAACACATCAAGTGTTAAATAGAAGTAACATATTTTCAAATATGCAAAGATTCTAACAACATATATCCCCCATCTCCCTTTCTTAGGAAGTTATTAGAGGAGATGCTTTAGCAAAACAAGGAAGTAAACCAAGAGGAAGACATGGGATCCAGGAAATGGGCAAAACCACCCCAGAACAACAATGAAGGAAAATTCCAGAATGACAACTGTACAGCAAGTCTAGCGAGCAGCCAGTCCAGATTGAAATAAGAGGAAGGAAGGCTCTGGGACAAAAACTCCAAAGAAAAAGTGGAACTTATATATTGAGTATATGGAAAACATTATTGCTAGACTTTTTGATAGTCTTAGAGCATTTGAGGGGAAAAACCAACTGTAAATACTGTTTACAGAAAATCAGACAGATGAGAGAAAAAAGGCAATAATTAACCCTAAGAAAAATGAAGGGCCATGTAAACTAGAAGTCATGATTATAGTGCATTTCTTGGCTCATCAGTAAACAATATTTGCATACATAATAATTTTAATACAGCTAGGTGCAGATTATTGGTTTTACCAAAAGTTATTACGCAGCTATATATGGTGGGAAGCAGAAGTGATAGAGTCAAGTTCTTATCTACCGTGTCAGGAAGTCAACACATAATGCTAAAAATTCACAAACCAAAAAATAATGGTATAAACATTTACTTAGAAACATGAAGGTAGGCCGGGCACGGTGACTCACACTTGTAATCCTAGCACTTTAGGAGGCTAAGGCAGGCGGATCGCTTGAGTTCAGGGGTTCGAGGCCAGCCGAAGCAACACGGTGAAACCCTGTCTCTACTAAAAATACAAAAATTAGCTGGACATATTGGTGGCCACCTGTAGTCCCAGCTAGTTGGGGTCTGAGGCCGGAGGATTGCTTGGGCCCAGGGAAATCGGGGCTTCAGTGAGCCAAGAGTGTGCCACTGCACACCAGCCTAAGTAACAAAGTGAAACCCTATCAGAAAGAAAGAAAGAAAGAAAAAGACAGAGAGAGAAAGAAAGAAAGAAAGAAAGAAAGAAAGAAAGAAAGAAAGAAAGAAAGGGATTATGAAGGTAAATATCAGGATGAATTTGTGAAAGAGTTGAGCATATTGCCTCCAAAGAGTAGGACAGGGAACTGCTTTTTTCATTACAAGCCTTTTAGTATTATAAGCATACATATTTTAAACAATTTATAAACATTATTTTAGTTCAATAGTCATTAATGTTACAAAGCTAGCTTATCGGTCGGGCATGGTGGCTCACGCCTGTAATCCCAGCACTTTAGGAGGCTAAGGCAGGTGGATCACTTGAACCCAGGAGTTTGAGACCAGCGTGCCCAATACGGCCAAACCCCGTCTCTACAAAATATACAGAAATTAGCCCAGCTTGGTGGTGCATGTCTATAGTCCCAGCTATTTGGCAGGCCGAGGCAGGAGGATCACCTGAGCTCGGGAGGCGGGCAGTGAGCAGAGATAGCAACGTCACTCCAGCTTGGGTGACAAGAGTGAGACACCATCTCAAATTAAAAAAAAAAAAAAAAAAAGGCCGGGCATGGTGGCTCACGCCTGTAATCCCAGCACTTTGGGAGGTCGAGGCAGGAGGATCATGATGTCAGGAGTTCGAGACCAGCCTGACCAACATAGTGAAACCCCGTCTCTACTAAAAATACAAAACATTAAAAGGGCATGGTGGCAGGCACCTTTAATCCCAGCTATTTGGGAGGCTGAGGCAGGAGAATCGCTTGAACCGGGGAGGCAGAGGTTGCAGTGAGCCGAGATCATGCCATTGCACTCCAGCCTGGGCAAGAGTGCAAGACTCTGTCTCAAAAAAAAAAAAATTTAAGTTAGCGTATAATTTTAGGGGATCAGCAATATCCTGAAGCTTATCCATAGCCCGTTAAGTAATGTTTCAAAGGGCTATCTGTGCCTTAATGATAGGAGCTAGTTTCTTGTTCATTTTTTTATCCCCATCCCCAAACACATAGCAGAAAATAAATTATTTCCTTGTATGTAGAACGGACTCAGCTAAGTTTATTATATTCTCCCCGGAGGAGGGAAAACACAAAACAAGGCACAAAGGCAGAAGGTGCAGATGTAGCACAACGATGAGTTAAGATTCCGCACGCAGGTAACAAGGAGGGTATGGTATATCTCTGCCAGAGGTACTGGAAGGTTTCAAAGGCAGAAAAAAATGTGTTCCGGACACCTGGACGCAGAATTGGAGGCATGACAGGAACACAGGGAGGCCCATCTAAGTTGCCTATTCACCCAGGTGACCTCTCTTTCATTTCTTTAATTGTCCTTTTAACAATATGGGGAATTTCACCCAAGGAAAGGGTCCTCTTCTCGCCCCAGCAGGCAAGGGGTGTTCCTCCAGCGCAAGTTCCGGCCCCAGCTGCCCCCACGTCCCACAGGTCTCCTGCCTTTTGGCACGCACACTCCTGACCACTCGCTGCTTCCGCATCCCTACTCTGATCCTCTCCCCATGCATCTCTGCCTCCTTAGACAACTGAGAATTTTATTGTCTGTTTCCTTTGCCAGACTGTAAGTTCCACGAGGGCAGGGCCTCGTCCATTTCATTTACCACTACATCCCCAGTATAGAGCAAGAGCCCATGAAAATGTTTGTTGGAGAAATGAATGCATGATGGTGTCGCTGGACAGCTATACCTGGAAAGAAAAAGAGGCACCCCCATCAAACAAGCTGGGAGCTAAGAAGCCCGCTGGGAGACGACAAGGGCGAGCTTCTTGCGAGGTTTCTGAAATGACAAGACCGGAAGAATGGAGTTGGATCTCTGGGACAAGCGGGAGAGAGAAGCTGAACAGTCAGGCAAGCCTCGGGGAATGACAGCTCCGCGGGGGACGCACTGGTAGGCGGTAGACGTAAGCGGGGTCGGTGGGAAAGTAGACGGTGGGGCGGCGGCATCACACATACGCAAGCGCAGCCTCCGTTTCCTCCGGCGCGCCTGCGCTCGCGTTCACGAGTGGTTGAAGCGGAAATGGCGCCGCGGGGCCGCGCGTCCAGGCGGCGAGCGGAAGTGGGTGTGAGAGCGGAAGTGGCCGGCTAGAGCCGGGGGCTGGGCGGGGACCGGGCTTGTCGGTGAAGCGGCAGTGGCGGCGGCGGCGGCGGCTCGGCAGGCGGGTTCAGGCTTCGGGGGCCAGGTCGGTTGGGTGGGTGGGTGTCTCCACAGTCTGCGTGCGTGGGCCAGCGCGTTCGTCTTACCCTTCCCTCCACCCCGGCCCCTCTCCCCTTCTCCCCTAACCTCCTACCCCACCCAGCCCCACTCAGGGGGCAGCAGGGCCGCTCCCTCCGTCCTTGCCTCCCTTACCCACCCTCACCGGCCCTTGTTTCTCCTTCCCCTGGGGGCAGCCGCCGCCATGATCCTGCTGGAGGTGAACAACCGCATCATCGAGGAGACGCTCGCGCTCAAGTTCGAGAACGCGGCCGCCGGGTGAGCGCGCGCCCGGGGCCGGGGGTGGCGGGGGAAGCAGAGTTGACCCCAGCTAATCCCCAATGTTGTCCAGTCCCCCAGACCTGGAGGAGAGAAATGGGGTGCCTGGCAGGGTGTAGGGGCTGCCCCAGCGGGGTAGACGTGGGAGGCGATTGGGCGCGGCCGGGCGAGGGGCAGAGATGCGTGGGGAGAGGCTCAGAGGAGGGATGCGGAAGCAGCGAGTGGTGAGGGCTGTGCGTGCCAAAGGGCAGGAGACCTGTGGGACGTGGGGGACCCTGGAGCCGGAACTCGCTCCGGAGTAGCCCCCTGCCCTCTGGGGCGAGAAGGGGACCCCTTCCCTGCGTGAAATTCCCCGGCATTGTTCTGAACCCAGAGAGAGCCTGTTTGGAATTGGGTTGGAAGGAGTTTTCAGGAATTCCCAGGACTGGAGGAGGGAAGGAGATGCAGGCCCACATCGCCACCAGCATTCTCGTTCCCCACCCCCATCTCCTTTAAAAGGAGCAGAAGAGAAGACTAAAAGCCGACCCAGTCTTAGAGCCGGAAAAACGCGATCTCTGGTTTCCCTTCCCCGAACCCTTCTGTGAGAGACACTGGGCCATTTTGTTACATATTTTTAAAGCAAAGCCAATTGTCCCTCGCTCCACACCCCTTCCTTATCTCTCCTTTGAGGTTCTAATGCTCTCTCCTCACCCACTAGCCTTTATCTGGTTATCTTGTAAATTCTTACATCAAGACCCTAGGTCTGTGATTTCTTCTGTGGTAGCCCTGGCCCAGTTACACACTTCAAAGACTCCAGAATCTATAAAGTTCTTAGATAACCTGTCTTTACGATTGGACTTTTTAAAAGATGGGCTTAGGGCATCTTTCCAAGGCAGCCTCTCTGCCAAACACAAGAATCAGTAGAAGACAATCTGCTCCTCCAAAGCTGCTTTGCTTTTCTAGTATAATATTTAAAACATGAGCTAAGGATTTTGGGTTCTAATTTTTGGTGGCCTGTGGCCAGTCCCTTTGCCTCATTTCCCTATGTATGAGCATGGGGCTTCACATCTGGGTTTCACAGTTAATAAGTGCAGACCGTTTCTGGTGAACTGGGAACTAGTAATAGGAAAGTGCTTGCAGATCCACAGATGGGAGAAGATTGGTAGAGGGGAATTTTTAAGTGGTCATAATGTACTTGTGGCTTGGAGGCATTAGAAAGTATTAACTGCCATTTAAATTGAATATATAGTATGTCCTGTCTCCTTTATAAGGCCACAGATTTTATCTGTAAAACAAAGCACTACTTTCCTTGAAGTAATACGTGTAGTGAGCAGTACTGTTTCCTGCCAGGGGCTGCAGTTGGTTATATTTGAGGCTGACTTGCTTCTTTCTTGTCTTAGCCTCTCTTACCAGTTTCTTTGCATTTTAAATATTCAAATGAATCAGCCCAGAGTCTTATTTTGGGTGATTGCTGTATACTTTTTTCTGAGCAGTGTAACACATAGGAGGAAGTTGAATTAACTTCTGCATTTTCATAACTGATCTTAATGCATTCTCAGGTCCAGACTAGCAAAGAATGAGACCTGGGCGGTTATAAGCTGATCTACAAGATAAATGGCTGTGTATTTTCAAGTAGAGGCATGTCTTTTAACATAGGAGTACATTCTCATCTATTTGTGTATTAATGACTTGTGATTCCAAAATGTGGCCCATTATTCGGAACTTCAGTTCTTTCTTTTTCTTTTAGAAAATTATTCTTAAAAAGAGAAGCTAACCATTTCGGAGGGATTAAATAGGCCCTCAAGTCTGGAAGACATAAGTTAGAACTTCCAGGACTTTTTTTTTTTTTTCCGAGACAGAGTCTCTCACTGGCTGGAATGCAGTGGCGCGATCTCTGCTCACTGCAACCTCGCCCTCCCAGGCTCAAGTGAGTCTCATGTCTCGGCTTCCCAAGTAGCTGGGATTACAAGCACGTGCTACCACACCTGGCTAATATTTGTATTTTTAGTAGAGATGGGGTTTCACCATGTTGGCCAGGCTGGTCTCAAACTCCTGGCCTCAAGTGACCCGCCCGCCTCGGCCTCCCAAAGTGCTGGGATTACAGCACTGCTCCTTTCCTCAGGACATTTTTTACAAAGATATGCATTGTAGGGAAGCTGTATAGGGGGTGCACTGGTGTGTATGCTTGTGCACATGTGCGGGTGTATGTGTGTATAAATCTAGGCTTTTATTCTGGCCCATCTCCCCCTTTGAGATGTGGTTTTCAATAAGCAGGCTCAAAACATTCTGCTGAAAATTTGAAACTTTGAAAATCTTTAAAAAAAAAGAGACCATGATATTGTGCCTGGTAGGCAGGGCTCTCCTGGGATTACAGATGTATCACCCAGTAGAAGCCCGAATGAAGCAAATGTAAATTATCAGACATTCCAGTAAGGTAAGGCAAGGTGCATGCCTATTCCAGAACTTACAGCAGAGTTTGCCTAGTGTGGTTATCATAAACATGTATGGGATTCTACCAGTGCTCAGCCCAGGCAGCAACAGAAAAAAAGGGGCCTCTCTGAGAGCCTATTAGCCAAGTTAGGGAGGTGCTAAGGGGTGAAAGGTGTTGGGGTGGAGATCAGAGAAAGACATTAAAGGGAGTAGTTTGGAGGAGAAACCCTGGAGATTTGAAAGGCTTTGCTGGTGTGGGAACCTGCTAGGAGAGGTCAGCTCCACCCTACTTTTTGCACTTCTCAGAATAAACCGATGGGGGAAATTACAGTTCGGAGCAGCCTTTTCCAGAGTGCATCTTCCATCTCTGTGATGTCCAATAAGATAGCCATACAAAGTGGCTGGCTAAATTTAAGTAAAAATTAAGTTGAAATAAAATTGAGTTCCTCGGTCACACTAGCCACATTTCTGGTGCTCATTTGCCACATGTGGCTGGTAGCTGTTGTATTTAGCACAGACATGGAACATTTCCATTATTGCAAAGTTCTATTAGCACTGTTCCAGCTTCTGAAAATGAAAGCATGAGATGGTCTTAAAAATAGTTCTGTGGCATATACTTCAGAATATAGTTGCATTAATTTTCCATTTGAAGTTGATTTTTTTTTTTTTTAATGATTCCTCTCAGATCATCCTGCTGGATCTTCTCACCAGTGGCCTCCTACTAAAAGTATCAGCTTTCTTTTGGGTAAAGCAGTGTTGTCATCTAAACTGTTTAAGAATACATTTGATCATAACCTTTTAATTTGGAGGCAGTTTGACAAAGCCTAAGGTTCATTCCAAACAGATTGCTTTTTAATTTTTTCCTACACACTTCTGGGAAGTGGCTTATTGAAACAACTCATAGATTGTCACAAAATAATAATTATTGGTAAATTGTCTTCCCAGCAGCCCACAAACTAAGAGAATGTGACTGACTTAAAAGCTATGCCCAACACTGCAAATAACCTCATGCACAGGTCTGATCAACAGCATTGCCTTTTCATTTGGAAATTCTTACCCAGACCCTCAAAGCAAAAGTAATCAGACAAATTAATTTAATTCTTTCGTTAGTGTACACACCAAGAACCGTTTCATAACTGAGAAGCTAGGCCTGTCAACTTAGCTGGAGTCTGGAGTCCAAAATTGAGGAAATTCTGTCAGATGCAAATTGCTGTTGGATTTAAGTGTGTGCTGGCTCCGTGCCACAGCCAGTGTATATTGCGGGGAGCTGTGGTTCCATGGGGGGGAGTGAAACTCAGTAAGCAAGCAGTGCCAGTTGGGGTGGGCGAGGATGATGGGAAGAGAAATTTGAAAAAGGAATAAATTAAATCTTGCTGATACTCTGTTCTCATTCCCAAATATATTGCATATGTCCTCAGAGAGACAGGCTGTTTGGAGTGATTTGGAATTAGGACATTGTTTAAGCATTTAGAAGAAATGGAATGTTGTGTCCAACTCAGTAAGAAGACCTGGTTGGTCTTTTTACAGGTCACTGTAGTTAATTACACACTGCCACCTGTCCTGTGGCCTACTTGGGACCACTTTGGTCCTGAAGCCCCAGAGCTGTGCTGGACCAAACTGATAACTCCTTAAGAGCTGGGTCTATCACTTTAATCATCTTTGTTTCCCCAGCATCCTCATTGTGTATATAGTCAACTCAGTAAATTGGTTTATTGAAGAAATTAATGAAGCCAGATAGAATGATTCCTTGTTTCTTTAGGAGCTGACATTTTTGTGACATTGAGTAAATCAGCTTTTAGGTCTCTGTTCTCCATATTTTGATATATGGCTTAGTGGAGAATAGGACCACCTCTTACCTAATATGATCTATTTTTTTAGGCTTTGCTCAAAAAGAATGATGGGAGCTTTATAGAAGATTTAAAGGAGAATGCTCAGAAACCTTTATAGTGAGCAGAATTCAGTAATTCCTCTAATTCAGGACATAAGAAGGGATAAGTAGGAGAGAGACATAAATGCCCAAATGGGGAATTGGGGCCAGGCACCCTGGCTCACGCCTGTAATCCCAGCACTTTGGGAGGCCAAGGAGGGCGGATCACTTGAGGTCAGGAGTTTGAGACCAGCCTGGCCAACATGACAAAACATATGTCTACTAAAAATACAAAAATTAGCCAGGTGTGGTGGCGCACACCTGTAATCCCAGCTACTCAGGAAGCTGAGGCTGGAGAATCACTTGAACCCAGGAGGCGGAGGTTGCAGTGAGCAGAGGTGGCACCACTGCACTCCAGCCTGGGTGACAGAGCGAGACCCCATCTCAAGAAAAAAGAAAAAAATGGGGAATTGGATCCTAGGGTGCATTCAGGAGTAAAAACCCCAAAGTTGTTAATGAGAAAAGAAGATGAGATAATACAGTTGCCAGAAGCCCTTTCTGGATTGATTATTGACATTCTAGAAGCTTCCTTAGAGAAAAGATAGAAGAAAATTTTTTCTAAAGGGTTTTAAGAATAGCTCTTAAAACCTGTCTGAATGAATTGATTATGTTTTAGTGTCTTGGGTTGTCCAGGCAGTAACTCTGAGGACTTACCCAGCCGGCTTGTTCTAGGATTCCAGACATTACAGCAGTCTGACACTTATAGGAGTTCTGTTTTTCCTTGTACTGCTAACCAATTCCTGATTCAGGGAATTACCGCAATCCTAAAACCTCTCCCAACCACAGCTTCAGAGTCCGATCTCTGACTCCACCTAGGAGAAGAACTAATTTATTGATTACCTTCTATGAGCTAGGCACTGTGCTATATGCCTTAACATGGTTTCATTTCATTTCTGTGACAGATAGTGGATCTCATTTACAACTGAGAAAACCAGGGCTCTTGAGGATTGGGGGTGGGGGTAGATATTGAATAAGTAACTACTACATATTAAGTAAGCACCGTGCAGGCATCCTTCACTGTGATTCTTGACCTTGTTTATCGTATGGCACACAGAACATGATTGTATTTGTATGGCACATTTGGGTAAATGGTCTAGCCTCTCAGAGATCCTGCCACCTGCTGCCTGCCCTAAGGGATATGGGGATCATTACCTCAGCATATCTATAACTTAAAAGACACCGTTTGAGAAACTTTGCTGTACAGTAGTCCCCCCTTATCTGTGGTTTTGCTTTCTGCAGTTTCAGTTACCTGCAGTGAGCAGTGAACCATGGTCTGAAAATATTAAATGGAAAATCCCAGAAATAAACAATCCATTAATTTTAAATTGTGCACCATTCTGAGTAGCATAATGAAATCTTGCGCTGTCCCGCCCAGGACATGAATCATCTTTTTGTCTAGCATATCTACAGTGTGTACGCTACCCTCTGTTAGTCGCTTAATAGCTGTCTAGGTTATCAGATTGACTGTCACAGCATTGTAGTGCTTGTGTTCAAGTTACCCTTATTTTACTTAATAATGGCTCCAAAGTACAGGAGTAATGATGCTGGCAATTTGGATATGCCAAAGAGAACCCATGAAGTGATTCCTTTAAGTAAAAAAAGTGACCTTGGTGTTTCTTTGCTACAGTTCAGTGCTATCCACACTTTTATTTATCCACTGGGTGTCTTGGAACATATCCCCCACAGATAAGGGGAGACTGCTGTACTGCTGGACATATATCATCTCAGTCTTCACACCAACCTGGGAGGTAGATGTTTTGTCCCCATTTTGTAGAAGAGGAACCTGAGGCCCGGTGACATTTGAGGAGCATTGCCTGTGGTCACATAGCCAATAAATTCTGAATTCTAAATAACTTGCTTTTTCTCACCCCCAGCATCTGAAATTTTAGCAGCTGGTAGAACAGTAAATAATGTAACTATTAATTCTGGGGGCCTATTTAGTGGAACACTTTTCCTGGGCCAGTCTTCCTCCCGCTCCTTTGTAATTTTAAACCACAGAAGTAAAATAACAAACGCCAGGTCTTGGAATTGAGAAGCAATCTTGTGATGGTATACTTCACGCTCAGCAAACTCATCGTTAAGGCACTGAGTTCTCGGACCTCTAACTCCCAGAAGACTTCCCATGAAGTCTCCTTTGGCCTAATACTCTCCTCAGCAGCCATTCTCTCTCTTCTAGCCATAAATAGTAAACTAAAATATTAATGAATGTGATTTGACAAATATTGCTAAGTCAGACAGCAGACCACTTAAGATCGATCGTAGCAACTTTTCCCACAAGGATCTGTGCTCAGGATACTTTATGCCTAGAGAAATTTGAAATTAGAGACTCAAAGTGTGTATGACTTGGAGCCCAAAGGTTATTTATTTATAGTTGGTTTTTCTCAGGTCTTTTGACAAAGTAGGAGAGTGAGGAACTCAGCCCTTCTTTGGCTGAATTAAAACCTAAAGGTTAAAAAAAAACTTACTAAGTGATGTAATAATGGGCTTTTATAAACTCCCTGACTCTTCAGCACAGTCAGCCTTCCCCAGGAAAGTATGCTTCCATGCTTCCTCCCATTGGTCATCCTCTTAATATTTCATTCAGTTGGTCCATGATTAACATTTCCATATTTTTGTTCTTTGCTCTTGTTTTCTAGAGGTGAGGAATGGTATTGGACTCGTTGCCTTTGTTTCCTGGCTACAGTTTCAAAATGAAGGCTCAGAAGCAATTTAAATTTTCATCTAGTTTTTTCCTTCTATTCTGAACTCTCTGCTTCTCCGTAAACCCACTTGATACTTCAATTCGTAGAGATACCCAGTGCGCTTTTCCTAAGTCACATATAGGGCTTTGAAGAAGCAAGGTGAAGCTTTGTATGATTCGTATAGGTTGATTTTTCAGCAGGGCTAGCATGCTTCATAGAAGCCAGTTTTTTTGAAAGGTATTGTCTGGCTTCTATATCAGCTTTTTAACACTCATAAACCATGTTATATATTCCATTATTTCCCAGCATCCCTGGAGAGCAACTTAGTCTTCGTTTCTTTCGCAGGTAATGGAGCAGAGATCGTGGAAAGATACGTACTTGATTAAGAGGTCTTGAGCAAGTTAGACAAAAATAAATGTGAAAACATGCGCATCTTGTTTGCTAGCCCCTAAAACAAAGTGGAATCATTGAGTTTACAGGTAGCTAGCTGGTAAGGCAATAGTCTTCATTTGCTTCCTACTTTGGACTTCAGGTCTGTTCTTGTGTTATATGTAGTAGTTCCATGAGGTAAATAGGTTCATTTTTATTCCCCCATTTTATTGATGATAGGGGAGAATGCAAAGGTGTAAGGGTATTTGTCCCAAAACATGAGCGTGATGAGAAAGCTAAAGTTGTAAAGCAGATGTCCTGACTATTCTTAGTGATTTCATAGTGTTATTTTGTGTTACACTGTCTATTTTAAGTTCCGAGCTGGAATTTACAAAGCAAGACAAAACTAGGGTAGAACTAAAGAGGGTTTCTTGAAGGTGAGTGGTAAGTACTTTGGTGATGTAAAGGAAGAAAGAAAGATGAGTAGGAAGGCTTACAGACGGGTTTTGAAGTGGAATAGAACTTGCCGTTTTGTTTATGGCCCGAAATCATCCTTTCTCTTTAAGCATATTAAAACCATTCTACATTATACTTAGCCATTTTCCTGCTGAACGTTTTACTCCTAATACCACTGTCCTGTGGGGAAGGCATTGACCAAAAGATGGCATTTTGTGGTATATAGCATGTTGTTAGGAAATTCAGAATTGAAAGTGAGCACCAACCAAAGCAGTAGATTCAACAGCAGGTGAAAAACAAAAGCTATAGCTGGCCTTCCTTTTTTATCTGACCTTCCTTTTTTATCCTCTACTTAAAGCAAGTCCAAAGGTTCAGGTCCATGAGAAAATGAATTGTGTACTCTGATTGGCAGTAACCTAAAATTTATACAGAATGGTCTGATCTTAAGTGAAGCTCAGGTGCCTTTCCAGTTCCCTTTGAAGGTAAGCAGCAATACAGTCATCTTAACTGAGGACCTTTTTTGTTGTTTACAGAAACAAACCGGAAGCAGTAGAAGTAACATTTGCAGGTAAGCATCTTTATCTCAGCCCTCTGAAGAGAAGGTACAATATGAAAAATAGGAAATAGGCTGGGTGCAGTGGCACATGCCTGTAATCCCAGCACTTTGGGAGTCCGAGGCAGGTGGATCACCTGATGTCAAGAGTTAAAGAACAGCCTGGCAAACATGGTGAAACCCCCTCTACTAAAAATACAAAAATTAGCCGGGCATGGTGGTGGGCACCTGTAATCCCAGCTACTCGGAAGGCTGAGGCAGGAGAATCACTTGAACTGGGAGGCAGGAGTTGCTGTGAGCTGAGATCACACCACTGCACTCCAGCCTGGGCGATACAGTGAGACTGTCTCAAAAAAAAAAAGAGAGAGACAAGAAAAGAAAATTGTACCTAAAATAAGCTTTGACATGGATTGGGTGCGGTAGCTCATGCATGTAATCCCAGCACTTTGGGAGGCCACGGCAGGCGGATCACGACGTCAGGAGATCGAGACTATCCTGGCTAACATGATGAAACCCTGTCTGTACTAAAAATACAAAAAATTAGCTGGGCATGGTGGCGGGCACCTGTAGTCCCAGCTACTCCGGAGGCCGAGGCAGGAGAATGGCATGAACCCAGGAGGCGGAGCTTGCAGTGAGCAGACATCGCGCCACTGCACTCCAGCCTGGGCGACAGTGAGACTCCATCTCAAAAAAAAAAAAAAAAAAAAAAAGCTTTGACATTTTGGATACTGTCCCTCATCAGGTCTTTTTGAGCTCTTTATAATAGATGACCATTTCATGTATTTAATCCACTGATGACTGACAATATAAAGTTACCTGCTGATAAATTAGAAGTTTGGATTTAATTTTGTGGTAAAACTGAGGTTTTTTTGTTGTGTTTTTTTTTTAATTTGGAAATATTACATTATCTTCAAGTAGCTGTCAGTCTTAGTTTGCCTAGCACTAGAGTAGTAGGGAAACATGAACAGCTAGAGATGTGTTCATCAAGTCAGAGAGAGATGTTGCTGCTTTCTGTTCCCTATAAAGAATTAGGTGTTGGTACTATTTACTTGTTAGGTGAATGAACTCAGAGGAATACAACCACCCTTTCTACAACAAGAGTCCTCGACAAGATGATCTTGGAAGACTTTTGCAGCTCTGAAGTGCTGTTACCTGGAGGCCAGGCACCATCCCTTTACCCTCCTACTAACTGGCATTGCCAGATATCCCTTCGTGATTCCCATGACAGCTCCATAAAGTGATGGCACTCAGCACCTAATTCTAGTTTCAGGAACCTATTCCTAGTTTCAGGAATTACACAGGCTGAGTCAGTCCTGTGTACTGCAGAAAGATAGAACCGAAAAAGAGGGGAGTCCTATAGATTAGAAGCAACTCAAAAGATAACCAAATGCAATGTGTGGATATTGTTTGCATCTTAATTCAAATAAGACAACAATGCTTAAAATTTTTTGAGACAGTAGAGAATATTTAAATACTTGACTGAATATTTGTTTTGTTTTTTTGAGACTGAGTCTCACTCTGTCACCCAGGCTGGAGTGCAGTGGCGTTGATAATCTGCTCACTGCCGCCTCCACCTCCCCGAGTTCAAGCGATTCTCCTGCCTCCGCCTCTCAAGTAGCTGGGACTACAGATCTCCACCACCACACCCGGCTAATTTTTTTTTTTTTTCCAGACAGCGTCTTGCTCTGTCGCCCAGGCTGGAGTGCAATGGCATGATCTTGGCTCACTGCAACCTCCACCCCCCGGGTTCAAGCGATTCTCCTGTCTCAGCCTCCCAAGTAGCTGGGATTACAGGCATGTGCCACCACACCCAGCTAATTTTTTGTAATTTTTGTAGAGACAGGGTTTCACCATGTTGGCCAGGCTGGTTTTGAACTCCTGACCTCAAGTGATCCACCCACCTCGGCCTCCCAAAGTTAACAGGCTGGGTTAACAGGCTTGAGCCACTGTGCCCGGCCTTGACTGAATATTTGATATTAAGAAATTGTTTTTAAAAATTTAGGCATGACACTAGTATCATGGTTATGTTTTTTAACAAATAGTCTTCTGTATCTTCCAAAGATATATTCTGAGTATTTATGGATGAAATTATGTGTTGTATCTGGGATTTGCTTCAAAATAAATCAATGGGAAGGAGGATGTCTAAATGAAACAAGAATTGTCCATGTGTTAATAATTGTTGAGGCTGGGCAAGGTGGTTCACGCCTGTAATCCCAGCACTTTGGGAGGCTGAGGTGGGCAGATCATGAGGTCAGGAGTTCGAGACCAGCCTGGCCAACACAGTGAAACCCCGTCTGTACTAAAAATACAAAAATTAGCTGGGTGTGGTGGCACATGCCTGTAGTCCCAGCTACTCGGGAGGCTGAGACAGGAGAATCTCTTGAACCTGGGAGGCAGAGGTTGCAGTGAGCCGAGACCACACCATTGCACTCCAGCCTGGGTGACAGAGTAAGACTCTATCTCAAAAAAAAAAAAATCGTTGAAGCCTCATGATGGAGATGAGAGTTCATTATACTGTTCGTTCTGCTTATATACATGTAAAATCCAATTATTTCAGCACCAAGCTGTGATTAAGGAAAGAATAGCTTTGTAATTTTAAGAAAGAGCAAAGAAACAAGTGCTCAGCAATTCTATCCCAGTGTTTCTGCTGATTTGTCACATGGATTTAAAATAAGTTCCATTTTACTTACATGCCTCCTTAAAAGTGGTCTTCCTTGTGGCCTACGGCAAGGTAGGCGCTTGGAGAGATTATTTCCCATTCCCAAATTGTTACGCAATCTTATTTGCTTTCCTCACAGATTTCGATGGGGTCCTCTATCATATTTCAAATCCTAATGGAGACAAAACAAAAGTGATGGTCAGTATTTCTTTGAAATTCTACAAGGAACTTCAGGCACATGGTGCTGATGAGGTAAGATCCACATCATTTTCCTTGGGACTCTTGTTTCCTCACCTTTCATTGGCAGTTTGCCATTCATGGAAGATCCATGGCACTAAATCACCCCCACATGACTACTTGCTCACCTAACTAGGGGCTCTTGACTTGATTCCTATAATGAATTGTGTTTCCTAGAAAAGGTTTTGACTCTTGCTTGCTTGCTTTAAAACAATGGAAACAAAAATAGCTTTAGTTCTCCAAAAACATAGCAAAGAATACTTTTCCTTGATCAGTACAAAAATAGCTGTTGCAAGAATTAGGTTCTGTTCTATTTTTGTAATATTATCAAGGCAGATAGATAACTTCTAGCTTGTTTAAATTTTATAGTCTCAGGTTCTCATTCTGGAGGCTTAGGCACAAATAGCTGTCTTTTGAAATTTTTAATTAAAGCTCTTTAAAGCTACCGTCTTTAAATATCTCTTCTTTATAACTACCATAGGGGAAATAAGAAAGATGTCCAGACATTATGAAACTTCGGTGGCCATGCCTTGTTCACTGGCTTCTTTAAATAGTTAAGTAGCAGGTTTGGTTCCTGTTGAACTGTATTTGCTCTGAGGAGAGCCATTTATGGAAGAAAGAAAATGCTATTACACCAGTTTGTGCACGCTGTGGTTGGGTCTCAAAGCAGGAAATATGACTCAGTTCCTGAATCAGTTTTCAAATTTCTTAGTTTTAACAAACTAGGTTCTCCTTAATCTGTTAAATGAAGATATAACCATAGCTGTTTCTTTCTGAAAAGTAGTAGCTTTTGAATTATTTAAAACTTATATAATAAAAGATGATTTGTAAAGGAATATGGTCAAAAGCTTGTTTAATTTTTTAGCATAAAAACTAAAATTAGTCTTAATACCAAGAGCCATTGGTTGCTTCCCTTAGTTATTCAAATGCAATTGATTTTCTCATAAGTTCAAAGAAAGAAGAAATATTTAGAGGATTTGGAATCCAGATTAGTTTACTGGAAAAAGAAAAGCTTCAGAAAGAAGACCTAGTGCTTTTATAAAGCTTATGAAGAATTGTTTTGTAAAAGATAGTGGCTGACACTTCTTTACCAGATAAAGAGTGAAAGAAAACAAATGGCTATTAAAGCAGCCCTGCCTCTTTTTTTTTTTTGAGGTGGAGTCTCACTCTGTTGCCCCAGGCTGTACTGCAGTGGCGCCAGCTCAGCTCACTGCAACCTCCAACTCCTGGGTTCAAGCAGTTCATCTGCCTCAGCCTCCTGAGTAGCTGGGATTACAGGCATGCACCGCTACACCTGGCTAATTTTTTGTACTTTTCATAGAGATGGCGTTTCACCACATTGGCCAGGCTGCTCTCAAACTTCTGACCTCAGGTGATCTGCCTGCCTCGACCTCCCACAGTGCTAAGATTGCAGGTGTGAGCCACCGTGCCCAGCCTTTTCTTTTTTTTTTCTTTTTTTTTTTTTTTTTTTTTTTTGACAAGGTCTTGTTCTGTCACCTAGGCTGGAGTGCAGTGGCACAATCACAGCCACTGCACCCCTCAACCTCCCAGGCTCAAGCAGTCCTCTCACCTCAGCCTCCTGAGTGTCTGGGACTACAGGCACGTGCCACCACACCTGGCTTATTTTTTGTTTGTTTGTTCTTTAGAGAGAGGAGGTTTCACTATGTTGCCCAGGCTAGTTTCAAACTCCTGGGCTCAAGCAGTCCTCCTTCCTGGGCCTCCCAAAGTGCTGGGATTATAGATGTGAGCCACCATGTCCAGCTGCATCGCTGCTTTGGATCAGCTATAACTACCTGAAAAGAAGTGTTAAAATATTTGAATAGACTTTTTTTAAATTGTGTAATCATTCTCCCCTAGACAGTCTTCACTAGGTGCAAGCCTGCACAGTGGCACACACCTGTAGTGCCAACTGTGTGTTGGGACTTCACACAGTTGGCTTGAGGGGTTCAAGTGGGGAGAGTTGCTGGAGCCCAGGAGTTCAAGTCCAGCCTGGACGACATAGTGAGATTCCACCTCAAAAAAAGGAAAAGATCTAAATGCAATAATAATAATCCTGGAAAGAAAGAGTTAAGCTAGATTTCTTAAATCTCCTTTCCATTCTGTGCTTTTCTTACGATGGAGCTCCAGAACACATTGCTATTCTTGTAGCTACCACAAGGGTCAAAGAACCAGCCCCACCCACTCAAGTGGGTGGAGTAAGTAACATTCATAGTGTTGGAGCAGAGTGCACAGTAAATGGCTCCCTGGGTTGGTTAAACAGTGACCAACCCATGATAACCACAGGAAGGTTATTACTTTGTCACAGGCCATTTTTAAAGGTGGAATGCCTCTGCTGCTAGAGTGGGAAGGTAATGGTGATGAGTGATAGGTTGCCTCCACCCATCTCCTGGTGTCATTGGGAGAGGGGGTACAAACTGAAAAGTGAATCATGGTTAAAAGTGCAAGTGAAGTGACAAGGAAGTGTTGGCTGGTTTTACCAAGGGGAGGGAGCAAAGCAGTTGAACATGATATAAATTTGGCTCTCAGTACCTCTTAGATCTCAGAATATTAACTTAGTAAGCTTGAAATTAAACTAAATCTTAGGGACTTAGGGATTTAAACTAAATCCCCACCACATCTGATTTCCCCTTCCTCGAAATACCAATAGTACGTGCAACACAGACTTGTAGCTCAGAGGTCGCATGCTGTTTCAAATTCTTGGGATATGCATGTTACTTTTTTTTAAAGAAGTGGTATATCAGACACCTGAAGGTCAAGTCTCTCTGTGCCACCAAGAAACTCTCGTGACCTTGAGCCCCTCCTCTCAATTCCTCTTCGGTAAAAGAAATACCTCACAGTGGCTGTGCAATCACCAAATAGGAACTACAGGTGGCATTATTTATCTTTTGCCCTTGTGTAAGAAAATGTAGTCTTGCAGGTTGAAAATTTCTTCCAGCTATAGGAAAATGGTTAAATAAATATGTGGAATATTAGGAAATTATTGTTCAGCCAGGCGTGGGGGCTCATTCCTGTAATCCCAGCACTTTTGGAGGCCAAGGCAGGAGCATCGCTTGAGGTCAAGAGTTCAAGCCCAGCCTGGGCAACGTAGTGAGACCCTGTCTTTGTATATAAATAAATAAGTAGGCCAGGCGCAGTGGCTCACGCCTGTAATCCCAGCACTTTGGGAGGCCAAGACAGGTGGATTGCTTGAGGTCAGGATTTCGAGCCCAGCCTGGGCAACATGGTGAAACCCCATCTCTACTAAAAAATATAAAAATTAGCTTGGTGTGGTGGTGGACACCTGTAATCCCAGCTACTAGGGAGGCTGAGGCAGGAGAATTGCTTGAACCCAGGAGGTGGAGGTTGCAATGAGCCGAGATCACGCCACTGCACTCCAGCCTGGGTGACAGAGTGAGACTCCGTCTCAAAAAAAAAGAATTAATTAAATTAAAATAAAATGTTTGTTTCTTAAGCCATGTCATTCTGGAAGCAGTTTCCACCAGGTGAAGCAGTCACGGTGACAGAGAAAAAAATAGGGAGTCTCAGTCTGTTTTTTGTTGCTATAACAGAATACCACAGACTGAATAATTTATGAAGAAAATATGTTATTTGACTCATGTTCTGGGGACTGGGAAGTCCAAGAGCGTGGCACCAGCATCTGGCAAGGGCCTTCGTGCCCTTTCCCGTCATCCTGTAGCAAAAGGCAGAAGGGCAAGAGAGGGCCAGACTCAATTTTTTTTTTTTTTTTTTTTTTTTTGAGACGGAGTCTTGCTCTGTCACCCGGGCTGGAGTGCACCCAGGCTGGAGTGCAGTGGCGCGATCTCACCTCACTGCAAGCTCTGCCTCCCGGGTTCACGCCATTCTCCCGCCTCAGCCTCCCAAGTAGCTGGTACTACAGGCGCCTGCCACCATGCCCAGCTAATTTTTTTGTTTTTGTATTTTTAGTAGACATGGGGTTTCACTGTGTTAGCCAGGATGGTCTCAATCTCCTGACCTCGTGATCACCCCGCCTCGGCCTCCCAAAGTGCTGGGATTACAGGCATGAGCCACCATACCTAGCCCAGACTCACTTTTTTAACAGCCCCTCTTGTGAATAACAAACCAACTTCCCCTATAACAACATGAATCCATTCATGAGGGCAGAGCCCTCATGGCCTAATCACCTATTACCGTCACAGTGGCAATTAAATTTCAACATGTGGCCAGGCATGGTGGCTCACTCCTGTAATCCCAGTACTTTGGGAGGCCAAGGTAGAAGGATCACTTGAGCCTAGAAGTTCAAGGCTGCAGTGAGCTATTGTATCAATGCACTGTAGCCTGGACTACAGAGTAAGACCCTGCTTCCAAAACAATAATAATAATCGTAAATTTTGGCTGGGTGTGGAAAAATTAGCCAGGCATGGTGGTGCATGCCTGTAGTCCTAGCTACTCAGGAGGCTGAGGCAGGAGAATCGCTTGAACCCAGGAGATGGAGGTTGCAGTGAGCTGAGATTGCACCACTGCATTCCAGCCTGGACAACAGAGTAAGACTCCGTCTCAAAAAAAAAAAATCATAATTTTTAACATGAGTTTTCGAAAGGACATTCAAACCATAGCAGAAGGTATAAAAGGGGTTCTTGGTTTTTTGGGTTTTTTTTGTTGTTGTTTTCATTTAATTCAAAAACCTGGAAAGTAGCCAGCAGTAGGTTCTGGTTTGGGGGGAAAGACATGGAGAGTATACAACCTTCTGGACACCAGTATTAATAGCTAGCTAAGATTTCATTATTGACTGTCCTTTGCCTTAAGAGCTGGCTATGCACTGAGTAATTTTAAAGCATACAAGATCAGCAGACAAACAGATCAGTTCCCGAGAGTCCTGGTTTTTTCTCTTTATTCACCTGGGTTAGTGGCTCAGTCTGTACTTAGGTTGATAACTAACAATCTGTTCTCTCACTTGGAATTTGGCATCCTTTTGCTCTCTTGAAAACAAAACATGATTAAGTACAATGTAGGATCTGGAGGAGAACAGAGAACATATTAAGGGTGTAGTCAAGTCCTAAAAAAGGATGAGCTTTGATTAAAGATTCTCGGCCAGGCATAGTGGCTCATGCCTATAATCCCAGCACTTTGGGAGGACGAGGCGGGTGGATCATCCAAGGTCAGTAGTTCAAGATCAGCCTGACCAACATGGAGAAACCCCATCTCAACTAAAAATACAAAAAAAAATTAGCCGGGCATGGTGGCGCATGCCTATAATCCCAGCTACTTGGGAGGCTCAGGCAGGAGAATCACTTGAACCCAGGAGGCGGAGGTTGTGGTGAGCCGAGATCGCGCCATTGCACTCTGTCCCAGGCATAAAAAGATACTCATCTCAGTTTTGTGACTTGTTTGGTGACTAAATCCACTTCCCCTCTGTCTCTACTTTCCCATCCACCAAATGAAAGTTAGGAAGAATGCCAACTTAGGAAGAGCTTGGCAAGTGCAGTACTTTAAAAATAATGAAATTATCATGGCCTTTGGATTAACGTATTTGGTTTTGTTTTGTTTTTATTTTCTAGTTATTAAAGAGGGTGTACGGGAGTTTCTTGGTAAATCCAGAATCAGGTATGTAGTCATGTGAGCAACTATGGAATGACATGGGAAGAGAGGTGTCCTTTTTATATTATGCTTTTTTTACCCAAAGGATTTCGTTTAAATATTATTACAAATATTTCTGCATGAGCCCATTCCTAATTTCAACTCCGTCCATAAAAATAGCTTTTAAGGGGCTTTGCTTTGTCCAATATGGAACACAGTAGAGGTACAAAATTGATGTGTGACATTTTTAACATTTACTTGATGGGGCCACATGACTCTTACTTAATCTTTCAGCCAGAGGGCCACATTTGTTTGTTCATGGTGATTAAAATGGCTTTGAAAAGAATGAGCAAACATTGATTCCCACCCTCGGCCCTTAGTAATTCTGCATACTACATATTTGGAGAAAGAAGAGGAATATTCACCACACTATTCTTGTGATTTCAAGTAATAAAAATCAGACCCTTTCTTAATCCAGTCTTCTAATAGGTTGTCTCAACATTCATGGCCAGAGGAATTGAAAGGCACCGTGTCATCCTTGAATAGAACAGCTATGTTATACTGCTTTAAAAAGGAGGTTTAAAGTGGAAAAACTGAACAGCCTTTTTACCCTGTGATTCAGTGGCATGTCTCAAATTCTGAGGCATTTAGCAGGACCCCAAAGTGAGAACCAGGTAGTAAGACCATTGGAACATAATATTTTTTACTCAACTATTACAACTTTGGTACCTTGATTAGAAAAGTCTTCTAAGAAGGAAGTTCTCTGTCACTCTTAACAGCAGTTACTTGTGCTAGCTTATTTCATCACCTCACCTATTTTTTCAGACAGTCTCATTCTGTTGCCCAGGCTGGAATGCAGTGGTACAGTCATAGCTCACTGCAGCCTCCTCCAAATCTTGGGCTCAAGCAATCCTCCCGCTTTAGCCTCTCCGGTAGCTGGGAACTACAGGCACATGCCACCATACCCAATTAATTTTTTTAATATTTTGTAGAAACAGAGTCTCACTGTCTGCTGCCCATACTGCCAAAACAGAGTAAGGAGGTCTCAAACTCCTAGCCTTGAGCAATCTACCCACCTCAGCCTCCGCCTCCCAGAGAGTTGGGATCACAGGCATGAGCCACCATACCCAGCACCTTTTTTTTTTTTAATCTCCAAATTGGCGGGATGAATGTGTCACAGAAATAAAAGCCAAGATAACACTGTAGGCTTTTGGCAAAATCAAGGTATTAAAAGAAAGAAACAAACAGATCTAGAACAGAAAAATCATGTCCAAAGTCTTGGGCATGCTTGTCACAGCCAACATCCTGACATGGAAAGTTTATGTTTCTGTCCCTGGGCCTCCTTCTACCTCCCACTAAATCATAGACATTGCCAGATTGCAGACCCTGTCTTCATAGAAGTGTGAAATGTAAAAGTGTGTGAAAGTAGTGTCTCAACCAGGTGCAGTGGCTCACACCTGTAATCCCAGCACTTTGGGGAGGCCAAGGTGAGTGAATTGCTTGAGCTCAGAAGTTCAGGACCAGCCTGGGCAGCATAATGAGATACCTGTCTCTATAAAAAATACAGAAATTAGCCAGGCATGGTGGCAGCCACCTGTAATACCAGGTACTCAGGTGGCTGAAGCACGAGAATCGCTTGAACCCAGGAGGCAGAGGTTGCAGTGAGCTGAGATTGCGCCACTGCCCTCTAGCCTAGGCGACAGAGCAAGATTCAGTCTCGAGAAAAAAAAAAAAAAGACCGTAGAGTCTCTCCTCCTCTTTTTTAATGGGTTTATCTAGGCACGTTTGGAAAACTCAGCAAGTTATACTAGATTTTTACTTCTCTTCATCCTCAGTATATTCTGTTCATCATGTTAGAAGCCTTACTTAAAGACAGACTTTACCTTAGCTATAGTTTTATTTGCTCTTATTTGGCTTCCTAAAACTAGCAAACCTCAGCTCTAAATCTTTTCTTTTTTAATCTAACCTTGTAATCTGTGTGCTTATTTGGTTTTCAAGTACCCAAAATAGAATGATGATTGATATTATTTAATACTGGAGTGCCTCTCCAGTATTAAATAAAATGTGCTAAGCATTATCTAGAGCAAAGATTTAGCCCATCCTCCCGAAGAGCCCATGCTCAACAAAAAACACAGACCTCAGCCGGGCGCGGTGGCTTATGCCTGTAATCCCAGCACTATCGGAGGCCAGGGCGGGCGGATCACCTGCATTCAGGAGTTCAAGACCAGCATGACCAACATGGAGAAACCCCGTCTCTACTAAAAGTACAAAATTAGCCAGGCCTGGTGGCGCATGCCTGTAATCCCAGCTGCCTAGGAGGCTGAGGCAGGAGAATCGCTTGAACCTGGGAGGCGGATGTTGTGGTGAGCCGAGATCATGCCATTGCACTCCAGCCTGGGCAATAAGAGTAAAACTCCATCTCAAAAAAAAAAAAATACAGATCTCAGGAATGCTTTTGGGAAAAAATGAAATAGTAATGAGGTTTCAGATACTTAGAAGTGTGAAAGCCATACAGTTCTGGTGAAGTTATTCCCGTCAGTTGCCTAGAATATAAAATGATCCTCAGTGATGTAGAAATATTCTTGCAAAAACATCTCTAGGCAGTTTGACACTTATTAATCATTTGATTCTATAATCAAGTGTTCCAGCCGGCTTCTGGGAATTCATAGTGGACATGCTGTAAAAAGGCAGGTCATCCAATGGTTTCAGTCCATGTTCTGCACCCGTATTGATGACCTGTCATGTTCCACACACTTTAAGTATTGAACATTCTTTTAATGCTCACAACATTCTCCCCTATCTCCGCACCCCCTGCCCTGCTCCTTTTTCTTTTTTTCTTTTTTTTTGAGACAGAATTTCACTCTTGTTGCTCAGGCTGGAGTGCCGTGGCGCGATCTCAGCTCATTACAACCTCCACCTCCCGGGTTCAAGCAATTCTCCTGCCTCAGCCTCCGGAGTACCTGGGACCACAGGCGTGTACCACCACACCCAGCTAATTTTGTATTTTTATTAGAGACGGGGTTTTGCCATATTGGCCAGGCAGGTCTCGAACTCCTGACCTCAGGTGATCCACCCACCTTGGCCTCCCAAAGTGCTGGGAATACAGGCTTGAGCCACTGTGCCCAGACCACCCTACCTGCCCCCCACCACCAATTTTTTTTTTTTTTTAACAGATGAGGAAATTAACAAGTCAGGCAATTTTTTTTGTTTTTGTTTTTTTTTTTTGGAGCTGGAGTCTCGCTCTGTTGTGCAGTGGTGCAATATCAGCTCGCTGTAACCTCCACCTCCTGGGTTCAAGCAATTCTCCTGCCTCAGCCTCCCAAGTAGCTAGGATTACAGGCGCCCGCCACCATGCCTGGCTAATATTTGTGATTTTAGTAGAGACAGGGTTTTGCCATGTTGGCCAGACTGCTCTCAAAACTCCTGACCTCAGGTGATCTGCCCACCTTGGCCTCCCAAAATGCTGGGATTACAGGTGTGAGCCACCACACCCAGCAGTTTTTTTAAGGTCACAAAATGACAAGACTAGGATTTGGACCCAGTTCTGTTCGACTCAAAATAGAGTGCCCTACACTTATGTGTCATGCTGCATTTGGCAAGTCACGTCACTTCTTTGAATCTCCTTTTCCCTCTGCAAAACAGTAACCTTATCTAGCCTGCAGACTTCAAAGGTGGTTATGGAGATCAAATGAAGTAAAATGTTTTAAAAATTGTACAATATATACCAATAAAAGCTATTGGGGAGGTATATGTATGAACAGGTAGTTGGTTTTTCTACCCTGCCACCTCATAAAGAGTTTGCAGTGGCACGTAGAAGGGTTTATCTTATTATCACAAAGCTACCCATTTGCTGGCCATACTGATACTTGGCACATTAAACTATCAGAGAAATATATGTGGCTCCTTTACAACTGTGTCTAGAAGGGTACATTTCCAATCAGAGTTCCCAGGTTCTGACTTTCTCCCATTACATATTTGTAATTAGTCATCTTTGATACTGATTCAAATTTTTGATTAACATTAATTATATATATTTACAAGAATCTTATAAAAATTAAGATTTTATTTCACCTCATTTTGCCCTGTGAGATAGATGGAAATAGACTATATTCTACCCAGGTTAAAAGTACAGATAATGAGACAAAATGTCAATAGAACCTGAAAAAAGATTTTTTTAGTTGCCTCTAGTCTCTGTTTACTTGGTATAGATAGTATGCTGCTTTTTTTTTTTTTTTTTTTTTTAAATGTAACTGCTGGGTTGTTTTTTGTTTCTTGTTTTTTCTTTCCCTCCAGGATACAATGTCTCTTTGCTATATGACCTTGAAAATCTTCCGGCATCCAAGGATTCCATTGTGCATCAAGCTGGCATGTTGAAGCGAAATTGTTTTGCCTCTGTCTTTGAAAAATACTTCCAATTCCAAGAAGAGGGCAAGGAAGGAGAGAACAGGGCAGTTATCCATTATAGGGATGATGAGACCATGTGAGTATAGAATTTGGTCCTGAAGCCTGGATATGGCTGCTACACCACCATGGCACTTACTGAAAGAAATATGGCTTGGTCAAACTTTCAGCTGTATTGCGTGAAAATGTTTTTCTCATAAAATGTCTTAAGCCAGGAAGTAGATGATAGGGCAGAAATCAGCCACTCCTCCTACTCTCCAGATACTGAGAGCTGACAGATGGTGGAAAGAGAATCCAGTGCTTTCCTTTAAGGCACCACTGTTCTGAGTCATGTTTAAGAGTATAGCCTGGATAATCAGCAGGCAGGGTGACCATAGGTCCATGTTATATTTACAAGTCAATAAAATCTACTTCTGATAATTTCCATCTGCTGCCTCTCTTAGGGCATTCATTTTGTGCACTGACTTTGTTGACCATAAATATCATCTCATTTGGCACACCTTTATATTATGATTTAAGAGATTTATGACTTTAGCCTTCTGATGTACTTGTAGATCAAGTTATTGACAAAACCCCATTCTGATTCTGTACTTATCCTCATGGATTTTGTTCCTCTCAGGTATGTTGAGTCTAAAAAGGACAGAGTCACAGTAGTCTTCAGCACAGTGTTTAAGGATGACGACGATGTGGTCATTGGAAAGGTGTTCATGCAGGTATGGAGCAGACATCTTGGGGGAAACCCATGCATGGCGACTTATACCTTTGCACCCAAACATACCATGAGCGTAGGAAAGAGATCTAGCAACTCTACTGATGTTAGAATTTTTTTTTTTTTTTTCGAGACGGAGTTTCTCTCTTGTTGCCCAGGCTGGAGTGCAATGGAGTGATCTCGGCTCACTGCAACCTCCGCCTCCCAGGTTCAAGCAATTCTCCTGCCTCAACCTCCTGAGTAGCTGGGATTGTAGGCATGCACCACCACACCCAGCTAATTTTGTATTTTTAGTAGAGACGGGGTTTCTCCATGTTGGTCAGGCTGGTCTCAAACTGCCGACCTCAGGTGATGCCCATCTCGGCCTCCCAAAGTGCTGGTATTACAGGCATGAGCCACCATGCCCAGCCTTGACGTTAGAATTTGTTGAAGATTTAATAGACAACTCCCACAAAACTCAGTGAATATTTTTTGTTGCTGCTGCTGTTGTTTTGAGGTGGAGTCTTGCTCTGTCGCCAGGCTGGAGTGTAGTGGCACGAACTCAGCTCACTGCAACCTCCGCTTCCTGGGTTCAAGCAATTTTCCTGCCTCAGCCTCCCAAGTAGCTGGGATTACAGGCACGCGCCACCACGCCCAGCTAATTTTTGTACTTTTAGTAGAGATGGGGTTTCACCGTGTTGGCCAGGATGGTCTCAATCTCCTGACCTCATGATCCGCCCGCCTCAGCCTCCCAAAGTGCTGGGATTGCAGGCATGAGCCACCGCGCCCAGCCTGATATTTTTTTTCTCAGTGGTTTAGTTTTGCAGGACAGAACTAAAGGGTAAGTTGAGAATTAAACATACTAACTATGAATGAATGTTATGCATCCTTCCTACTGTGGGGTCTTTGACCTAAAACTTTGTCAGGTTTCCTAACCCTAACCTCTTGTGTTTCCTCAGATTTCTAGTAAGGTGGCTGCTCTTGGTTTGGTCCTAAGGTCTTTTCAGAATGGACTGTATAGCCAATTATTTGGTAGTAGATAACGCATGAACAGGTAGAGTTGTTGAACTGACAGACTGAGCCTGAGTTTGGATGGGTCACCATAGAGTACTTCCCTCACAAGAAGCTCATCTTAAGAAGAGTCATGAGAGGCCAGGCGCGGTGGCTGACGCCTGTAATCCCAGCACTGTGGGAGGCCGAGGTGGGCGGATCACGAGGTCAAGAGGTCAAGACCATCCTGGCCAACATGGTGAAACCCCGTCTCTACTAAAAAAATACAAAAAATTAGCCGGGTGTGGTGGCAGGCACCTGTAATCCCAGCCACTTGGGAGGCTGAGGCAGGAGAATCTCTTGAACCTGGGAGGCAGAGGTTGCAGTGAGCCAAGATTGCACCATTGCACTCCAGCCTGGGCAAAAAGAGCGAAACTCCGACTCAAAAAAAAAGAGAGTCCTGAGAGTTAGCAGGGCATTTTGTAATTGGATTTTTGGTGTAGTTGCATTCAGGTCATTGTGTACCAGTCTGCTGGCCAGTTAGTTGCTGCCTCTAGGATGGACATGAGAGTTCATTGGTCAAGTGACATTCAGGCTGGTTTCTTCTGAGATGGCTCAGCATTCAAAATCTAGTACAATGGTAAAATTTTTTGAAAACGTTACTACCTTCATTCTGTTCCTTGGCAGGGTGGTAAAGATTTTTAAATTCTGAAGCAGAATCTCTTTTGCCAAATAGAGTTGAAAGACAGCTGTGCTTAACAGTAAAGATACTTTGCATAGCCTTCTAAGTGGCTAGGAAAATCTTCAAAAGTGATATTCTCAACTGCTCCATCCCTAGTGGCTTTTGTATTTTGGCTAATTAATCAGAAACTAGTTTGGGAGTCACTATACAGAAAAATTGGAATATTGACACTTCAGCATTTGCTAGTGCTGAACTTGATGAAGGAATATATAAATATACATGTATCTCTTGGGTCCTAAAAGTAAGCCTCTAGAGAGGCATTTCATGTGTTTTTATGCAGAATTGACAGGGGAATTAAATGCAGTAGCTCAGAAATTGGGCTAAATCCAGAGTAACAAAACTAATTTTAAAAGCTCTGAAGTATATATTTAGATTTGGCTGGTTTTTTACCAATCTTATTCCATTTTATTCCAGGAAACAACTTATTTTTATACTTTAAACAGATCTTATCTTGGAGAGTGTACCGGAGATTTGTTCCTTAGGAGAATTTTGTGTATTCTTTTTTGGCATATGATTTAAATGCCTCCTTCAGGGTACCTGTGGTAGGGCACTTACCTAAAAGGAAAGACAAAGCCTCTTTTGCATTTTGGCACTAACAGGATCTCTGGATAGTAACTGGCCTGGTGCAGTGCTAGCTAGACTCAGGAAGTCATCTGCCCTGCCACCCTTTCCAAATTCAGAGGCTTAGGTAATTTGTTGGAAATGACAATCGGAAACTGGACTTTTGCTGGATTTTCCCAAAAAATAAATAGAACTTTTTCCTAGGCCTGGAATTGTAAATTTCTCGGAAAAAGAATGAGGGACACCTGGCACAGAAAGTTGTACCCTGAGAACACTATTTGAAGTTCCTCATGGTCACTAGTCTACTTGTTGCCAGCCTTTGTGGCCTTTCCCTTCCAGCATGCACATCCAGCCTGATCAGAATTCAAGTCTTGCTTTTGTCATTTGGCAAGCAGGCTCTGAGGGATGCTTTCTACCTCTCAGAAAAAGACAGGAAGTGTATTCCTCCACACTAGTGGTATGGGCATATCAGCTGAGTACTGGAGAATGTCTGATAGAAGCCATCATTTCAATGCTTATTCCATGAAAAGCAATAGGACCAGTAATTATGCTTTTGGAGATTAGCTTATGGTGAACTAGAATTCTTTTCATATTCTAAGATTTTAAAGTCAAGTTAGTAACTAAATAACCAGGAAAAGTTAAGTGGAAACCACTGGTTTTTATATGTTCAGGGACAAAGACACAAGCACCTGCCTCTTAGGCAGTTGTAAAGATGTATTTTGAGGGCCCTTTCTGCCTGTTTGCATGTGTGGGTATGTCTGTAGGATATTTTCCTGAACTGGGAACACTGAGTCCAAGTCAGTAATTTTGGTAGACATTGCCAAACTCTTCTCCATCAGGGTAGTGGCATTTTATCATCTACCAGTGATGGAGAGGAGTGCCTGTTTTCCCAGAGTATGTTGTAAACTTGTGGATTTCTCCTGATCTGATAGGTTAAAGGTGGTATCTGTGTCTGCTTATGATGACATAAAAAGATGTTCTGAGGTCAGAACATCTTTTCTTAATGTTATAGACCATTTGATTTTCTTATGAAGTGTCTCTTTATGTCCTTTACCCATTATTCTGTAGGGTCATTGAGCTTCTCAATTTCTTTACATACTAGGGAGAGTAGCCTTTCATCTGTGATTAAGAGTTGAAATATTTTCTCCAGTTTGTCATTGGACCGTGTTTTGTGGGGTTTTTTCCACCATGTGGAAGTTTGTTTTTACATAATCAAATTAATCAGTCTTGCCTTTTATGGCTTCTAGATTTTGAGTTATAGGTAGAAAGCCCTTCCCTACTCGAAGGTTATAAAGAAATTTACCTGTTATTTTCTGAGTATTTTTACAGTTACATATTTTATACATGATTTTTTCTTATTTGTTGAGAGCTCCTCTTGTTGTATGGTATGAAAGAATGATCTTTTTTTCCTAAATGGCTATCCAGTGGTCCCAGTGGCAATTATTTCCTTTTTTACACCCCTGATTTAAGATGCTACTTTTATCATATGCTAAATGCCTTGTATATATTTGGATTTATTCCGAACTTCCTATGATAAATAGTACTTTGGAAGAGAGAAATAATCTGATGCTCAAAAGACATCCTAGCCAGAAGGAGAGTAAAAAGGCAATATTGCTTGATTACGTATAACAAAGATGCCAATGAAGATGGAGGGCTGTTTGGGTGTGTTTGTTTGTTTAAGCTTTATTTAGGAGAGAGAACTGAGGAGAAGCAAAGACATCAGAGAATCTAAAGAATAGTCCCAGTCAGGCACAGTGGCTCACGCCTGTAATCCCAGCACTTTGCGGGGCCTAGGCAGGTGGATCACTAGAGGCCAGTTTGAGACCAGCCTGGCCAACATGGTGAAACCCTGTTTCTACTTTAAAGGCCAAAAATTAGCCGGGAATGATGGCACACGCCTGTAATCTCAGCTACTCGTGAGGCTGACACATGAAAATCACTTGAACCTAGGAGGTGGAGGTTGCAGTGAGCCAAGATCACGCCACTGCACTCCAGCCTGGGTGACAGAGTGAGACCCTGTCTCAAAAAAGAAAGAAAGAATAGGCCCAAGCCAGAAACGTATCGTTGACCGAGCCTTAAATATGTTATTTTCCATATACAAAACTAATGAGTGCTAATAAGTCACCACTGGTTTATAAATACCCCATCTCATTGTGAATACCACATGTACCTGTGAATTAGAGCCTTGGAGACACTTAACAGACACAAGAAAATGCCAACAGTTACGTATCTGTTCTGTTTAATTCCTTAATACCGAAAAGTAAAACCAGTAAAAGTTAAAAAGCTTCTTAACCCCTTTGTAGAATAAAAAATGTTTTCTAGAGAAGGGCGATTTTAGAAGCTTTGCTCTAGAAATTTCCATTTGGGATAATCTTGACTCCTTCCCTTCCTTTTTGGATATTTTTCCTTCGGGGAACAAAATCTGTTCAAAAGGGGACTAATCTAACCCAGTTGATGGTCATTTCTTTTCCTACTTAAAGCTTGGTAGTGTTAGCATGAGAGGCAGTTTGTGAAATAGGTGAGGTCCCAGGCTGGGCATTGGGGCTCCTCAGCCATCATCTTTCTTTTGCCACTAATTGTCGAGAGGGCTTGCTAATCAGTGTTTATTCTTCCTGCCTGCAACTGGAAACAGCCCTTGCCTATTCCTGTACAGTGTGATGATACTAAACCAGCTAGGGTAGAAGCACTTGCTTTCTCTCAGCAAGGCATGTGCTGCATAGCCTCTTTGAAAGACAGAAGAATAAATTACAAAGATAAATTAAGCAGGATCTTTGATTTGAACTCATAACCTGGTAGGGGAGCCAGATACATTAATGAATGGTAAAATATCATAGTAGAGGTTTGTAGAAAAGACATGGCAGCTCCAGCAAGAGAGCAGTACCTGCCTGGGTTTGTTGGAGATGGTATTAGGAGGCAGTATTTGAGCAGCAGTAGAAGGGCACGCAGGCCACATGGCTGTGTAACCATGCCTTCAGAACTCCTAAAACAAGAGACCTTGGAGAGTCCTTGGCAGCATCCTCCTGCTGTCTATCATCTTGGAAGGCCCACTTGATGAATTTGGATTATCCAGTTTTACTGGCATTGCTAGAAAATCTACTTCTGTTCTTGCAGATCTGGCTGAGAGAGAGAAGCCTTGTATTACTTGTCTATTTACATAGGAATGTATGGACTGTAGAAGCTTCAGGTTTGGAGATTGGAACATAGAAGGAAGGGCTTCCTTTATGAGCACCAAGACAACTCAGCTTCTTTCATTCCATTGTCTTCTGTCCGCAAGAAGAGCTTAAGTTTGCTCTAAAGATTTTATTGATGAATTCTAAATAGCAACAGGATCCTCAGTGAAAAAAGACTCATGCAAAGTCCCAGAGCCCAGAGAAAGTATGGTAGTTTATCACCTATGTTAGTGCAAAGGAAAAGGATTATCACTACTTTTCATCACATTTTGAAGATCTGACTTATTAAGTACTTTGCAGTCTCTCCCGTTTGAATCTGAAGTGTAGTGGTAGCAGCTAGCACTTGTCATATTTCAGGTTTGGTGTAGTTTATTTTTAACCTCCTGCTGGTCTGGAGGGCTACAAAGGTCACACCACATAGAACAAACCCTATAGCTTGAGTTGCCACTCATCTTACACCCACTTCTCTTCTGGTTGCTTTTGCTTTGTCTTGGCAGGAGTTCAAAGAAGGACGCAGAGCCAGCCACACAGCCCCACAGGTCCTCTTTAGCCACAGGGAACCTCCTCTGGAGCTGAAAGACACAGACGCCGCTGTGGGTGACAACATTGGCTACATTACCTTTGGTGAGCAGGGTGCACTTGCTGCTTTTGTGCCGCTTTAATGAGTTCACACAGCAGAATACCTAAATCTGCACAGAACCTTGGTTAACATTTTAAGGTAGGCAAACGCAGGCATACCAACTTGTTCCTGTTGCCATTGCAGTGACTAAAGGAGGGATGTCACAGGGTATTAATTACAGAGCAGGCCATATGCTATTTTTGTACAGTAATCCTTTCCTTTTTTTCCCCATTTTTCTTAAATCTTAAAAATAAGACTGAATTCTGATATCAAGAGTTAAGGTCCCTTCAATAGTTCAGCTGGTAGAGCAGAGGACTATAGCTACTTCCTCAGTAGGAGACGTCCTTAGGTTGCTGGTTCGATTCCAGCTTGAAGGAGACAAGTACAGTTTTGGCTGGGCACGGTGGTTCATGGCTGTAATCACAGCACTTTGGGAGGTTAAGGCAGGTGGATCACGAGGTCAGGAGATCAAGATCATCCTGGCCAATGTGGTGAAACTCTGTCTCTACTAAAATACAAAAAAAAATTAGCTGGGCATGGTGGCGCACGTCTGTAGTCCCAGGTACTCCAGAGGCTGAGGCAGGAGAATTGCTTGAACCCGGGAGGTGGAGGTTGTAATGAGCTGAGATCGTGCCACTGGACTCCAGCCTGGGCAACAGAACAAGACTCTTGTCTCCAAAAAAAAAAAAAAAGAGTTGAGGCTGGGTGCGGTGTCTCACGCCTGTAATCCTAGCACTGTGGGAGGCCAACATGGGCAGATCACCTGAGGTCAGGAGTTCGAGACCAGCCTGACCAACATGGTGAAACACTCCGTCTCTACCAAAAAAATAACAAAGAAATTAGCTGGGCGTGGTGGTGTGCGCCTGTAATCCCAGCTACTCGGGAGGCTGAGGCACAAGAATCCCTTGGACCCAGGAGGCGGAGGTTGCAGTGAGCTGAGATCACACCATTGCACTCCAGCCTGGATGACAGAGTGAGACCTTGTCTCAAAAAGAAAAAAGAAAAGAGTAAAGGATAGGCGGGGCACAGTGGCTCATACCTGTAATCCCAGCACTTTGGGAGTCCGAGGTTGGTGGGTCACTTGGGTCCAGGAGTTTGGGACCAGCCTGGATAACATGGTGCAGGCTCATCTCTACAAAAAGCAAGGGGCCAGGCACAGTGGCTCACACCTGTAATCCCAGCACTTTAAGAGGCCAAGGCGAGCAGATCACTTGAGGTCAGAAGTTCGAGACCAACCTGGCCAACATGGTGAAACCACACCTCTACTAAAAATACAAAAATTAGTTGGACATGGTGACATGTGCCTATAGTCTATAGTCCCAGCTACTCGGGCAAGCGAGGCATGGCAATTGCTTAAACCCAGAAAGTGGAGGTTGCAGCAAGCCGAGATCATCCTGCTGCGCTCCAGCCTGGGAGACTGTCTCAAAAAAAAAGATAACTAGGCATGGTGGTGCATGACTGTAGTCATAGCTACTTGAGAGGCTGAGGTGAGAGGATCACTTGAACCCAGGAGGTAGAGGCTGCAGTGAGCTGTGATGGCACCACTACACTCCAGCCTGGGTGGCAGAGTGAGACCCTATCTCACCAAAAAAAGGAGTTAAGAAGAGAACCACCTAAGCAGCTAGATGGGGGTTCTCTGTCATTTGGCAATTCTTGGTTTTTTGCTTATTAAGCCCAAGCTCCAGCCGTGATCCACTTACTCCACTTTTTCGCGGAATAAATTCAGGTCTTCCTTCAGTTGCTCCAGCCTCATGCACTGGCTGATTATGATAGCTTACAGTTTGGAATTAATAAGCTTGTTCACACTGCACCCAATGCCACTGGAATGTCTCCTTTGTGAAATGTAATTTAATTCACCTCAGTGGTAAAGGTGAACCTGTTTATTGGTGATGAATCTGTTGATTTACCAAATTTCATTAAATCTAAACTATACACTTTTTTCTTTTTTCTTTCTCTCTGTCACCCAGGCTGGAGTGCAGTGGTGTGATCTCGGCTCACTGCAACCTCTGCTTCCCAGGCTCAAACAATTCTCGTGCCTCAGCTTCCCAGGTAGCTGGGACCACAGGCGTGTGCCACCACACCCGGCTAATTTTTGTATTTTCAGTAGAAACAGGGTTTCCAGCTGGGCACGGTGGCTCACGCCTGTAATCCCAGCACTTTGGGAGGCCGAGGCAAGTGGATCACGATGTCAGGAGATCGAGACCATCCTGGCTAACACAGTGAAACCCCATCTCTACAAAAAATACAAAAACTTAGCTGGGCGTGGTGGTGGGTGCCTGTAGTCCCAGCTACCCTGAAGGCTGAGGCAGGAGAATGGCGTGAACCTGGGAGGCGGAGCTTGCAATAGGCCAAGATCACGCGACTGCACTCCAGCCTGGGCGACAGAACAAGACTCCGTCTCAAAAAAAATTAAAAAAAAAAAAAAGAAACAGGGTTTCCATGTTGGCCAGGCTGATCTCAACTCCTGGCCTCAAGCAATCCACTCACTTCAGCCTCCCAAAGTGCTGGGATTACAGGCGTGTGCCACTGCGCCCAGCCAGCTATACCATTTTTTTCAAGTTTTTGTCTTTGAAGCTGGGATGCATCTTACAATTCATAGCATGTCACACTTTAATTGGCAGCATGTTTCTCTTGTGGTACATAAAATTATGGCAGACTTACAGTCATAAGCACCTTAGATTCTTTGAAGTATAGTTGTCTTCTGTTGTGGTGTTCATTTACTTTCAGGCCAGGGCACATTGACACAGAAATTCCACACTTCCTTAGGAGGCATTCCTTTTCATTTCAACGAAAACTTCAGACAACTGACGGGGTTTTGCAGATAGTGAGTAGAGGAGGTGCAGCAGGTAAAAACGATTCCAGAAAACCAGGGCAAGAGGGGCATGCAGGCCTGCTGTAGTGCAAAGGACTTTGTGATGAGCACACAGGTCTTTTTTTGAGATGGAGTCTTGCTCTGTCACTCAGGCTGGAGTGCAGTGGCACCGTCTTGGCTCACTGCAACCTCCACCCCCCGGGTTTAAGCGATTCTCCTGCCTCAGCCTCCTAAGTAGCTGAGATTACAGGCACACGCCATCACATGTGGCTAATTTTTATATTTTTAGTAGAGATGGGGTTTCACCATGTTGGCCAGGCTGGTCTCAAAACTCCTGATCTCAGATGATCAGCCTGCGTCAGCCTCCCAAAGTGCTGGGATTACAGGCGTGAGCCATCGCGCCCAGCCTCACACAGGTCTTTAGGTGGCTGGTGTCACAGGGTGGACTTCAGTCAGGCCCATTCAGAGCAGCTCCTCCTGCCTGGCCTATCATGAGGGTTCAGGTCCTTACACCTTATTGTCTGTTTTCACAGTGAGAATATGGGAAATTCTCTGGCATCTGTTTTCTGGGAAGGTTTACTCTATTTCAGCACCAAGGACCTAAGACAGGCAGCTGCATTTCCTAATCCTGATTCCTTAAAGTAAACTGTTACAGCCAGTTAGTGTGATCCTGGAGTGTGTCCAGCTGCAGAGGCAAGAGCTAGTACCTGTGTGGCAGACCGGAAATAGATTTCAAAATGCACAGCTGCAGAATTCAGGAGTAGAATGAAGGCCTAGGGTCAAGCCCTGTTTTTCATCGTGGGCTCCTCCATTCACGCTCGTTGACACCTTTCCTGGCCATGCTGTTTAACTTCCATGTCAAGAAAAAACCCTGACAAAGCCTGGTAATACTGACACAAGTGGAGTGTACTTAAGCAGAGAGGGAGTGATGTTCACTAGGCTGTTGTTCTTCCCCACCCTTTGGCATTTGTGTCGTGTCCTGACGCCTTGTTTGTGTCTTCCGCCTTCAGTGCTGTTCCCTCGTCACACCAATGCCAGTGCTCGAGACAACACCATCAACCTGATCCACACGTTCCGGGACTACCTGCACTACCACATCAAGTGCTCTAAGGTGAGGGGGGTGCCAGCATCTCAGCCTCTATGCTCTGGGTCTTTTCCTCCACCAGAACTCCTGACAGAAAGTCATTCCATTAGTCTACGCTGTGGATATTGACTCTTAGGTAAATAATTCTAGAGGCTTCAAGAAACCATGGTCTTTCTTCATCAAGCCACTGTCCCCCATCCCTCCCTATAGCAGAGATGAATATTTGTTTCCAGAATTGCTCACCTTCCTGCTTCCCTGCAGGGCCTGGGTCAATCCCAGGGTGTATGTTCCCAACCGCCCTTGATGACCTCTCTGATGAAAGACAGCAAAGCTGTCTTTCTAGACCATGACTGTGCTTTAGTACCTGTTATGTTTGTTCCCAGGCCTATATTCACACACGTATGCGGGCGAAAACGTCTGACTTCCTCAAGGTGCTGAACCGCGCACGCCCAGATGCCGAGAAAAAAGAAATGAAAACAATCACGTAAGTTAGGCAGCACCCCAGCGACCACCTTCCTCTCCTGAGTCACCGAGAAGGAAGCAGTGGGCGCTGGTGGCCTGGTCCTCCATGTATCTGGGCACTGGCTACATATGAGGTCAGCAGGGCTAAGTAGATAAACCAAAGGTGGGATTCCATGTTCTCACTGCCATATAGGCCAGGATGGGTTTCCTTGTTTCCGTATCTTTGTGAGCTATGAGAATGGCAGCTAGGAAATAAACAAAGTTTACCAAGAGACTGTTCTTTTTGGGCCTGAGTTATGAGGTCAGTCTTGTGCTTTTGGTGGTCTTTCTGGAGAGATGGAGTAAGTTGCTTAGGGACCTTTAATTGGGTAAATAGGCCTGAAACCACCCCACTAAGTGTTCTTTTTCCTGGTCCACTCTCAGCAGGAAGTTTGCATGCAGAGGAAGGTTCTCTTTATCAGGGATAGAATTGAGGAGAGCCGTGACGGGCGCTGTGGCTCACGCCTGTAATCCCAGCACTTTGGGAGGCTGAGATGGGTGGATCACAGGGTCAGGAGTTCAGGACCAGCCTGGCCAAGACGGTGAAACCCCATCTTTACTAAAAATACAAAAAAAATTAGCCGGTCGTGGTGGCAGGTGCCTGTAGTCCCGGCTACTCGGGAGGCTGAGGCAGAGAATTGCTTGAGCCCAGGAGGCAGAGGTCGCAGTGAGCCAAGATTGTGCCACTGCACTCCAGCCTGAGCGACAGAGTAAGACTTAGTCTCAAAAAAAAAAAAAAAAATTTGAGGAGAGCCCTAAATAGGGGTGTGGCTCTGCATGCAGGAAAGGCGAGCATGGCCTAGAGCCTAGAGAGTTCCATCTTTGTGAAAGGTGCCAGACCTTGGTTCTTCTGATGAAATTCAGGCAGTCCTGTCCTTAAGATAAGGTAATAGTGTTCATTTGCTGGTTTTTGTTTGTTTGTTTGTTTTTTGGTGGGGGTGTTGGGGGAGACAGAGTCTCACTCTGTCGCCCAGGCTGGAGTGCAGTGGCGCGATCTCAGCTCACTGCAGCCTCTGCCTCCCAACTAGCTGGGACTGCAGGTGCACACCACCACGCCCGGCTAATTTTTTGTATTTTAGTAGAGATGGGGTTTCACCATGTTGCCCAGGCTGGTCTAGAACTCGTGAGCTCAGGCAGTCCACCCACCTCGGCCTCCCATCTGCTGTCTTTTGTACCAGTTGAACTAAAAGTCTTGAGGTCATAAGCCTCCCTCACAGCCAGTGTTATTTGCCAGCACCCCAGTACTGTTGTTGTTTTGTTTTGTTGTTTTGTTTTTGTTTTTTGTTTTTTGATACAGAGTTTCGCTCTTGAAGCACAGGCTGGAGTGCAGAGGCACAATCTTAGTTCACTACGACCTCTGCCTCCTGGGTTCAAGCAATTCTCTTGCCTCAGCCTCCCAAGTAGCTGGGACTACAGGCGTGCGCCACTAAGCCCCACTAATTTATTTGTATTTTTAATAGAGACAGGGTTTCACCATATTGGCCAGGCTGGTCTTGAACTGCTGACCTCGTGATCCACCTACCTCAGCTTCCCAAAGTGTTGGGATTAAGGAGTGAGCCACCGCGCCCAGCCCAGTACTCTGTGATCCCCAGCCAGGCTCAACCTCCTGGGCTCAAGCAATCCTCCCATCTCAGCCCCCCAAGTAGCTGGGACCACAGGCATGCACCATCACAGCTGGCTAATTTTTGTATTTTTGTAGAGACGGGATTTCACCATGTTGTCCAGGCTGGTCTCGAACTCCTGGACTCAAGTGATCCTCCCACCTCAGCCTCCCAAAGTGTTGGGATAACAGACATGAGCCACCACACCTGGCCCAGCACTCAGTACTCTTGAGGCAAAGTTTTAGTGGGTGTGGTACGCCTAGGGCTTTACACTCTCTCTCTTGCATTTGAGGGCTCTTCTACCAAGTTAGTTTCTGCTGTCATTTGAAAGGATGAGAAAGAGATCAAGGACTTGAGCAGTAGGTGAGGGTTTTCAGACATTGTCAAAAAGCAGTTTAAGGCCAGGTGCGGTGGCTCACGCTTGTAATCCCAGCACTTTGGGAGGCCGAGGCAGGCGGATCACCTGAGGTCAGGAGTTGGAGACCTCCAGCCTGACCAACATGGAGAAACCCCATCTCTACTAAAAATACAGAATTAGCTAGGCATGGTAGTGCATGCCTGTAATCCCAGCTACTCTGGAGGCTGAGGCAGGAGAATCAGTTGAACCCGGGAGGCAGAGGTTGCGGTGAGCTAAGATCGCACCATTGCACTCCAGCCTGAGCAACAAGAGCGAAACTCCATCTCAAAAAAAAAAGCACTTTTTAAGTCACCTCGACTTCTTTAGGCAAAGGCCTGTCTCTGTAGCAGCTCAGAGAGGAGTGTCCAAATGCCATGCAATGAAATGGCAGCATCGTTTCTTTTCTGCAGCTTCTTGGGCAGATCTTTAAATGGGCAAAGTGACCAACAAGGTGGGTGGGCAGGTGAGAGGATGTGCTTGCTGCCTCTCCAGAACCTAGTCTCCATCCTGGTGTCTACATTTTCCCCTTTCCCTGCTTGCTCTACACAGGAGTACTTTTCTCACCGGGTACTTGTTTGGTGACCTGGAGTGTGAGGCAGTGAATTTCATGCTGCTTTCAGGGCCCAGTAGACAGGCAGTTCAGTAGAGGCCAAGAGGTAAACTGGCAGCCAGGTACAGTGAGAGGGAAGCCTGACCTGGCAGCCTGTGATAACCGGACTGGAAGGCTGGGCATCATAATAGTCTCAGGGCTGCCAGCATCACCTTTGGCACTGGTAGCTGCTTGTGCATCCAGGAGGAAGGCCTGTTAGGCAGCTGCTGCCCGATTCCACAGCCAGCAGGCAGTCGTGGGAGTCCCTGCCCAGTGAGTGCAGTTGTGTAGCGGGCAGGGATAGCTCCCTGTCCTGGTGAGAGACCCAGGAAGGGATGAATCCTTAAAATGAACAGACTGTTCATAAGCCTCCTCTCTGGGACTTAGAAAGAGCAACTTTGCCTTCTTCTGTGCTGCAGCTTCTCTTTGGCAGAGTTGGGCCCCAGAAAGGAGAAGCAGGAGACAAACAGCTGCATCCACCCTGAAAACCAGATTATGTTACTAATGGTGGGTAGGAGTTAAGTGACTCAGCTGTGGGCAGAAGCCAGGAACCCTCGATGGGCCGCCCAGAATTGAACACTCAGGAGCTTTTCATTTGGAGAGAAGGATAATAAGGTGTAGCTTCATTTTGGAATAAGCGATACATCCAAGACAGGGAAAATCTAGAGCCCATGTTTTTGCCCTGATTTCCCATAGTTCTCAGCTCTAGCTTCCAGGCTGCTTTCCCAGATACTGTTAGGTACCAGTTAGAGGCTCTGTCCTTGAGAACCACCTAGCCCATCTGGAGAAATACTGGGTGGAACAGGACACCACAATTCAGGAGCCTCGAACCAGGCAGGTGTTGTATAAGCCAGAGGAGGAGTCACCACGTGATAGCAGAAATACCTTTAGCCTTGGAAGTTCTGAGGATTGCTCTGAACCAGCCACCTGCCTTCATGGTGAGAGATAAAGGAACTGCTATCTGGGAGCCCTGAGAGGTATACACTGTGTAGGAGGAGCTGACAAATGAGGTAGTACTAAGAAGACGGTTTGAGCCTAGTCGGAAATTCAGGTACGTCTAGGCCATCCAGAAATTGTGAACAAGTGATTCTTCTATCTAACTTGGTACGTTGAATGTCCTTGTGGGCTTAACACTGATATTCCCGGGCATCCAAAGTATCCAATAGGAAGGAAGAGCTCGTGAAACCATTCTGTGAAAGCCAGATTTTAGCCGATGTCCTGTGGTTCCAGTGCCTCTGCTTAAGGAATCTAGCCCTTTCCACCTCTCATTTGGTGTTTCTTTGGGATCCCATCTAGTCTAGGAGTGTGGGGTGGGAGGAAAGGGCAGCCAGAAACTGACCTTCGCACTTATCTCTCCTTTTGAAGGGGGAAGACGTTTTCATCCCGCTAATCTTGGGAATAAGAGGAGGAAGCGGCTGGCAACTGAAGGCTGGAACACTTGCTACTGGATAATCGTAGCTTTTAATGTTGCGCCTCTTCAGGTTCTTAAGGGATTCTCCGTTTTGGTTCCATTTTGTACACGTTTGGAAAATAATCTGCAGAAACGAGCTGTGCTTGCAAAGACTTCATAGTTCCCAAGAATTAAAAAAAAAAAAAAAAGAATTCCACTTGATCAACTTAATTCCTTTTCTTTATCTTCCCTCCCTCACTTCCCTTTTCTCCCACCCTCTTTTCCAAGCTGTTTCGCTTTGCAATATATTACTGGTAATGAGTTGCAGGATAATGCAGTCATAACTTGTTTTCTCCTAAGTATTTGAGTTCAAAACTCCTGTATCTAAAGAAATACGGTTGGGGTCATTAATAAAGAAAATCTTTCTATCTTACATGAGAATTTGCTGGGTTTCTGGACTGCGAGTCCAAAGTGAGAAGAGAAGGAAGGAAGAAGGATAGACCTATACTACCCTTGAACCTGCAAACCTAAGCTGGGAAGCCCTAGTTTCAGGAGCCCATCAGGTTTAGATCCTCACCTTCCCTAGAGGAGAGAATGGCTGGCCAGTGAGCTATATTTAAACTTTTTTTTTTTCCCCCTGAGAGACAGGGTCATTACCTCCTGGGCTCGGGTGATCATCCCACCTCAGCCTCCCAAATAGCTGGGATTACAGGCGCATACCACTATGCCTGGCTAATTTTTTTTATTTTTAGTAGAGATGAGGTTTCGCCATCTTGCCCAGGCTGGTCTCAAACTCCTGGACTCAGGCAGTTTGCTTGCTTCAGCCTCTCAAAGTGCTGGGATTATAGGCATGAGCTATGGAACCCAGCGAGCTATTAATACAAACTTACATGCTTCCTTATAAAGCTTGGTCCCTGAGACTCTGTGGCTGCTCCTGAAGCTCCCTGGTCAATGACAGAGAAATTAAAGGGTTTTCTGGTTTATCTTTTTATTGTGAATAATGTGTGGAATTTCCCAAAATGTGTTCCTTAGTGTGTGGTCCTGCAGGACATTGATGAGTATTCAGGTGTGGGTCTGATGCAGACTAATTGGCCACAGTTTGTCTTTCTCACATGGCAGCCCAAAAGACTGCTCTCAGGGAGAGCAGTTGTCAAAAACAGTACAGAGCCTAGTAGAGCAGCTGTCCCCCAGCAGGACTCTGGTCCCTGAAATGAAATTGCTTCAGAAAGTTTGCTTGGTGTAAGGAATTAAGAGGAGAATTTTAGGGGCACCTGCAACGGTCTGATGGTCATTCTAATGGTTTCTGCCTTCCATCTATGGCAGTGTTTCATACTGGCTTGGGACCCATTAATTGTGGTGTGACTATATCACAACAAGCATTTTTGTTTTCTAAACTTTTGATTTTGAGATAACTGTAGATTTAAATACGGTTGTAAGAAACAATACAGAGAGATCCTGTATACCTTCCACTTGGTTCCCCCACCATGCTAACATCTTGTATAATTGTTGTATAACATCACAGCCAAGAAAAAATCATTAGTATAGTCCACACACCTTCAGATTTGGCCGGATTTACGTGCACTGTATGAGATGTACATCTGTGCATTTTTATCATACGTGTAGCTTTGTGTGACGCCAGCATTTTTAAGCAATTGAATAGTATCAGAGTGCATTACATCTGTTAAGGGTAAGTGTTGATGTGGAAACGTATTTTAGTTACATATGCACATCATGACTGGATTGTAGAAATGTCTCTTGACTGTGAGTCACAGTGGAGAATTTTGAAAACCACAGGTCGTTCAGTCATCAGACTTGATTTTATTTCACTAAAATGGGCTGCTAGAGAGCTCAAGGTACTCTGATTTCTAATTGGCTGCTCAGGGTGCCCCTGACCACTTACTTCTGGTACTTGGAAAACCTAGATTAATTGGATATATTGACAGCAACATATGCATTCTCTACCCCATGAGTTATTTAAGGGGTTTTCAAGTGTAATTTTGACTAGAAGCAGTTTTTGCTCTTTTTTTGTTTTAATTTTAGTTTTTAGAGACAGGGTCTCACTGTGTTGCCGAGGCTGTACTCAAGCTCCTGACCTCCGGAGTAGCTGGAACTACAGGCACCTGCCACTATGTCCAGCTGAGTTTTTGCTTTCTTCCTTAGTAGAACATAACTAATGTTGGAGCTCACTGTACTCTTTTGCCAGTAGTAGGAATCCGATTTCTGGTAAGTACTGTAGGTGACAGAACCAAGGTTGCTTAGAAGATATGGAGTTAGGAGAAAAATGAAAAGGCATAAATATTTTCTACAGCAGTAAATCCTAAGGAAGTAACTAGTTCCAAGACACTGTCAACATTAAAAATCCATAGTGCAGGCTGAGCACAGTGGCTCACACCTGTAATCGTAGCACTTTGTGAGGATGAGGAAGGAGGATTGCTTGATCCCGGGAGTTTGAGACCAGCCTGGGTAACGGTGAGACTCCTTCTCCATCTCTATAAAAATAAATCTGGCTGGGCACGGTGGCTCACGCCTGTAATCCCAGCACTTTGGGAGGCCAATGCGGGTGGATCACCTGAGGTCAGGAGTTTGAGACCAGCCTGGCCAACATGGTGAAACCCCATCTCTACTAAAAAAAAATTAGCTGGGCATGGTGGCGGGTGCCTGTAATCCCAGCTACTCGGGAGGCGGAGGCAGGAGAATCACTTGAACCCAGGAGGCGGAGGTTGCAGTGAGCCAAGATACGCCATTGCACTCCAGCCTGGACAACAAGAGCGAAACTCTGTCTCAAAAATAAATAAATGTGTAGTGCAGCCTGGACAACATGGCAAGACCCTGCCTCTACAAAAAATAAAAATCGGCTGGATGTGGTGGTGCATGCCTGTGGTCCCAGCTACTCAAGAGGCTGAGGCAGGAGGATTGCTTGAGCCCTGAAGGTCAAGGCTGCAATGAGCTGTGTCGTGCCACTCCACTCCAGCCTGGGCAACAGAGTGAGACCCTGTCCCAGAAAAAAGAAAAATCCATACTGGTGTAAACCCGTATCCAGATTGACTCTTCTCTTAACAAGGACACACTTGGCGTTAGTATGGATCTAGCCTCAAAGACCCTCGTCACAGATGAAGCAGCCCATCGTGACCAGTCGAGGCCTTAGGACCGCAGGAGGAATGTCTCAGGATGAGGGTCAAGCACACTGAGGGTGTGGGCTGGAAAAAAGGGATCTAGTTGTTTCTTCCTAGTCTCAGGAAGCCAGTGCCCCAAGGGTTCACACCTGGTAAGTGTAGGCGTCCTTGGATATGGGCTGTAGAGGAACAGTTTGAATCCAGGTGCCGCCATCTAATAGCTATGTGACAGCAAATTTCTTAATCTGAGCCCTGGTAGCCTCATTTAAATTGGACATAATGCCACCTACCTGAGGATTTGTAAAAGGAAAAGAGAATAAATGTCTGTTACATCATAAGCATTATGATGCCTGTAATTATAATGTCAATGAATCTTAGTTCCCTTTATACACTCAAGGGGATCAGAAGTGACAGGCTGTTGCCCCAGCAAAGTCCCACAGAAGCCAACCCTTATTCGGTGCTTGGGGTTTCCCAGGCTTTCCCCAAGGTAGTTGGTATTTTGGTATTTTCCCCTGCTTAAATGGCCCTTACTGCCGAGGCCAGGCAGGTAAGAATCTCCATGTCTGGAAAAAGTGGAACCTGGGGCAAACTGCAAGCTAAGGATAAGGAGCTTGGCAGGAAAGACGCTAAGACTCTAACAGGAAGTGGAAGGGTGGACTTGGAGGGGGAATTGAAATCAAGAAAAGGAAATAGCCCTAGCTGCTGCCTCAGCCTCCTTGAGGGGAGCTGATACTTGGAGTTGGTTGCCGTTAGGTTACCCTCATTTGGAGTAGTACTGATGAGTGCTCGACCGAAACCTGGGTCTACTCTGGTGGCGATTTTGAGTTCAAGCAGTGCTGCCCCCTACTGGGGGTTGCTAAAAGCACTGCCATTTCAGTGGGCGGGGGGTGTTGGTTCTTTTTGGTTTTTGGTTGGTTGGTTGGTTGGTTGGTTGGTTGGTTGGTTTTGAGACAGAGTCTCACTCTTCGCCCAGGCTGGAGTGCAGTGGTGCGATCTTGGCTCACTGCAACCTCCGCTTCCCGGGTTCAAGCAATTCTCCTGCCTCAGCCTCCGGAGTACCTGGGACCACAGGCCTGCACCGCCACACCCAGCTAATTTTGTATTTTTAGTAGAGGCAGGGTTTTTCCATATTGGCCAGGCTGGTCTCGAACTCCTGACAGGTGATCCACCCACCTTGGCCTCCCAAAGTGCTGGGAAAACAGGCGTGAGCCACTGTGCCCAGCCCACCCTAACCTTTTTTTTTTTTTTTTTTAACAGATGAGCGAATTAAAAGGTTAGGCGATTTTTTTTTTTTATTATTGGAGACTTGCTCTGTTGTGCAGTGGCGCAATCTCGGCTCACTGCAACCTCCCCCTCCTGGATTCAAGCGATTCTCCTGCCTCAGCCTCCTGAGCAGCTAGGATTACAGGTGCTCACCACCACACCTGGCTAATTTTTGTATTTTTAGTAGAGATGGGGTTTCACCATGTTGGCCAGACTGCTCTCAAACTCCTGACTTCAGGTGATCTGTCCACCTCGGCCTCCCAAAGTGCTGGGATTACAAGGATGAACCACCGCGCCTGGCTCTGATTTTTTTTAATCATCTTTATTTTGAGGCAGGGTCTCACTCTGTCGCCCAGGCTGCAGTGCAGTGGCGCCATGAAGGCTCACGGCAGCCTCAACCTCCTGGACTCGAGCAATCTTCACACCTCAGCCTCCTGAGTAGCTGGAACCACACAACATGTACCACTGTGCCCAGCTAATCTTTATTTTTTGTAGAGACGGAGTCTCACCACGTTGCCCAGGCCTCAGCCTCTTAAAGTGCTAGGATTACAGGCATTGAGTGTGAAGTGTTGAACAGCGGCTCAGGGAGGCCAACCAGGGTCCAGCAAACCCCGTCCCTGCTGCCTCCATTGGTCCAGAGCTGGTACCCGCAGCCAGCATGACACTCACCCAGTCCCAGACATTGTGGGTCAACAGAGAGAAATTCAGATAGCTAAGAGAATGGAAGCGGACAAAGGAGGCACAGGAGGATTCCATGCCAGAGTCTGAATTGGTCACCCCCATTCAGGCTCTGCCTGAGGAAAGGAGAATGGGGTCCGGGCACAGTCAGCTGGATGGAGCGTCTGAAGACGGCTTGCACCAGAGCCCTCCGTGGCTGAAGGGAGAAGCTAGGGGGTGAGTCAGCCCCAGGGCTTGATGGAACAGACAGGAACTAGATGATCTAGGAAGGGAGAAATGAGGCTGAGCAGGAGACAGCCCAGGCTCCCTGGCTGCCACTACCTAATCTGTCCCCCTTCACACACATCCCACACACAGTGTTTAGACAGAGCAGCAGAGAAGAAACAGACATCCTGGATCCCACAGGGAGCAGGCTGGGGCTGGGAACAGGAGGTCTGTTTATTCCTGGAAGTCACATATCAGAAGGGTCCCACACCCACTTCTGTCCAGGCCCCAGGCTGAACTCTCCCAGAGCCTGTGACTTCTGCCCGACCAGATCCCGTGGTTCTGAGGACCGGCCCTGGAACCCTGCGTCCTTCCGACCCACCAGCTCCCTCGAGGATGGACTTGAGGCTGGATGCTTTCCTCTTCCCACTTTTTGTCCCAACAGAAGTCCCTGATCTCCAGGATCCCTGACTGGCTGTGCAGAGCTGGCACAGCCACACTCCACGGGCTTCCAGCCCTTCAGGCCCAGCTCTCCCGGAGAGCACCAGAGTCCCTTTGCTCCATTTACTTGCGCTCTTCAGCCAGCAAGTGTTTCCTAATGTCTCACCCCCAGTCCCAGCTTTCCTGCTGCAATTTCCGCCTGTTCCCTCCCATTTCAGGCCTTAAGGGAGTGTGGCTGGGCTTCTCTCCTCCCCCTCACTCCAAAGCCGCACTTGATACAAGGTGGAAATCAAAGCACCACTTCTGGCTTCCCAGCCTTGAACTTGCCCTTCCCTCTCAATGTATCTGGTTTCCTCAGCTTCCCTGTGCAGCAAGAGTGTCACTCCCCTCTTGCTTTTCCCAAGCTCCCCATGCGCCCCTCTCAGCAGATCTGTCTTAGAGGGGCCAGGTGCAGAGAAAGGCAGAAATCCTAATAATGTTCCCAGCGATCGCTGCCTGTCGCGGAGTGCTGAAGGGCCAAGTGTTGATCTGAGTCCTCATCACACGGGACTTCATTTAGTCTCACGATAGGTGAGTACAACTATGGGCCCCATTTGACAGATGAGGAAACTAAGGCAAGGGAACTTTAGTCATTTGCCCAAGTTCACTGGCTTTTTTAAAAAAGGATCCAGACAGCTCTGATTCCAGCGCCAGCTCATGCCTCTTCATCATGGGGGAGGAAAGAGAGGGAGCCATTTGTTGGGGCAAACCCCCACCCATCAAGGGCCATGCACTGGGGTATATGCCGCCATATGTGTTATCCTGTGATATTCCCCACCACGACCTTAATTAGAGGTGGTTTTTCTTGTTCCCATTTTAACACAGGCAAAAACCGAGGCCCAGTAGTACCTTACCCATGGTCACATCCCCAGAGCCATTTGTCCCTCATAGTTCAGAACTTGACTCAGAAAGCAGTTGAGAAAAGTGTGGAATGACCCCAGATTCAGGAAGGCAAGTCTGGCCTTAGAAACTGAAAGGCCCATCAGGTGATGGGATGGGGGAGTGAAGATCCTCAGGCCCCAAACACCTGCCACTGCCACCATCACACACGGAAGTGTGGAGGGAGCCTGGTGTGCTGTCAGCTGGCTGGCCAGTCCAGGGGCTTAAATGTAAATGCATCAGCTGAGGCGGGAAGTCGGGAGGGGTAAGTCAATCATTATTATTCATTAACTGGAATGCATTTCTCAGATTACTCCGAGCTGGAGTAGGGAAACTGCCACCTAGGTGGCAGGGGGAGAGGGGAACTGGGTGGGAGGGGGAGGCAGGCCTCCCAGTTGCTGCAGTTTGGAATATGTCAGGTCCCACCCTCCCAGAGGCGGGGCCAGGGCTGAGTCCTGCCAGCCTCATTTCTCTATCCCTCTGAGAACCCAGACGGGCAGAGCCTGGGTAGGAGAGCCTGGCCCCGCTGTCCCCACTGGGTGGAGACACCATGCACTTGGTCCACTTGTGCTCTTCAGCCAGGACACCAGACATGGTCCAAACCGCTGCAGGGCTGGCTGCAGCAACTCCCTGACACTCAGGAAGGCCCAGGCTGGGCAGGCAATACCTGCTCCCAACAGCCATGTGAGTAGCTACTCCCCCAAACCCCCAAACCCCAGATCCTGGAGAGGCTACTACACCCAGCCCAAGCCACCAGACCCTCGGGGGTGTGCAGGTGGTACAGCCTGCACCCTGCTGGGAAATCACCCCTGGGGGCTGCTCCCTGCCTTTGTCGCTGTTCTAGTGGAGGTGGGTTGGGGGGAATCATTCCGATTAGGGCTGGGAGCTCCAGCTCAGGCCAGGTTTGGGGTAATGGACCCTGAGTCTCACGGGACTTAAGAGAGTTGATGATGCCCTGGGAAAGGGAACAGAAACTGCAAGGCCTCTAGAGAGGAAAAGACATCCTGGGTGGAGGGCACTGGAAGAGATTGAGAAAGAGAAAACATGCTTAGGGGAGGGGAAAGGGGGCATAAGGCCTTGGAGGCCCAGGCTCAGGGTGCTGGGGGAACCTGGGAAGGAAGGGGAGCATCTTCCTTCCTCTCAGCTCAGGGCAGCCATGGGGCCCTGATCCCCTGTCCTGGAGGAGGGGAGAGGTATGAATCCTTTCCTTATTGACTTGGATCCTAGCAACAGCAGCTGCTCCCCTGTTGACAGAAGCAGGAGTTCCCACAGGACCCAGGACCCCTCCCCCTGTCCCCAGGATGTGGCAGCAGAGCCATGACACTGGAGGACTGAGACCAGGGAATGACGGGAAGGACAGGGACAGATGAGAGCCACAGAGAAGCCAGACTCTGCCCAGACTCCTCTTCCCTCTCCTCTGGGCTCAGCCTCAGGCCTGGGGGTGTGGGGGAGTCCCTCTCCTTGCTGCTGGCATCTCCACGTTCACTGCCACACGTGCCCTCCAGCTGCTTCTCTCCTCCCTCCAGCTCCCAGGAAGGACCCTGTTGCTAGTGTGGAGCAAAGACGAGTCAAGTTTATGGGCTGGAAGTCCTACCCGGAGGCTGCTCACTGAGCTGTGATGGCTACAAGGACAGATGGGGGGAAGGGTGCAGGGTGCCCGAGACCTGGCCCGCTGGAGCCTGTCACCTAATGGCTGGCTGGAAGACCACTACACACCAGCCAGCCCTGGTCCATTCTCTCATTTAGAGGCCTCCCCGGTGGAGGCAGGGATACACAAAATGCTTTGGGGCTGGATGGGCCCGCCTTTCAGTCTAAACAAGAGACCTCAACACAGCTGCCCAGAAAAGGCAGATACCAGAAATGGATAAAGCTGGCTGGGTGGGGACTGTCCGAAGGGCAGCCAGCAGTGAGCTCCGGCTGGTTGCTACCACACAGGACATATGTGTTGCCAGACCTGAATTTTCAATAGAAACCAAAGATAGTTTTTTATATAAATGTTTAATTGGCAATTAATTGAAAAATTCTGTGTATCAGCGAACATGATACAGCCCACAGCCTGCGGGTCTGCGCCCCTGGATTAACATGCTGCCCTGCCAGGAGGACACGACCTGCAGCCCCATCCTAACTCTGGCCACCCCATCCTGCAGGCATGCCGGCTGCCGCTCCAGGACTCCCCTGTCCCCAGGACCAAGATGACGCCCAACAGCACTGGCGAGGTGCCCAGCCCCATTCCCAAGGGGGCTTTGGGGCTCTCCCTGGCCCTGGCAAGCCTCATCATCACCGCGAACCTGCTCCTAGCCCTGGGCATCGCCTGGGACCGCCGCCTGCGCAGCCCACCTGCTGGCTGCTTCTTCCTGAGCCTACTGCTGGCTGGGCTGCTCACGGGTCTGGCATTGCCCACATTGCCAGGGCTGTGGAACCAGAGTCGCCGGGGTTACTGGTCCTGCCTCCTCGTCTACTTGGCTCCCAACTTCTCCTTCCTCTCCCTGCTTGCCAACCTCTTGCTGGTGCACGGGGAGCGCTACATGGCAGTCCTGAGGCCACTCCAGCCCCCTGGGAGCATTCGGCTGGCCCTGCTCCTCACCTGGGCTGGTCCCCTGCTCTTTGCCAGTCTGCCCGCTCTGGGGTGGAACCACTGGACCCCTGGTGCCAACTGCAGCTCCCAGGCTATCTTCCCAGCCCCCTACCTGTACCTCGAAGTCTATGGGCTCCTGCTGCCCGCCGTGGGTGCTGCTGCCTTCCTCTCTGTCCGCGTGCTGGCCACTGCCCACCGCCAGCTGCAGGACATCTGCCGGCTGGAGCGGGCAGTGTGCCGCGATGAGCCCTCCGCCCTGGCCCGGGCCCTTACCTGGAGGCAGGCAAGGGCACAGGCTGGAGCCATGCTGCTCTTCGGGCTGTGCTGGGGGCCCTACGTGGCCACACTGCTCCTCTCAGTCCTGGCCTATGAGCAGCGCCCGCCACTGGGGCCTGGGACACTGTTGTCCCTCCTCTCCCTAGGAAGTGCCAGTGCAGCGGCAGTGCCCGTAGCCATGGGGCTGGGCGATCAGCGCTACACAGCCCCCTGGAGGGCAGCCGCCCAAAGGTGCCTGCAGGGGCTGTGGGGAAGAGCCTCCCGGGACAGTCCCGGCCCCAGCATTGCCTACCACCCAAGCAGCCAAAGCAGTGTCGACCTGGACTTGAACTAAAGGAAGGGCCTCTGCTGACTCCTACCAGAGCATCCGTCCAGCTCAGCCATCCAGCCTGTCTCTACCGGGCCCCACTTCTCTGGATCAGAGACCCTGCCTCTGTTTGACCCCGCACTGACTGAATAAAGCTCCTCTGGCCGTTTATGATTATCTCATTCCATATCTCAGGGCGAGGCAGGAGGAAATGGCTCAACACACCAACAATAGAAAGAACCTACAGACATACGCGTGGATTAAGGCAGAGTCCGACTCCAGGCAGGCAAGAAGTGTCGTGCGCACAGACCACCCCTGGAGATGGGGAGCTGGCACATCTCAACATCCAGCCGATTCTGCGGGACAGCCTTGCCCTGACGGGGCCCTCGCTAGCTCCTCCTAGGGTCCAGCCATCACAAAATCCACACAGACTCTGTCTCTGGGAAGTATATTTTATTTACATTTTTAAAATCTTTAACTAGTATCTCTTCCTCCTTTCCACCCCCAGAGACTTGGGAAGGGAAAGAACGGGAACCTCAAACACCTACTCCCCACATACAAATACACACCCCATGGCTCACACCAGCAAATGAAAGTGAAAGAGAAACAGGTCCACCCCTCCCTCTGAAGGGCCCACCAGGTCTGGACAAGGGTGGGAGGGCCCTGGGCTGGGTCTCTAAAGAGAAGAAAAGGAGAGGGGAGCAAGTCAGTTGAAGAGGCTGGAAAGTCATCCAGGGCCCCACCCTCCTCTTCCCTCTGTGCCCTACTGCCTCTGCTGGCAGACAGGGGCAGGGGTCCCTTCGTCCCCTCAACACCAGACACACAGGCAGGGGCTGCAGCCATTAACGGTCAGGCCTTTGGACACAAAATACTTTCGCTTTGTGGTCTCCTGACGTGGTCACCACCAGGGAGGCATCTCTGTAAACAGAAAGCATGTGATTGCAGAGACTGGGGGACCCAAGCCCACCACCTAGGGGCCCTAGGGTGGGCTCCTCCAGCACACCCTCAGTTCTAGGGCCCTAGTGCCTAGCACTGGGCCGACATCTCTGCAGCCAGCATGGAGGGGATTAGAGGAAGCCCCCAGCACGGGAGAAGCAGAGCTGACTCCGATGGGGAAAATCAGTCTCAGCCTCTCCCTCATGACTGAGACGTGGGGCCCCGGAGGGTCACTGTCAGCCACTGGAATGGGGGCTGGGCTGTGAACCCTCAGGCTTCTCTGCATTCCTGCCTTAGGAATCCCTTCCCACACCCCAAGGATCCTGTGTCCCCTACATACTACTGCCACCTTCCAAATACACAAAGATCCCAGCCCTTGGCCAATTCACTTACTTGCTGAGGGCAAAGTCCAGGATCTCAGCCGTGTGGCCCCGGTAGTCAGTAAGCAGGCGGCCGGTCCGGGCGTCCCAGAGGCGCACGATGCCATCCAGGCTGCAGGTATATACCACGGCAGTGCCTGCCTCCCACAGCAGCTGCACGATGCCCGACTGCCCCGAGGAATGACAGAGGCAGGGCGGAGGTTGGCAGGAGAGCTGAGAGCCATCTGCTCCCAATTCTCAAAGAGGGACAGCCACACACAAGGGCCAGGCAGGAGCCAGATCTGGGGTAGATGCTCCTGGAGGCCTGGGCTTCCCCACCACTATGGACACAGCCCACAGGGACCCCAGCTCCAGCTGCCCATACCTGGTGCTGACACTGATGCCTAAGAGTCTGCGTAGCCAGGTCATAGATGGCCAAGGTCCCATCCAGGTAGCCAACAGCTGCCAGGGGCATCCTGGCCAGAGGAGCGTACCATGAAGACTCATGAGGGCCTGGACTCACACGCCCTGCCGTCCTCCCGGGCCCCCAGCCCAGGCCCCTCCCACAAACCCCTTTCCCCATCCTCACTCACACACTGCAGAAGCCCAAGGACTCCACCGAGTTGGACTCACTCTCCTCCCCTTCTCCCAGGCTGGGCTGGGAGGCCACAGTCTCAGGTCTAAAAACACCCACCACCTGAAAGCCAGAGAGGATCAGAGGAGGACACGGAATCCGGGTGCTTGATGGAGAGAAAGACGGTGGGGAGAGGAGACAGTGAAGACCCAGGAAGGAAGGAGAGGAGTCGGGAAAGCGGAGGCCCCAGCCGGGCTCCAGGTCCACTCACCTTGCCGGTGGTGGCACTGACCAGCTTGGCCTGGCAGTCCACAGAGCCAGTTAGGATCAAGCTGCCATCCTGGTTGGCAGCAACACAGGTGAGTGGGCCCTGGTGACCCTCAGTCCCTAGCATAGAGCAGGGAGGCAGCTCAGGCTTCGTCCTACCTCCCCTCTGAGTCCTGCCCCAGGTTCTCAGCCCCTCCCTACAAAGGCCCAGGCTAACACTTCCCCCACCTCTGATACCTTTCAGTACATGGATAGGGCTTCCCTGCTTCAGGTCCCAAATCCTGATGGTCCCATCTTCATAGCCTACCACAGCTCTCTTCCCTGAAGAGAGGCACAGATGAAGAGAGGGCAGAGGGCACGCTCACATACACTAAGCAAGGGAATGGGGAGAGGGAGAGGAAAGAAGAGTGGAAGGGCCCAGACACTGCCCCAGGAATCACAGGTGAGTTCAGAGCAGGAAGGAGGCGCTGTGAACTTTGGGGCCCAGGAGGTCAGCACTGCAAACAGCAGGCCTCAGATTTTGCCGGCTGTGACCCAGAAGGCTGCTCTGGGAGGTGTATATCCCGGGATTCGGCCTCTGCACCCAGGAAAGGTCACTCAAGGGAGGTGCTCTCACCATCAGGGAGGACTCGGCCACAGGTGGCTGGGCAGTTGGGACCCTGGAAGGTCTTGCAGTCACCATTCGGGACTTTCCACATCCAGGTGTTGCCGTCAGCTGTGCCCGCCAACAGGACAGGTGCCCGAGGATGCCACTCCATCCACTGGACAGGGAGGAAGGGGCAGCAGGGAGGCCCGTCACCCCATCCCACCTAGAAGCCTGCCCCATGAGCTCCACCCAAGGTTTCCTGCCTCTGGGGTTCCGCGGGGACTTTCCAGGTAGCAGGTAGATATTCTTCCTGTGCCTTGGGGCGCATTGGCTCAGAGCTGGCTTGGCGCAATAAAGGCAGAACTGGCCTCCCAAGCTTGCACCCCCAACAACCCAAGGCCCCACAGAGCTGACTCCCGCTCTGATGATCTTACCTCCAGGTCTCCCGCTTCAAAGGACCAGACCTCCTCCTTAGTGTCCACCTGCCACACTTTCAAGAGGCCACTCATGTCCCCTGTGGCCACTAGAGTGGAGTCATGGCTGAAACCAGCACAAGTCACAGAGTCTTTATGGCCTTCAAAGAAAAGTGGGCAGAAAACAGAGGAAAAAAATAGGGTACCTGGTGCTGGGGGCATGTGATTCTGGTATCTGGCCCACTGAAAGGACCAGCTAGGAAAAAAAGAGGGGCGGGACTGAGCAGAACAGGTGCTGGAACTCACCACCACTCTAGGAACCAATACTCCCATGTCTGCTGGGAGACACTGCTGGCCCTCACTCAACCAGACCAAGTCCCAGCCTCCTATGCCTTCCCCCTTCTGTCCACTCTACACCTCTGCCCGCCTGCTCCTATACCAATGTGGCCTTCTCTGGCCTTTCCTGGATTCCCTTGGCCAATTAGTGCCTCCTGCCTCTGTGCCCAAAACACACTAGTATTCGCCCCGTGTCCCTGGGGCCCAGCACAGAGCTGGCACAAAAGAGATGTCACTAAGTGGCTGTTGGATGCACAACCTCTGCAGGTCAGCCTCCTAAGATCTCCCAAAAGAATATGACCTCTCCCAGGCCTCTACCCCAGCCCCCTCACCTGCACACTCAAAGAGCAGCTCCCCATCGCTGAGCCGCCATACGAAGGCTTTGTCATCTTCACCCCCGGTCACTGCCAAGGTATTGGTCTTGGGGTCCAGGCTCACACAAAACACAGATGCTGTCCCAAGAGATATTCCATGGGTAAGGGGACAGAGCTCCCACCTAGGGCTCTGTCCTTCACAATCTTCAGGAAACCCACCCCCTTTCACCCAAAGCGTGTCTTTCCTCCTGGAAAACACAGGTACATCCAAGTTCTTCTAAGTTTCAAGAATTGGGTTGTTAGATCCTTCCCATATTTGCCAAGCTCCCTATTTGCCAGAGTAGATCCCCTCACTGTGTGACTCCCGTCACCACCCAACACCAATGCCATGGACAAGAGGTGGGGACAGGTGCAGGGCTTACAGTTGTCAGCATGGGATGCCACCGGGGTTGGGTACAGAGCGAGGAGAGCATCACGTTAAGGGTTTTTTGTTTTTTGTTTTTTGTTTTTTGAGACAGAGTCTTGCTCTGTCGCCCAGGCTGGAGTGCAGTGGCACAATCTCAGCTCACTGCAACCTCCACCTCCCAGGTTCAAGCAATTCTCCTGCCTCAGCCCCCTGAGTAGCTGGGATTACAGGCGCCCGCCACCACAACCAGCTAATTTTTGTATTTTTAGTAGAGATGGGGTTTCATCATGTTGGTCAGGCTGGTCTCGAACTCCTAACCTTCTGATCCACCCGCCTCGGCCTCCCAAAGTGCTGGGATTACAGGCATGAGCCACCGTGCCTGGCAACAGTTTCTTACTAAGAACTAGCACTTGAGAAAGTTATATAAAATATGCTCAAAAAGATATAATTATCTCTCATTTTATTTTATTTTTTTGAGATGGAATCTTGCTCTGTCGCCCAGGCCGAAGCGCAGTGGCACAATCTCAGCTCAATGCAACCTCTGCCTCCCAGGTTCAAGTGATTCTCCTTCCTCAGCCTCCGGAGTAGCTGGGATTACAGGCACATGCCACCACACCCAGCTAATTTTTTTTTTATTTTTAGTAGAGATGAGGTTTCACCATGTCGGCCAGGCTGGTCTTGAACTCCCGACCTCAGGTGATCCACCCGCCTTGGCCTTCCAAAGTGCTGTGATTACAGGCATGAGCCACCGCACCTGGCCAATTATCTCTAATTTTATACTCACTACTTTTATTAACTTTTATCAAAGATAACTTTTTTTTTTTTTTTTTTTTTGGAGACAGACTCTCATTCTGTTGCCCAGGCTGGAGTGCAATGGCGCAGTCTTGGTCCACTGCAACCTCCGCCTCCCGGGTTCAAGCAATTCTCCTGCCTCAACCTCCCGAGGAGCTGGGACTACAGGCGCCCGCTACCACGCCCAGCTAATTTTTGTATTTTTAGTAGAGACGGGGTTTCACCATATTGGCCAGGCTGGTCTGGAACTCCCGACCTTGTGATCCGCCTGCCTGGGCCTCCTAAAGTGCTGGGATTACAGGCGTGAGCCACCATGCCCAGCCAAATTTTTGTATTTTTAGTAGAGACTGGGTTTTGCCATGTTGGCCAGGCTGGTCTCGAACTCCTGACCTCAAGTGATCCACCTGCCTCAGCCTCCTAAAGTGCTGGGATTTCAGGAGTGAGCCACCACGCCCGGCCAAAGATAACTTTTTAAAAGAAAACTAAGAGGTTAATCAAGGTTAACTGGCAAAGTAGAGGGTGTCTCGACTGATGCCAGAAGCCAAGCAATCATCCATTCTGCCACACTTTCCCACCTGTGGGCTCCTCCAGCGCAAGGCCAGCATCTTGCCCATCTCTGTGTCCCCCATAACGTTCTGTCCATGGCTGATGTTTAATGCTTACACGCCCACCTAAACTGATTTGAGGTGGATCGCCTCAAAGACCTACCTGAGTGCAATGCAAAGGTGACCTCGCTATCGTCGGGGCCCTCCATGCTGCCGACCACCCCTTCCTGGGGTTCTAGAACCCAGCCCTCTTCGTTGCCCTCTTCCTCCTCTTCTTCCTCAAAGTCCACATCTTCCATCTCCTGGGCCAGGTCATCTGCTTTGGGGAGAGGGTTAGAAGATGGGGCTCGGGAGGCGGTAAGAGGTACGGAGAGAAGCATGAGGAGGCCTGAGGCTGGGGCGGGTCATGTGGCGAGAAGGGAAGGTGGAGTCAGACACACCGGGGTCCGCGGGGGCGCGCGGGACACAGGACGGGAGGCCACGGCTGGCCAGAGACCGTGCGGTAAGGGAGGGCCAAGGGGATGATGGGAAGGGGGTGTGTGAGGGGAAGGGCCAGAGGAGGCGTCAGGGAACCCCCACCCCAGCCAGGCCTGAGAACTAAGTGTGAGGGTGGGAGTGGGGGAGGAGGGGAAGAGGGATATCGGTAGGAATGACCAGTCGGGTGTGGAGGGGAGCGGGGAAAAGCAGGAGTCAGAGGCCAGGGGTGAGCGTCTCCTGTCCCATGGCCTGAGGAGCGGCAGTTCTCACCTGGGTCCGGCGGACCGGGATCAAGTTCTACCACCTCGATAATCTCTTCATCACCATGGAAGCTTAGGGTCTCCAGTGGGGGGGTGTCAGCAGCAGCCCCGCTTTCCGATTCGGACTCCATGCGGCGCAAGCGGCGGATCCACTTCTCTGGGCCCAAACGCCTCCCAGAGTCAGCTCTGCGCGACGACGCGGAACTCGAGCCCCTCCTCCCGGCAGGAAGTAGGCGTAGGCGACTCCCCAGCAGGAAGAGCGACGGCCGTTCGGCCAATAGCTACGAAGGTTGGCTGGCCGCCTCACCAATCACAGAGCGGCATTGGAAGATGGGGCCGGGGCGTGGCGGAGAGAACCCAAACTCCGCCCCACCTGACTCCGCCCCCAACTGGAGGGAAACAAGCGAGCGCGCGCGCCTCCGGGGTCTCCTGGGAAGAGTAGTTCTCCTGGGTCCGCTCTGCGGGCTTCTGGGAGATGTAGTTTCTGGTCTGTAGGCAGGACGGAAGGAGCGGGGGAGGCCCCTTACGCAAACTACAATTCCCGGCGGGGAGCGCGGTGAAGCGGGGGTGGGATCTGAACATGGCGGCGGTGGTAGCTGCTACGGCGCTGAAGGGCCGGGGGGCGAGAAATGCCCGCGTCCTCCGGGGTAAGGAGAGGGACCCCGGGGAGGGCAGGACTGCAGAAGATCCCTTTTCTTTCACGTCCAGCCCGACGATAGCAGGAGGTCAGGGCTCTTGGTTCCTCCCCACACTTTTCTGCAAGATCTTAGAGTCTGGGGGTGCAGAGATGCTCTTTAGAGGTCACCCAGTGCATCCCCCCGCCTTCGGGTTGCTCGACACCTCCGGGGTCTTGCTGCAAGAGGGAGCTCCTAGGAAGCCTGTTGGACTCCCGCGCTCCAGGTGTTTCACACTCACCGCAGTGCAGAGGAAAGAGCCCCGGGCTTCTGGAGGTTTGAGTTCCAGCCCCGGATAATTAGCAGTTTGACCTTGGGCAAAGCAGTTTTTCTCTCAGGGCTTCAGTTTCCTCTTCCGTACAGTGCAAGGGATGGAGTAGACTATCTTTAAGGTCCCTTCCAGTGCTAACATTTGCAGTTTCAAAACCTTTTCCCGGATTTCCTTCATACGTCTTATGTGAGTCCCACTGCAGTCCTTCCCATGCTGTCGTCTGAGGAAGAACAGCGAAGCTTTTCGTCCTGGCACCAGGGTGATGAGCCCGCAGTGACGTGGAAGTGGCTTCCAAAGGTGCCACCTCGGTGGCGATTTTCCCATTTCCCTTTGGATTCTCCTTGGCACTTCTTACTTCAGACTGCAGTCACTCCCCTTCCCCAGATCTCAGCCGCTCCTCCCAAGCCCTTACTGCCCCCCACCTCCCCGCTTGCTTTCTTCTCATCTCTTCTTACTGACCTTCCTTACCTCCATCCACAGGGATTCTCGCAGGAGCCACAGCTAACAAGGCTTCTCATAACAGGACCCGGGCCCTGCAAAGCCACAGCTCCCCAGAGGGCAAGGAGGAACCTGAACCCCTATCCCCGGAGCTGGAATACATTCCCAGAAAGAGGGGCAAGAACCCCATGAAAGCTGTGGGACTGGCCTGGTGAGTTTTAACCACCCCTTTGCCCACCAACGGGGCGTGGCTTGTAGGGGAGGGCAGGACTTAGAAACTTCTCCAAGTTTCAGGTGGCGAGCTGAATCCAAAGTTGTGGGAACAGAATTGTTGGGTTCGATTGGAATCTCAGAGGGGTGGGGCAGTGGAGGTGGGAAAGTATGTGGAATTGAGAAGACAGTGGGTTTACTGTGGAGTAAGCTGAGTTGATCTGATTCAGACTTGGGTCCCTGGCCTCATCCTCCCTTTTGGGAGCTTGGAGTGAGACCCAAGTTTAAGTAAGTAGTTCGTTGAGATCATGTGAGCTTGTACTAGTTGTATAGTAGTACTCAGAAGGCGTTATGAACATTGTGATTGGGCTCTGACTCTGACCTTAATACATATTATTGACCAATATTAAAGAGAAAGGAGGAAGAAATCAACATTTTTTTCTGCATGTGAGGTGTGCCAGTACTTTGCCATGTAATGTTTTAGTGTTTGAGATAAGTATTACATCCCCATTTCACAGAGGAAGGAACTGAGACTGAGCTAGGATTCTCACCTAGTCTGTGACTCCATGCTCTTTCCCCCATACCAAAGTGCCTCCCAAGCAGTGGTTACTTAGCTTAAGAGGGGAAAACTGGGAGGGTACCTTGGCCAAGTCTCAGAGAGGGAAAGCGTCAGGGCTGCCTGGAAAATCCTGCACAGGTGCTGTTGCAGGAATGCAGGGCTCGTGCTGAGGATCAGGCTCTAGGCGGGAGGAGGAAAGAGGCAGGCAGAGACCCAGCCACACTGGGCCTTTTGTGCCATGTTTGGACTTGGCCAGGAAGTGATGGAGTTACGGGGTTTTAAGCAGGGAAGTGACAGGATCTGATTTGTGTGGGTCCCTCCAGCAGCCAGCACAGAGGATGAATAGACTATAAGAGGTATTGCAGCATTCATGCAACTGATGAAGCTAGAATGACTCCCCCCAGCTCCTCTGGCTCAGGCTTGGCCCCTCCCCAAACCCCGTGCACATCTCCCCACCCGTAGGGCCATCGGCTTCCCTTGTGGTATCCTCCTCTTCATCCTCACCAAGCGGGAAGTGGACAAGGACCGTGTGAAGCAGATGAAGGCTCGGCAGAACATGCGGTTGTCCAACACGGGCGAGTATGAGAGCCAGAGGTTCAGGGCTTCCTCCCAGAGTGCCCCGTCCCCTGATGTTGGGTCTGGGGTGCAGACCTGAGGAGCGCTGCGACCCTCCTAGGCTATTGACTGTTAAGTCCTCAGGTTTGGCCCAGATTCCAGTTCGTGCCTCTGAGGTCCACCAGAGGGCGCATGAAGCCCAGGCTGTTGCCAAACCCTACCCTGCCCCACACCAAGGAGCCAGCCAAAGGCAAATAAAGTTATTGAGTGTTTAGTAGAAAGGAACCAGGTCTGGGTTTGTGAGTCCCTTGGGATGGGAGGGGCAGAGGGTGGGGCTGGTTACTCATGTGTGCTCCCTCTCACAGAGCTCAGTGTTCCCAGCTGGATGGTGGGGCAAACCCAGAGACTTAAGTGCAACCAGCCTAGGCCCCGGGCCCTCGGGACCAAGCCCTCAGAGCTGCCGGCCAGGAGGGTGGGGTCCCGCTCAGCCTTGAAACAATAAAGAGAATCAAAGAAGGTATTCAGGGTGTGGAGGCAAAAAAAAGCACTGCTCTTTACTGAGTCCAAATGACTCGACTCTGGGCCTCAGTTTCCTCATTTGTTTTGTTTTTTGTTTTTTGTTTTTTGAGACGGAGTCTCGCTCTGTTACCCAGGCTGGAGTGCAGTGTTGTGATCGTCAGCTCACTGCAACCTCCACCTCCTGGGCTCAAGTGATCCTCCTACCTCAGCCTCCTGAGTAGCTGGGACCCCAGGTGAGTGCCACCATGCCCAGTTACTTTTTGTGTTTTTTTTTTTTTTTTGGATTTTTTTTTACTTATTTTTTTTTTTTTTTTTTGAGACAGAGTTTCACTCTTGTTGCCCAGGCTGGAGTACAATGGCATGATCTCAGCTCACTGCAACCTCCACCTTCTGGGTTCAAGTGATTCTCCTGCTTCAGCCTCCAGAGTAGCTGGGATTACAGGCACTCACCGCCACTCCCAGTTAATTTTTTTTTTTTTTTGTACTTTTAGTAGAGATGGGGTTTCACCATGTTTGGTCTGGCTGGTCTCAAACTCCTGACCTCAGGTGATTCCCCCCCACCGCCCTCGGCCTCCCAAAGTGCTGGAGTTACAGGTGTGAGCCACCGCACCAGGCCCAGTTTCCTCATTTTGTAAGATGGGACTGGAGTTGACATGGACTGAACCTGCAGTCCATCCCCTCCTCCATCTGCAAAACTGTAGGTATACATACAGCTCTTTGAGGAAGAGAGTTAGCTCTCATGAGCTTTTGGAAAGGGTCCATGGTGCAGAAAAGGTCAAGCACTACAGCCAAGAGGTCTCTTCCATATCCAGTGATCCAGTGTGATAGGGTTGAGCTCTCCCTTTCCCCACCCAACTCCTGAGCCTTCACTAGTCTATTGCATCCGTCCCCGGAAACTGCTGCAGTAAAGTGTATTTGATTACCTTGGAAAAGGTGGGACAGCCCAAGCCAGAATGCAGAAGGAAGAAGTGGATACTTTGGGCAGAGCCACACATACTCCTGGAGCCATACAGGGTTTTAACTTCTAGACATAAACTTTATTACATTTATAGTTGTATCCCTTTGTGTGATATAGTTAGGATTTCTCTATTAAGTAATTAATCCTAACTATATCCTTGGGCTGATTTGATTTCTGCCCCCACCCGACAGACTGACCCTTGTCCCCCTTCCCCATTCCAGCTCAAGGCACTTAATATTACAAAGAAGGCAGTGGCTGGCTGGAGAGATGGGCCTCAAGTCAGAAATCCCCCAGTGCAACTTAAGACAAACAGAGAGAAGTCACCTTCCTCTTAGGACCCTCCCTGGGTTAGCAGAAGGAAAGAACCCAGAAGTCTTCAGTACCACAGTAGGCTTCGGTATCTCCCTAGCCAGGTGAGGGACCCCCAGGCATTCTCCCTGCCCGCACCGAGTCTCTCTTCACCCTGGCTACTTCCTGGCCACACGTATGACTCTGCCCCTTACTTTCTGCTCTGAGCTGCCTGAATACAGGAAGCAAGAGTTCACTCTGACCAGAGATCCAGAAGCCTGCAAGGAGGCCCCAGCAGCTTTCAAGAATGGGGAGCAGATGGCCACATGTGGCCTGCTCTGTCTTATAGCGTCACAAGCCAGGAGCAAGCCCAGGGGAGATGCTGTTCCATGCTGGCCTGTATAGGTTACTTTGCTCGTTCTGTTATCTGTCCCCCATCCCTAACCCAGATAAACAATACATATGTCACTGAAACAAGAAGGGATTGAAGCAAGGAGACCCATGGGCACAGATCTCTTCTACCTTCCTGAGCTAAAAGATGCCAAGCCAAAGGAATACAGGATAATGGCCTATGTGTCCAGGAGGCCGGGGACAAAGCTCTCTGGCTTTGCTGGGGGAAGAAATAGCTCCAACTACGTAGTCAAGAAGCCTGTGACAGAGGTGGGAGGGGAACCTCGTGACCTTGAAGTCACTTCTACCTTTCATATTCCCTTCTAGCTATCGAATAGGCTCTTTTCATATTCCTCACAACCCCAGCTGTTAGGAAGAATGTGGTGTCATACAGTAGGTGGCGGGGAGAAGACACATCTTCAGCCTAGTCCCTGCCAAGCCCACCAAGAGCAACAGTTAGTCCCTAGCTCCTCCGTCCCCACCAAGTACCCACACATCCATAGCCAGAGAGGCCACCTGTCTCCAGGACAGAAAGGAAACTGGGCATGTTACTCAAGGGGAAGGAAAGGGGCCTAAAGCCCAGACCACAGTCATAGGGCCCAGCCCTCTAGCTTGGAAGGGAGAGCCCAGGATCGGGTGAAAATGGGGGCTTGCTCCTTAATTGCGATCCCCCATCAGCTGCAGCACAAAGGTGAAGATGTAGATGATGTCTGTGTAAATCTGCAGGGCGCCAGTGATGTAGTCCTCGGGGCTGATGGTGTGCTTCCGGTTCCCCAGGACCAGCTGTGTGTCGTAAGCCAGGAACTGCAAGGATAGGGAAGCCAGAAGTGAGAACTCAGGCATCAGTGTCCAGAGCTCATTTTTGGTCAGCAGATTTGTCTTGGGGGCCTATGCGCCACACAGTGCTTAGGGCCACATTAACGCACAGCATAACATATGGGCTCTATACTGTAGCTGCTCACAGTCTAGGAAAGGAGGCAGACACACCGTTCTCAATATGGCTGACTAGTGTTCTAATAGCAGGCAGCTTGAACAAGAGATGGCAAGAGTGCCCACAAAAATCAATGGAATCTCTGGACAGTAGTGAGAGGAATGGCCTGCTATGGCCCCATTCCCTGCCTCCCAGGCAGTCTAAATTCATGCCCCCTTCCCTAGATTCCTCCCCTCATCCCCTCAGCTCCCCTTCCTAGAGTGGGGCTGGGACTTACCAGGGTGAAACAAATGGCCCCCAGAGCAGCATAGAGCATGTGGAGCCAGTAAACCTGGAGAAGAAGGGGACAGAGAATGGCATTAGAAACCTCAGCAAACCACAGGCCCACAGGCCCCAGCTTCCCCCGGGATAGTGGCATGAGAGTGGGTAGAGCTGGGAAGCTAGCTCTCCATGAAAGGCTACTGCCTTTCCAGATCTTGGAGGAAATTAAGACTGGTGATATATCCAGCAGAGAAAGCAGAGGCCATCCTGCAATGGCTGTATAAAACCAATCTCCAAAGCCAGTCAAGGTACACAAGTGTCTACTATACTTCTAGAAAAAAAGCAGTTGAGTTACAGCTCTGAAAGGGGCAGACCCAGCATTCAATAGACCAGTTCCTACAGCCCAGCCTGGGAGGGGTAGACTAAGGAAGAAGGGAGGCCCCCCAACCCCTCTGGTGAGTATCAAAATCCGGGAGCACCCACAGGACAGCCCACATGACATGCCCACAGGTGGCCGTCCACAGAAGGACAGAGCTGGCCCATGGGCAGGCAGCCCTCGTGTCCCCATCCTTCCCCTTCGGCACTGTTCTCCCCCAGCTGAACAGAATAAAGGAAATAATTGGATCCAGAGACCCCCGCAAGGTCCCTTCCACCTAGGCCCATCATCTCAGTCCTCTGGGTTCCTCTCCCAGTCTGCCTCCGAGAACCTGATTCTCAGCTGCCAGCCAGATTGAACCCACCCCTTCCCCTAGGAGTGCAGTGATGCAGTCCAGGGCTTCAGGTGCTCTGGCTCCAAGGCCGCCCATCTCCACACAGAGAGTCTACCCTCACCCAGAAGGATGCTGCCTCCACGTTGGTGCCTTTGCTAGCCAGTCGAGAGGTTCTGGAGGTCAGAGCCTGCCCCGGGGACCTTTGGGGCCTGCGAGACCATGCTATATAGGAAGTCTGCCCTGAGCACTGGGTTCCCTGACCCCAGCTCTCCTGGGACACTCACGTATTGGAAGTAGAGCACAATGCTAGTGACAATCCCAGTCACCAGGAGCACAATTCCCAGGACACAGAAGAGGCCTGTGCACGAGGTGAAGTCCACCTGCCAGGAAGCAAGAAAGAGGCACCTGTCAGATGGCTGTGACAACCAGCCCAGTCAGACTGGCCCTGCCAGGGAGTCCCAGTGCTGCCTCCTAGGGGGTATGGGAATGTCCACAACATTCTAAGGACAGAAACAGGACACAGTTTTGTAGGTGCGGATGAGGAGAAGGGGATCAGGTCTCTAGGGAACATCCCTAGTGTGCCGGGGTCCGGGCCTGATAAGAAAGGGGAGTCGGGGGGCCAGGGAAGGGCCCTCCATGCCCTCACCTTGGTCTGAAAGCAGAAGATGGTGACTGAAATGGATACCACCGCAGTGATGATCATTGCAATGATGACGGCTTTGGTTTGGTACATACTGGGGAGAAGCAGGAGTTACAGACAAGAGGCATTAAGCCACGTATGAATGACTTCAAAATCACCACTTCCAGAGGGGACCTGCCCAGAATCCACCCACGCAGCTGGCTGCCGGCCCAGGAACACCCCACTCCCCACAATACACATTTCCCAAGAGTGGTGCTTTATCCCTGAATGTACCTGGAAATGGTGCCCGTCATGAAGCCCATGGCAAAAGTCTAAGGGAAGGAGAGAGACAAGAATGAAACACTTAAAAAGGAAGGAAGGCAGGGTGCTGGGGGAGTGGCCATGGTGGCCTCTGCCAGAGCTGGGGAACGCCACCAAGTTGGAAAGAGGCAGCCACAGAGGAGATCAGAACAGGCGGCCCAGATAAGGTGGAGGAGACAGCCAGGACATCCTTCTGAAATGGGTCCCCATCCCTTCCCTGGGAGCAGTCTCCCTCACAGCATCTCCACACCCTCCTGCCACCCTTCTAGACTTACAAAAAGGGTCAGCAGAATGATGTTCCATGGGAAACGGCGTCTGAAGGGAAAGAGAAGCCTTGATTAAATGACTTGGGGCCCCTCAGGCGTCAGAGGCTCCTACAGCAGAAGGAAGCGCTTGGCTCCTGTGCCTGGAGGATTAAGCCTTGACTCCAAGGAGGGAGGTTGGCATGGCCTTTGGCACCTGTTCAGGTGTGGTACGCAGGGACAACATGGGCCAATGAGACAGACCTGTGTTGTGGCGCCAGAAACACCTGGATTGGTTTGCAACTCTTAAACTGACTGCCTGTGTGATGGGGAGAAAGTTACTCAGCCTCTTTGAGCCTCGGGTTCTTCCTATTTGTTAACTGGCTAAAATGCTACCTGTCTTGCAGGGTTACTATAAGAGTGACAGCTAGTTAGCTCCTAAACACACATGGTCCTTTGTATACACCTGAACAGTAGCTGTCATCGTCATCCTCCTCCTCATTTCTTGTAAGTTTCCATTCAGCTGCTATAAAGGAATCCTTCTTTCCAAAATACTCGGCCCCCATCCCAATCCCTGTCACCCCTCTCACTGTGTTAAGTCTCTGGGACTCACCTGGGTCCCTGGCAGCAGGCAAGGATCAGGTAGGTGACAACGAAGACAGCACTAGGGACAAAGAGATGGGGAAGCAGTTCAGGCCCAAATCTGCCCCGCTTGGCAGCACACACCAGGCCAGTGATTTGGGGCCCAAATAGCCGTTTGGAAGTCTGAGGGGAAGCAACTCAACAGGAAGCAAGAACGAGATTACCCCCAGCCAGGGTCACTGAGATGCTCTGAAGCACCAGGCTCCGGCCAGGAAGGAGGTCTGGGGAGGCTGCAGCTGACGGGCTGAGAGGACATGGGGGCTGCAGCGCAGCGTGCACGCCACCACCAGCAGGTCCCACTCTTGCTCTCGAGTTCTAGGGGTCTGCTACTCATCTGGGCACGCACACCCACACCCTCTGGCACGGGAAACTGGCACCAACTTGGGGGCCCTCTCAAAAAGCATTTTGATCCTGCCCTGAGCAAAGCTGGTCACCTAGAAACAGAAGCTGCCACCCCTGCCTCCCTGCCCAACCACAGAGGAGCACACACTCACTAGGACACGTAGTAGACAGCCACATTTCTCCTCACAAAGGCGCTGACAGGTTCCCTGTGGGGCACAGGAGGACAGGAGTAGTCACCCTGAGGCTTGTCTGCCCCACCCAGGCCAGCCAGGCAGCCCTGGCTTCACCTTCTCTAATTGCCCATGGTCACCCTGAGAGCAGGGCCCACCGCCACCCACACCCCCAGCAGGTGACCCTGAACCCCCAGGGCAGTAGGAGTGGGTGGCAAAGCCTAGAGACTTACACAAAGGTGAAGATAGCAATGATGGCCACAGTGATGAGCAGCTGCACGGAGATGATGGAGTAAACCTGGACACAGACGGCCGGGCATGGGTCACCATCCGGCACCCCTGGCCTGCCCCAGGAAGCTGCCAGCCCCCAGTACTTTCCTCCCACTCAAGAACCCTCCCTAGCTGCAGCCTGGCCCAGAGGCGACCCCAGTGAGATGCCTGGCTCAGAGGCAATGTGCACTTCTTCCTCAGCCCCGCTCCCATGCTCCCTGCCATCTCCCCTCCTGTCCAACACCAGCCTCGGTGACTACTGACTTGCCCTGCCTGGCCACCATACTCTACCAGTATGGCCTCTGCACTCCCAGCAGCTCAGTCTGCACGCTCTATGCAGCTGTGAGATGGAGAGGGTGGGTTACAAGCGAGTAGGATCATTTCTGGCTCCAAGCTGCCTATAGTCTAAAGGGAGAAAGATGTCTGGGGAAGGCGGGCGCTGTGGCAGAACCCACCTAGGAGATTCTCCCAGACTGAATGTGTCCTCCCAAAACATGGTCAAGAAGAGAGGTGCAAAAAGAGAGGGAACCCTGGGGTTAGAGAAGCCAGGTGCCCCTCTGAGAAGCAGACAAGGCTAGAGAAGACAGGCAGCCAGTGTATTTCATGGAATTGATGCCCTGGGGCTACTGTGGCCTACCCACTTCCCATTCCCACAGCCTGAGGGGCCCCAGGTACACCCACCTCCCAGCGCGTATCTTACCTTTCGGATAAAAGTGTGTCGCACTTTCCGGTCATCCCACTCTCCAGGCCCGAAGCTATCACTCACTGCTCTCTCCTCCCCATCATAGCCATGGCCTGGGCCTAGGGACAGATGACACTTGACTCAGCTGGGGACCTGAGACATGTGGCGTCAATCCCAAAGCCTCCCTGACAATCTCAAAGTCTCAGGGATCTCCAGCCAAAAGACAAGTGTTATAACAGGAACTCTTCTCCCAAGCTGGGGTCTTCTAGACACCCTCAGAGTGACCCAGAGCCGGCCTGTCACGAGGGGGCTTAGGTGGGAAACGTTCCTCACGTGCATCTGTGGAGGGCTCCTGTGTGCCCAGCCCACGCCACTGGGGGTTCACTGGGGGGTCACGATGTAGTGGGGAAGCCAGGCAGGAGCAGGTATGGGCATCCACTGGGGCAGCCAGCCAGGGCAGAACAGGGGATGGGGACAGAGGGTAGGAGAAAAGGAGGGCGGCAGAGCGCAGTTTGTGCAGCAGCAGGGATAGAGGTGAAGACAGGGATCTGCATCAGCCTCACAGAGGCAGGTGTGCAAAGGGTGTGCGTGACTGTGCAGGACCCATGCGCAGATCCGCACCAGCGCACATGTCCAGGTGAGAGCTGGCTGACACCCCTCTGGGGTTCAGAGATGCTGCAGGGCTGCAAACATTCCCTGAATGCCTGAATGCCTGAATGCCTCTTTGGGAACTACTTTTAAAATCCACGCTTGAGCCACCCAGGAAGACTCACTGCACTCTAACTTCACCTCATTTCCTTTTTTTTTTTTTTTTTTTTTTTGAGATGGAGTTTCGGTCTTGTTGCCCAAGCTGGAGTGCAAAGGCGTGATCTCGGCTCACCGCAACCTCCACCTCCCGGGTTCAAGCAATTCTCCTGCCTTAGCCTCCTGAGTAGCTGGGATTACAGACGCATGCCACCACGCCCGGCTCATTTTTTGTATTTTTGGTAGAGACAGGGTTTCACCATGTTGGCCAGGCTGGTCTCAAACTCGTGATCCGCCCATCTCAGCCTCCCAAAGTGTTGAGATTACAGGCATGAGCCACCGTACCCGGCCTCTTTTTTTGTTTTGTTTTGTTTTTTGTTTTTTTTTTGGTTTTTTTTTTGAGACAGAGTCTTGCTCTGTTGCTCAGGCTGAAGTGCAGTAGTGCGATCCTGGCTCACTGCAACCTCCACCTCCTGGGATTGCAAGCGATTCTCCTGCCTCAGCCTCCTGAGTAGCTGGGATTACAGGTGCACGCCACCACACCCGGCTAAGTTTTTGTATTTTTAGTGGAGATGGGGTTTTGCCATGTTGGCCAGGCTGGTCTCGAATTCCTGACCTCAGGTGATCTGCTCGCCTCAGCCTCCCAGAGTGCTGGGATTACAGGCGTGAGCCACCGCGGCCGGCCTCACCTCATTTCTGACCAAACACAAGCATGTCCCTGCCATGATGTTTACCAAACTTGGCTCCAAATGTCTTTTGCAAAAGTCAGATTTCACTTTAAAGGATGAGGAAAGTGGTTCAGGTTCCCAAAGGAGTTCCTAAGGAAGTCGACAGGTCTGGGAGGTGGCAGCAGCTTGTTGGCCGCTTGTTGGGAAACAGAGCTGGTGCCCTGAGGTAACCCCTCAGGAGTCATTACTTGGCCCAGCCCCATTCTCCTGTGGTGTGTACGTTCTGGGACATGCCTCATGGATCTCCTTGAACAAAGGGGGCAGCAAGTGGCTGGGGGCCAGTTGCTGAGGCAAAAAGTGGAGGGTAACAAAGACAGAAACAGAGGGAGAGATCTCAACAGAGAAGATGAGAAAGGGATTTAAGGGAAACTAGAAGAGAAAAGGGGCAGGAGGCGGTGGCCTCATCTGCTCCAAGTGCTGTCCCTCCCACCCACCTTCCATCTGCCCTTCCAGGACTCACCGTAGTTCATGGGCATCGGGTGGGTGGGGGGCATGGGCTGTGGGTAGCCAGCAGGGTGACCGTAGCCAGGCTGCGGGTAGCCAGGGTAGGCAGGATACCCTCCTGGCAGGACAGATGGCTGCCCATAGCCCCCAGGGGGCGGAGGGCCTGGGTACAGGGGGTTGCGGTCTTCATATGGTGGTGGGGCGCTGGGGTTGGACATGGCTGCTCACGGGCTGAGGGGGAACCCCAGCTGCTGGGACCTGAAATGGGAGAGGAGAAAAGCAATCGTGAATGCCCAGGCCCAGCTCACTCAGCCTCATGGGCCCACTTCCAGCCTTGTCCAGGCTGCCTCCGTGGAGAGGAACACCACCTATTTTCTCCTTAGAGGGCAGCGTGTGATTTGCTGTCCACAGGCCACCTCCCCACCAACTGGGCTCCTGTCCCTCCTGCCTTTGCGCCTGCTTCTTGTCCACAGGCCTCTCACTGTGCAGCTCCCCAGCCATAGGAAAGCAGGAGGAAGGATTCGCTGAGGAGAGAGGGAACCAGGGAGCCTGGGAACTCCCTGTTGTGGTTTAAGAAAACCTTCCAGTTTTGGTGGCTTGATGGCAGAACCAGCGAAGAAGCCAGATGGGCCAGGCACAGCCTCCTGGCGACTCACAGGGCCAGCTGGGACCCTCTGAAAGGGTCAGCTCTGCCCCTGCCACAGCTGACGGGGATGCCAGGCCTGGAAGCCAGAGCTGGGTTGGAGCCAAGGCTCAAAGTGGAGAGCCGGGGGAAGAAGTGGAGGAAAACAAGCTAGCCCCAGTGCCAGAGCTGCCAGGCCCCGAGGAGGAAGGGATCCAGGGACCCGGGGGCCAGTGGCAGGCTGAGTCAGGAAGCCTGAGAAGCAGGAGTGGGTGGTACAGGGGCTGGGGGCAGGGAGGCTGTGCCAAAGGGCCAGCTTGAGACAGGACTTTCTGGTTCCTTCAAATAACAGCGGTGGCGTGTCAGAAAGGCATGCGGCAGCCTGCGACCACAGCTGCTCTCTGGCCTTGCTAGGGAAGAGAGAGTGAGTGCACGGCCCCTCGCCCTCCCCCTTACCCCCACCCTGGAGGGGGAGACAGATGTTCTGAATCCCAGGCTCTCTGTGAGTTCTACCTGTCTTCCAGGTGCAGTGCTAGCAGGGAGGACAAAGAGCTGAGGAGTCAGGCCACAAGGTCAAGGGAATGCCTTCCCTGCAGCAGGAAGAGCCCCATAGCCAGGGGAGGGCCAAGAAACCAGGGGGAGGGAACCCCAAACTGGAGTTGGAAGGGACCTCAGGGCCATAAGCCCCAAATGCTCACTTCAGATGAGAGAATGCAGGCCCTGAACAGGGAAGTGATTCCCCAGAACCCCAGAACTCGCAGGTCAGTGGCATAACCAGGACGGAGGCCTTCCAGATCCTGGGTCCAGGTCCTTCATGTTATGCGGTGCTCTTATGCCTCCTCTGCCAGTTACTGTCCTCTGGGCCTGGTGGTCCCCTCTGAGGTAGCAGAGATGCAGGCTTAGGAGGAGCTAAGGAAGCCCCTAGAGGGCCCCTGCATCCCCAGTAAGGACAAGCCCTGGCAGTCTGGGCTCGACAGGGCCACCACCTCTTCTAGAGCATCTACAGGGGGCTTTAGGATCCCCAAGGAGGACACCCCCAGATGCAGGTCAGCAGACACCAGAGGCTCTCAGAGGCTCTGCTGGAAGCAAGAGAGACCAGCGTCTCTTTTTAGGGCACATTGCATAGTTCGGGGATCAAATAAAGGACTGTCTTATCTCTTCTCTTTTATGACAACTGGGATAATTCAGAGAGGGGAAGGTGGCAGGGAGGGTTGAGGAGGGGGAATTGAATAAAAGTCCAGGTCTCTAAGTGGGTTATTTTGAGGAAAGCTGTTCTTCATCTCCCTAGAGGGGCTGGGATAGAACCAGGGCAAGAATGTCAGGTCAGAAATACAAAGCTGGCAGGGTGCGGTAACTCACGCCTGTAATCCCAGCACTTTAGAAGACTGAAGTGGGCAGATCATGAGGTCAGGAGTTCGAGACCAGCCTGGCCAACATAGTGAAAACCTGCTCTACTAAAAATGCAAAAATTAGCCAGGCATGGTGGCATGTACCTGTAGTCCCAGTTACTCAGGAGGCCGAGGCAGGAGAATCACTTGAACCTGGGAGGCAGAGGTTGTGGTGAGCTGAGATCGCGCCACCGTACTCCAGCCTGGGCAACAGAGTGAGACTCCATCTCAAAAGAAAAAAAAAAAAAAGCACTGGCCGGAAAGGCTCTGTGGGCAGAAACCCCAACCGTGATGTCACCATGACGTGTCCCAGCACCTCCTCAGGGTGCACCTCTGTGAAATAAGGTGGGGGCGACACGACCTCTAAGCCCACTGCCCCCTCTAACAACAGACTATGATTCTGGGAACTCGGCTCTGCAGGGCCTGACCTTTGCTCGGCCAGAGAGCTGCCCCTGCTCCCTCCTCTGAGCCAAGCAGGGCAAACAGCTAACTTTCCAGACCAAGGGACTGTGGCAGCCACCGGGTGAAAGGTGCCTCAGAGAGAAGGGTCAGCCTCGGATGGGCCACGGGGACTCCAAGGTTCTGGTGCAGCTCAGCGGGTGCTGACTCAGAGCTTCACTCCTGCCTCTCTTGCCCCTCCCTTTCAGGCTTTTGGTTTCAGAAGCATGTGCTAGTAGGCCTGCCTGCACTGCACACAGCAGTTTCCAGGCCAGTCCTTCGGGTACCTCAGCCACCAGCCCATCCACACCAGAAACTACCATGACCATTTCAACTCACTATGCCTCAGTTTCTTCACCTGGAAAATGGGTCTCACACTAGTAATAGTACCCTCCACGGGGTTGCTATAAAAATTAAGTGAGAAAATACACATAGAAGGCTGGGCACAGTGGCTCACGCCTGTAATCTCAACACTTTGAGAGGCCGAGGCAGGTGGATCACCTGAGATCAGGAGTTCGAGACCAGCCTGGCCAAATGGTGAAACCCCGTCTCTACTAAAAATATAAAAATTAGCTGGGCATGGCAGCAGGCGCCTAGAATCCCAGTTACTCGGGAGGCTGAGGCAGGAGAATCGATTCAACCTGGGAGGCGGAGATTCCAGTGAGCCACAATCGTGCCACTGCACTCCAGCCTGGGTGACAGAGTGAGACTTTGTCTCGAAGAAAATAAAAAAGAAAATACACATAAAGTGCTTAGAATGAAACCCGACCCCTGATCAATGGGGATAAAGGTTGGTTATTTTCATTAAATCCTTACAACAGTCCAGCAAGTTAATACTGTTATTATTATTCCCATTTACAAATGAAGAGATTGAGGCACAGAAGAATTAAATCACTTGGCCAAGATAACCTAGCTAGAGTGTGATGAAGTCAAAATGAGCCCCAAGACTGACTCCCAAGCCCCTGCTCTTAATCCCTAACCTGAAAACACCCTGTCTATCCAACCTTCTCATCACTTCTGCCATAGCTTCCATCTAAAACCCTCTCATGGGTTTTAGCCTCAACAGGAGGCTGACACAAGTGGAAGCCAAACTACTCAGGCCCTCCACACCACCACAGGGCTCACAGCCTGGCCAACGGCCCCAGGAGAAGAGGGTGGCCCAGGCTTGGAGATACATAAAGGTCAGAGCTGGAAAGAAACTCACCCAAGGACAGCCAACCCCTCACTTTACCAACTAGACAGCCACAGCACAGGAACCTGTCCTTGGTTACCGAGCTGGTCCTGGGGACAGGACGAGATCCTAGCTGTCTACATAGAGAGACCTGGGCACAGGAGAGGAAACCCCAGCATTAACGCTAGCCAGGGGAGTTGCTAAACTCAGCCACACTCACCTCTGAGCAGTGCCAAGAACACTGTCAGACTGGCAAGAGCCTCCGGGGACCAGGGCTGCCGGGTTTGGCAGCTTTAGAGCCTGCTCTTGGGCTTCTGCCCAGCCTCCATGAGGGCCCTGGCCACTTCCACATCAGCAAGGCCTCCACTAGGGATGAGGTTTGGGGCTGGCATCTGCCTAGGTAGCAGCAAAGGGGGAAAGGGTCAGTGTTTACTTTCGTAGCTATGTCTAAGGGTGGAGGCTAGAGAAGAATGGAGGGTAAGGGAAGGAGGGAGAAGGGGAGAGAGATCACGAGACTGACACAGAGTGAGGACTAGAAATCAGATCTGGGTTCTGCCAGCAGCTACTAGAGGGGCTCACAGTCTGCAGGGACTTTAAGGTCCCCACTGGAAGCCTGAATTTTCCCAAAATACAGTAGGCATTCACCTTCTGCTTGTTTTTGTTTTTCTTTTTGTTTTGGTAGAAACGGGGTTTCACCATGTTGGCCAGGCTGGCAAACTCCTGGCCTCAAGTGATCCACCCACCGAGGCCTCCCAAAGTGCTGGGATTACAGGCATGAGCCACTGTGTCTGGCCCACCTTCTGCTTGAAGGAACTCCAGCAACATGGAGCAAGCCCCTTGTCTGCAGACAGCTCGATTAGAACATTCTTCCTTGCCTCACAATGCCTGTTATCAAGGCATTCAGACTGTGCCCTATCCTTGCCCATTATAGATCTAAGTTTGCTCCTCTCTCAGGGCCCCAGTCCCCCATTAGGAAGGAACCAGAGCCCCTGCTTTCTACCACAGCAGCGGCACAAGTGGGTGAGCTCAGACAGCAGGACTTGCTGGGTGTCAAGGTTTTCAGATGCAGAGGCGGAAGCACCTCCTCCCCTGGAGCCCTCTCAGTGTGGTAATCCTGCTGTCTGCCTACTGAGGCCCCGGCTGGGGCTCTCCTGGGGGTATTTGAAGGGTTAAGGCTCCGGAATCTGCAGAGGAGGCCTGAGCTACTGGGGTTACAGCAAGAGGAGAGTATGTGTACTGGAGGGAGGGATGGAAAGGAGCAGCTGACTGGTCCAGGCAGCCTGCCCTCCTCCCTGCCAGAGACGGATGCCCAGAGTGGAAAAAAATAGCTCAGAATGCACATCTCAGGAAACCCCACCCAGCAGGCGCAGGAGCACAGCCCAGATCTGACGATTTGTTCCCCTCCCTTTTCCTTTATCTGCCCCCACAAGAAAACACTTTATCCTCCTACCCCAGGGCACAGCTGACCTCATAGCCACGAGAGCAAATGAGTAAAAAGATACACCCAGGAGTGTCTGGGCAAGTCACCAGGCCTGATTCTGCACCAAGGGGGCCCAGAATCAACTAAATATCCTTCCATCAGCCTGGACTTTGGGACTAAGAGGATGAAGCCACAGGGATCTAAACACTAAAATATCAGAGCTGGCTTAGACTTTGGATCTCACCTGGTCATTTGACAGACAAGGAAACCCCAGAGCCAAGAAAGTTCCTGCTCCACCCCAGAACAGCCCTCTTCTTCGTCATGGGTTTGGAACTTCCCTTCCCAGCCCCGCCCACTCTCTGAGTGATAGACACCAGCACACACCCTCTCCCAAGGAGGGGCCAGAACAAGCTACCATTCTCTCAGTTCTCTAGTGACCTCTCAGCTCAGAAACAGTTAAGACCGGGCCGGGTGCAGTGGCTCATGCCTGTAATCCCAGCACTTTGGGAGGCCGAGGCAGGTGGATCACGAGGTCAGGAGATCAAGACCATCGTGGCCAACATGGTCAAACCCCATGTCTACTAAAAAATACAAAAAATTAGCTGGGCGTGATATCCCACACCTGAAGTCCCAGCTACTCGGGAGGCTGAGGCAGGGGGATCGCTCGAACCCGAGAGGCAGAGGTTGCAGTGAGCCAAGAACATGCCATTGCACTCCAGCCTGGGCAACAAGAGTGAAACCCCATCTCAAAAAAAAAGACAGCCAGCCCTCGACTTCTGGCCCCCAACTCGAGGCCACCCCTCCCAGCCCCCTCTCTAGCCAGGGTGGCCTCTCTCTGGACCCATGGAGACCGAGGGGTGGCTCCAAGCTCCCAGGAGGGAGAGGCTGTCCTGGGGATCACGAGAGGACCCAGGCACCGCAGCTCCGCCACCCTTGTCTGGAGCAGAATCCTGTGATCAGAATGGTAATCTCGGGTTACCCCACCCAAGTCAGGATGGCCTGGGAGTACAGATAAGGGAAGAGGAAGCCATTAGCAGGCTGATGCTATAATACTTCTGAGCACAGTCCCTGTTCACTTCCTTCTTTGTTTCATCTCCTGTCTTTTCATTGAACTTCAAGATTAGGAGGGGAAAGAGACAGACAAAGGAGACTGATAACTAACCCCAAAAAAGAACTAGGGAAGGGGCCAGGCATGGCGGCTCACGCCTGTAATCCCAGCACTTTGGGAGGCCAAGGCGGGCGGATCACGAGGTCAGGAGATCGAGACCATCCTGGCTAACATGGTGAAACCCCATCTCTACTAAAAAATACAAAAAATTAGCTGGATGTGGTGGCGGACGCCTGTAGTCCCAGCTACTCGGGAGGCTGAGGCAGAAGAATGGCATGAACCCGGGAGGCGGAGCTTGCAGTGAGTCAAAATGGCGCCACTGCACTCCAGCCTGGGCAACAGAGGGAGACTCTGTCTCAAAAAATAAATAAATAAAATAACTAGGGAAGGAAGGGAACCACTTAGAGTAGTTGAACCACTTCCAGTACTTACTATATAACTAAGGAAGTACAGGTTGAATATCCCTCATTTCCAAAATCCAAAATGCTCCACAATCTAAAACATTTTGAGCACCAAGATGACACTCAAAGGAATGCTCACTGGAGCATTTCTGATTTCGGATTTTCAGATTAGGGACGCTCAACCAGTAAGTATAATATACATAGCCCCAAATCCGAAAAAATCCAAAATCCATGTGCTTCTGCCACTGTAGATGTCTGCCCCCATGGCTATCGTGACTATATGCTCGAGTAGGAGAGTAAAGTGTTTTCTTGGGGGTGGAAGGGAGTTGGGGTGGGTAAAAGAAAAGGGAGGGAAGGAAATTGTCAAAATGGTCCCATTTTGGATAAGAGACACTCAACCTATAGTAACTAAGGCACATCTGATCCTTGCAACAGTGCTGTGAGGTATTCTTACCCTCATCCCACTCTATAGATGAGATAACTGAAATTCAGAAAAAAAGAGATCTAGGGTCCCACAGCAGGCAAACAGCAGAGATGAGTTTAAGCATAGATCTCACACCTGATTTAAAATTCAGCCTCTTTGCTTTTATATCAGGCAGGAGTAGAAGCCCCTGAGGCATCTGTAGCACGCACCTGCGTGAATAGGCAGCACCAGGGTGGGGCCAAGGCAGTAAAGATCAAAACGATAGATAGAAAGGAGCTGAGCAAGCTGTTGTTGCTACCATTATTTCTTTCCCCTGCGGAAAGTTGATCTGAAGCCTGGGTCCTGGGCTAGGAGGTGGGGACCTGAAGTTCTTGTCCTGGCTTTGGGACTCACTCCACTGTGAGAGCCACATCTCTAGACCCAGTTTTAACATCAGTAAGACAATTCCCCTCAAATGAAAGAATGGCCAGGCGCGGTGGCTCATGCCTGTAATCCCAGCACTTTGGGAGGCCGAGCCAGGCGGATCACTTGAGGTCAGGTGTTCGAGACCAGCCTGGCCAACATGGTGAAACCTCGTCTCTACTAAAAATACAAAAATTAGCCGGGCATGGTGGCACATGCCTATAATCCCAGCTTCTCGGGAGGCTGAGGCAGGAGAATCACTTGAACCCAGGAGATGTAGGTTGCAGTGAGCCGAGACCATGCCACTGCACTCCAGCCTGGGCGACAGAAAAAAAAAAAAAAAAAAAAACTGAAAGATCAAAGTCCACTCTGCCAGTTTCTGATTCTGAATGAACAGCCTAACAGGAGGCTTCAGGGCAGAATGGCATGGCTCCCCAAGAACCTACACCAGGGGGTCACTACTGATGTGCAACTGTTTCCAAGGACATCTTCAGAGGCAGAAGTACATGGCATGTTCTCAGTATGGGGCTGTCCACACCCTCCCAAACTGTCCCCATAATGCTGTCTGGACCCTACGGCCAGCTCTTCCTGGGTGATCAGTTACGCCCGAGCTAAACAGTATATAACACTCTAGGAAAGAAAGAGTAGGAGGCAGGAAGTCCACTGACCTGGGTTCATGAACTAGCTGCAGGAATCCAGGCAAATGACCTCCCCTGGCCTCCTTTTATCCCTAAATCAGCCCACGTGGGGGAAAGGAGTAGGGACTTGTTTATGGGAGCCACAGTGGAGAAACAGAATCACCTAGCCAGGCATTTCCCAGACTGTTCTAAAGAACACGCCCCAGGAGACGTTAATGAATGAGTGCTGGAAACAGATGACTCTTGAGAAACAATCCACACCCCCTTCTTGGAAATTCACAATGGCATATTCTGCCCCTGAGAAGTCCTGCAGTAAGCAACCCTGTTCAGCTTTGTTTAACCCAGTGTTCCTTCAAACTCCCTTAAGCCTGAGCCACTTTTATCGAGGCAAACCTATTAACACCCTGTGGGATGCTGACCCAGGCCACCTTTGTATTACAGACACCCAACCCTGAGAATCATTCATATCCTAACTCCTCGTCTCTTATAACCTCTGTGCGTACACCCAGCTGCCCCTCAGAGCAGTCACATGAAGTACTAGACATGCCCTCTCACTCTCAGGGGGTCAGCCCAGTGCCAGGATCTCTGGCGAGGGTCCTCCCCTTCCCCCATTCCACACAGCTGCTATCCCACCGTGGGATTTACTGCCAAGGGCCGGGGGACATATCCAGCTACCACAGAACCAGGAAACGGGCACCCCTAACCTCACCTCTGTGCAACGGGGCAAAGCACAAATCATTACAGACAAAAGTGGGAGCTCATTAATATCTCCCTTCCCACCAATGGAGGTACCTGCCACTGTAGCCTGTCGACTTCTGGATATCATTTCTACTTCAAAACAAGACCCAGGTTTTGGCCTAGAATCCCAGAATCTTAGGGTTGGAAGATTCTGTCAAGGTCATCCCTTCCACTGTGTCCCCAACAGAATAGGTCCAGAAGGCCCATGTCATGATCAGACATGTTGTTAGCAGAACTTCTTCCCAGAGAATTGTATGAGCTTCCACTCTCTGGTCGTCCCAGTTCAGCCCTCTGAAAACACACAAGTATGTGTGTTTCCCTTCTCTGTGGCTTCTGCTTTTTCTGAAAGGCCCAGGGTGAGGCCTGCGGTTGGAGGTGCTCTGAGGTAGACAGCGTCTGGCTGAGGCACCCATTCCCAGGGGAGGAGGCTGAGCCCAGGTGGCTATTACCCCAGCTCATGACATGAGGCTCTCCCAACACTTACAGGATAACCCATCATTACCTCTCTGAAGGGCTCATTTTTACAAGTGAGGCCTTGAGGTCATAGCACAGAAAGACAGGGCCCCTGACACTGTGGTCCTGCCTCTTCCATTTAAGCTATAAACTGGTTCTCTGGATCCTCATGACTGGAGAGACAGAGAGAGGAGGCAGGTGAGAAGGAAGTATGGCTCCCCCTTTGCGCCAATAAAGCAGCCCCAGGAGGCACCTGGCTCCCCTGCCACCACTGGCCAGCCCAAAGTCGCCAGCTTGGAAACCAAAGCTCACTAATGAGATGAATATTTCAGAGCCCAGAGAACTGGACACCTGAGGGCCCTTCCATGACATCTGGCTCTGACCTGCGTTCCCAGGCCTACTTATCCCATGTCCAGGGTGCTCAGGTAGAACCCCAAACTCCTGGGTACCACGTAGAGGCCACAGAGGAGGGAGAGGAGATGGAGACCCCATAGGACAAGAATTGGTGCCGACCCCACAAGGCCAGGGCCTGGCCTCCCAGCAGCCTCCCTCTGCTTCCTCCCACTGGTCCCTGGCTCCTGCCCCAGTCTCTCCACTTGCTTTCCCTTTTCCCGTTTCTCTGTTTTGTTTTCACTCTAACCCAAAGAAGTCACGAGGAGGATGTTACTCCCCTGTAGTTCTGTGAACCCAGCCGGGAAACAGTGGCTGGAAGTGGGACTGGCAGAGGGCAAAGTCATGGTGATAGAGGTGGCCACTTCCCCATGCCAAACACTTGAGCTGCTCATTGGCTTCTGCCCCAGCTGCAAGCTAGGACCCCCCCTTCCCCACCCCTTAAATATTCACCTGTCTACACCGAGACTGGCCTCAGCGCGTGTGGGGGCAACCTGGGGTCCGTGCCAGGCCCTGGCTGTCTCCCCTCCCTCTTCCCTCTTCTCACCAGCTGAGGGCCATGAAAGCCCTCATCCCACACAGCTGGCCACTCGGGCTGGCATGGTGGATAGGCCCTGCGACAGAGAGGCCACTCGTGCCCGAAAGAGGGAACACGAGGACACCCCCAGACCCTGGCTCCGCTCACCAGTGCCCACAACACGCTGCTGGGCTCCCAAGGCTAACCAGGTGCCACAGACCCGGCCGCCCACCCGCGCGCCCAGGGAGAGCGAAACGCCAAGGGCCAGGAGGGGAGATCCCCATCTGGAACGGGCTCCTTGGGCCCAGGAGCGGGCAAGCCGGGAGCGCGCTCCGAAAAGTTTAGGCGCCCCGGCGCATGGCCGCCCCAGCCCTGGACCAGTCCCCACCGCCCACAGTCCCCAACGGCGCCGGCCCCGGCCCCCTGGCTTGCCTGCGCCGTTCCAGACGGAGCGTTCCTGGCCTCGGAGTGTTGCAAGTCCTCCGGGGCCGGGCAGGGCTAGGCTCGGCTGGGGCTCCGCGCCCCGCCCCGTCGCGCCGGCCTCGTGGGGCGGGGCCTCAGGGCGCCGCCAGGGGGCGCAGGGGTCTGTCCCGGGCGCGCGCGCCTCTCAGAGCCCCGACGACGCCTCACTAATAACACAGGGGTATTTTCGGATTTAAAGGCAATACATGATACTGATAGGAAGCTAGAAAAGACACAGAAATGCAGGGAAGAAAGTAATTTCTCTCCACCCCTCCTAGTTCCCAGGGGGAAGCGTTCGCTTTGGGTCCTTCTTTGGCTATTACATTTCTGTATGTATTTTGTTTTTCTACAGTGGGGTATATTGTATGGTGTTTTGTTTACTGCCCTTCTTTTTACTGTTTTATGATGAACATTTTTCTTCTCACTAAATAGTCTTCAAAAGCACAATCTTAATGCCGTGAAGTATTCCATTGCATGGCTATGCGGATTAAATTAATTTCCTACTGGAGGCCGTTTGTTTCCCATTTTTACATTACAAATAAATCAGTAATTAAAATCCTTGATAATTCTGTGTTTTTGAGATAAATGCACTTTTCGAGTTTAAAACTGCAAACATGCAAACCTAGAATCTCTGTTTATAATTACTCAACCAGGAAAGCAGGTGCTTTCCTCAAGTCAGAATTCAGAAGTCCTACATTGAGATGTAGATTACTACTGTTAGGTAGGTCTTAACCCTCATCTCAGTGAAGAATGCAGTAGCAAAGGAGGAAACAGTTTTGAGGAAGTTCTGAAATATTACTGGAGCCTGGGCATGGTGACTCACACCTGCGATCCTAGCACTTTTGGGAGGCCAAGGCCAGAGGATGGCTTGAGCCCAGGAGTTGGAGACCCAGCCTAGGCAACATAGAGAGACCTTGTCTCAATTTAAAAAGAGAAACATTACCGAGCCTTGCCTGAGTTTCTGTGGTTCCAAAGTCCAAGTTCTTTCCATGACACCAAGGCTGCCAGTAGTTGACCAACTCTGTTTAAAGTGCTTATCTCATGTTAATAGCTATAGGTCAGCACCACACCACCACTGAATGTCCTTTTTTTTTTTTTTTTTTTTTTCCAGACAGGGTCTCGCTCTGTCACCCAGGCTGGAGTGCAGTGGCGCCATCTCGGCTCACTGCATCCTCCTCCTGGTTTCAAGTGATTCTCCGGCCTCAGCCTCCTGAGTAGCTGGGATTACAAGTGTGTGCCACTACACCCAGCTAATTTTGTTTGTTTGCTTGTTTGTTTTGTTTGGTTTGTTTGTTTTGTAGAGATGGGTTTTCACGTTGTTGCATAGGCTGGTCTCAAACCCCTGAGCTCAAAGCAGTCAGCCCACTTTGGCCTCCCAAAGTGCTAGGATTACAGACATGAGCCACCACGTCCAGCCCCAAAACAGAGATTTAAAAAAAAAAAAAAAAAAAAAAGACAGATTTTTAAAAACTGCCCCCCATACACACACTATGTATGTTTATTTCTGTAAATATAGTTTAAGTAGGAGTTACTTAGGGGGACTAGTGGCCGTTATGGTGGGCTAGCTCCCCAGACACCCCAACCCTTCAGTGTACTTCCAGTTCCTACAGGCCAAGAACCTCATTTTAGGAAGTCCCCACCCAAGGTGTGATCTCACCAGAGCAAGTACAGTTCTGCTCAGTGTCTGTCTCCCCCTTGCTCAAGGAGTAGCGCCCTAGGTGAAATGCATGGCCCATGGAATCTGTCCAGATCCCTGACATTTTTTCATGCTCTCTACACTTGTGCTGTCTTAGTCCATCTGGGCTGCTACAACAAAAATACCTTAGAGTGGGTAATTTAGAAACAGCAGAAATGTATTGCTCACAGTTCTGGAGGGTGGGAAACGCAACATCAAGGCACCAGCAGGTTAGGTGTCTGATGAAGGCTCCCTCTGCTTCACAGATATCGTCTGAGTCCTCATATGGCCAAGGAAGGAACAAACAGACACCGCCCCCCCACCAGCCTTCCTTTTTTTTGAGATGGAATCTCACTCTGTGCAATGGCACAATTGCAGCTCACTGCAGCCTTGACCTCCCATGTACAAGCAATCCTTCCAACTCAGCCTCCTGAGTAGCTGGGACTACACACATGCACCACCACACCTGGCTAATTTTTGTATTTTTTGTAGAGACAGGGTCTCACTATGTTGCCCACGCTGGTCTTGAACTCCTGGGCTCAAGCAATTTGCCCTCCTCCACCTCCCAAAGTGCTGGGATTATAGGCGTGAGCCACTGCACCTGGCCACCAGCTTCTTTTCTAAGAGCATGAATTCCATTCCAGAGGGTTCCGCCTTCATGACCTAATCACTTCCTAAAGGCCTCACCTTTTAATACTATAACATTGAGGATTAAGTTTCAACAAATGAATGGAGTGGGGACAACAACATTCCCACCATAGCAGGCCCCTTCTCCAGAAAACACCCTCCACTTTCTAGAACCACCAGGATGGTTAATATCCAAGGAGATTCCATTTCCAACCAGCAATCACCAGCGACTCACATCTGCCCGACTGGGGGAGTGGGACATGGGGCACACGAGGCAAGCCCACACAAGCCTTGCTGCGTGCTTTTTCTCCAGAGCCCTTTTTCTGACTATAGGGTCAAAAATAACACCTGAAGCGCCTGGCCCAGAGCAGCAGTGCTTCGCTGGCAATAGGCATTCGATAAATGATGTTTTTTTCTCTTGGGCCTTATCTGCAAAATTATTAAGTAAGCTTTTATTGTCTGCCAACCAGACAGGAATTTCCGGTTCTAGAAATGAGAAGGCTGAAAGAACACAGCCCCTGCTCTCAAGAAACTCACAGTCTAAGGGAGCCAGTAAAATGACAGATTATTACAATGTTGACAGTTTGACAAGTGCTGGCAGATAAAGAAATATTCACTTGGTTCCTCCAGATCCCAGAGAAAGCTCCTAACCCAGTGTGGGGAATGGGGTGGGGGTTCGGGAAAGGAGTTCAGAGGAGGTGACACCTGAGTAGAGTGTTAGGAGGTGTTAGGAACCAGCCTATTCGGAGGAGGGGAGAAGGTTCTCCAGGCAGAGGGCAAGGGACTTAGGGCCAGTTGCCCCAGCAAGCTAGGATGGGGGGTGGAGGGTGCAGTGGGGTAGAAGGGGTAGGAAATAGGGCTGGCCAAGGAGGCAGGGGGCCAGAAATTGAGATTTTACCCTGAAAGCAATGGGGAGCCAGAAAATAACCACCTAGAGGGAGTTTGGGAGGGTTGGGGAGGCTCTGGTGGTGCCCCTGGGGTAGGGTTCCAGCTTTAGCAAATAAAGATGCAAGGCAACCAGTTTGAGCTTCAGATAAACAACAAACCTTTTTTTTTTTTTTTTTCAAGACAAGGTCTGGCTCTGCACTCCCAGGCTGGAGTACAGTAGTGCGATCTTGGCTCGCGGCAACCTCCACCTCCCAGGCTCAAGCCATCCTCCCACCTCAGCCTCTCAAGTAGCTGGGACTACAGACATGAGCACCACCACGCCCGGCTAATTTTTGTATTTTCTGTGGAGACAGGGTTTTGCCATGTTGCCCAGGCTGGTCTTGAACTCATGAGCTCAAGCAATCCATCCGCCTCACCCTCCCAAAGTGCTGGGACTACAGGCATGAGCCGCTGCGCCCGGCCAAACAATATTTTTTCATATAAGCATATCCCACTGCCCCATATAATATTTGGAAATACTTGTACTAAAAAAAAGTACTCATTGCTTATCTGAAATTCACATTTAACTGGTTGGTTGTATTTTTCCAGCAACACTACCTAGGAGGAAAGTGGAGTCAAGTCCATGGCTGCAGGAAGAGGGGTGGAGGAGTGAAAGGGATTAGACTGATGTTTATTTTAGGACTGGATGTTATTTTAGGTATTTTAGGACTAGCTAAAGCTTAGTGATTGGTGGGAGGGGGTGGTGGCAGCCTGGAAGGGGTGGGCCCAGGTGGAACCTGAAGGACATGGGCAGGAAAAACTTAATTGGAGCGGTGGATCCAGAGAACTTTCTCTGTTGCCACCCTCCAGCCCAGCCCCAGGACTCCACTAATTGGTCCTCCAAACCCTTCTCATAGCTGCCTGGTTACCTAGCATTTAATGTGTTACTCTACCCATGCATTGATCACTAACTTTCTGAAAGAAGTTGCCTTTTTTCTGTTTTTCTTTTTCTTTCTTTCTTTCTTTCTTTTTGAGATGGAGTCTCACTCTGTCACCACGGCTGGGGTGCAGTAGCATGATCTCGGCTCCCTGCAACCTCCGCCTCCTGGGTTCAAGCGATTCTCCTGCTTGGCCTCCTGAGTAGCTGAGATTACAGGCGCCCACCACAATGCCCAGCTAATTTTTGTATTTTTAGTAGAAACAGGGTTTTGCCACGTTGGCCAGGCTGGTCTTGAACTCCTGGCCTCAGGTCATCCACCTGCCTTGGCCTCCCAAAGTGCTGGGATTACAGGCAAGAGCTACCGCGCCGCCCGAAGTTGCTTGTTTTCAGAGGACGTATTTACTGAATTGAGGCATTGAACCCAGCCTGAGGTGAAAGTGCCTGTTTCTCCCCACTGGAGGGCAGAGACAATGTCTCATTCACCCCTAGGCCTGGGCACGGCCCTGACCCAGCATCTGTTGAATTGAATGCCAATGTTCCAAAGTGGGATGGAGGGAGCCTCTCAGGCTTGAATGATAGATGTGTGGGGGATAGATAAGGTAGGGGTGGGGTATGGGGGCTCCTCCCCCTTAAAATTGGCCTTATTATTCATAAACATTATTTAACACTTTCCTAAGGAAATAGAGAGTGGAAAGAATGGTGGATTTGGATGTCTCAGAAGTGAAGTTTTGTTCCAGCTTTGGCACTAAAGGACTGTGAGGCCGGGGGCCCATCTCTCTACTTAGAAATCACACTGTGGCTGGTCACAGTGGTTCATGCCTGTAATCCCAGCACTGTGGGAGGTCAGGGGGTGGATCACCTGAGGTCAGGAGTTAGAGACCGGCCTGGCTAACATATAGTGAAACCCCATCTCTACTAAAAATACAAACAATTAGCCAAGTGTGGTGGCGCATGCCTGTAGTCCCAGCTACACCGGAGGCTGAGGCAGGAGAATCGCTTGAACCTGGGAGACAGAGGTTGCAGTGAGCCGAGATCATGCCACTGCTCTCCAGCCTGGGCAACAGAAAAAGACTCCGTCTCAAAAAAAAAAAAAAAAAAAAAAAGAGAGAAGAAAAGAAATCACAGTGGCTCACGCTTGTAATCCCAGCACTTTGAGAGGCCGAGGCGGGCAGATCACAAGGTCAGGAGATCGAGACCATCCTGGCTAACATAGTGAAACCCCGTCTCTACTAAAAATAGAAAAATTAGCTGGACGTGATGGCAGGCGCCTGTGGTCCCAGCTACTCAGGAGGCTGAGGCAGGAGAATGGCATGAACCCGGGAGGCGGAGCTTGCAGTGAGCCGAGATCACGCCACTGCACTCCAGCCTGGGCAACAGAGGGAGACTCCATCTCAAAAAAAAAAAAAAAGAGAGAGAGAAATCATACTGCATTTCTCTACCTCCTGTGACTTCTGGCGCCTTCCTCAGTTGAGGTCATCTAGGTGAAAGGCAGTGAGAAAGGCACATGGCGGATGTTGATGGTGACTGAAACTGCTGTAACTGGAAGTGGGTGGCACCATGAGGAAGCCAGGCCACGGAACCAGCCTGGCATCCACCATGCTGCAGGCAGGGCCAGCGAAATGCTTTCCATTCTTCCCTGACCCTCAGAGTCACCTGAGCTGCTTGTGAAAACATGCACGTTCCCTTGGGGATACTTCTTTCCAGACCTGTGAATCAGAATCTTCAGTGGAAGCATAAACAAACGCTCCCCAGGTGAATCGCCAGCCACACCAGCAAGCTTTGGTGATAGACAGTCCTGGGTTTGAATCCAAGTTCAAATGTCTTTGGTGGCTTTGTGACCTTAGGCATATTACTTAACTGCTGTGAGCCTTGGCACCTTATCTATAAAAAGGGTGGTAATAATATAGGGTAGTTGTAAGAATGAAAAATAGCAGTTGTCAAATGCTTGGGGCAGAGTTAAAATGTTCATTGTTATTGTTGTTTGTGAGATAGAAGCCCAGTGATTCTCCCAGTGATGAACACAACCTCCTTTCACACTAAGCAGGGCCTGGAGGGATGAACTTGCCCGAGCTGGGAGCTCAGCAGGGCCAGGCTCCAGCTGTGCCCTTACACCCTGCCCTCTCGCCATGGACCTCTGCCACCTCTGCCAGCCAGAATACCGGGGGATTCTCAGCTTTCAAGCCCCTCTCCTCGTCCATCTTGGGCTTCATTCTCCCACTCTCTTGCCCCCCACCTAGGAAGCTCCTCCTCATAGATACTTGCTTTTGTCTAAACAACTCTACTCCCCAAGAAAAGCCAACAGCGATTTCCTCTTATTCCCAACCCACGATATTAGCTGCCTGAGAACCTCTCCTTACCAATAACTGCACCCCCTCCATAATCTCAATTTCAGGCACCCCACACTCTGACCACCATCTATTTTTCCAGCTCTGTGACCGTGATTTGACAATTCTGTGACCATATCAGGATCAACAATCTATTCATCTTACCACCTGTTCCTTTATTTTATTTATTTATTTTATTTTATTTTATTTATTTATTTTGAGACTGAGTTTCGCTTTTGTCACCCAGCCTAGAGTGCAATGGCAGTGCAATGGCGCGATCTTGGCTCACTGCAACCTCCGCGTCCGAGGTTTAAACGATTCTCCTGCCTCAGTCTCCTGAGTAGCTAGGATTACAGGCACCCGCCACCAGGCCCAGCTAATTTTTGTATTTTTAGTAGAGATGAGGTTTCACCACGTTGGCCAGGCTGGTCTCGAACTCCTGACCTCAGGTGATCCACCTGCCTCAGCCTCCCAGAGTGCTGGGATTACAGGCGTGAGCCACCGCACCCGACCTATTTGTTTATTCATTTATTTTTGAGACAGGGTTTCGCTCTCACCCAGGCTGGAGTGCAGCGAAGCAGTCATGGCTCTCTGCAGCCTCAGCCCCCTGGGCTCAAGCCATCCTCCCACCTCAGCCTCCCAAGTAGCTGGGACCACAGGCACACACCACTGCACCTGGCTAATTTTTGTAATTTTTTTTTTTTTTTGAGACAGAGTTTTGCTCTTGTTGCCCAGTCTGGAGTGCAATGGTGCCATGATCTCAGCTCACTACAACCTCCACCTCCCAGTTTCAAGTGATTCTCCTGCCTCAGCCTCCCAAGTAGCTGGGATTACAGGCACGTACCACCACGCCAGGCTAATTTTGTATTTTTAGTAGAGATGGGGTTTCTCCATGTTGGTCAGGCTGGTCTCGAACTCCTGACCTCAGGTGATCCGCCCGCCTCAGCCTCCCAAAGTGCTGGGATTACAGGCGTGAGCCACCGCGCCCGGCTAATTTTTGTAATTTTTTGTAAAGATGGGGTCTCCATATGTTGCCTAGGCTGGTCTCAAACTCCTGGGCTCAAGTGATCCACCTGCCTCAGCCTCCCAATGTGCTGGGATTACTGGAGTGAGCCACCGCGCCTGACCACCACCTCTTTCTTATCTCTCACATCCTCACTTTCCTCCTTGACCAGCTTGGATTCCAATATTATAATTACTCCTTTGCATGCAGCCTCAACTCTACCTTATGGTTCTCAGCAGCAAAATCTCAACTCTGCACCCACATAGCCAAAAGTGAGGGTAAAAACATGCAACGGTCCTGACTGATCTCGCTTTAAGTTCATGCACACTAACTTGTCCATTCATACTAACACACCCATCCTAGGCAATTACTCCACACTTTCTACAGTCCCTTCTGAACTCCCACACCTCCTCTGCAGCCTCACTCTCAGCCTCGACTTTGCTTCCTATGTCTCTGAGCAAGCAATCAGAGAATTGCTGCCTATATCACCACTTGGATGTCTAATAGGTGACTGCTTCTCAAACTTTAATGTGCAAATAGATCGCTTGGGGTTCATGTTAAAATGCAGATTCTGCTTCAGTAGGTTGAGAGTCTACATTTTTTTCTTTTCTTTTCTTTTCTTTTTTTTTTTTGAGATGGAGTCTCGCTCTGTTGCCCAGGCTGGAGTGCAGTGGTGCGATCTCAGCTCACTGCAACCTCCGTCTCCTGGGTTCAAGAGATTCTCCTGCCTCAGCCTCCCAGGTAGCTGGGATTACAGGCATGCCCCACCACGCCCAGCCAATTTTGTATTTTTAGTAGAGATGTGTTTTCACCATGTTGGTCAGGCTGGTCTCGAACTCCTGACCTCAAGTGATCCACCCACCTCTGCCTCCCAAAGTGCTGGGATTACAGGCATGCACCACCACGCCTGGCCATAGGTGAATTTTTAATGGGATTTTTAAATACTAAGTCTTCAAAATCTGGTATGTATTTGACACAGCATATCTCAATTAGGATGTTACTTTTTCATCAGAAATATAGGATCTGTATTTAGATCAAATCTGAAAAGTGTTTGTAAAATGTACATACTTGAGTGTTTTCCAATAACTGAAATAAGCATCAAGGTTTATTTTATTATTGTTTTATTTTTAGAGTAAAATGAAAGCAAGTTTATTAAGAAAGTAGAGGAATAAAGAATGGCTACTCCATAGACAGAGCAGCCAATGTTTAGATTTAAGTTTAAATGAATTAAAATTACATAAAATTAAAAATTCAGTTTTATAGTTGCACTAACCACATTTTATGTGCTCAGTGGCAAGTGGCTAGTGGCTACCATATGAAACAGCACAGATCTATAGCGCTGGTCATTGACTTAAGGGGGAATTCTGGGGGTCAGGGTCTAGATCGTAATTCATCTTGGCCAGATGCCTAGCCCAGGGCCTGCACTCAGTACTTTCTGCTGCGTTCCATTTACTTTTAACAAGTCAAAAACTGACATCTAGGAAGCGGTTGGAACAAGCCACAATCAGTTCCCAGACATGACCACTAGGGGGCAGAGTCTGACTAGCACTGTTTGGCTAGAAAAAGGGAGCCTTGGCCGACGCAATGGCTCACACCTGTAATTCTGCATTTTAGCCAGGCCCAGGCAGAAGCATGGCTTGAGCCCAGGAGTTCGAAACCAGCCTGTGCAACATAGTGAGACCCATCTCTTTAAAAAAATTAAAACATTAGCTGGGCATGGTTGTGCGTGCCTGTAGTCCCAGCTACTTGGAAGGATGAGGTGGGAGGTTGGCTTGACCCCAGGAGGGTCAGGGCTGCAGTGAGCTGTGATTATGCCACTCCAGCCTGGGCAACAGCCTGAGCTACCATCTGTCTCAAACAAACAAACAAAAACGGGAGAAAAGAAAGGGGCCAGGACTCAACCCCAATACCATTAAGATTTATTTAACAAGCATTTATGAGGGGCCAACTGTGTGCCAGACCTGTGGGGATACAGAAGTAAATAAAATACAGCCCCCGCTTTCTTGGAGTTTACAGTCCAGTAGGGAAGGCAGGACAGATATTAGCAACTCATCTCATAAGCAAAGGTATCTTTACAAACTGTAATACATGCACTTAAGGAAAGCTGACTCAGTGCCCTAAAAGAGTGGCACCCAAGGCAGGGAGCTGTGGCTCACGCCTGTAATCCCAGCACTTTGGGAGGCCGAGGCAGGCAGATCACCAGGTCAGGAGATCGAGACCATCCTGGCTAACACGGTGAAACCTGTCTCTACTAAAAATACAAAAAATTAGCCAGGCATGGTGGTGCGCACATGTAGTCCCAGCTACTCGGGAGGCTGAGGCAGGAGAATCACTTGAACCCAGGAGGCAGAGGTTGCAGTGAGCTGAGATAGCGCCACTGCACTCCAGCCTGAGCAACAGAGTGAGACTGCATCTCAAAAAACAAAAACAAAAGAGTGGCACCCAGGCACCTCTTATGTTGGCAGAAGGTGGCATGAAAGAGTAGCTACAGAGGGGATGGGCCGTGGGGGGTGGTGGACAATGGTGCTGTGACCCTTCTAAGCAGAAGGATCAAGCTATGTGAAGGTGTGGAGACACCCCTGAAGCTGAAAGAGCTTGGCATGTTCCAGAAACTTCCAGGAGAGTGGTGTGGCTGGAGAGTGGTGGGCACTGGGGCATGGCCCAAGAGGAGACTGGGGAGGTGGCAGGGGCCAGGTCTACAGAGTCTCAGGGCCTCTTTAAGGACTTCAAATTTCAGCCTAAAGATATCAATGAAAACATTCAAACTCTGTAAAATATTTGAAGAAATTTATTCTGAACCAAATATGAGCGACTATGGCCCTTGACACAGCCCTCAGGAGACCCTGAGAACACGTGGCCCAAGGTAGTCAGGGCGGGGGGACAGGGGCGCAGAATGTATGTGTGTGTTGAAGGGAGCTTCCAGGTTATAGGTAGATTTAAAAATTTTCTGATTGGCAATTGATTAAAAGAGTTACCTAAAGGCCTGGAGGTTTTTTTTCTGTTTGTTCGTTTGTTTGTTTGTTTGTTTTATGGAGTCTCACTCTGTTCCCCAGGCTGGAGTGCAGTTGTGCCATCTTAGCTCACTGCAACTTCTGCCTGCCAGGTTCAAGTGATTCTTCTGCCTCAGCCTCCCAAGTAGCTGGGATTACAGGTGCCCACCACCATGCCCAGCTAATTTGTTTGTATTTTTAGTAGAGACAGGTTTTCACCATGTTGGCCAGGATGGTCTTGAACTCCTGGCCTCAGTGATCTGCCCACCTTGGCCTCCCAAAAGTGTAATCCTTGGGATTACAGGTGTGAGCCACCAGCCCAGCCCTGAACCAGTCTTTCAGGTTAACTTTGGAATGCCCTGGCAGAGGAGGGAGTCCATTCAGATGGCTGAGGTGAGGGGGCATTGAATTTTATTTTTGGTTTACAAAGGAAGCCATTGAGTGATTTTGAGCAGGGCTGGGACATGGGACATGATCTGGGTGGTATTTTAGGAGAATCACCCTGGCTCTGAGCGGTGAATGGGTTGAGGGAATGGAGCCCGAGAGCAGGAAGGCCTTGAGGAGCCACCTTGGCTACAAGATGAAAGGTGGTGGCACCAGCCCCCACCCTGAGGTGTCAATACCCCACGACCCCCATCCCAGACCTGCACTTCTTTTTTTTTTTTTTTTTTTTTGAGCAGAGTCTTGCTCTGTTGCCCAGGCTGGAATGCAGTGGCATGATCTCGGCTCACTGCAACCTCTGCCTCCTGGGTTCAAGCGATTCTCTGCCTCAGCCTCCTGAGTAGCTGGGATTACAGGTGCCCACCACCATGCCCAGCTAATTTTTGTATTTTTAGTAGAGATGGGGTTTCACCATCTTGGCCAGGCTAGTCTTGAACTCCTGACCTCATGATCCACCTGCCTCAGCCTCCCAAAGTGCTGGGATTACAGGTGTGAGCCACCACGCCCGGCCAGACCCGCACTTCTTTGGTTTCATTTGGCTGGTTTCCGTTTGCTCTCCACATCCCCCTCCGTCTTCTCCACCCTGCTTGGAGCTGGTCCTATGGACACCTCAGTGGGCTCTTGGTCCTCCAGCTGCAGCTGAGTTTGGCAGTGGAGCTCTCCAGGAGGAGATGGCAGCAGAGGTGGAGGGTTTGTCTCCTTCTCCCTCCCTCAAGGCTCACCCCAGACTGGCTTATCCCTCAACCAGTGGTCACAGCCCCTATCAGTTGGGCCTGTCCACACAGCTCTGTCTTTGTTTTTTGTTTTTGAGACAGAGTTTCGCTCTTGTTGCCCAGGCTGGAGTGCAGTGGCGTGGTCTCAGCTCACTGCAACCTCCCAGTTCAAGCGATTCTCCTGCCTCAGCCTCCCAAGTAGCTGGGATTACAGATGCCTGCCACCATGCCTGATTTTTTGTATTTTTAGTAGAGACAGGGTTTCACCATGTTGACCAGGCTGGTCTGGAACTCCTAACCTCAGGTCATCCACCCGCCTCGGCCTCCCAAAGTGCTGGGATTACAGGCATGAGCCACCGCACCCAACCTGTCTTTATGTTTTATAACAGCTCCCTTCCTGACCCTTCAGGCCCAGGGGTGGCGACAGTGTCACTAGCCTGGAGAACTGTTTCCAGCACCTGCCGGTAGCCTTGCAGAGCACTAAAACTTAACTTCTCTCAAGCTCTCCTCAGCTTTCCCAGTTTGCCTGTGTCATCTGTTTCCCAGCAGACACTGACACATGTTTTCTACCCAGGCTGGTTACAGAGGATCAGTGGAAAGAGCATGGAATTGGGGGTCAAATAAAACCATAATTGAATTTGGGTTTTGTCGCCTGTGATGGTATGAGTCATTATTCTCTCCAAGCCTTCGTTTGTTCATCTCTAAAGTGGGGCGACTGGCCGGGCACAGTGGCTCATGCCTGTAATCCCAGCACTTTGGGAGGCTGAGGTGGGTGGATCACTTGAGGTCAGGAGTTCGAGACCAGCCTGGCCAACATGGTGAAACCCCATCTTGGTGAAACACAAAAATTAGCCAGGCGTGGTGGCGGGCACCTGTAGTCCCAGCTACTCGGGAGGCTAAGGCAGGAGAATCACTTGAACCTGGGAGGTAGAGGTTGCAGTGAGCTGAGATCGCGCCACTGCACTCCAGCCTGGGTGACAGAGCAAGACTCCATCTCAAAAATAAATAAATAAATAAAGTGGGGCGACCATCACCTTCCTTATAGAGTCGTGACAATGAAATCCCACGTGCAAGGGCTGTGCGCAGGCCTTGTGCTCAGTAGACAGTCTACACTCGGTTGTTCTGTTCTTCCTTCCCACACAACAGAACAAACATTTATCACACTGCATGCATCAAGCCCAGTGCAAGGTGCTGGGGATGAGGGAGAGACAAACAAGTGGAGGCCGCCATTTTTTGCCTACAGGGAGAGCTCAGTCTTGTTTTTGCCTGTTAGTTTGTATGTTTGTTTGTTTCTGAGACAGGGTCTTACTCTGTCACTCAGGCTGGAGTGCAGTGGCAAAATCATAGTTCACTGCAGCATCAACCTCTGACCTCAAGCAATCGTCTTGCCTCAGCCACTCAAGTAACTGGGACCACAGGTGCATGCCATGTCTGGCTATTTTTTTTTTTAATTTTTTGTAGAGGTGGGGTCTCACTGTGTTGCCCAGGCTGGTCTTGAATTTCTAGACAATTTTCCGATCCATCATCCCGCCTTGGCCTTCCAAAGTGCTGGGATTACATGCATGAGCCACCACCCCCAGCCCAGAGGTCAGAGTCTTGTAAAGAAAAGGCTATGGCTCCTCTGGGTGTGCCCCCTTCCGCCCCCACCATAGCCAAACCATTCGTTTCTGTTTGGCTGTGAGATGACATTTTTTCCAGGGTCTGGAGTTAGAGTAGTGACCAGGCAGTGCAAATAATTGTGGTAATCAGAAAAGCCTTCGAAGAGGAGGTTGAATTTATTTTTAGCCTTAAAGAAACTGGACTAAAAGGAAAGGCATTATCAGCCTCCTTGAGAACTGAACTCATTCTCCTCCCTCCTCTGTTGAGAGCTGCCAGACTCCCTAGATTGAGAATTGGACCTTCATTAGTTATGGTTACTCCTGGAAGGGTATCACATCCCCGGGGGCATGGTAGGGCTGGAAGGTACCTGGTATCTTGAGGAAGCTGCCTAAAAGGATTTCTCCAGGTGGCATGGGGCAGAAATCTAGGATAGTGATCAGGGCAGGCTGGCAGACGGGACACATGTGGAGGGGAGCAGCAGGAACGCCACACACTAGAGAACTGGGCTGAGACCATGTCGCTAAAACAAGGGATGCAAATTTGATTGTGTAGACACTGGCTTTGAGCAGGGGGAGCCCCTGCTTGAAACTGATGGCTAGGGGCTGCAGGTGCCTGCAATGGGCCAGGCATGAGGACCCAAGGGCCTGATTTGGGATGATGCAATGGGAAATGGAGGCAAAGGTCACACCCTCTTATCATTTCAGTCATAAAATATTTACTTGAGCACCCACCAGGACAGATGCTGATGTTGCAAGAATGAGATCAATAATATCAAGGAACATGTGTGGAGTACTTGAAACGGCCCAGGCAAGGTGTCCTTTCTCTGGGTAATCACGGTTAATCCTCCGAGTAGCTCCATGCAAATTACCAGTCCCTCGTGGAGAGAAAGAGAATGAGGTTTGAGTAGATTAAGAACATTGCCCCAAGGTGCAGAGTTCCTAGTGGAGCCAGGGTTCTAAGCTGGTCATTCCAAGTCTAGCACACAACCCCCAAACCCGATTCCACTCCCTCCCCGACAGTTCACCCTCCTTACCCACAAGGCACTTGAAGTGTTATGGGGCAGCGCCAGGAATTACTGCACAGCCTAAGGACCATCACAGAGACATGTGTGCAATGAAGTGTGCAAGTCATTACCTAGGCCTAAGAGATGCCCTCACCCAGGAGCTAGGTGTCGGGATTGGTTTGTTTGGTCATCTGACAAACACAGATGCTTCCTAACTTATAGAGTGGTTACATCCCAATAAACTCATCCTAAATTGAAAATATCCTAAGTGGAAAATGCATTAAATACACCTAAACCTACCAAACATCATAGCCTAGCCTAGCCTGCCTTAAACATGCACAAAACAATGACATTCGTTTACAGTTGGGCAAAATCATCTGGAAACACAGATGATGCCGTTGGCCAAGTTGGCAGACCTGAAGGAGAGGGTTGGGGTCACATGAGGATGAGGAGGTAGCTTTGGACAAATCAAGTTAAAGATCCCGTGTGGCAGCAGTCCCCAGCATTTTTGGCACCAGGGACCAGTTTCATGGAAGGCAGTTTTTCCAGGGACTGGGGGAGGCAATGGGGTTAGGGGGGTTCGGGATGATTCAAGCGCATTACATTTATTGTGCACTAGATTTCTATTATTATTACATTGTAATATATAATAAAATAATCATACAACTCACCATAAGGTACAATCAATGGGAACCCTGAGCTTGTTTTCCAGCAGCTGGATGGTCCCATCTGGGATTGATGGGAGACAGTGACAGATCATCAGGCATTAGATTCTCATAAGGAGCATGTAACCTACATCCCTCACATGCGCAGTTCACAATAGGGTGCGAGCTCCTATGAGAATCTAATGCTGCTGCTGATCTGACAGGAGGTGGAGCTCAGAGGGTAATGCAAGCAATGTGGAGCAGCTGTAAATACAGGTAAAGCTTTGCCTGTCCTGCTGTGTGGCCTGGCTCCTAACAGACCAAGGACCAGTATAGGGTTGGAGGGAAGCGGTTGGGGACCCCTACCGTGGGGCATCCAAGGGAGGCTCTTGTGGACATTTCTCCTTTGAAGTAATGAGTATACAGGTGGTAGCCTGTAAGTGGTGAATTTAGAGCTAGCAGAAGGGGAGCTTGTCAGAGAGGGGAGAGGAGAGCCAGAGAGACTGTGGCAGGGAAGGCAGAGGAAAAAGGCATGCTCCATTGTCATAGCTGCCACCCAGAGGTTCAGTGATAAGGGCTGAACAATGACAAATGGGTTTGACCTTCAAGGGGACAGCGCCAAATTAGGATGGAGCAGTACAGGCAGGGGCCCAGTTGAGTGGCCTGAGAATGGACGTGAAGTGAAAGGTAGAGACAGCAGAGAGGACTACTTTCTTTGTTTTAATAAAATAATAATTTTAAAAATTAAAATACTAATATGTTTTCATTATAGAAGATCAGAAAATATTTTAAAAGCACAAAAAAATAATAAACAAATGGTACCCCATGAGTCAATCAACCAAAGATTATGACTGGAAGCATTTTAGATTTTTTTTTTTTTTTTTTGAGACAGAGTCTCACTGCACATCACTCAGATGTGCAGTGGTGCCATCTCGGCTCACTGTAACCTCTGCCTCTCAGATTCAAGTGGTTTTCCTGCCTCAGCCTCCTGAGTAGCTGGGATGATTCAGGCACCCGCCACTACACCCAACTAATTTTTGTATTTTTAGTAGAGACGGGGTTTCACCATATTGGCCAGGCTGTTCTCAAACTCCTAAGCTTGTGATCTGCCCGCCTCAGCCTCCCAAAGTGCTGGGATTACAGGCACGAGCCACCGTGCCCAGCCTTAGATTTTTTTTAATCCATTTTTGTTTACAGAGGTACAATCGTATCAGTTATTCAAAATTTACCCAGTTTTGTGTCCTATTTTTTTCTCCACTACTTTCTTTCTTTCTTTTTTTTTTTTAGACGAGTATTGCTCTATCACCCAGGCTGGAGTGCAATAGCATAATCTCGGCTCACCGCAACCTCCACCTCCCGGGTTCAAGCGATTCTCCTGCCTCAGCCACCTGAGTAGCTGGGATTACAGGAGCTGCCACCACCCCTCAGCTAATTTTTGTATTTTTAGTAGACAGGGTTTCACCATGTTGGCCAGGCTGGTCTCAAACTCCTGACCTGAGGGGATCTGCCTGCCTCAACCTCCCAAAGTGCTGGGATTACAGGAGTGAGCCACCGTGCCCAGCCTCCTCCACTTCTTTCCTTCCTTTCTCTTTTTCTCTCTTTCTCTCTCTCTTTCTCTCTTTCTCCTTCCTTCCTTCCTTCCTCTTTCTGAGACAGAGTACAGTGGCGCAGTCATGTCTCACTGCAATCTTGACCTCCAGGATCAAGAGATCATTCAAGATCAGCCTGGGCAACATAGTGAGACCCTGTCTCTATTTAAATAAAAATAAAATAAAATAAGAGATCCTCCCACCACGGCCTCCCAAGTAGCTGGGACTACAGGCACCCACTACCACGTTCAGCTAATTGTCATATTTTTCGTAGAAATGGGGTTTCACAGCCGGGTGTGGTGGCCAAGACCAGCCTGGCCAACATGATGAAACCTGTTTTTATTAAAAATACAAAAAAATTAGCCGGGCGTGGTGGTGCATGCCTGTAGTCCCAGCTACTAGAGAGGCTGAGGCAGGAGAATTGCTTGAACCCAGGAGCCAGAGGTTGCAGTGAGCCAAGATTGTGTCACTGCACTCCAGCCTGGGCAACAGAGAGACTCCGCCTCAAAAAAAAAAAAAAAAAAAAAAGGAAAGAAAAGGAGAAAGAAAAAAGAAATGGGGTTTTGCTATGTTGGCCAGGTTGGTCTGGAACTCCTGACCTCAAGTGATCTGCCCCCTTGGCCTCCCAGAGTTACAGGCATGGCCACCACACCCAGCCTCCAGTTTATGGGAAAATATAAAATTTACCCAAAGTACTAGTTTGGATGCTCTTGGCTGCAGGTGTCAGAAAACCCAACTGAGGCCAGGCACAGTGGCTCAGCCTCTAATCCCAGCACTTTGGGAGGCCGAGGTGGGAGGATCATTTGACGTCAGGAGTTTGAGATCAGCCTGGCCAACATGGTGAGACCCCATCTCTACTAAAAATACAAAAAAAATTAGCCGAGCGTGGTGGTGCACACCTGTAATCCCAGCTACTCAGGAGGCTGGGGGAGGAGAATCGCTTGAACCTGGGAGGCGGAGGCTGCGGTGAGCCGAGATCGCGACATTGCACTCCAGCCTGGCGACAGAGCGAGATTACGTCTAAAAAAAAAAAAAAGAAAAGAAAACCCAACTGAAAGTGGCTTACATTATAAGCAACAAGAAGCCCAGAGCAGCGTGTAATTCCAGGATTGGTTAATTCAGGCAGTCGGTGAGGTCTCCATCACTTCTGCTCTGCCATCCTCGGGTGCTGGCATTTCCTCCTAAACAAACTGCTCCCCAACAGTCCAAGATGGCGTCTGTGGTTCCAGCATCCCAGGCAGGTGATGGCATCTTGAAGCAAGAAAATAGCCCTGTTACAGTCAAGTGCCACATGACAATGTTTTTTGTTTTTGTTTTGTTTTGTTTTTTTGAGACGGAATCTCACTCTGTCACCCAAGCTGGAGTGCAGTGGTGCAATCATGGCTCACTGCAACCTCCGCCTCCCGGATTCAAGCAATTCTCCTGCCTCAGCCTCCCAAGTAGCTGGGATTACAGGCACCCGCCACCATGCCTGGCTAATTTTTTTTATTTTTAGTAGAGATGGGGTTTCACCATATTGGCCAGGCTGGTCTCGAACTCCTGACCTTGTTATCCCCCCACCTCGACCTCTCAAAGTGCTGGGATTATAGGCGTGAGCCACTGCGCCCGGCCTACATAACAATGTTTTAATAGCGAAGGACCACATGTATAACAATGGTCCCATGAGATTATTGCTTTATTGCTTTTTTTTTTTTTTTTTGAGGTGGAGTCTCCCCCTGTCACCCGGGCTGGAGTACAGTGGCGCCATCTCGGCTCACTGCAACCTCCGCCTCCCAGGTTCAAGCGATTCTCCTGCCTCAGCCTCCTAAGTACCTGGGGTTACAGGTGCGTGCCACCACACCTGCCTAATTTTTATATTTTTAGTAGAGATGGGGTTTCACCATGTTGGTCAGGCTGGTCTCCAATTCCTGACCTCAGGTGATCTGCCCGCCTCGGCTTCCAAAAGTGCTGGGATTACAGGCGTGAGCTACCATGCGCCCCATGTTACAGCACCTTTTCTAGGTTTAGATACACAATATTTGCTATTGTGTTGTAATTGCCTACAGCATTCAGTACAGTAACATGCCGTGCAGGTTTGTGGCCTAGGAGAAATAGGCTATACCAATCAACCTAGGTTTGTGTAAGTACACACTATGATGTTTGCACAACTACAAAATCACCTGACACATCTCTCAGAATGTATTCCTGTCCTTAAGTAACACATGATTGTACATCCCTTTTTAAGAACAAGCAGAACCTTCCTAGAAGGCCTTCAGCCTATTTGCCTCCCCATCTAATCAGCTGTGTGACCTGGAGCCATTGATCTGATCTCAGTACCTCAGGGTTCCTATCTGTGTAATTGAAGGGGGCCAGCCCCTACGCACCTGTGGATATTTCTCATCAGGTGGGACGAGAGACTGAGAAAGAAATAAGACACAGAGACAAAGTATAGAGAAAGAACTGTGGGTCCAAGGGACCGGCGCTCAGCATACAGAGGACCCGCACCGGTGCCGGCCTCTGAGTTCCCTCAGTGTTTATTTTACTATCTTAGCGAGGGGAGTGTAGCAGGGCAACAGGTGGGGAGAAGGTCAGCAGGGAAACATGTGAGCAAAGGAATCTGTATCATGAATAAGTTCAAGGAAAGGTACTGTGCCTGGATGTGCACGTAGGCTAGATTTATGTTTCTCTTTACCCAAACATCTCAGTGTAGCAAAGAGCGACAGAGCAGTATTGCTGCCAGCATATCTCGCCTCCAGCCATAGGACGGTTTTCTCCTATCTCAGAATAGAACAAATGGGAATGGTCAGCTTTACACCGAGACATTCCATTCCCAGGGAAGAGCAGGAGACAGAAGCCTTCCTCTTATCTCAACTGCAAAGGGGCCTCCCTCTTTCACTACTCCTCAGCACAGACCCTTTATGGGTGTCAGGCCTTATGGTAAGGTCTTTCATTTCCCATGAGGCCATATCTCAGGCTGTCTCAGTTGGGGGAAACCTTAGACAATACCCAAGCTTTCTTGGGCAGAGGTCGGTCCCTGCGGCTTTCCGCAGTGCATTGTGTCCCTGGGTAATCGAGAATGGAGAATGGCGATGACTTTTACCAAGCATACTGCCTGCAAACATATTGTTAACAAGGCACATCCTGCACAGCCCTAAGTCCATTAAACTTTGATTCATTACAGCACATGTTTCTGTGAGCACAGGGTTGGGGCTAAAGTTACAGGTTAACAGCGTCTCAAAGCAGAAACAATTTTTCTTAGTACAGATCAAAATGGAATTTCTTCTGTCTTCCTTTTCTACATAGACACAGTAACAATCTGATCTCTCTTTCTTTTCCCCACATGTAAAGGCAAATATAATTGCATTTGTTGTGAGAGCTGAGGGTTAATCTATGTAAAGCACTTAGAACAGTGCCTTGCCTGTGATTTGTACTATATAAATATTTGCTATTACTATCTGATAGCAAGAATTACATTACATTCCTGGGTCTAACCAATAGCTTGGCTGGCAATGTGTGGCTTGGACCAAGCAAGATCCACCCATCAGGGCTGAGGAGGGACTCACTTGAAGGCTATGGCTATTCAGAGGAGAGTGGGCAAAATAGGGGTTAACAAGGAAAAAAGGGAGGGGTGAAGAATGGATATTGACCAACAGGATCTGCCACACCCATGTTGTTTAAAAAAAAAAAAAAAAGAAAACCTGGGCCGGGAGGGATGGCTCATGCCTGTAATCCCAGCACTCTGGGAGGCCAAGGTAGGTGGATCCCCTGAGCTCAGAAGTTCGAGACCAGCCTTGCCAACATGGTGAAATCCCATCCCTACTAAAATTACAAAAATTAGTTGGGTGTGGGGGTGTGCACCTGTAGTCCCAGCTACTTGGGAGGCTGAGGCACAAGAATCTCTTGAACCCGGGAAGCAGAAGTTGTAGTGAGCCTAGAACTTACCACTGCACTCCAGCCCGGGTGACAGAGTGAGACTCCACCTTAAAAAAAACAAACAAAAAAACCCTCTATCAATGTATGAGCATTATTCTCTTCGTATGTGTTCTATTTTTTTAACTTTTTTTTTTTTAGGTAATTACAGATTTACAAAATATTTGTGAAAATGTATAAGGAGATCTCATACCTGGCCCTAGCTTCCCCAAATATTAACTACCAGGAAATTAACCTTGATAAAAATGTTCACATATTATTTAACTACCAGGAAATTAATCTTTATACAATTTTTTTTTTTTTGGAGACAGTCTCACTCTGTCGCCCAGGTTGCAGGCTGGAGTGCAGTGGCGTGATCTTGGCTCACTGCAGCCTCCATCTCCCAGGTTCAAGCAATCCTCCTGTCTCAGCCTCCTGAGTAGCTGGGACTACAGGTGTACACCATCATGCCCGGCTAATTTTTGTATTTTTAGTAGAGATCTGGTTTCACCATATTGGTCAGGCTGGTCTGGAACTCCTGACCTCAGGTGATCCACCTGCCTCAGCCTCCCAAAGTACTGGGAGTACAGGCATGAGCCACTGAGCCCAGCCTTGATACAATTCTAATAACCTACCTATAGTCTTTATTGATGTTGACAGTTGTTCCCCAGTGTCTTTTTTTCTAGTCCAGGATCCAATTCAGGATCACGTACTGCATTGATTTCTAATTTAAATACCATTTAAAAGGAACACTGAGTTCCACAGAACCTAACTTTTGTTGCAAGATCTCTAGGTTGTTTGTAGAGTTTCATCATTACCAGTAACCCTGGGCCTTCAAATTTTTAATATATTTCAGAGTTTATCTTTTGGGCTGATCCCTAAAACAGAATTACTAAGTAAACAGATATGAACATTTTTAAGGCCTTGATGCATATTGGTAATTGCTTTCCAGAAAATTATACAAATTTGATGTCCCTACAAACCATGTATGAATACTCAACTTCCCATATTCTTAGAACTTCAGGATTTTATTCTTGTTTTTAATATTGGCATTTTGGTTAAGTGAAAATCAAATCTCGTTGTTTAACTGCATTTTCTTTATTTCTTTTTTTTTTTTTTTTTTTTTGAGACGGAGTTTCACTCTTGTTGCTGGAGTTTCGCTCTTGAGGCTGGAGTGCAGTGGCGCAATCTCAGCTCACCACAACCTCCGCCTCCCAGGTTCAAGCGATTCTTCTACCTCAGCCTCCTGAGTTGCTGGGATTACAGGCATGTGCCACCACACCCGGCTAATTTTTTGTATTTTTAGTAGAGACAGGGTTTCTCCATGTTGGTCAGGCTGGTCTCAAACTCCCAGCCTCAGGTGATCTGCCTGCCTCTGCCTCCCAAATTGCTGGGATTACAGGCGTGAGCCACCGCGCCCTGGCTTTTTTTTTTTTTTTTTTTTTGAGACAGAGTCTCTGTCTCCCAGGCTGGAGTGCAGTGACATGATCACAGTTTACTGCAGCCTTTACCTCCCAGGCCCAAGAGATCCTCCTACCTCAGCCTCCTGAGCAGCTGGAAGCACAGGCGTGTACCACCAAGCCTGGCTGATTTTTTAAATTTTTTGTAGAGATGAGGTCTCCCTCTGTTGCCCAGGCTGGTCTGGAACTCCTGGGCTCAAGCGATCCTCCCACCTTGGCCTCCCAAAGTGCTGGGATTACTTGTACTTTGGGTGCAAGTTAGCCACCATGCCTGGCTATACTTGGATTTTCTTGATTCTTTTGAGTTTTCACATTTTTTCATATTTATTAGCCATTTATTAATTTATTAATTGAGGTCATTGTGTTTTCACATTTATTTAAGGTCTGTAATCACTCCTTGGCCTTTTGGCTAAGATCAAGTATATTTAAGTTCGTTTTTTTTTTTCTTTTTGAGAGAGTCTCACTCTGTCGCCCAGGCTGGAGTGCAATGGGGCGATCTCGGCTTACTGGAACCTCCACCTCCTGGGTTCAAGCGATTTCTTGTGCCTCAGTGCCCAAGTAGCTAGGATTACAGACGCCTGCCACCATGCCCTGCTAATTTTTGTATTTTTAGCAGAGACTTGGTTTCACCACTTTGGACAGGCTGGCCTTGAACTCCTGGCCTCAAGTGATCCACCTGCTTCAGTCTCCCGAAGTGCTGGGATGCCAGGCATGAGCCACTATGCCCGCCTGAGGTTTTCTTTCTTTCTTTCTTTTTCTTTCTTTCTTTCTTTCTTTCTTTTTCTTTCTTTCTTTCTTTCTTCCTTCCTTCCTTCCTTTCTTTCTCTCTCTCTCTCTCCTTCCTTCCTTCCTTCCTTCCTTCCTTTCTTTCTTTCTTTCTTTCTTTCTTCTTTCTTTCTTTTTTGAGACAGTCTTGCTGTGTCACCAGGCTGGAGTGCAGTGGCGTGATCTCAGCTCACTGTGACCTCTGCCTCCCAGGTTCAAGCTATTCTCCTGCCCCAGCCTCCCAAGTAGCTGGGACTACAGGCACGCGCCACCACGCCCAGCTAATTTTTGTATTTTTAGTAGAGACGGGGTTTCACCATGTTGGCCAGGATGGTCTCAATCTCTTTGACCTCGTCATCCACCCACCTCGGCCTCCACCCGCCTCGGCCTCCCAAAGTGCTGGGATTCCAGGCATGAGCCATGGCGCCCGGCCAAGGATTTAAATTTTAAAGTAACTAAAACAGTAATTATTTCCCTTGTTAGATCTTCTGTTGCTTTTTTCTGAATAATGTATGCCTTTAAGGAATAATAGGAATAATAAATGCCTTTAAGAATAACATACGCCTATTAAGGAAAATTAGAATGACGCATTTGTTATTTTTAGCTTTAGAAAATCCTCTGCTATCCAGATTGAACATGTCTTTCATTTTCTTCTAATTTTCTGTGGTTTAATTTTATATCCTTAACCCTTTAATTCGGGTAGAATTTATTTTGGTGGATTCTGTGAGGCACGAGTCTAAATTGCTCTTTTGTAAATAGCTAGTCACTCATCCATCATGTCTTTCCAGCATCATTAATATTCTGTTTCCCTCTGTCACTGTTAACTATTATTGCAGTAATGCTGCATAAGAAGCCAGTTCAAAACTCAGAAGCCTACAATCATAAGCATGTATCTTGCTCATGCATCTGTGGGCAGGCTGAGCTTTAGCTGATCTAGCTTGGGCTCTGCTGGGCTGGGTTGACTTCCAAGCTGTGAGTGGGATCCAGGTGGCTCCATGTGCCTTTCATCTCCCTTAGACCAGCAACATCAGTGGCGTGGGAAAATATACCTCGCCTCCATTGAAGTGATGCACAGTCACAGGGTGAACGGTATGTTTACAGTGAGAGATGAATAACTGGAAACTGAAATGCCATCTACCACACCTTTGGAGACAGCCTTTCAGGAAACTAGATTGTGTTGAGATAAAGGCAGAATGGAGTCTAGAAAATGGCACAAGGTCAAGGGAAGATTTTTTTCTTTCTTTCTTTTTTTTTTTTTTTTTTTGAGACAGAGTCTCACTCTGTCACCCAGGCTGGAGTGCAGTGGCACGATCTCAGCTCACTGCAACCTCCACCTCCCAGGTTCAAGTGATTATCCTGCCTCAGCTTCCCAAGTAGCTGGGATTACAGGCACCCGCCACCATATCCAGCTAATTTTTTGTATTTTTAGTAGAGACAGGGTTTCACCTTGTTGCCCAGGCTGGTTTCGAACTCCTGAGCTCAGGCAATCCGCCTGCCTTGGCCTCCCAAAGTGCTGGGATTACAGGCGTGAGCCACTGTGCCCGGCCAGGAAGTTTTTAAGGCAGGGAGATGCTGGAATTTGCTCTTAGGCTGAGGAAAATTGCAAAATATGTAGAGGGGTAGGTAGTCACAGAAATTGTTTTCTCTAAGAAGGATATTTGTTGAAAGTAAAGGAAATGACGTTGGGGCTTGAGGTTTGGAATAACAACTGCAGATGAGATGGGGCCTCAGCAAAACGGAACTGCCAAGCACTGGTATCAGGGACTTGGGATGGCCTGAACCATCGCAGCCCTGAGTCATATGACACAGCAGTTTTCTTCAGCCCTGCCCGTGAGGTAGGAGACTGTCAGGTTGGTTCAGGTAGGTCTGAAGGTTGGTAGGTTAAGGCTGGAGGTCAAGGGGGTCAGGGGATCAGGAAGCTAACAGGTGGTAAGTAGTTCAAGGGATTGAGCCTAAGTTCAAATATAGGTGCAAGAGGGGCTGAAGGGCTGGAAGAAAACAAACTGCCTGAGGAGCTGGAACTGGAGGTCCATGTGTACTGGGGATGGGAGGGGATCAGGGAAAAGGACATTGGAATTTAGGTTCTCAGAGGCAGAGAAGTTCCAGGTGAATCTAGGGTGTGGCCATGTGAGCAAGCTGCTGAATTATGTCGAAGGCATTGGAATTGAAGTCAGGAACTGAGGTCAAGGCAGAGTTCAGAACCACCTATGCGAAATGCACACTCTTGGGCCCCAGCCAAACCTACTAAGTTTGAATCTCTGGGGGACGGACCAGAATTCCGTATTTTTACAAGCTCCCTGAGTGGTTCCTAGGCTCCCTAACACTTGAAAACTGCTGTGCTATGATGTTGAATGAGCCATGCTTGTTGGAATTACCTGATGGCAGGAATCAGGCAGGAAGACTAAAAACAGGTGTTGAAATCCTTAGAGAGTCTGGGCTGATCAGTGTATGGGACTGATGAGGAGGGGTGGAAAGAAGTTTGTACATGAGTCAGGAAGAGCAATGGCCTTGGCCTGGACTATTGCTAGTGCATTCCTTTCCAACCTGGAGACAATGTAGGAGACTAAAGGCTTCCACTGCAGAAGGCAGGGCAGTGAGAGAGAAGGTAGGGAATAGAAGACAGGGATCATATTCAGTCCAGACAGGCTGGGAGCTCTGTGAGAAGGCAGAGGACGTTGGGGAAGGATTTGTTTCAGACCAAACCAGGGTTCTGCAGGGTACAGCAAAATGGCTCGGACAGGAGTTCATGAGAAAATGGTCCACGAGGGAAAGTGAGCTTTGGTTGGGGATAACAGATGAGGGGATGGACTGGGCTAAGCAGAGGCCAGATTATCCCAGTCACCACTTCTGCACTGGGTTCACTTTTCTAAACTGAACTAATTTCTCCACCCAGGTCTGACAAGATGTCTCTTTTCTCTAACATTTAAACAGCTCCAACCATCTCAGCTCCTTCATGATTGTTTCGTCATCATCACCATCGTCACTGTCATCATCATCATCATCACCACCAGTGATTTCCTGAATGCCAACCAAGCACCAGTCATCAAGCGTGAGCCACGGTGCAAAGATGGAGGCAGGCTCTCCATTCTAAGGGAACCTCTCAGGCCAGTAGGGAAGGCAAGATTCAGACACCAGGGACAGGCAGCCTGGGATGACAGGTGGAACAAGGAGGAGACACAAGAACCCCCACCCCAACCCAGGAACCCACATCACAGGCCAGACCTGCATGATCGCCAGGCACCCGACTCGGGTTATGAAGGTGTCTCTCCTAAGAGAGTGGCAGAGGCAAACTTTAGCCTTGGCAGTGCGCCTCAAGCTGCTCAGGGGAGAAGTCACGGCCAAAGCCCTGGAGTGCATGGGTTCTTTAGCCATGGTTCTCCTGCAGCTTCCTCTGATATTATGAAGCGCCTGCCGCCACCAGGCTTGTTCTGACTCCCTTCCATGATCCACCCTTCTGAGTGGGGTTTGGCTTCTGTACAGCTCTCCTGTGGGCACTGAGCCCACTAGTCAGAGCAAGAGGGCTCCAGTCTCTGGACAGTCACAGTGCTTGGTGGCAAAACATAAATTGTCATTCATTCATGCCTTGTTTCTGTCATTCACTCATTCATTCAGCAGATACTTAACTGAACACCTGCTCTGGGCCAGGTATTATTCACACCACTGGGAATACAGTGGTGCCAACACAGGTCCCTCCCTGACTTCATGGGGCTAACATTCCAGTGGGAGTGACAGAAAAGATCCACAAAATAACATCACATTGTGAAAAGTGCTATGAAAGTGAAGGACGTAAGCACAGTAATATTAGTAATAGAGTAGAGAGTGAGGAGGTGGTGAGCAAAGGCCTCATAGAGGGAGTAACATTTTTTCTTTAATTTGATGTATACTTTACATATAGTAAAGTGCACAAATCTTTTCTTTTTTTTTTTCTTTTTTTTTTTTTTTTTTTTTTGAGACAGAGTCTTGCTCTGTCGCCCAGGCTGGAGTGCAATGGTATGATCTCGGTTCACTGTAACCTCCGCCTCCTGGGTTCAAGTGACTCTCCTGCCTCAGCCTCCCGAGTAGCTGAGACAAGAGGCTTGTGCCACCATACCCGGCTAACTTTTGTATTTTTAGTAGAGACGGGGTTTCACTATGTTGGCCAGGCTGGTCTCGAACTCCTGACCTTGTGATCCGCCCTCATCAGCCTCCCAAAGTGTTGGGATTACAGGCGTGAACCACTGCACCTGGCCATGCACAAATCTTTAATGTACAACTTGGTGAGTTTTTCAATTTGCGTATGTCAGACTCTCAACCTCTGTACTGCAGACATTGGGGCCATTTGTCCTGGGGACTGTCTTTCTTGTTTGTCTTTTTTTTTTTTTTTTTTTTTTGAGATGGAGTATTGCTTTATCGCCCAGGCTGGAGTGCCCTGGCATGATCTCGGCTCACTGCAACCTCCGCCTCTTAGGTTCAAGCAGTTCTCCTGCCTCAGCCTCCTGAGTAGCTGGGATTACAGGCACACACCACCATACCTGGCTGATTTTTGTATCTTTAGTAGAGACAGGGTTTCACTGTATTGGTCAGGCTGGTCTCAAACTCCTGACCTCGTGATCTGCCCACCTCAGCCTCCCAAAGTACTGGGATTACAGGCGTGAGCCATCGCGCTCGGCCCCGTCTTGTGTATTATAGGATGTTTAGCAGCATACCTGGCCTCTACCCACTAAATGTCAGTAACATTCCTCCCCACACAGTTGTGACCATCAAAAATGTCCCCAGACATTGCCATATATCTTCTGGGAGGCGAAATCGCCACTGTTGAAAGCCACTGGCATATGCCATGTAGCCAGCACTCAGCTCAAGATACAGGTTATTTCCACATGGAGGGGTTGGCGTTTGAGCTGACACCCAACAGCTAAGAAGCTGCCTCCAATTCAGAGAACTGGGGAAGGAATGTTCCAAGGGGAGAGAGCATAGGCAAAGGCCCTGAGGTGGGAATGAGCGTGGCACATTTGAGGAAGTGTGGCTGGTCCGTGGTGACAAGGGAAAGGCATCTGAGGAGGTTGAAGAGACAGGCTGGGCCCTATTGAGCAGGGGCTTTGTGGGATACGGTTAGGAGTCTGACATTTCAAAGAACGTTTGTGAGTATGTAATATGTACCTGGCACTATGCCAGACACTGGAGAGTTGAAGATGAATAAATTAAATCCTTGGCCCTACTCTTTTTTGCTTTTATTACTATTTTTAATTGACACACAATAATTGTACATATTTATGGGGCACAGTGTGATAGTTTGATACATGTATACAAGGCGTAATGATCAAATCAAGGTAATTAGCATATCCATCACCTCAAACATTGATCATTTCTTTGTGCTGGGAACATTCAAAGTCTGCTCTTCTAGCTATTTGAAAATATGCAGGCCAGTGCCTGTGGCTCATGCCTGGAGTCCCAACTACCGAGGAGGCTGAAGCGGGAGGATTGCTTGAACCCTGGAGTTTGAGGCTGCAGTGAGCTATGATTGTGCCACTGCACTCCAGCCTGAGTGACAGAGTGAGACCCTGTCTCTATTTTTAAAAAAAAGTATGAATAAGACCCAGAGTTGGCACAAAAGGGGACATGCTTAAGCCCATGAAGGATCCTGCTGGGAGGGTTCAAGAAGAGCTTTCTTGGAGAGATCACACCCAATTTGAGTCTTTGGGGAACAAAGAATAAATGGCACTCCACGCAGAAGGCACAGTATGTGCAAAGGCATGGGGGTGTGAAACAATATGATAGCTTGAGACAATACCTAAGTAGTTAAGTATTCTAGGGTATAAAGTACAGGAGAGGGGTAATAATAAGGCATCAGCCTGGATGGGATAGAAAATTCTTATGGCAGAGGAAGTGAAACTAAAGCCCACTTGCAGCAGACATTAGAAGTCTTCCAGAACAGTCTAAGGGTGGGGTTATGGCTCCCTGGGCCTGCATGACTCCCCTAAAACACTCACCCTCACTCCTTTTCCCAGTCCCGCCTTGACTCCATATGTTTCATCAAACATATCTTGGATTTATTATCTATAATCTTGTTAATTGTCTGGCTTGAGATTTAGAATTTGGTCATCTCTGTGTTCTCTACAAGCTCATGCTTGAGCATGCATTTCCTGTTTCAGATTACAGGACTGCATTTTAATTTCTTGATAGAATGCCTGATATAGCCTTACCTGGCACAGCCTTACCTGCAGAAAGTTGTGTGCACAATGACTTTTGATGATGCCTCCATGATCCTTCACTTTGCATGTACAGACACAGACACGGAGATGCAAACTCCTGCATCCTACAAGGGTCATCTGCAAATTGGCTTATCAGTTTTCTCACTCCTCTGTCTCCTCTGCGGTACCAGCCCTTTATATGCCAGGCACTGAGAAGCAACCTAATTACAGGCGAGGAGACAGGGAGGGAGCAGGCCATAGGCTCTGTCCCTCAAGATGTACCCACATAGAAGAAACTCCAGGTCTGTCTGGGTTTTCTGGATTAAACCCAGATTCAGGTATTGGAATTACAATTCAGTTTGAAGATAATTTAACATATCCCTCACCCATCTCCCTCCCAGAACCTCCCAGCAGCAGCAAAGGTGAGCTTGACTTTTTTTTTTTTTTTTTTTTTTGAGACGGAGTCTCACCCCTGTCACCTAGGCTGGAGTGCCGTGGCACAATCTCAGCTCACTGCAACCTCCACCTCCCGGGTTCAAGCGATTCTCTTGCCTCAGGCTCCCGAGTAGCTGGGACTACATGTGCATGCCACCATGCCAGGCTAATTTTGTATTTTTAGTAGAGATGGGGTTTCACCGTGTTAGCCAGGATGGTCTCGATCTCTTGACCTAGCGATCCGCAGGCCTCAGCCTCCCAAAGTGCTGGGATTAAGCGTGAGCCACCGCTCCCGGCCGAGCTTGACTCTTTTTTTTTTTTTTTTTTGAGCCGGAGTCTTGCTCTAGAGTGCAATGGCACGATCTCGACTCACCGCAACTTCTGCCTCCTGGGTTCAAGCGATTCTCCTGTCTCAGCCTCCCGAGTAGCTAGGATTACAGGCAGGCGCCACCATGCCTGGCTAATTTTGTATTTTTAGTAAAGACGTGGTTTCTCCATGTTGGTCAAGCTGGTCTCCAACTCCCGACCTCACGTGATCCGCCCCCCTCGGCCTCCCAAAGTGCTGGGATTACAGGCGTGAGCCACCGCGCCTGGCCGAGCTTGACTCTTTAGAGCATTTCCTTCCCTTCCTGTCCTGGGCCAGAGCTAGGGCTGGAGCCAAAACAAGCCCAGCCCTGGCTCCTGTGCCTAAATTTGTAGATTTCACCACCACCACGCCTGTCCTCACACCTGCTTCCATTCCAGGGACCTTAACAACTTCTAGAATCCATCAGGAGGGCAGCAGTGAGGGAGCTGGGAACGGTGATGTGGAAATCGCCCTGGGTTTGGGAGTGGGAATGCCCCAGCCCTAGGCCCCTCTGTGCCACCCATGGCTACATATCCTAGGTCATGTTGCTCCTCCAGAGCTTGTGTGGCCTCTTCCTATCCTTCAGGGCAGGACTTATGTCGTCCGCTGGGGAGGCCCTCCCCCATCTAAGTTGGCCCTCTCTGTGCTCCATATCATTGCCCCCTCCTTGACTTCCTTTCGCAATTTATCACGCGCATATGTATGTGTATGCATAAACAGATATAATTTTGTTTGCTCGCTTATTTGGTTCGTCGCCTCACTAGATTCCGGACTGTGGGCTCCAGGAATGCAGACAGTGTGCCTTTGACCCTTGCATCCTCCTCAGAGCCTGGCAGAGTGCCAAGTACATAGGAGGAGCTAGAAAAGTAATTCGGCGAATGAATAAATCCATGAATGGCAGCTGACCCCGATGATCTCTCAGGTTTCTGCCAGTTGAGAAAGTGTAGCAGTGCCCTGGACGGGGAGGCGGGCGGGGCGAACTGCGAGCTCCTGCCCCTTCCCAGGGCTCAGGCGACTGTGGACCCCGATCAGCGCAGGCTCGCGGCCCGCTGTGGCCCCGCCTCCTGGCCGCCAGCCGGGCGGAGCCAGGCCGCCCCCCAAGCCGGGTGGCCTTCGGGGTGCTTGCCCGGCTGGAGGTGGTGAGGGGGCGGGTCCAAAGGAGAGGTCAATGGGCGGGGCGGGGCCACAACGCCCCCACGTCCAGAGCCGGCAGGCAGGTTCCCCGCGGGGGGCCGGGGCCGGGCCGTTGCCTAGCAACGCCGAGCCCCGCCCGGCCGGCGCGTGCCTGCCCCCAGCATGGCTTGGCAGGGCTGGCCCGCGGCGTGGCAGTGGGTCGCCGGCTGCTGGCTCCTCCTCGTCCTTGTCCTCGTCCTACTTGTGAGCCCCCGCGGCTGCCGAGCGCGGCGGGGCCTCCGCGGTCTGCTCATGGCGCACAGCCAGCGGCTGCTCTTCCGAATCGGGTTAGTGCCCGGGCTCCGAAGCGTGCGGGCTCGGGAGGCGGGCGCGCTGGGAGAGGGGACTGGGAGGCGGGGGCTGGAGCTGGGGGTGGGCGTGGCGGTTAGGAAGGGGCTTGGTCTAAGGGAAGAGGGATCGAGGAGACGGACTGGAGAAGCCACTGAGTTGGGGGGCCTGAGGGATTTGGGGGGCTGGACAATTGGGATAAGCTGGGGAAGGAGGATCGGAGAGGCGGGCCAGGGTGGCCACGGAAGGAGGGCGTGAGAGGACATCTGGAGCAAAGTGCCACAGAATGGGCTGGAGACCAGGAAGCTGGACAGGGGGATAGTGCAGGAGCCAGGGCTGGGAAGACCGTCCCTGTCCGGGGGTGAGGTCAGCAGATGCCCGGGCTCCGATGGCAAGTGCCGGAGAGAAGGAATGCCTCCCACCGTCTGACATTTAAAACCGCCAACTCCTTTCGTATGTCCTTGTCCCACTCCCCAGCATCCAACTCCTCACCAGTCAAGTTAGGTTCTTCTGTCCCAAGCAAGAGTCCCAACCCTGTTGGATTCCAGTATGTCCCTTTCCTTCTAACCAAAGCCTGGCCCGTGTGGAAGCCCCAGGCTGTGAAATCTGACCCAACTGACTCTGCCCACTTTTCCAGTGATTTGTCTCCGTCGACCCTCCCCCGCTCACTCTGCCCTCCTGCCTCCCTCTACCCCTTCCTTCCTGGCCCCAGGGGAGGGTGGTGCCTAGCAAGCACTGTTCAGCCCCAGGGACACTGAGAGGCAGGGAAGAAGACAGGCCTCCGAGGCCCCCTGTCCCCTTCCTACTACCAGCCTGGCCATGGGTCAGGACCTCAAGCCCCAGTTTAGGGACAGTAATGTTGGGGATGGGAATTGTGAGAGCCCTGGCCACAGGCCAGGTTGTGGGGAGAGCCTAAGCCTGGGAATTTCCCGAGCTTCCGAGCAGACATTGTGCAATTCACCCTCTCCTCCCCAGACCACCCCACACGCCCAGAAGCTTCAGGCGCAGGATTCCACTCACAGTCTAAGAAATGCAGATATAAAGGCAGGATAACTAGAAAAACATGGTGCTGGAGGGTGGGGTGGGGATCTTGTGTTTGTGCCTTTTGGGGCATTCACATCTCTAATATCCTAAACCTTGGTCGCAGTTTAGATAATGTGCCAAGTAAGTTACCATTGCTCTGCACGTTGCATTAAAATAATGAGATTGAAAAATATTTAGGCCAGGTGCGGTGGCTCACGCCTGTAATCCCAGCACTTTGGGAGGCTGAGGCAGGTGGCTCTCCTGAGGTCAGGAATTCGAGACCAGCCTGGCCAACATGGTGAAACGCCATCTCTACTAAAAATACAAAAATTAGCTGGGCACGGTGGTAAGCGCCTGTAATCCCAGCTACTCAGGAGGCTGAGGCAGGAAAATTGCTTGAAGCCGGGAGAGGGAGGTTGCAGTAAGCCGAGATCGCAGCCATTGCACTCCAGCCTGGGCGACAGAGTGAGACTCCGTCTCAAAAAACAAAAAAAAGAAAAAGAAAAAAAAATCCCAAACATGAAGGTATCTAAATAATTTTCTTTTTTTTTTTTTTTTTTTTTTTTTTTTGAGACGGAGTCTCGCTCTGTCACCCAGGCTGGAATGCAATGGCATGATCTCAGCATGGTGAAACAGGGTTTCACCGTGTTGGTCAGGCTGGTTGCAAACTCCTGACCTCATGATCTGCCCACCTCAGCCTCCCAAAGTGCTGGGATTACAGGCATGAGCCACCGCACCCGGCCTTTTTTTTTTTTTTTTTTTTTTTTGAGACGGGCTCTTGCTCTGTTCCCTAGGCTGGAGTGGTGCAGTGGCACAATCTCAGCTCACTGCAACCTCCGCCTCCCGGGTTCAAGCAATTCTCCTGCCTCAGCCTCCTGAGTAGCTGCGACTACAGGCACCTGCTACCATACCCAGCTAATTTTTGTATTTTCAGTAGAGATGGGGTTTCATCATGTTGGTCAGGCTGGTCTTCAACTCCTGACCTCATGATCTGCCCACCTTGGCCTCCCAAAGTGCTGGGATTACAGGTGGGAGCCATTGCGCCCAGCCCATATTTGGGATTTTTAATGAAAACATTTTCTCCCCACAAAATTTCTGGGAATTTTACAGCCTTATCTGGGGAAAGATTTTTAAATCTACTTCTAGCTTTCAAAATTAGTAAGTTTGAGGTCATACAAATGGCCTGAGGAAGTGGAAAATAGAAGTTTCCATAAGGAACTGGAATCAGAATTCCTGAGATCAGAATGCCAGGATCACTATCTCAGAATCTTGAGGGTGTGGGTATGCCTGGAACTTGAGACGTGGGATTTTACAAATCTCCAAAACTCTAATCATTGGAGAGCTTCTTCAAAATGCAGTATTTCTACAGGCTTTCCTGTGTCTGGATTTCAAAGTTGCTTTGGAATCCACTCCTCAAATTTGCAGAGAGAAGGGTGCGCCTGGAGTCAGAATTCCAGACCCTGCTCCTCATAGTCTGGGAAACAATCAGTCCAGTCCCCAGGGGGAGATGCTGCTGGCTGCTGGGAGGGAAAGGAGATATTTGCAGGAAACTGTAGGGGGGAAATGGGCAGGTGTTGGTGCTAGGGGTGCCTCCAGGAAGGATGGGGAGGGAGGGGGAACGGAATGGGACAGGACATGATGGGGAGGGGGAGGGCACATGCACTACCAACCTGAAGGTGTGGCTGGGAGGATCGCAAATAGAGGATTCTACTGGGGGTGGAAAGGCAATGATGGAAACACCAGGCTCACCGGGAGGAGAGCTGTTGACCATGTTATCATTAGTAATCATCATCCCTGGTGTTTGGCAATTTAATAAAAGGCTTTCCTTAACCATAACTACAATTGTCTTAGGATGAGGATAGCTGAGCACAGTGGCCACAGGTGAAACTGGTGAGACACATGCATTTGGGGCTCTGTGGGGCCTGGGAGACAGTGTGGATTGTAGCAAAGCACACAGCATGTGGGGTCGAACAAATCTGCTTTTGCATCCTAGTTTTGTTGCTTAGTAGCCATGTGACCTTGAACAAATAACTTCTCTGTGCCTTAGTTGTTTGCATCTATAAAGTGGGGTTGGGGATGCCTACCTCATAGGGCTCCTGTGAAGATCAAATGAAACCGCATCTAAAATACACAGGGCCTGGCTCAAAAAGAGTGTTCAGGAAATGTTAGCAGGTGTTCCTGATGTGGCCTGGAGTTGGGTGGGAGAGTATCTATGGCCCTGTGTCCTTCTGGAGCTTCCTTACTTAATTCCACCCCTGTCTTCCAAGCCTGTCCTACCCACCACCCAGCAGGAAACTCCACATCCCTTCATTCAGCCAGGGAACACCTAGCTGCCCTAGGTAAGGACTGTGGGGTCCCAGATATGAACAGGTTCTGATCGCTGTTCTGCAGGGAAGGGGAAAGCACAGGTGAACAGATATAAACAAGGGCCCAAACCCGGGAGGAGGCAGGCCGTGGCAAGCTCCCCAGAAGCAGCACAATATGCCTGGGGAGTCAGATCAGGAATGTGGGACTCCCCCGTGCGTGCCCCCTGCTTCATGCCTCAGTTGCCCTTTTGCCTTCTTAGGGGTAGTGGTGGGGGTTTTGCAGAACAAAGTCTTGAGGAGAGCCTCTGTCTGCAGAGGGGAGACGAATAGGACACAGGCAGGTCTGGGAGTGTCTTGCAGAGCCGAGGAGGTGGGTAGCAGCTGGCCTGTGGAGAAAGCCAGTCCTAGTGACAGCCTTCCCTCCCTGACCAAGCCCCCTCTCCATTCCTAGGCATAGAAGGTCCTTCCTGACCCTGGCAACCCCCCCTGGGACGGACCTAGCTTGCTCTACTTCTGCAAGAGGAAAGCCGTTATCTGGGGCCAATGCGTCCCACTGGCTTGATTTCAAGAGTGGCAGAAGCCTGATGGAAGGGTCCTTGAGTGAATCCTCCCAGCCCCCCGAATGAGGCCAGGTAGATGCAGTGAGCTGGGCTATCCATGTCGCAGCCTGGCAGGAGGGGAGCAGGATCCTTTTCCTTTCTGGGGCCTGTGGGACCGTGGAGAACTGTGGCCAGAGCACCCACAGCAGCCTCATGCCTCCCTGCTGCTCTCTGCTCTCCCCACTGACACAGCTTCCCCCTGCTGCCTGGTTCGTCTTCAAAGTGTGGCTCTGATCAAGTGTCCCCTTCTGCAAGCCACATTGCCGACAGTATGGAGCCACGCCCCTCGCCCAGGCCTTTGCAGCCTTCCCACACCCCCTACAGACCTGCCCAGTTTCATCTCCCCCAGGCCTGAGCTGTTCCTGCACTTCTGTCTGACCTGTCCTGCCTTCCTTCCTCCCTACATCTCTACTGTCAAATTCTGTTGCATCTTCAAAGCTCACCTTCAAAGGTACCCAGAATGTGAACACTTCTCCCTGCCTCCACTGCCACCACTCTGGGCCAGCCAGGAGAATCGCTTGAACCCAGGAGGCAGAGGTTGCAGTGAGCCAAGATTGCGCTATTGCACTCCAGCCTGGGTGATAAGAGTGAAACTCCATCTGAAAAAAAAAAAAAAAAAGGAAACTGTTACTTAAGTCAGGAATGGATTACTTCTCTGCTCAAACTCCTCCGGCGAGTTCCCACCTCTCTCATGAAGTCCAAGTCCATTCGAAGAGTGGCTTCAGGGCCCTCTGTGACCTGCCCATCCTTACCACATCTTTTAGCACCCTTCAGCCTGTTCCTCTGTCTCAGCCACAGCTGGTGGCCTCTCCACGGTGCTTCAGTCCTAGCTGAGAGGTCTGGGCTAATTCTGTTTCTGCCGGTCGTAATCCCAGGCCTCAAATACACCAAGACAACCCTACCATCAGGCCTTTCTGTGGCTCCACATGGCTTGCTGCCTCACTTCCTTCAGGTCTCTGCTCAAATTTTGCCTTATTTGAGAGCCCTGCCCTGACCACCTCACATAAAAATAGCACCACCCTCACCCCTGCACCCTGTCCCCTCTCTGGCTTTATGTTCACCCTAGTTCACATCACCATGGGACACACTAAATGTTGATTGTTTTTCTCCCCCAACCAGAATATGGCTACACAGGGGGAGAAACTTTGTTCAAGACTGTATCCCAGATTCCAGAACAGTGCCTGGCACCTAGGTGGCCCTTACTAAATGCCTCTGAATGATCCTTTTGTAATTCCTAAGTATGACTGGGTTTTCACACACATAGGTAAGATGCACCTCCCTCAAACCTTGTGATGATGTCAGCACGGTATCCGTCTGATGTGAAAGAAAAAAAGTTTCTGAATGAATGCATGCGTGCATGAATAAATGAATGAAAAGCTTGGCTCAGGTGCCCTTTTCTCCATGAAGCCTGCCCGGCCTCCTCAGTCAAAATGAACCTCTGTCTCCAGACCGCCCCCAGCACTGTCTTCCCTCTTCGAGCTTCCCGTGCGCATTCTTGCTTGTACTGGAGTTAGGTGTTCACGGACCGGCCTTCCTGACTGCTCTGTGTTCCTAAGGGGCCTTGGGGCCGGGCACAGTGGCTCACACCTGTAATCCCAGCACTTTGGGAGGCCAAGGCAGGTGGATTTCTTGAGGCCGAGAGTTTGAGACCAGCCTGGTCAACATGGCGAAACCCCATCTCTACTAAAAGATACAAAAATTAACTGGGCATGGTCACGCACCCCTGTAATCCCAGCTACTCAGGAGGCCGAGGCAGGAGAATCGCTTCAAACTGGGAGGCAGAGGTTGCAGTGAGTGGAGATCGCGCCACTGCACTCCAGCCTGGATGACAGAGCAAGACTCTGTGTCAAAACAAACAATCAAGCAAAAACTAAGGGGCCTTGGAGCAGACCCGGCTCCACTAGAACCCTGTGTCCTTGGTGGCCCTCTGGGACCCTCAGGCCTAGCTCAGGGAGCATGATCGAATCAGGAAGGCCTGGGATTGCGATGAGCGAGGAGAGAAGGGGAAAGCCACAAGAAACAAACCAAAACTAAACAAAGCCCAGAGCCCTTGGCGGGCAGGTGGCCTGGGATTACACACATGGAGACAGAACTAGCCAAGGCCTCCCAGCCAGGGCTGAGACCATGGAGAGGCCACCAGCTCTTACTGTGCTTCTGGTCCTAGCCAAGAGCCCTCAGCAGCCCCTCCCCTTCCGTCAGTGACAGATGGGCGTCCTCTGGAGAGGGCTGTGAAGTCTGGGGAAGAACCTGTCCTGGGATGGGCAGGGCGATGGCAGACCCTGACCTGGGGATCTCCTCTTTTGACCACGGAGCAGCCCTGTCCCTCTCCTGTGCATGCGGAAGTCCCCACGCCCCCAGGCATGCTGGCAACTTCGGGGAAACCCTTACCCTCAAGGGCTTTTTAGCTGTTTTGTTATCTTCTTCAGTTTCCTCAGTTTTGAGAATGCACAAAACATGGAGCTGCTCTCTGCATTCCTGAGGGGCCTCTAAGCAGACCTCGGGTCCCATAGAACACTGTGTCCTGGTGGCCCTCCAGGTCCCTCAGCTCTCAGACAGGCACTTTCAGTTCTGTTTCATTAGGAGTGCCCTGTCGTTGGTGAGATGCAGAGCCTGGGCAGTCTGGGTCCTGAGGACATGAAGGGAGAAACCAGAACAGTCCCCGGCCAGGCCCCACCAGCCTGAGCTTGCCTGTTGGGTCCCAGTGGAGTCTGGGGCCTTGTGGGATCGGGGGGACATTTAAGGGGTGTAGGAGGAAGGGAGGAGTCAAGGCAGGTGACCCTGGCAATAGGGGCTTTCCAGATCATTCTGTGGGAGGCAGAGCCCCTGTTATGCTGCTCCCCTGCCTTCCACCCTCCTTCCTACTCCCCCTGGCCTGAGGCCGGCCCTGGGCCTAGCTGGGACAGAGGCTTGAAAACCTTCAGGCTTCTCTCAGGGCTGCCCAGGATGGTGAAATGGCCCCACGGAGGAGAGAAGAGCTTCATTGTGTGTTTTCCACTGTGTGCCAGAGGGAGGGGCGTCTGGGGGGGCAGTGGCTCACTGTCCCCAGCTGTCCCACATTGCCTCCCACGGGGCTGGAGGCTCACATTCAGATACCAGAGACACCAACTGCTGGCTCACTGAGGCAAGGAGTGGAAGGTGCACTTTGACCCTACACTGGAGGTGCTGGTGCTGTCTGCAGCTGTAACCCCACAGGGAGGGTCCCTTGGGGCAGCTGCCACTTGCCCAGGCTGGCTGCTCCCCATCTTGCAGAATGGTTTTTCTGCCTCCCACCTAAGTCCCAGAGGACCAATTGGGAAATTTTATTTTCTTTTTGGTGAGGTGATGATGGGTAGTTCCTGTCCCCAGAACTGCTGAATCAAAATCTAGGAAGAGGGAGGAGGAGAAGAAGGTCAGAATCTTTTTGTTTAACCAGCACCCCCAGATCATTCTAATATAGGTGGGCCAAGGCCCATCTTAGAGAAGCACTGTCCTGGATCCCAGCTTGCTGACTGTGCCTGGGAAGCCCATGGAGAGAGCGTGAACCCACATCTGGGCCTAGGGCATCAGTATTTTCTTGTGAGTCACATGAACTTACTGGCCCAGCCTGCAAGGGAGCACTCAATTTGACAGAAAGGGAAACTGAGGTTAGGGGAGTGAGTTCCTGCTTCTTGCCTCCAGCAACAGAAGAAGCCGTATCTCTGGTAATGGCTTAAGAAACCAGGGGCCATAACATGGGGCAGTGACATCCTGGGAAGGTGGGACGGGGGATTGAAGACAGAAGGGCACAGGTTCCAGCCGGACATGGTGGCTGATGCCTGTAATCCCAGCACTTTGGGAGGGCGAGGCAGGTGGATCACCTGAGGTCAGGAATTCAAGACCAGCCTGGCCAACATAGTGAAACCCGTCTCTACTAAAAATGCAAAAAATGTGGTAGTGGGCACCTGTAATCCCAGCTACTTCGGGAGGCTGAGGCAGAAGAATCGCTTGAACCCGGGAGGCGGTGGTTGCAGTGAGCTGAGATCATGCCATTGCACTCCAGCCTGGGCAACAAGAGCGAAGCTCTGTCTCAAAAAAAAAAACCCAAAACAAATATACAGGATTGTTTTGCATGCTTTTTATTTTTATTTTTATTTATTTATTTTTTTATTTTAGAGGGAGTCTTGCTCTGTCACCCAGGCTGGAGCGCAGTGGCACAATCTTGGCTCACTGCAACCTCTGCCTGCCAGGTTCAAGCAGTTCTGCCTCAGTCTCCCAAGTAGCTGGAATTACAGGCTTGCACCATCATGCCCGGCTAATTTTTGTATTTTTAGTAGAGACGGGGTTTCACCATATTGGTCAGACTGGTCTCCAACTCCTGACCTCAGGTGATCCATCCACCTCGGCCTCCCAAAGCACTGGGATTACAGGCGTGAGCCACCGCGCCCAGCCATGCTTTTGTATTTTTAATGAATATAGTCATATTGTTTTCTCTGTGGTATGTCTCAGCATAACAATACGTGCTTGAGCTTTGTGAATGTTGAAACCTGTTGCTCTAGATCATGTGTTTCCCTTGCTGTGCAGTTTTCCAAGGTCTGAGTATGTTGGGATTTATTTGTACATTTTGCTGGTGGCAGTCATTTAGGGGGTTTCCGCCCTTTCACTCTTGGGAGCACGGGATTATCACTGGGCGGTACAGGAGGGGAGGAGGCAGTCCCTGCTGTGGTCTCAGTTTCCAGAAGGCCTGACTGGAAGTTGGACATTTGCTAATAAGCAGTGAGGAGCCACTGAAGACTTTTGAGCAGGAGCAAGTCTCAGCAAAATGCGGCGCTTTAGGAACTTCTTTTTGCCAGTGCTTTGCAGTTTGGGTTGGAGGTAGAGAGCTGGGGGACAGAGGCTCTTGTAAGGCCCTAGGTGAGTTTCCAGGGCCTGTTCTCACAGGTGAGGCTGCGCTGGGGGCAGTGGAAGGCAAAATTGAGAGGGATCCTGTTTTGGTTGCATATGCCAGGGAGAGGGCTAAATGCAACTGCGAGGACAGGGGGCCTTTCCCAGAAAGAGAAGAAGCAGGATGGGGAGCTGACCATGGGGACTGTCACTCACCAATTCTGCAGGCAGATGGAGGGAGAGCCTAAGCTAAGTGGCTTAGAGAGTCCTGTGGAAGCCCTTGGCAGGGCAGGGCACAGGGCTGGGGAGAGCCACTAGGTCCTCAGGCTGCTCTCCCCTTCCCTTCCTCCTTCCCCATCTCAGCCCTGCCTTCTCCTGCTTTGCCCAAAGATCAAGACCTCAGGCCAGCAAGGACTGCAACCTGTCCCTAGCCCACATCCAAGCCAGGCACAGGTCTCCCATCCCCCTGCCACCCCACCCTCTCCACCTTCAGCACCCCCTCTATCCAGGCCCCTGTCTCTCTCCCACCTGGATGACTCGGTACCTCCTGCCCCTTTTCTCCACTCAGCAGCCCAGTGAGCTCTCAGAAAGGGAGTCTGATCCTGTGCACCCTGTTCTAACAACCACCAGCCATTTTCCACTCTCTGCATGGCCTGGCCCCTGCCCACCTCACCAACCCCTTCTCCAGCACTGTTGGTCCCTCCAGCCCTGCCCAAAGACTCCGAGGCCTCCTGACAATTCCTAAAATTCCACACTCCTCCTGCCTTGGTGCCACATCACCCAGAACCGTCCATGCCGCTGGCTCGGTCTTGCAGTTTCCAGCACGAATGTCACCCTCTGGGGACGAGGCCTTCCCTGGGCACCCTGTCTACAGTAGGGCCTCTTCCCTTCCGGCCACTCTTTTCCACCCCCAGCCATAGTTACTGGCAGTTTGCTGACTAATCCGGTTTCTGGTTTAATGTCTGTTGGCCCTCCCTTTCCCCACATTACAAGCTCCCCGAAAGCAGGACCCCTTCTGCCTTGTTTCTGCTGTCTCCACTGTGTCCATCATGCACAGTATTTGCCAGATACAGCGAGTGACAAGGAGGGGCCTTGTTTACTGCGGCTTCTTGGTGCAGAGTCCCTGCCCGCACAGATCTGTCCTTTCTTAGGGACAGAACCTGGGAACACGTAGTCAGCATTTAGTAAGGGGAGGCGGGGAGCTTATCACCCCTCCCAGATGTGCATGACCCTGCTCTAGCAGCTGGGAGGACTTCCTGGCTGAATTTGGGAAGGAAACAACAGTTGCTAAACATCTTCCACTTGCCAGGCTCTCGGCTGAGTGCTTTACATTAGTTTTCTTATTTTAGGCACTTAATCTTCACACAGTCCTTCGGGGTAAGTCACAGCATTGCCATGTTATAGATGAGGAACCTCATCTGTGAAACTCATGACTTGCCCAAGGTCACAGAGTCAACAGGGGCCAGGCTATGATGGGAGCCCAGATCTTTCTGTTGCCAGAGCCTCTGTTCTTTCCATAAGCCCATGTAGCGAGAAATGAAGACAGGAATGGGACTCAGGCATCGGTGCAAGGTGGTGTCTGTCAGAGGAAAGGGTGATTTTATTTAATTTTATTTTTTAACTTTTCATTTTGGGCCAGGCGCCGTGGCTCACACCTATAATCCCAACACTTTGGGAGGCCAAGGCGGGTGGATCACCTGAAGTCAGGAGTTCCAGACCAGCTTGGCCAACATGGTGAAACCCTGTCTCTACTAAAAATACAAAAATTAGCCGGGCGTGGTGGCGGGCACCTGTAATAGCAGCTTCTAAGGATGCTGAGGCAGGAGAATTGCTTAAACCCGGGAGATGGAGGTTGCAGTGAGCCGAGATCATGCCACTGCACTCCTGCCCGGATGACAGAGCAAGTCTCAGTCTAAAAACAAACAAACAAACACAACTTTTCATTTTGAAATGATTTCAGACTTGTCAAAATAGTATATAGCATTCCCATATGCCTCTCGCCCCTGAATACTATCGTCTTTCATAATCACAGTACAGTCATCAAAACCAAGAAATTAACATCAATACTATCCTATGAAGTATTCTCAGAGCTTACTCAAATTCACTATTTTTCCCTGCTGTTGCCCTTTCTCTGATCTAGAATCCAGTCCAGAATCCCACGTTGCATTTATCTCCTGGTCTCCTCCAGTCTGGGACAGTTTCTCAGTCTATCTTTCATCTTGTCAATACATTTGAAGAGTAGAGCCTGGGCAACATTTGAAGAGTAGAGCCTGGGCAATCATCTCTATACTAAAAATTTAAAAAACTAGCTGGCATGGTGGCACGCACCTGTAGTCCCAACTACTCAGGAGGCTGAGGCGGGAGGATCGCTTGAGCCCAGGACATTAAGGCTGCAGTGAGCTATGGATCACATCACCGCACTCTTGACCTGGGTGACAGAGCAAGACCCAAAAAAAGAATTATAGATTTGCATTTTTGGCACAAATACCACAGAAGTGATCTTATGCCCTCCTCAGTGCATCATACCAAGAGGCAAATGATGTCTATATATTGTTACTGGTGAGATTAACTTTGATCACTGGCTTAAGGTGGAGTTAGCCAGGTTTCTATGGCCTTTATAATTAGTGGTTATTTTGTGAAGGAGATACTTTGAGATTATGCAAATATCCTCTTTCTCATCATACTTGGGTGATTTGACTGGGGTCTCCAGGTGTTAAGAGTGTGCTCTTGTGTGTTAGAAACTCTCGGTGTTAGCCTGGGAGCGAATCAAGACATCTTCTCTTCAAAAAAATAATAAAAATAATTAGCTGGGCATGTCTGCTCATGCCTGTAGTCCCAGCTACTCGGGATACTGAGGTGGAAAATCGCTTGAACCCCAGCGTTTCAGGCTTCAGTGAGCTGTGACTGAGCCACCACACTCCAGCCTGGCTGACAGAGGAAGATCCCATCTCTTTAAAAAATAAATAAATAAATAAATAAATATAAATATAAATAAAAATGGGCTGGGCGCGGTGGCTCACGCCAGTAATCCCAGCACTTTGGGAGACTGAGGCAGGCAGATCACCTGAGGTCGGGAGCTCTAGACCAGCCTGATCAACATGGAGAAACCCTATCTCTACTAAAAATACAAAATTAGACGGGCGTGGTGTCGCATGCCTGTAATCCCAGCTACTTGGGAGGCTGAGGCAGGAGAATTGCTTGAACCTGGGAGGTGGAGGTTGCGGTGAGCCAAGATCACGCCATTGCACTCCAGCCCAGGCAACAAGAGTGAAACTCCATCTGGAAAAAAAAAATGTTAATTGTCCTGTCTGTCCTACTAGATAGAACCTTCACAAGGACAGTGAGTTTGCCTTGCTCAGTGTGTGTTCAGTGCCTGGCCAATAGCAAGGATTCAGTAAATATTGTTGAAGAAATGTAAGTTGGCCAAATCTAATTTAGAAATAAAACCAAAAAAAAAAGAAGGCCTACGAAAAAGGAACATAAAGACAAATAAAGGTTGGCAAAGCCCTTCAACCATGTGCCCAGATTGCCAATCAATATAAACCCATGGGTACATAGAGCAGACAATGCAGTGATTAAACTTTACCTAAATCATATCTACAAATTGCCATGGAAACCTGCTTGGTTTTGACCCAACTGCTTGCAGACAAATCAGCTAGCTCTCCCCTTAGGGGTCTGAAGAGCGGCTGCCCCTGCTCCCACATACACGGTCAATCCTTGTAGAGACTTAGGGTCAGCCAGGCGTGGTGGCTCATGTCTGTAATCCCAGCACTTTGGGAGGCCAAGGCGGGTTGATCATGAGGTCAAGAGATTGAGACCATCTTGGCCAACATGGTGAAACCCTGTCTCTACTAAAAGTACAAAAATTAGCCAGGCGTGGTGGTGGGTGCCTGTAATCCCAGCTACTCGGGAGGCTGAGGCAAGAGAATCACTTGAACCCGGGAGGCAGAGGTTGCAGTGAGCCAAGATCGTGCCACTGCACTCCAGCACGGTGACAGAGTGAGACTCCATCTCAAAAAAAAAAAAAAAGTTTGGAAAAAATAGCCATTAAAAGTACTAAAATATGAAGCTTTTTTTCTTCTACAATCTCTATTTTGACCTGTGATGTTTTTAATTTGCTATTTAATGTCATTCTAAGTAAGAAGCATTTAAATTATTAGCAGGAATTTTACCATTTGCTTAATATTGTGCAATGCCTGTTTTAAATACAAATATAAGGACATTTAACTCCTGTAGAATCACAGAAACGACATAATTAATATTTCTTAGCTTATACATGGATGTGTATTTAGTTCTTACCAGGAGAGGGTCTCCTCTGTCACTCAGACTGGAGTGCAGTGGTGCAAACATGGCTCACTGCAGCCTTGACCTCCTGGGTTCAAGTGATCCTCCCACCTCAGCCTCCCAAGTAGCTGGGACCACAAGTGCATGCCACCATGCCTGCCTAATTTTTGCATTTTTAGTAGAGACAGGGTCTCGCCATGTTGCCCAGTCTGGTCTCAAAATCCTGGGCTCAAGCACTTCTTCCATCACCACCTCCGAAAGTGCTGGGATTACAGGAGTGAGTCACCACACCTGGCCTTCAATTCTTTTTTTTTTTTTTTTTTTTTTTTTCAGACAGAGTTTCACTCTTGTTGCCCAGGCTGGAGTGCAATGGTGTGATCTTCTTGGCTCACCGCAACCTCCGCCTCCCAGGTTCAAGTGATTCTCCTGCCTCAGCCTCCCAAGTAGCTGGGATTACAGGCGCCCACCACCACACCCTGTTAATTTTTGTATTTTTAGCAGAGATGGGGTTTTACCATGTTGGCCAGGCTGGTCTCCAATTCCTGACCTCAAGTGATCTACCAGCCTCTGCCTTCCAAAGAGCTGGGATTACAGGTGTGTGCCACTGCACCCAGCCTTCAATTCTTTTCTTTTTTTTTATTGAGATGGAGTCTCACTCTGTCGCCCAGGCTGGAGTGCAGTGGTGAGATCTCGGCTTACTACAACCTCAGCCTCCCAAGTAGCTAGGATTACAGGCGCCTGCCACCACGCCCAGCTAATTTTTGTAGTTTTAGTAGAGATGGGGTTTCACTATCTTGGCCAGGCTGGTCTTGAACTCCTGACCATGTGATCCACCTGCCTTGGCCTCCCAAAGTTCTGAGATTACAGGCATGAGCCACCGCGCCCGGCCTTCAATTCTTAATACGTGCACATTCTGCCAGCACTGTTGGCTTGCTAGTTAATAAGGAAGGATGGAAAGGAAAAGGATGGATTGGTTACCCTATCTTCCCTTTCCTTTCTATATCGCTATTTGCAGCATAAATAGGTGGATAACACAAAAGCAAGAAAGGATGCAGCAGAGTTCCTTGGTCATTCGTGTTTCTTAGAACACCTCTGTCTTTGTGCACTTGAAGCACGTTCTAGTTTGAACTGAAAGCTTGGCCTCTTGGGTCAGTCATAGGTGTGCACTCGCCTTGTACTTGCTTTGAGTCTTGTTGAACTCCCATGCGTTGTGTGTCCCCCAGATTTGTGTGCTCATGGGCATTGCAGACTCTGTATAGGTATGATAAGCGAGGAACGGAGCACACTCACTGTGTGTGTCTCTTGCTCCCTGCATGTCCCACTGTCCTATCAGGCTCCACTTGCAAGACACAAGGTCAAAGATAAAATCATTAAGAATTTCAGGGTCGGGCACGGTGGCTCACCCCTGTAATCCCAGCACTTTGGGAGGCCAAGGTGGGCAAATCACGAGGTCAAGAGATCGAGACCATCCTGGCCCACATGGTGAAACCCCATCTCTATTAAAAATACAAAAATTAGCTGGGTGTGGTGGTGCACGCCTCTAGTCCCAGCTACTCAGGAGGCTGAGGCAGGAGAATCGCCTGAACCTGGGAGGCAGAGGTTGCAGTGAGCTGAGATTGCACCACTGCACCCCTGCCTGACGACAGAGTGAGACTCCCTCTCAAAAACAAACAAACAAACAAAAATTTCAGGCTTGGCCAGGCACAGTGGCTCACACCTGTAATCCCAGCACTTTGAAAGGCCGAGGCAGGCGGATCACCTAAGGTCAGGAGTTTGAGACCAGCCTGGCCAACGTGGCAAAACCCTGTCTCTACTAAAAATACAAAAAATTGCCGGGCATGGTGGTGTGAGCCTGTAATCCCAGCTACTCGGGAGGCTGAGGCAGGAGAATCACTTGAACCTGGGAGGTGGAGGTTGCAGTGAGCCGAGATTGCACCACTGCACTCCAGTCTGGGCAACAGAGCGAGACTCTGTCTCAAAAAAAAAAAAAAAAGAATTTCAGGTGGGACACGGTGGCTCACACCTGTAATCCTAACACTTTGGGAGGCCAAGGCAGGAGGATTTGTTGAGCCCAGGAGTTCGAGACCAGCCTAGACAACAAACTGAGACCCCATCTCTACAAAAAAGATAATTGGGATTACAGGTGCCCATCACCACACCCGGCTAATTTTTGTATTTTTAGTAGAGACGGGGTTTCACCATGTTAGTCAGGCTGGTCTTGAACTCCTGACCTCAGATGATCCACCTGCCTCGGCCTCCCAAAGTGCTGGGATTACAGGCGTGAGACACCACACCCAGCCTCAGATGATTTTTTTTTTTTTTTTTTTGAGACAGGGTCTTGTTTTGTCACCCAGGCTGGAGTACAGTGGTGCAATCATGGCTTACTGCAGCTTCACCCTCCCGGGCTCAAGCAATCCTCCTGCCTCAGCTACCTGAGTAGCTGGGACCACAGGCGTGTGCCACCACGCCCAGCTATTCTTTTTTTTGTGTGTGTAGAGACCCTATAGGGCACAATGTTGCCCAGGCTGGTCTCGAACTCCTGGGCTCAAGTGATCCTCTCTCCTTCCCTCCCAAGGTGCTGGGATTACAGGTGTGAGCCACTGTACCCAACCTTCTTCAGATGATTAGGATGCATGCTAAAGTCTGACCACCACTGTTCTTTCTGAAATATTTTTTCTACCTCATTTCAGCCTCCTAATTCCTACTCCTTCTTCCCTGCAAATGTCACTTCATCAGAGGTGCTAGACCCTGGGCTAGATTAAACCCCTCACTCTCCAAGTCTCTCTTTTTTTTTAGACAGAGTCTCACTCTTTGGCCTGGGCTGCAGTGCAGTGGTGCGATGCCCAATTCTCCTGCCTCAGCCTCCTGAGTAGCTGGGACTACAAGCGTGTGCCACCACACCCGACTAAGTTTTGTATTTTTAGTAGAGACAGGGTTTCGCCATGTTAGTCAGGCTGGTCTCGAACTCCTGACCTCAGGTGATCCGCCCACCTCGGCCTCCCAAAGTTCTGGGATTACAGGTGTGAGCCACTGCGCCTGGCCTCTCCAATTTTCTTCTGTGAGTTCCTCAGTTCATGTCTCCCTGATAGATTTTGAGTTCTAGGTGTGTCCGTCTCATTCTCCATCTTGTCCTGAGTGCTAAGCAGGGCAAACAGTAGGCACATAATAAGTGAGAGTGGAATTGCATTGGCTCACAGGGTCACCAAAGGAATGGAGATGTGGGGCCTGCAGGCATCACGAAGGAGTCTAGGGGAGCTAGGGAGAAAAGGCTAATCATAGGCCACCCACTCGCCCTCTAGGTACAGCCTGTACACCCGCACCTGGCTCGGGTACCTCTTCTACCGACAGCAGCTGCGCAGGGCTCGGAATCGCTACCCTAAAGGCCACTCGAAAACCCAGCCCCGCCTCTTCAATGGTGAGCTCTGACTGCCCCGGCCAGCATCCCCCATTCTGTGCCCCCACCCTCCCCGCCTGCTCCCCTTCACATACCCCAGCCCCTGGGCTCCCTGCCTGTTACCCCGCCCACAGCCCATCTCTGTCCCCAGGAGTGAAGGTGCTTCCCATCCCTGTCCTCTCGGACAACTACAGCTACCTCATCATCGACACCCAGGCCCAGCTGGCTGTGGCTGTGGACCCTTCAGACCCTCGGGCTGTGCAGGTGAGGGGAGGGCAGGGAGCAGGGGGTGCCTGGAGTCACCTTGGGGACTGGCAGTTTCGCCTTGCTAGAGAGGGCTGACCCTTGTCCGTCTGCCCGTGGGATGTGTCCCATATGCTCCATGTTCACACGTGCACATGCGCACACATAGCCTGGGGAAGGGGGGTACAGGGCATGGCTGGGCAGAAGGGGAGAGCAGGAGTGGGGGATGCAGAGCCAGAGGGCTGGGGGTGTTGGCCCAGGACTCTGGGTCTAGTGAGTTTCCAGGCTGGCTTTCACTCCCATTGGCCCCCTTCAGACCCCCTTTCTTTCTGTCACCTCTGTCTGTCAGTATCTGGGTCTCTCTGTCTTTCCCTCCCATTCCTTATCTCTCTGTGTCTGCCTCTCTCTATGTACAAGTGTCCCTCTGCCTCCATGTGCCCCGTGCTTCACATTCCTGGATCTCTCCCCTCCAGCTCCATCCCTTTCCTCTGCTTCATCTCTCCATGCTCTCCTCTCCTCTCCACCAGCGCCCACACTCCTGGCTCTTGCTGCTTCAAGTGCCTCTTGCATCCTGCTCCCCAGTCTCCAAACCTCCTCTCTCTCGCAGGCTTCCATTGAAAAGGAAGGGGTCACCTTGGTCGCCATTCTGTGTACTCACAAGCACTGGTAAGGGGCTCCCGTCTTCCCTGGCCCACCCTTGTCCCAGCTGGGCTTGCCAGGACTGGGCCCATTGAGGACGGCCGGGGCCAGAGATCAAGAAGTCAGTACGGGCCGGCACCCGCCTTCCTCGTGAAGTCACCTGGACACCAGCAGGGAGGGAGGAGAGGGGACAGTCTCCCACCACTCCATTGATCAAGCTTCTGAAGCCCCAGAGGGCAGGGCAGTCATTTCTCTTTCATTTCATGGGCATGTATTAGATACCTACTGCACACTGGGCATGGACAAAAGTTATGACTCTTCCATCAAGGAAATTCTAAGACCAATAGGGGAGGTAGCCCTGTATCAAAGTATATAACAGCGGAGGCAAGAGGGTTGGGAGTTCAAGCCCAACCTGGGCAACATAGTGAGACCTTGTCTTCAAAAAAGAAGTATGTGATATTTAGGTAACAGTTGGCACAGGGAACAGGGATGGGAGGCCCAGGCACGGTGTGATCAGATCCACTTGGAGAATTGAAAGATGATGACCTGAGCTGAGGGTTCAGGAAGCTCGGCTGGCATTGGCCAGCTTGAGTTGTTGGGGGCGATGTTCTGGGCAAGGGAACAGCTTGAACAAAGGCCTAGAGGTGTGGACAACTTGGCTTAGTCCAGAAGCCACAGCCCCAGCACTTAAAGGCCTGGAGATGCTGTGGTAAAGAAGGGGGCTTAGGTACAGTTGCCCCTCGAAGCCCCCTGCCTGTCTCTGCTGTCCTGCAGGGACCACAGTGGAGGGAACCGTGACCTCAGCCGGCGGCACCGGGACTGTCGGGTGTACGGGAGCCCTCAGGACGGCATCCCCTACCTCACCCAGTAAGTCCCTGACCTAGGCAAGGGATGGCCCTTCCATGGGCCCTTTCCCCCACCCCCAGCCTTCAGTGAAGTGTTTCAGGGGTATCAGCAGGTGGATCTTTGCCAGTGCCCTTCCTGGCCCAATCCCAGCCTATCTGAAGACTGGCACTGCCCATCCCCCAACTGATCCAGCCATAGTCCCCAAAAGAGGAAAGGGGGAGGGTTCGGACCTGAGACCCGAGGCACTGGGGTGACTTCTTTTGTATGGAAGCCCACTCTCTTGTGAATCACCCAGCCCCTTGGGCCTGGGATGGGGACAGGGATCAGCATGGCACAGATCCAATACCTTCTGTCCCCTGCTCCCTTGTTCCCCAGTCCCCTGTGTCATCAAGATGTGGTCAGCGTGGGACGGCTTCAGATCCGGGCCCTGGCTACACCTGGCCACACACAAGGCCATCTGGTCTACCTACTGGATGGGGAGCCCTACAAGGGTCCCTCCTGCCTCTTCTCAGGGGACCTGCTCTTCCTCTCTGGCTGTGGTGAGTTTCCCCGAAAGAGAGAGGAGCTGGGAGAGGAGGGAGAGACAGAAGCCAGGGCAGCCACAGTCCCATGGAGAGCACTGAAGCCTTAGTTTTAGCACAGATGTTGCCGTGGCAGTTACTTCCATCTGTGTTACTCAGATTGGTTTTAATCCTTGAGACTTCCCTTGGGGCACCTTGGGAGGCTGAGGCAGGAGGATCACTTGAGGCTAGGAGTTGGAGACCAGACTGGGCAAAATAGCAAGACTGTCTCTACAAAAAAATTTTAAAATAGGCCAGGCGTGGTGGCTCATGCCTGTAATCCCAGCACTTTGGGAGGCTGAGGTGGGAGGATCACCTGAGGTCAGGAGTTCAAGACCAGCCTGGTCAACATGGTGAAACCCCGTCTCTACTAAAAATACAGAAATTAGCCGGGCATGGTGGTGCATGCCTGTAATCCCAGCTACTAGGGAGGCTGAGACAGGAGAACTGCTTGAACCCGAGAGGTAGAGGTTGCAGCGAGCTGAGATCGCGCCACTGCACTCCAACCTGGAAGACAGAGTGAGACTCTGTCACAAAACAGAAAAAAAAATTTAAATAATATAAATAATATAGGCCAGGAGCAGTGACTCAGGCCTGTAATCCCAGAACTCTGGGAGGCCAAAGCAAGTGGATTGCTTGAGCCCAGGAGTTCAAGACCAGCTTGGGCAACATGGTGAAACCCCGTCTCTACAAAAAATACAAAAATTAGCCAGTGTGGTGGTGAGCCCAGGAATTCAAGGTTGCAGTGAGCTATGATTGTGCCACTGCACTGCAGCCTGGGCAACAATGAGACTCTGTCTCAAAAATAAAAAAGACTTCTGCCAGCTGCGGGACAGAATGGGAGAATGTCTGTAGCTGAGTAAAGCCCTGCAGGGAATTAGTTTCCCCTGGGTGGAGACTGGTTCTCTGATACAGTGACTGGCAGGACTAGGTTATGAAAAGTTAAGAACAGCTAGGTGAGTGGGTGGGTGAGGATCACAAGTCCCAGGCTGCATGAAATCCCAAAGGGCAGCCTAGGCGAAGAAGTGTTCCGTGGGAAAGAGCAGCCCTGCGTCTACCAAGCCTGGGGCCTGCAGCCCGAAGATTCCACAGCCCCTCCCTTCAGGTGTCACTGTGTGCAACGGAGGCCTCGGATGGGCTTGGTCAGGGGGTGACCAGTTGGGCCCAGTTCCCAGTGAGGAGGGAATAGATGCCTGGGGTGGGTCTGGAAAGTGCACAGTCAGGGCTGACGGCCAGCCAGAGCATTACAAGCTGGTTCCCACCTGTCTGGGTGTGCCTTATGCCATATTGTGTTATCCTGGCACCTTGTGACATACCCTCCAACCCCCACCCAGGGCGGACCTTTGAGGGCAATGCAGAGACCATGCTGAGCTCACTGGACACTGTGCTGGGGCTAGGGGATGACACCCTTCTGTGGCCTGGTGAGACACCCCCTTACTACTCCCCATCCTCCAGCCCCACGCTCAGCCTGGGACAAGGGCCTTCCCACCCCCTCACTCCCCTAGAAAGCAGGCCAGCCCAGTTCCTGGCCCAGAAGCGACACAGCTCCACCTCTAGGGGTAGGGACAGAGTTCTGGCCTCCCTTCTTCCTGGAGTGCTGGCTCCGTACCACCTCTGCTTCTCACACTACCTTCCCCTGCCAGTCAGCCTTCAGCCTCTTGGGAGCCTTGCAGGCCCCAGGGCATTCCAGAGAGATGTCTAATTGTTCATAGCCTTAGCCCAGAACAGAAAATAGCCTTTGCTTATCTGGGGAGAAGTCAGTAAATCCACTCTGCATGTAACCATTGCCTTGTGGTGCATAAAAACATTCACAGATATCTGTTAATCCTCAGAACATATATTCATTCATTCATTCATTCATCAAGTACTTTATGTGCACCTAACACATACCAGGCTCTGTTCCAGGCACCAGGAACACAGCAGGTACATCTGTGTCTGGTGGCATCATTGTTCTCTCCACTTGCCAAATGAGAAAATTGTGCCTCAGAGAGGGGCCATGACTAGACCGAGGTCACATGCTAGGCTTGGTGGAGTCAGGGCTAGATGCAGGCCTGCCAGCTCCAGGTCTAGTGGTTTTTTCCCCTGGAACTATTGCCACCTTTTCACCCATGGCTGACTTGTGCCCACAGTTAGAGAAGCAGCTCCTGGCAGTTGGGGTTTTCCTGGAAGTGCTGACCTCATCCCTAGTTGTCAGGTGCCCATCAGCCTGGACCTGGGGCAGGGAAGACTGTTCTGACTGTACCACCAATCTCTCTCTGCTCTGTGTCTCACCCTCATGGCTGTCGGTAGGTCATGAGTATGCAGAGGAGAACCTGGGCTTTGCAGGTGTGGTGGAGCCCGAGAACCTGGCCCGGGAGAGGAAGATGCAGTGGGTGCAGCGGCAGCGGCTGGAGCGCAAGGGCACGGTGAGGGACTCGGGGTCCAGGAGGAGCTGTGTGGGCAGGCACTCAGCCCCAACGGGAACCCATCCATGCTGACCCCAGGCCTGCGAGCACCTCCCCAAAACTCTGACCTCTTTGGCCCATGGGCCCTCAAGTCAGAACTCCTGAACTCCAGGATGGGGCAGGGGTCGGGTCAGGCTTCTCTGTCTTGGGTCCATTTCCCAGCTTCTCTCCACCAAACCTGGTTCCTCTCACCCACAGTGCCCATCTACCCTGGGAGAGGAGCGCTCCTACAACCCGTTCCTGAGAACCCACTGCCTGGCGCTACAGGAGGCTCTGGGGCCGGGGCCGGGCCCCACTGGGGATGATGACTACTCCCGGGCCCAGCTCCTGGAAGAGCTCCGCCGGCTGAAGGATATGCACAAGAGCAAGTGATGCCCCCAGCGCCCCCAGCCCAGCCCACTCCCCGCATGGGGAGGCCGCCACCACCAACACCTCATCATCCTTCTCATCGCTAACACCACCACCTCCATCGGCACCCAAGCGGGCATCATCCCCCCACACTGCTCAGGGGAGGGGAGGGATCAGGCGATGAGACTGTGAGGCCAAAAGAAGGGGGCCTGTTGGAGGCTGGGAACCCCGCAGCGCGAGGCTGCCTCATCAACGGCAAGAGGAAAGGAGGGGTCTCGGGACATCTCCAGACCCTACCAACTGGGAGGGTCCCCTCCTCCTTCCCTACTCCTGGGACGGCAGCAAGGACATGGGGGCTGCTGTTAGCTTCTCCGTCAGGAGGCCTCATCTCACTGTAGCCCTGGAACCCAGGGTCCATCTTGCCCTTCCCCCATCCATGGTTGGGAAAGAAGCTCAGCCCCTCACAGTGGCCTCAAGTGTGATGCCTTACAAAAGCACCACTCAGATGGGCAGCTGGACTCTGGTGTCCTGAGACTCTGCCCTCTTCCCACAGCCTCCCTGCCCCACCCATCCCTGCAAAGCCATTTTTCAGACAGAGCCATTCCTAAGAACACTGAAGGGCTGGAATGCTGGCTGGCCACTCTCTGCCTCAGTGGCCTCCCTACAGCCTGGAAGAAGGAGGGTCCTGATTGCCAAGGAAACCTCCTCATTGGGCTAAGGAGACACTGGAGTCTGGAGTGTGGAGCCCCACAGTCTTGCAGGTCACATGCTCTCCTTGCACATCTGGCCTGGTTGTACCCACTGGCCTCTGCCTCTGCCCTGGGCCAAAAGGGCCCCTCCTTGCCAGGGGAGAGACAGCCACGGTCCTCTTTGGCCGATGCTGTATTCTCATTTTGGCCCTTGTTCTTAGGCCCGTCTGCCCGCCTTCCTCCATCTAACCTTTCCTGTTTTATCCGCAGCCCTTTTCTTCTTTGAGTTAGTAAAGATTTATTCTGTAACCTGACACTCATCTGGCCCTTTGCAGTTTGCCAGCCATATTCCCATGTGATTTCCCACTGGATCCAGGCCCCCATCCGGCTGGCAGGAGGGGGCTCTGACGTGCAGGTTGGAAATCAGAAGTCTGTGAGAGCGCGGGAGTGCATGGCAGCTCTGGGTCCCAGACCTGGCCCGACCCCTCTGCTTCACCTCCAGCTCTGCTGCTCCTCTACTCTTGGGTCGAGATCCCTTTGGAGCCACAGCGAGGAACCCTGTGGTCCTCAGGCAGGTGTACCTTGAGTCAGCCAGGAGCCCTCTTTTCCTGTGTCAAAGCCTGCCCTCGGGCTCTGCTCACCTCTGGTGACCCTCCAAGATGCCCCTGCCCTCAGTTTCCCCTCATGATCTGGCCTCTGCCCCCTTCTCTAGCCACAGCCTCTAGTACACTTTAGCAATACCACCAGACTAGTTAGAGTTCCCCACTCACCAAGCAAGACATGCAGTTTCATGCCTCTGTGCCTTCGCTCATGCTGTTTCTTCCGACTGGAATGCCTTCCCCTGCTCCTCCTGCCTTGTCTGCCTGGCAAGTTCATCTCTCACGATCCCCTCAAAGGCCCCCTCCTCCAGGAAGGCAACCCCTGTGCCCCTCCCCTCCAGGCTACCTCTGCACTTTGTCAATGCTTCTCTTGTGGCACTTATCACACTGTATTTTACTTGTTTACATGTTTGTCTCCCCTTCTAGACTGTGAATCCTTAAGGGCATGGACTGTATCTTATGCATCTCTGTATTTCTGCGCCTAGCACGGTGCCTAGCACACAGTAGGCGCTCAATAAATGTTGAATGAATGAATGATTTAATCAAGACTTGATCACCCAACAGCTTGTCTTTGTTGCTACATGAGTGAAAACAGCAGAGAACTTTCTCACAGTTTTCCCATCTCAGTTCCAGGCCTGCTAACTTGCAGTTAGGCACTTCAAGAGTTTTGATCAGAAATGATGCCCAAAGGCTGGGCGCAGTGGCTCACACCTATAATCCCAGCTCTTTAGGAGGCTGAGGCGGGTGGATCACAAGGTCAGGAGTTCGAGACCAGTCTGGCCAACATAGTGAAACCTCATCTGTACTACAAATACAAAAAATTAGCCAGACATAGTGGCAGGAGCCTATAATCCCAGCTACTCAGGAGGCTGAGGCAGGAGAATCACGTGAACCCAGGAGGCGGAGGTTGCAGTGAGCCGAGATCGCACCACTGCACTCCAGCCTGGGCGACAGAATGAGACTCTGTCTCAAAAAAAAAAAAAATTTTTTTAAAAAGAGAGAGAGAAATGATGCCTAAAATATGTTCTTCCCAAGGCCCATGGGCATTTGTTCAGGGTTTACGATTTGCTTATCTCAATGTTTCCCAAAGCTTGAGATACACAAGTGTACCACTGGCCAAAGTAGGGTGGCTGTACATGGCCACAGCACAGCAATCAATTGGACTTCAAGGACACGGTCTTGGCACTAGTCTGTCTTTAATGTCTTTGGAAAGAAAGACCCGGGATCCAGGTTCATACTTTAGTTGGGAAATGTCTGTAGTTAAGCTTTAACAACATCGTTTTGTTTTCATTATATTTATATTTGGGTTCAATATTTATTTTTGACAAGTGACACTGGTTTTCAGTTCATAAAAATGATTAAAGGGCCGGGCGTGGTGGCTCACGCCTGTAATCCCAGCACTTTGGGAGGCTGAGGCAGGCGGATCACGAGGTCAGGAGATCACGACCATCCTGGCCAACATGGTGAAACCCCGTCTCTACTAAAAATACAAAACTTAGCAAGGCATGATGGTGAGCGCCTGTAATCCCAGCTACCCAGGAGACTGAGGCACGAGAATCGCTGAACCCGGGAGGCAGAGGTTGAAGTAGGCCAAGATCGCACCACTGTACTCCAGCCTGGGCAACAGAGGGAGATTCTGTCCCAAAAAAAAAAAAGATGAAATTTGGGTGGGGACAAAAAGCCACACCATATCATTATAATAGAACAACTTATATTCCTTTGGGTATATAACCAGTAATGGGATTGCTGGGTCGAATGGTAGTTCTGTCTTTAGGTCTTTGAGGAAACACCACACTGTCTTCCACTTTGGTTGAACAAATTTACACTCCCGCCAACAGTGTATAAGCGTTCCTTTTACTCTACAACCTTTCCAGCGTCTGTTATTTTTTGACTTTTTAATAACAGCCATTCTGACTTGTGTGAGATGGTATCTCATTGTGGTTTTGATTTGCATTTCTCTAATGATGAGTGATGTTGAGCTTTTATTCATATGTTTGTTGTCCACATGTATGTCTTCTTTTATTTATTTATTTATTTATTTTTAATTGATCATTCTTGGGTGTTTCTCGCAGAGGGGGATTTGGCAGGGTTATAGGACAATAGTGGAGGGAAGGTCAGCAGATAAACAAGTGAACAAAGGTCTCTGGTTTTCCTAGGCAGAGGACCCTGCGGCCTTCCGCAGTGTTTGTGTCCCTGGGTACTTGAGATTAGGGAGTGGTGATGACTCTTAACGAGCATGCTGCCTTCGAGCATCTGTTTAACAAAGCACATCTTGCACCGCCCTTAATCCATTTAACCCTGAGTGGACACAGCACATGTTTCAGAGAGCACAGGGTTGGGGGTAAGGTCATAGATCAACAGCATCCCAAGGCAGAAGAATTTTTCTTAGTACGGAACAAAATGGAGTCTCCTATGTCTACTTCTTTCTACACAGACACAGCAACAATCTGATTTCTCTATCTTTTCCCCGCATTTCCCCCTTTTCTATTCCACAAAACCACCATCGTCATCATGGCCCGTTCTCAATGAGCTGTTGGGTACACCTCCCAGATGGGGTGGCCGCCAGGCAGAGGGGCTCCTCACTTCCCAGAAGGGGTGGCCGGGCAGAGGCGCCCCCCACCTCCCAACGGGGCGGCGGCCGGGCGGAGGCGCCCCCAACCTCCCGGACGGGGCGGCTGGCCGGGCGGGGGCTGTCCCCCCCTCCCTCCCTGATGGGGCGGCTGGCCGGCCGGGGGCTGGACCCCGCCTCCCTCCCGGACGGGGCGGCTGTCTTCTTTTTTTTGTTTTTTGAGACAGAGTCTCCCTCTGTCACCAGGCTGGAGTGCAGTGGTGCGATCTCGGCTCACTACAACCTCCACCTCCCGGGTTCAAGCGATTCTCCTGCCTCAGCCTCCCAAGTAGCTGGGACTACAGGTGCATGCCACACACCCAGCTAATTTTTCGTATTTTTAGTCGAGACAGGGTTTCACCGTGTTAGCCAGGATGGCCTTGATCTCCTGACCTTGTGATCCGCCCACCTCAGCCTCCCAAAGTGCCAGGATTACAGGGGCGTGAGCCACCTCACCTGCCAATTTCTTTCTTTTTTTTTTTTTTTTTTTTTTGAGACTGAGTCTTGCTCTGTTGCCCAAGACTGGAGTGCAGTGGCACGATCTCTGCTCACTGCAAGCCCCGCCTCCCAGGTTCACACCATTCTCCTGCCTCAGGCTCCTGAGTAGCTGGGACTACAGGCGCCCACCACCACGCCCGGCTCATTTTTTGTATTTTTAGTAGAGGTGGGGTTTCACCGTGTTAGCCAGGATGGTCTCGATCTCCTGACCTCATGATCCACCCGCCTCAGCCTCCCGAAGTGCTGGGATTACAGGCATGAGCCACCGTGCCTGGCCTCAATTTCTTATTCTTAATAACTCCTACCACATTCCTCCCTGCGGCGATATCACGCTAACTGCTGTTAAGGGGTTTTGGGCAACGACTCTTTCTGGCTATTTCCTACTGAAAAGGGATGTTGAATGGGGAACAGCAGCCAGGGCTCCTGCTGGGGTTGATTTAGGGGTTCTTGGAAGAATGGCGTGTCCGTGTGTGGTTCAGTTTGCAGCACCATTTGGGGTTTGATTGCTTCTAGGCGAGAAGAAACAATTTGAGTTATAGTACTGAGTAGACTTCGTCCAAATATCAATACAAGACATATAAGCAAGAGAGGGCTTAATAAACGGATTAACCATTCCATAAAGAAGACTGTAATTTATTAAAGAGGGATTGTAGCCACTGAGGGCTGAAGCTGGCATTTTCCCTGAGCCTGTTAATAATTTTGATTTTATCTTTAGGTACCTGTAGATTTTCCTTTACTTTACTAGGTGTTAATCCAAAAGCAGCATGTTTCATTTAAAAGTGCATCACTAGGGCCAGGTGCGGTGGCTCATGCCTGTAATCCCAGCATTTTGGGAGGCCGAGGCGGGCGTATCATGAGGTCAGGAGATCGAGACCATCCTGGGTAACACAGTGAAACCCTGTCTCTACTAAACAAATACAAAAAATTGGCCAGGCGTGCTGGCGGGCACCTGTGGTCCCAGCTACTCAGGAGGCTGAGGCAGGAGAATGGTGTGAACCCGGAAGGCAGAGCTTGCAGTGAGTCAAGATTGCACCACTGCACTCCAGCCTGGGCAAGACAGCAAAACTCCATCCCCCACCAAAAAAAGTGCATCACTAAACCCAATTAAAAAGTCCTAGCTGACTTAGTGATAGTAAAACTTTTATGCTTCCTTTTTGTCAATAACTATTATCCCGGTTATAAGGATAATAATTAAGCAAAATAGGACAGCAATGGAAACTGTCCAATATTTTAGTTAGAAGGTGCTACTGTGTATAACACTATTGCAAATAGTAGAGTGAGGACAGCAATTTCCACAAGTGTAGTGTGGTAGATAATTTCCACCTAATATTTTACTTGCCGGCCGGACGCGGTGGCTTAAGCCTGCAATCCCAGCACTTTCGGAGGCCAAGGTGGGCAGGTCACCTAAGGTCGGGAGTTCAAGACCAGCCTGACCAACATGGAGAAACCCCGTCTCTACAAAAAAATACAAAAAATTAGCGGGGCATGGTGGTGCATGCCTGTAATCCCAGCTACTCAGAAGGCTGAGGCAGGAGAATTGCTTGAACCTGGGAGGCGGAGATTGCAGTGAGCCAAGATTGTGCCATTACACTCCAGCCTGGGCAACAAGAGTGAAATTCTGTCTCAAAAAAAATTTTTTACTTGCCAAGATATAGAATTCCCCTTTTAGGGTCTCTGAAGTTCCTTGGTTTTATTTTCCCAAACAAAGAAACCTCCCGGTTATGAGCACCTTACTCACTTTCTTTACCTGGCAAAATTTGCAAGATAATTGCCCAGAACTAGAGTATTGATTCACCTTTTTACCTTACCCATCGCTTTTTTTTTTCCAAGCTGCAGAAGATCACCTCTTGATTCACAGGAATAAGCAGGGTTAGTCTAAAATGTAAGCAAAAAGTTTAAAAACAATTAATGAAACTAGGATTTAATGACAAATGTATGATAAGCTTTGGATCAAAATTTTTCTCTTCAGTCCTCATTTTTGGTAAGCACTAATTATGAATAAACTTTAGTCCTTTTAGAAATAAATTATCAGGGCTGCAAAAGAAATAGCACTCAAGACCAGGTGCGGTGGCTCACACCTGTAATCCCAGCAATCTGGGAGGCCGATGTGGGCAGATCACAAGGTCAGGAGATCAAGGCCATCCTGGCTAACACGGTGAAACCCCGTCTCTACTAAAAACACAAAAAATTAGCCAGGCGTGGTGGTGGGCGCCCATAGTCCCATCTACTCAGGAGGCTGAGGCAGGAGAATGGTGTGAACCTGGGAGGCAGAGCTTGCAGTGAGCCGAGATCGCACCACTGCACTCCAGCCTGGGCCACAGAGTGAAACTCCATCTCAAAAAAAAAAAAAAAAAGAAAAAAGAAAAGAAATAGCACTCAAACATAAATTTAATTTTCTCAGCAAGGCAATTTTACTTCCATACAAGGGTGTGTCTCACGGATGGAGCAATGGCGAGAGCACACCTGAACAAGGGAGGGGAAGGGGTTCTTATCCTAACTCAGCTAGTCCCTACTGCTGTGTCTTTCCCCTATTGGCTAGGGTTGGACCACACAGTCTAAGCTAATTCTGATTGGCTATTTTAAAGAGAGCAGGGGTATGAGCCAGAGTGGTGGGATAGGTAGTTTGGCAGGAAGGATGGTTACAGAACAGGTGACTCAGGATGACTAACAACAGAGCAGGTGACCAAGGGTGACTAAGTTCAGAGCAGGTGATAGAGGCTAGGAGGGGGTTGTTTACTGTAACTAGGGGCAAGGAGATGTAAAGAACGAGAAACTTTAAAATGAAGAACAAAGAACAGGAGAGCTGAATATACTGATACATTGGTTCTTTGAAGAGGATCTCAGAACTCATTGTGCTTAACAATTTATAGGCTAAAACCTTTGAAGAGGAATTTATTATATCCTACAATCTTATACTTGGCCTGATTATTTGCGTAAAGTGCAGCAAGAATGGTTATTTTTACTTACATAGGCCTTTTGCATTGGCTTTAATGAAACTCTGTTTCACAAGGAATTTCAGATAAGACTTTTAAAGCCAAGCCCAGCCATGGGTTTGTATCCTCTAACACCTGTGAGTTGGGTGATCCTCTCTTGAGGTCCCAAGATAAACTCAGAGCTTCCAGACCTGTTACAAAGTTATGTGTCTGTTCTTTTACCAGTACCATGCTGTTTGGTTACTGTGGCCCTGTAGTGTAGTTTGAAGTCAGGTAGCGTGATGGATGCAGCTTTATTCTTTTTGCTTAGGATTGCTTTAGCTATTTGGGCTCTTTTTTCATCTGATATTAATTTTAAAATAGTTTTTTCTAGTTTTGTGAAGAATGACAATTGTAGTTTAATGGGGACAGCACTGAATCTATAAATTGCTTTGACTAGTATGGCCATTTTATGATATTGATTCTTCCTATCCATGAGCGTGGAATGGTTTTCCATTTGTTTGTGTCATCTCTGAGTCCTCTGCACAGTGGTTTGTAGTTATCCTTGTAGAGATCTTTCACTTTCCTTGTTAGCTGTATTCCTAGGTAGTTTATTCTTTTTGTGGCAATAGTGAATGGGAGTTCGTTCATGAATTGGCTCTCTGCTTGCCTGTTGTTGGTATATAGGAATGCTAGCGATTTTTGCACGTTGATTTTGTATCCTGAGACTTTGCTGAAGTTGCTAATGAGCTTAAGAAGCTTTTGGGCTGAGATGATGGGGTTTTCTAGATATAGGATCATGTCATCTTCAAACAGGGATAGTTTGACTTCCTCTCTTCTTATTTGAATGCCCTTTTTTTCTTTCTCTTGCCTGACTGCTCTGGCCAGAACTTCCAATACTATGTTGAATAGGAAAATATAAATTTTAAAACATAAGTATTGGCTGGGCACGGTGGCTCACGCCTGTAATCCCAGCACTTTGGGAGGCTGAGGCGGGCGGATCACGAGGTCAGGAGATCAAGACCATCCTGGCTAACGTGGTGAAACCCTGTCTCTACTAAAAATACAAAAAAATTAGCCAGGTGTGGTGGCAGGCGCCTGTAGTCCCAGTTACTCAGGAGGCTGAGAGGCAGGAGAATGGCGTGAACCCGGGAGGCAGAGCTTGCAGTGAGCCGAGATTGAGCCACTGCACTCCAGCCTGGGGGACAGAGCGAGACTGTCTCAAACAAACAAACAAAAGTATTTTTAAAACTTTTAAGTTCAACTTACCAGTCATATAATTCTCATCATAAATCTAGTGAATGTTAACATTTTTTAGAAACAGGGTCTCACTATGTTGCCCAGGCTGGTCTTCAACTCCTGGCTTCAAATCATCCACCCACCTTGGCCTCCCATGGGATTACAGGTGTAAGCCCCTGCACCCAGCCAAGGGGGCTTTAATTAATAATTGGTTGGTCTTCTTTTCAAAATTAAAACTGCTTTAGGCAGCTTATACTGCAGTTGTTCATCCAATATATTTTATTTCCTTTTTTAAAGCGATTGATTGATAAACCAGCCTCCCAAATACCTTTACTGCAACCTAATAAAAGTAAACATATAAATACAGTAAATCTTAATTTTATTTTTTTTAATGTTCTGGTTCTACTTGCAATCTCAATAAGAAACTTTAAAATTCAAAATCAATTATTCAATAACCCAATTTAAACTTGAATCTGCAGACGTATCTTTTAAGCACTCTAATATACCAATTTTAAACATTTTAAGAACCTGAAATAACAGAGTTCTTTCCTTTCGCTGCTGCAGCCGCAGCCATAAATATGCTCAGGCTTTAGAAGAGGTTCGCTTCTAGTGTCCTCTGCTGTGGCAAGAAGGTCTGGTTGGACCCCAGTGAGACCAATGAAATCGCCAATGCCAGCTCCCATCAGCAGATCCGAAAGCTAATCAAAGATGGGCTGATCATCGGCAAGCCTGTGATGGTCCATTCCCAGGCTCCATGCCAGAAAAACACCTTGGCCTCCCGGAAGGGCAGGCACACGGGCATAGGTAAGCGGAAGGGTACAGCCAACGTCCGAATGCCAGAGGTCACGTGGATAAGGAGAATGAGGATTCTGTGCTGGCTACTCAGAAGATACCGTGAATCTAAGAAGATTGATCGCCACATGTATCACAGCCTGTACCTGAAGGTGAAGGGGAATGTGTTCAAAAACAAGCGGATTATCCTGGAACACATCCACAAGCTGAAAGCAGACAAGGCCTACAAGAAGCTCCTGGCTGACCAGGCGGAGGCCCGCAGGTCTAAGACCAAGGAAGTGTGGGCAGAGGATTACCCAGGTGCCGAGGCAAGAGACTGAAGGCACAGACGGTTTCAGTATAATAAAGAAAATAGTTAGAATAAGAATAGTCATAATACAAAGTAGATATAGAGATGATCATGGATAATTATCAATCATTATTATAAACATTATTAATCATTAGCTTTTAATATTACTCTTTGTTGCATTACTAATATAACCTAGGAATAACCGGCGGGTATAGGGTCAGGTGCTGAAGTGACATTGTGAGAAGTGACCTAGAAGGCAAGAGGTGAGCCCTCTGTCACGCCCCCATAAGGACCACTTGAGGGCTCCTTGGTCAAGCGGTAGTGCCAGTGTTTGGGAAGACGCCCATTACTTAGCAGACCGCGAAAGGGAGTCACCTTTCCTTGGAGGAGTCAGGGAACACTCCGCTCCACCAGCTTCTTGTGGAAGGTTGGATATTATCCAGGCCTGCCCGCAGCCATCCGGAGGCCTAAACCCCTCCCTGTGGTGCTGTGCTCCAAAGGTCACGCTCCTTGTCCACTTTCATGTTCCTGCCGTACTCCTGGTTCCTCTTTGAAGTTTGTAGTAGATGGCGGTAGAAGAAATAGTGAAAGTCCTAAAGTCTTTGATCCTTCTTATAAGTGCATAGAAGAAAACGCTGATGTATGCTGCCGTCTCTCTCTCTGCTTCGGCTACCTAAGAGGGAAGGGCCCCCTGTCCTGTGATCATGTGACTTGCTTCACCTTGTCAATCACTTAGAAGACTCGCCCTCCTTACCGTGCCCCCTTGTCTTGTGTGCAATAAATATCAGCGCGCCCAGCCGTTCTGGGCCACTACCAGTCTCCATGTCTTGATGGTAGTGGTCTCCCGGGCCCAGCTGTTTTCTCTTTGTCTCTTTGTCTTGTGTCTTTATTTATTACAATCTCTCGTCTCCACACACAGGGAGAACACCCGCTAAGCCCCGTAGGGCTGGACTCTACAGGTGGATCACTTGAGCTCAGGAGTTCAAGACCAGCCTGGCCAACATGGTGAAACCCCATCTCTACTAAAAATACAAAAATTAGCCAGGTGTGGTGGCGGGTGCCTGTAGTCCCAGCTACTTGGGAGACTGAGGCAGGAGAATCACTTGAACCTGGCAGGAGGAGGTTGCAGCTGAGATCATGCCACTGCATTCTAGCCTGGGTGACAGAGTGAGACTCTTTCTCAAAAATAATTAAAACAAACAAATAAATAAATAAAAATAATAAAAATAAAAATACAAAAATTAGCTGGGCATGGTGGCACACTCCTGTAGTTCCAGCTACTCAGGAGGCTGAGGTAGGAGAATCACTTGAACCCAGGAGGCAGAGGTTGCAGTGAGCCAAGATGGCGCCACTGCACTCCAGACTGGCAACAGAGTGAGACTCTCTAAAAAAAAAAAAAAAAGCGCCTCACCAGGAATAAGTCCAGTCAAAGAGTTTGCTATGTTGTCATTGTTGTTATCATTATTGTTACATGTATTAGAACTGTAACTTGCAGAGATATTCATGTAGCAGCTAATTGGATAGTGTGCATTTGAGACTCTGTCTGACTTTCGTTCATATCTTCTAAGGTCATTTTTTTTTTTTTGAGACAGATTACAGGCATGTGCCACCACTCCCTGGTAATTTTTGTATTTTTAGTAGAGATGGGTTTCACCATGTTGGCCAGGCTGGATCTCAAACTCCTGGCCTCAAGTGATCCACCTGCCTGGGACTCCCAAAGTGCTGGGATTACAGGTGTGAGCCACCACACCTGGCCTCTTCTAAGGTCATTCTAATGACCCATTTCTTCACTCTGCCTCTTAAGAATATCAAATGTGGGCCAGGCGCGGTGGCTCACACCTGTAATCCCAGCACTCTGGGAGGCTGAGGCAGGAGGATCACGAGCTCAGGAATTCAAGACCAGCCTGGCCAATATGGTGAAACCCCATCTCTACTAAAAATACAAAAATTAGCTGGGCGCGGTGGTGTGCGCCTGTAGTCCCAGCTACTCGGGAGGCTGAGACCTCAAGAAGAATTGCTTGAACCCGGGAGGCAGAGGTTGCAGTGAGATGAGAATGCGCCACTGCACTCCAGCCTGGGTGACAGAGCGAGATTGCGTCTCAAAAAAGAAAAAAATATATATCAAATGCTCCCTCTGCTGGACAACACCTCAAGCTTGTGCTGAGCCCCAAACCTGCAGTGTCAGTTCCCTCCAAGGTCTGGGTGTAGTAAAGTGGGTTGATGGCCCTTTAAGAGGCACTGTCCAGCTCTGGTTGCCATGGAGACAGCTGGACACAGACCGGGTAGAGGCAGGCCCACAGCATGTCCTCCAAGGTTTACTCCACAGGTGGGAAGAGGACTGCTGGGGCTGGAGGCGGGGATCCTCTTCTTTCTTCCCAATCCACCCTCGGGGTAGTCTTAGAGGATTCTGTTCTTGGGTGCTGGGGCCAGGACTGAGGTACCCTGCCTTGCCTCCCTGACCCCTGCCCTTCTCCCCAGGGTCTGCCATCTTAGCCTCTCATCCCTCTGTAGGCTCCAGAGCTAAGGACCACCAGCCCTCGGGTCCGGAGTGTCTGCCACTCCCAGAGGCCAATGCTGAAGCCATCGACTTCCTCAGCTCCCTCCGTGAGCTCAGACAGTGTCGGGGTTGGGGGTGCGGGAGGGGTGCAAGTCTGGAGAGGAGGGAAGAAAGTCCAGTCTCTCTCTCTCTCTCTCTCTCTCTCTCTCTTCCTTGATTCTCCTGGGACTCAGAAAAGGCCTGAGGCCTGTTTGTTGACATTCTTCAAGGGAAGGCCCCCCGGGGACATGGGGACATGGGGCAGGAGTCTTCACCTGTCCGTGCCAGTGAGGAAGGCTGTGGGATGAGGAGGCAGGTGGGGACTGTGGGGACACTGGTGGTCATGGGGTCAGAGGATTGGATTGGGGCCCAGGAGCAGGGGCTTTATCTGTTCCCACGGGCCCCTCACCCCAGACAAGGAGGAGCTACAGATGCTGTTCTTCTCTGAGACGCTGGCCATGGTCTCAGACACCGGGGAGCCTCAGGGAGAGCTGACCATTGAGGTGCAGAGAGGGAAATACCAGGAAAAACTCGGCATGCTGACATACTGCCTCTTCGTGCATGCCTCTAGCCGAGGCTTCTTGGACAAAATGCTCTGCGGAAATTCCCTCCTGGGTAGCGTTCCTACTGCCTGATGCCCGTCACTCTCCCCTTCCTCCAACCCTCCCCTCCACCAATTCCTAGAATCTTTTTTCAGGACCAAGCCCTTGGCTTTGCCTTGGACCAGGACAAGGCACGGGGTGGGAGAGGGATGAGCGAGTTCCTCATGGACTCGGGATGAGGGCACATCTTACCCATCCTGTAGTTTTTCTGGGACCGTATTACACCTAGTCCTCCAGCTGCGCCACCACCTTCCCTTCCTTCAGCCTCTGACCCACATCTCCTGTGACGTCAATGCCTGTGTCCCTGCACCCCAGGCTATCTCTCAGAGAAGCTGGAGCTCATGGAACAGCACAGCCAAGACTTCATCAAGGTACTTCCCAGGGCCCCAGCCTTGACCCAATCCAGGGGAGAGAAGACAGATTTTGACTTAAAAAACAGCAGCAACAACAAACCAAAAAACCTATTACATACACAGTGAAGCTGAAGAATAGCAATCGTGTTATGATGCAATGTAAAGCTCAAAAGCAACGCACTTCAGAAAACTGATTTTAAAACACGGGGGTGGGCTGGGCACAGTGGTTCACACCTGTAATCCCAGCACTTTGGGAGGCAGAGGTGGGCGGATCACCCTGAGGTCAGGAGTTCGAGACCAGCCTGGCCAACATAGCGAAACCTCATCTGTACAAAAATTAGCCAGGCATGGTGGTGCACGCCTGTAGTCCCAGCTACTCAGAAGGCTGAGGCAGGAGAATCGCTTGAACCCAGGAGGCAGAGATTGCCGTGAGCCGAGATCGCGCCACTGCACTCCAGCCTGGGTGACAGAGCAAGACTCCGTCTCAAGAAAAAAATTAAAAAACAATGAGGGTGGGCCAGGCACAATGGCTCAAGCCTATAATCCCAGCACTTTGGGAGGCCAAAGTGGGAGGATCCCTTGAGCCCAGGAGTTTGAGCCTGGGCAACATGGCAAAACCCACCAAAAATGTTTATAAATTTTGTACAAAAAATACAAAAAGTAGCTGGGTGTGGTAATGTGTGTCTGTAGTCCCAGCTACTTGGGAGGCTGAGGTGGAAGGTTCAGCGGAGCCCAGGAGGTCAAGACTGCAGTGAGCAATGTGCGTGCCACTGTACTCCAGCCTGGGTGACAGAATGAGACCCTGTCTCAAAAAAAAAAAAAAAAGAAAAAAGAAGAAAAAAGATGTAGGTTGGGCACGGTGGCTCACGCCTGTAATCCCAGCAATTTGGGAGGCTGAGGCAGGCGGATCACCTGAGGTCGGGAGTTGAAGACCAGCCTGACCAACATGGAGAAACCCTGTCTCTACTAAAAACACAAAATTAGCCGGGCGCAGTGGCTCACACCTGTAATCCCAACACTTTGGGATGCCGAGGCAGGTGGATCATGAGGTCAGGAGTTCAAGACCAGCCTGGCCAAGATGGTGAAACCCTACCTCTACTAAAAATACAAAAAGAAAATTATCCAGGCATGGTGGTGGGCACCTGTAATCCCAGCTACACGGGAGGCTGAGACAGGAGAATTGCTTGAACCCAGGAGGCGAAGGTCGCAGTAAGCCAGGATCACACCACTGCACTCCAGCCTGGGCAACAGAGCGAGACTCTGTCTCAAAAAAAAAAAAAAAAAAAAAAATGTTGGGGATGGTTTCTGGTTTCTGTGGGAAGGTTTTTAGACTTGAGTAGTTTCCAGTGTGTAAACAGGTCATGTTCACATTCCACAAGTTAATTAAGTGGCTGGGGCTGGGTGTGAGGGGCACAGAGCTGGGAGACTTGGAGGCCAGGTGAAACAGGCCCCCAGGGAAGGCTAGGCTCTGGGAAAGGCCAGCCCACCAGGCCTCCAGGGAGGCACTGGGCTCTCAGGCTGGAGGAGGGCTGGTGTGGGCTGGGTTCAGAGTTTGGGTATCAGGAGAACTTATCAGTGGCAACCTGCTGTCCCTGCACCTGGCCCACCCCCATCTTTTAAAACCAGTGTTCTGAAGTGCACTGTTTTTGAACTTTATATTGCATCATAACACGACTGCTATTCTTCAGCTTCACTGTGTATGAAAGGTGTTTTTTGGTTTTTGTTGCTGCTGCTTTTTTTTTTTTATTTTATTATTATTATTATTTTTGAGACAGAGTCTTGCTCTTATCACCCAGGCTGGAATGCAGTGGTGCAATCTAGCTCACTGCAACCTTCACCTTCCGGGTTCAAGCAATTCTCCTGTCTCAGCCTCCCAAGTAGCTGGGAATTACAGACATGCACCACCACACCTGGTTAATTTTTGTATCTTTAATAGAGATGGGGTTTTGCCATGTTGGCCAGGCTGGTCTTGAACTCCTGACCTCAAGTGATCTGCCCGCCTGGGCCTCCCAAAGTGCTGGGATTACAGGCATGAGCCACAACACCTGGCCCTGCTGCTTGGTTTTTTGTTTGTTTGTTTGTTTGTTTTTGAGATGGAGTCTCAAAAACAGCCTGTTGCCCAGGCTGGAGTGTAGTGGTGCGATCTCGGCTCACTGCAACCTCCGCCTCCGGGTTCAAGCAATTCTTCTGCCTCAGCCTCCCAAGTAGCTGAGACTACAGGCATGTGCCACCACACCCAGCTAATTTTTGTATTTTTAGTAGAGACGGGGTTTCACCGTGTTAGCCAGGGTGGTCTCAATCTCCTGACCTCGTGATCCGCCCACCTCGGCCTCCCACAGTGCTAGGATTACAGGCGTGAGCCACTGTGCCCGGCCCGGCTGCTTTTTTTTTAAGTCACAATCTTTAAACCTCAGTTTTCTCATTAATGGAGAAGGGTCAGGTGACCTCTGGGGGACCCAGGGAGTCCCTGATCCTCCCCCGCATGCTCTGGCCCTCAGTTCCTCATCCTCCCCATGGAACGGAAGATGAGTTTGCTGAAGCAGGATGATCAGCTGGCTGTGACCAGAAGTATCAAGGAGGGTGAGGTAAGGATGAGAGCCAGATGGGAGTTGCACTACACACTGTGAACCCAGAATATCTGAGACAGGTCCAGATCAATTTAGAGAGTTTATTTTGCCAAGGTTAAGGACGCGCACATGACACAGCCTCAGGAGGTCCTGAGGAAATGGGCCCAAAGTGGTTGGGGCACAGCTTGTTTTTTTTTTTTTTTTTTGAGACAGAGTTTCACATTTGTTGCAGAGGCTGGAGTGCAATGACGTGATCTCGGCTCACTGCAACCGCCACCTCCCGGGTTCAAGTGATTCTCCTGCCTCAGCCTCCCGAGTAGCTGGGATTATGGGCATGCACCACCACGCCCGGCTAATTCTGTATTTTTAGTAGAGAGGGAGTTTCATCCCTGTTGGCCAGGCTGGTCTCAAACTCCCGACCTCAGGTGATCCGCCCGCCTCAGCCTCCCAAAGTGCTGGGATTACAGGCGTGAGCCACCACGCCCAGCCTACAGCTTGGTTTTATACATTTTAAGGAGACACGAAACATCAATCAACACGTGTAAGATGTACACTGGTTCACCAGACGTAAAAATACAAAAAATTAGCCAGGCGTGGTGGCAGGCGCCTGTAGTCCCAGCTACTCGGGAGGGTGAGGCAGGAGAACGGCGTGAACCCGGGAAGTGGAGCTTGCACTAAGCTGAGATCACGCCACTGCACTCCAGCCTGGGCGACAGAGCAAGACTCCGTCTCAAAAAAAAAAAAAGATGTACATTGGTTCATTGGAAAAGGCAGGACAACTCGAGGCAGGGAGGGGGCTTCCAAGTCATAGGTAGATAAGAGACATGCTTTTAAGTTTCCGATTAGCCTTTCACTGAATACACAATTTACATGCTATGGGGGTTAGAAAAGTAGTCACTTATGCCTTACTCTGGCTTAGTGAAACAATAGAGCAGAGAAAGCCATCAGATATGCATTTATCTCACGTGAGCAGAGGGATGACTTTGAGTTCTGTCTGTCCTTTGTCCACAAGGAATTTCCTTGTGGGCAAATAGTGAGGGAGTTATATAGCTTTTTTTTCTCTTAGTAGCTACCTTGTTTAGGAATAAAATGGGAGGCAGCTTTGCCTGAGGCAGTTCCCAGCTTGACTTCCCTTTGGCTTAGTGATTTGGGGTCCCAAGATTTATTTTTCTTTCACAATGTCCTCTTCAGAACTCTGAGCGGGGACCAGATTAGATGAAGCCAGGAGTCCAGACTAACGATTCATTCATTAGGCTGGGCGCGGTGGCTCACGCCTGTAATCCCAGCTCTCAGAAGCAAGAGGCAGGAGGATAGCTTGAGCCTAGGAGTTCGAGACTTGCCTGGGCAATATAGCGAGACCCCGTTCTCCAGAAAAAGGAAAAAAAAAAAAGACAAGGATTCATTCATTAAAAACCATATGACCGGCTGAAGGCCAGGCGTGTGGTGACTCACGCCTGTAATTTCAGCACTTTGGGAGGCCAAGGCGGGCGGATCACTTGAGGTCAGGAGTGGAGACCAGCCTGGCCAATATGGTGAAATCCCCTCTAATAAAAATACAAAAATTAGCTGGGCGTAGTGTCGTGAGCCTGTAATCCCAGCTACTCAGGAGGCTGAGGCAGGAAAGTCGCTTGAACCTGGGAGCTGGAGGTTGCAGTGAGCTGAGATCGCACCACTGCACTCCAGTCTGGGCAACAGAGCAAGACCCTGTCTCAAAAAAAAAAAAAAAAAAGGCTCACGCCTGTAATCCCAACACTTTGGGAGGCAGAGGGGGCCTATCACCTCAGGTCAGGAGTTCAAGACTAGCCTGGCCAACATGGTGAAATCCGGTCTCTACTAAAATTACAAAATTTAGCCAGGCATGGTAGCCTGTAATCCCTGCTACTTGAAAGGCTGAGGCAGGAGATCGCTTGAACCAAGGAGGCGGAGGTTGCAGTGAGCTGAGACCACGCCATTGCACTCCAGCCTGGGTGACAAAAAGCGAAACTCTGTCTCAAAAAAAAACAAAACCGTATGCCCAACACCTGGCTTGCCCACCCTCCTGTCCCCTGCCCCTTCCTGGTTCCAGGACCCTGACCCAGATCAGTTCTGAACAGGAAGTGAAGACTGGAGTGACTTCTTTCCCCTGGAGCTCAATCAAGGGCTTCATCTCAGAGGCTGCCAACCTGGTGCTGCTCAGGGTGATGGCCTGGCGGCGGATGGTGCCCAGCAATGCCCGCTTCCTGACCTTGGACACCGAGGGCAAACTCTGCTATTTGACCTATGTAAGGGGTCCCCTTGGGCAGGGGACTTGGCTTGGGAGCGAACTAGAAAAGGCGTGAAAAGCACTGAGATGGGGAACAGCTGTGGAGTAGAAAAGGGAGGCAGGTGGGGAGAAAACAGCACAGGTGGGAATGGGGCTTTCAAGGGCAGGAAAGCATGTTTGTCTGGGAGTGTGGGGCAGATGAATTGAGAGTGACTGAGAAGTGGGAACAGTTCAGAGAAGCAACCCTTCCGCACAGAAGTCAGTCCAGGAAAAATAAATATAGTGCAGGGCTGATTTAAAAAATACATCATTTTGGGCCAGGTGTGGTGGCTCACGCCTGTAATCCCAGCACTTTGGGAGGCCAAGGCGGGCCGATCACAAGGTCAGGAGATCTAGACCATCCTGGCTAACATGGTGAAACCCCGCCTCTACTAAAAATACAAAAAAAAAAAATCAGCGGGGCGTGGTGGCAGGCGCCTGTAGTCCCAGCTACTCAGGACGCTGAGGCAGGAGAATGGCGTGAACCCGGGAGGCAGAGCTTGCAGTGAGCCGAGATCGCGCCACTGCACTCCCGCCTGGGTGACAGAGCGAGACTCTGTCTCAAAAAAAAAAAACAAAAAAAAAAAAACGTCATTTTGGCCAGGCGCAGTGATTCATGCCTGTAATCCCAGCACTTTGGGAGGCCAAGGTGGGCAGATCACTTGAAGTTAGGAGGTCAAGATCAGCCTGGCCAACATGGTGAAACCCTGTCTCTACTACAAATACAAAAATTATTAGCTGCGTGTGGTGGCAAGTGCCTGTAATCCCAGCTACTCGGGAGGCTGAGGCAGGAGAAGCATCACTTGAACCCAGGAGGCGGAGGTTGCAGTGAGCTGAGATCGCACAACTGCACTCCAGCCTGGGCAACAGAGGGAGACTCTGTCTCAAAAAAATAAATAAATAAAAATAAATCATTTTTTAACTTTAGGAAGTGTAACATGTCCAACTTTACTGAAATATTCCTTTATTATTTCTTAACCCCAAAGGGTGTTCCGTTTTTGTTTTGTTTTTTGTTTTTAACTAAAATTTCATAATCAGCATGCCTAGGACTTCCTGCAATCAGTGATTTTAAAGCCATGCCACTGAACACACAATTTCCAGTGAGACACTTTGGGGGCTGATTTGTGTTTCTTTGACCATCTTTGTAAATTACATTCCAGGCTTGTCTATCAAAACACACCAAGCAGCAATGCATTTGACATGAACAAGCACAATCCATTCCCCTCCGTGTTCTTTGAAACATGTGTTTAACATTAGCACTTTTTTCTCCATAGCTGCAGCTACAACAGGGGTTTAAGTTTTAATCACAACAGGGACAGCCTGCCAGCAACAGCACAGGTCTGAGGTGGCCACAAATCTGTCTGGTCTCACACCTCTGAGCCTCACTTTACCTCCACCCACTGGCCCTAGTAGCTCATCCTACCTCTCCGCTCCCACACCCCCCCGCATACCGCTTCTCATCCCTGTAACAGAATTTGCCAACTAGAAGCACCTGGTCAGCGAGATGACATGGGAGGGGTCAGGGCAAGGGCAACCTGGAGCTAGCTCCCTATGAGGGGTCGCCAACTCAGCTTGGAGGTTTGGAGATGCAATATTAAATGTCTTGAGGTTGTTATGAGATGGAGAAAAGGCTAAGGTAAGATGATGGGGAGCCCTTGGCGGGCATCCACCTTACCTCCCACCCCCCAATTTTGGCTGTTGCCAGCAAAACCTGGGCTTCCAGACCATCCAGGTAGACCATCAGCAGGCTGAAGTCTTCATCGTGGAGCAGACTGTCCACGCGGAGGAGGGCATCCCCATGTCCTGCCAGTACTACCTGCTCTCCGATGGGTGAGCTGCTGATGGTGGGCCCAGAGGGGTGGTGCTGAGCTTGTAGGTGCTCAAGGAGACCGGCTGCTTCTGGGGATAGCACCAGGAAGAACTGGCATTGAGATAGGAGTGTCCCTCCGCTTTATCCATATCATTCACTCTTTCTTCATTTATTTGCTCGTCCTCTTAACCCTCACAGTGCCTCCCAAACCTTCTCACTGCACACCACAGGCCTGGGGTGTAGCTAGTGCAGCCACCACTGTGTAAGGGATAATACTGAAAAACACCAAGGTCTGAATGACTGCACACTTGATGAAATCACTGTGCTGGAAGAATTGCCTGTGGCAGGCTGCCGTGCAGTCTCCAGCAAAGCACTGGCTCCAAATCATAAGAAAATTCAGGGCTGGGCGTGGTGGCTCACACCTGTAATCCCAGCACTTTGGGAGGCTGAGGCGGGCGGATCATGAGGTCAGGAAATTGAGACCATCCTGGCTGACACGGTGAAACCCCATCTCTACTAAAAATACAAAAAATTAGCCAAGTGTGGTCGTGGGCGCCTGTAGTCCCAGCTACTCTGGAGGCTGAGGCAGGAGGATGGCGTGAACCCAGGAGGCAGAGCTTGCAGTGAGCCGAGATCGCGCCACTGCACTCCAGCCTGGGTGACAGCAAGACTCCGTCTCAAAAAAAAAAAAGAAAGAAAAAGAAAATTCAGGTGGAAGAAAGAGTTTCTTTCTGTTTTTTTGTTTTGTTTTGTTTTTTTGAGACAGACTCCAGTCGAGTTTATTTCTTAAAATTTCAGAATAGATATTCACATAATCACTACACTGGGGAAAAGGTAATCAAAACATTGTTGGCTTTATCTCATAACTTAGTATGTTTTCGGTTTTGGTGCGATCATAGCCCACTGCAGCCTCCAACTCCTGGGCTCAAGCAATCCACCTGCTTCAGCCTTCCTAGTAGCTGGGACTACAGGTATGCACCACAGCTCCAGGCCAACCTTTTTATTTTGAATGCCGCATAGCAGGAGATTCCATAATTTTTCTTTTCTTTCTTTCTCCTTCCTTCCTTCCTCTTTCTCTCTTTCTCTCTCTCTGTCTCTTTCTTGACAGAGTCTCGCTCTGTCACCTAGACTGGAATGTGTGGCATAATCTTGGCTAACTGCAACCTCCGCCTCCCAGGTTCAAGTGATTCCCTTGCTTCAGCCTCCCAAGTAGCCGGGACTACAGGTGCCTGCCACCACGCCTGGCTAATTTTTGTATTTTTAGTAGAAACAGGCTTTCACCATGTTGGCCAGGCTGGTCTCAAACACCTGACCTGAAGTGATCTGCCCATCTTGGCCTCCTAAAGTGCTGGGATAACAGGCGTGAGCCACTACAAGTGTGAGCCACTGCGACAGGCCTCTTTCTCTTTTTGAGACAGTCTCGCTCTGTTACCCAGACTGGAGTACAGGGATGCAATCTTGGCTCACTACAACCTCCACCTCCCAGGTTCAAGTGATTCTCATGCCACAGCCACCAAAATAGCTGGGATTACAGGCGCCCACCACCACGTCTGGCTAGTTTTTTGTATTTTTAGTAGAGACGGCGTTTCACTATGTTGGCCAGGCTGGTCTCAAACTCCTGACCTCAAGTGATCCACCCATCTCAGCCTCCCAAAGTGCTAGGATTACAGGCGTGAGCCACCGTGCCTGGCCAAGAGGCTCCATGATTTTCGAGTGCTGTACCTCTAAAGATCCTTTTTGTTTTTTTTAAACAGGGGGCCTAATACTTGCCAAGCCCTGTGCGTTATTTGGAGATCCAGAAATGAACACCACCCAGGAACTTAATAAACAAGAGAGGGAGGCAGAAGTAAAGAGGCCCGGGACAGGTCTCTCAAGGGGCACTGTCATGTAGGAGTCTGCTTAGGCTGCCATAACAAAACACCACAGGCTGGGTGGCTTCAAGAGAAATATATTTGCTGGAAGGCAGGAAGTCCAAGATCATGGTGCCATCAGGGTTGGTTTCTGGTGAGGGCTGTCTTCCTAGCTTGCAGACAAGTGCCTTCTCAATGTGTCCTCACATGGCCTTTCTTCCGTGCATGAGTGAAGAGAAAGCTCTCTGGCATCACCCTTTTCTCATAAGGGCACTAATCCTATCTGATTCGGGCCCCACCCTTATGACTGCATGTAAACGTAATGACCTCCCCAAAGCCCCTACCTCCAAATACCACCACACTGGGGGTTAGAGAGACAATTCAGTCCATAGCAGGCGGTCTGGGAAGATTCTCACTCTCACATGTTGTGTTGCACTCCAGGCACCTGGCCAAGAGAATACAGGTGGGCTCCCCAGGGTGCTGCATCATCACCAAGATGCCCATCTTGAGGGAAGAGGGTGAGTGAAGCCCAGGCCTTGTGCAGGCAGGGAGAGTTAAGGGGAGTGGGGAAACCTGGGCCTTCCAGGATGCAGGGGGCTGGACCCAGTGTGCTGTAAACGGGACAGGAGCCTGGAATCAGCTGGAGAACATCTGCCCTCCAGCCCCTGACCCCAAGCAATAAGAGGAGGATCTTTCCTACTGGAAGTCCCTTCCTGCAACTCTGCCCATGTGGGCAGAATCCTGGGGTTTCACCTGAGCCTTCTGTTTGGGTGTTCTCGGGATCTCGCTGTGTATCCAAGGAAGGTTCCGGGGTAGGGACGCCCAGCCTTCCTTGTTCCCCACCTAGATGAGATTGAGCCACGCCCAGTGTTTGAGAAGAAGCCCCTGGTATGGGAGGAGGATATGGAGCTCTATTCGAAGTTCCTGGACCGGAAGGTGAGGGGAGGCTCCACCAGCCTGGGGTTCCCATTCCCCCATGGGCCTTAAATTCATTACTGATCTCTGCACCTGATTGAAATGCACACCCGTAGGGGCTAGAAGGCTCCAGCGCCCCTTAGCTCTCCTTGGAGCGAGCGGCTGGGGGCTCCTGGGGCGCGGGGGTCCCGTCCGGCTGAGGCTCGGGCTCTGTCCCCTGCCAGGAGGAGCTCCGGCTCGGCCACGCCAGCTATCTGCGGCAGCACCCCGAAGCCCACGCGCTCATCTCCGACTTCCTGCTCTTCCTGCTGCTGCGCCAGCCGGAGGACGTGGTCACCTTCGCCGCCGAGTTCTTCGGCCCCTTCGACCCGTGGCGTCCGTCGTCACCGGCCTTGGGCTCCTCCCACCGGCCCAACCCTTTCCGCTCCCTGGAGCCGGAGGGAGACGCCCGCTCGGGGGCGGCCTAAGCGGGGCCCAGGCCCGGACAGGGCAGGAAACCAGGGGTCGGGCTGGGACGCGGGCGGGACGCGCCGGGGCGGGTGCGCTTTCCGGGCTGCGGTTTTGGGGGAATAAATGGGGCCCTCCCGCTTCTCTGCAGCGCCCGTCGACAGCGTCCCTGGCTAGCGTCTAGTGTCTCGGGCTAGAAATAGGAACCGTTACCGTCGTACCTCGAGTAGATTTCAGCCTTTCCTCCTAGATGCTGTTTTCATCATTATCCCCATTCTACAGATAAGAACACAGAGGCACAGAAAGTTTAACTTTTGGAGTTGGCAGGTGGGGAGGCAGAATTTGAACCTCAACGTTGGACTTGAAAGCCCACACTCGGCCGGGCGCGGTGGCTTAAACCTGTATTGTCGGCACTTTGGGAGGCCGAGGCGGGCGGATCACCAGGTCAGGAGATCGAGACCAGCCTGGCCAACACGGTGAAACCCCATCTTTACTAAAAATACAAAAAATAGCCGGGCATGGTGGCGCGCGCCTGTAATCCCAGTTAGGAGGCTGAGGCAGGAGGATCGCTTGAACCCCGGAGGCGGAGGTTGCAGTGAGCCGAGATGGCGCCATTGCACTCCAGCCTGGGCGACAGAGCGAGACTCCGTCTCAAAAAAAAAAAAAAGAAAAGAAAAGAAAAAAAAGAAAAAGCCCACACTCTTACTAGGTTAGCACGGAGGGGCGGGCGCCTTGGCACTCAGATCTTACGGTCGCAGAGCATAATTGCCCAACCAACCGCCCAAAGAAAAATAACAAGCGGCGGGGGGTTGGGGAGGGAGGAGGGCCGACGTGGACCACCTCTGGCTTAGCTCAAACCCCCTGAAATCTCGCAAACGCAGCTAGCACTCAGGCTCGAGCTCCTCCCGGTTCCCACTGACACAGAGGGACCCCCAGACTCCGGAGGTGGGGGGTCCGAGAGTAAAAATAATGGGCAGATGATCGTCGCATCCTCTGGGCTCCTCGTGGAACGTCAGTGCTGGCCAGTGGCTTCTGTCCGGATGCTCAGTAGCAAACTTTAGGCAAGCTCCCCTGAGGGAGTGGTGGCGGTGCAGGCTCTCTCCTTCCCTTGTTCGTTCGTCAGACCTGCTGCTGCAGACTCCAGAGACGCTTTGCTCTCTAGTGGACGGTATGACCAGACACCTACAAGGCTGGGTTGGATGCGGGGCTGGGGGGAGGACCTGAGAATCACAGACAAAAGGCTTCATGGAGGACCATCACTTGAGTTGAACCTTGAAGGATTTTTTAAAAATATTTCTTATTGTCCCTCTCCCTTATTTCAAAAGAAATACATGTTCATAAGATAAAACTTGGGAAAGGGAGATAAACCAAAAGAAGAAAACGAAATCATTTTACTCTCTCTACCTAGAAGCAGCTGCTCAACGTTTTGGCAAATATCCTCTCTACTCTCCTATGCATAAAAGCAGCTGGTGTTTGTTGAGTGTTCACTCTGTCAAGCCCTTTTCTAGATTGTTTGATCTGGTCTTTATAACTCCAGGGAACTTTATTTATTTATTTTTGACTGGTTCTTGTTCTGTCACCCAGACTGAAGTACCATGGCACAATCACTGCTCACTGCAGCCTTGACTTCCTGAGCCCAAGCGATCCTTCCACCCCAGCCTGAGTGGCTGGGACTGCAGGCATGCACCACCACACTGGGCTAAATTTTTTTTTTCTTTTTTTAAGAGATGAGGGTCTCACTATGTTGCCCAGGCTGGTCTCAAACTCCTGGCCTCAACTGACCCTTCCACCTTGGTCCCCCAAAGTTCTGGGATCACAGGCATGTGCCACTGCATCCAGCCTCAATTTCCTTTTTCTTTTTTTTTTCAGAGACCAGTCTCCCTGTGTTGCCCAGGCTGCTTTTGAACTCCTGTGCTCAAGCAATCCACCTCCCTCAGCCTCCCAAAGTGCTGAGGTTACAGGCATGAGCCACTGCACACAGCCTCTATTTTTGCTATTATAAACAGTGTTGCACTGAACATCCTTGTAGCTAAATCTTTGCATATATCAACAAGTTATTTCCTTAAGGATACATTCTGACAAGTTACATTGCTGAACTAATTTTAAGACTTTTATTTTAGCATATTGCCAAATTCTACAGGGGTTGGATTTCTGTTAAGGTGAGGTAAAGCATTCCAGGCAAAGCAAATAACATGAGCAAAGGACAGAAGTAGGAAAGTGTAATGCATGTCTGTGGTCAAGAGCAGTGGTACCCAATAGAACTTTCTGCAGTGATGGAGAGTTGAGGGTGGGGACTTCAGGAAAGGCCTCTCTAGGGTCTCAGTTGAGCTGGGACCTAAATGATAAGGAGTCAGACTTGTGAAGAGTTGAGGGAAAAGCCTTCTAGGCAGAAGGAACAGCAAGTGCAAAGGCTGTGAGCATGGCATGTTGGGAACAGGCCATTGAGGCTGGAGCATGAAGGGGCAGGAGAAAAACACGCAGTAACTGCAAGATGGGCAGGGCAGGATCACAGAGGGTCGCCTAGGCTCTGGCAAGTTCTCTTCATCTGTGGGGAACCGAAACAGGCTGACCCAACCCCATGCACCCAGAACATTCCCAGAAAGATCGACAGAGCTCCCTTTAGTCCAGAAACCCTGCAGCGGTTGGAGGAGGCCAAGGCAGCAGCTTGCAACACACGCAGGTTCATCCTTCACTGAGCTCTTACATCAGGTGCCTGCAATAGGGAGGAGGAGTTGAGCCACTTCCCTGTCTCCTCTGTGATGTCTATTTCAAAACTGGTTTATTTTAAAATCTTAGTATTTGTTCCCAGAACTACTGTGACTCCGTCCTCTTGCTCCATAATACTGACGTACATTTCTCAGCCGGCAGCAGTGGCTCATGCCTGTAATTCCAACACTTTGGGAGGCCCACGCGGCAGATCACTTGAGTCTAGAATTTTGAGACCAGCCTGGATAACACAGCAAGACCCTGTCTCTACAAAAAATACAAGAAGTCAGCTGGGCATGGTGACACAAGGCTATAGTCTCAGCTACTCAGGAGGTTGAGGGGGGAGGATTGCTTGAGCCCAGGTGTTCAAGGCTACAGTGAGCTGTGATTGCACCACTGCACTCCAGCTTGGGTGACAAAGACAGACTCTGTCTCTAAAAAAAAGTTAAAAAAAAAAAACAGAGATGCATTTCTCAGCATAAAGAAAAAAACATGTTCAGCAATTCTGAAGTGCCAGGCACTGGATCTAGGGATGCTGTGGCCAGCAAACAGGCCAGGCGCCACTTGCATCGCCCACAGTCAGCCTAGAGAGGAAGTGACAGCCCCCAGTAATCCCATGGGGGGATATAAAAGTATAGGGCATGGGAAGGGCTAAGAAGGGAATGTAGACATGCAGTGAGAGTGCCTAATGCAGCCTTGTCCTAGTATGGGGCTCCAGGGAGGAGGAAGGAAATAAACAGTAATAACAGCCTGGACTCAGTGGCTCACACCTGTAATCCCAGCAATTTGGGGGCCGAGGCCGGATGATTACTTGAGGCCAGGAATAGGAGACTGGGCTATGTAGTGAGGCCTTGTCTCTACAACAAAACTGATTTATTTATTTAGAAGCGGAGCTGTGCGTTGTCACCCAGGCTGGAGTGCAGTGACACCATCTCCGCTCACTGCAACTTCCACTTCCCAGGTTCAAGCGATTCTCCTGCCTCAGCCTCCTGAGTAGCTGTGACTACAGGCGTGGGCCACCATACCCAGCTAATTTTTGTATTTTTAGTAGAGAAGGGATTTCACCATGTTGGCCAGGCTGGTCTCGAACTCCTGACCTCAAGTGATCCACCCACCTAGGTCTCCCAAAGTGCTGAGATTACAGGCATGAGCCACTGCGCCCCACCAAAAAAATTTTTTTAATTAGCCAGCCGTGGCGGCAGTTACCTGTAGTCCCAGCTGCTCAGGATGCTGAGGAGATAGGATACCTTGAGTCTTGAAGTCCAAGGGTACAGTAAGTTATGATCTTGTTACTGCACTCCAGCCTGGGCAACAGAGTGAGACTCTGTCTCTAAAACACAAAATAAAATAAAAATCTTTTTTAAAATAGTAACAATATTAAGAGGAAACCCATAATACATGTGATTCTCACAATATCCCTATGAGGTGGTTTCTATTGCTATTCACATATTACAGATGAGGAAGAGGTCAAGGCTCATGGCCACACACTGGTTAGTGTCAGAGCCAGAATTTGGACTCAGAGAGTCTGGCTCCAGAGCCCATGTGCCAATCCACTCTCCTAAACAGATCAAATGTAACTCTCTGGAGACAGATCCCAGAACAGAGAAGAGTCACCTTCCTGCTTTAATACATGCAGAGTAGGCTTGACTTTACACTTTCTCCTTCCCCAGGCACCCAGAAACTAGTGCATTCTTTCTTTCTTTCTTTCTTTTTGAAATGGAGTTTCACTGTTGTTGCCCAGGCTGGAGTGCAACGATGCGATCTCGGCTCACTGCAACCTTCGCCTCCCGGGTTCAAGCGATTCTCCTGCCTCAGCCTCCCGAGTAGCTGGGATTACAGGCATGCGCCACCACGCCCAGCTAATTTTGTATTTTTAGTAGCAATGGTGTTTCTCCATGTTGGTCAGGCTGGTCTCGAACTCCCAACCTCAGGTGATCTGCCCGCCTCGGCCTCCCAAAGTGCTGGGATTATAGCCGTGAGCCACTGGGCCCGGCCTCAGTGCGTTGTTCCTTAGTGCATTGACACCACTGGGAGTCTCACTGCTGTGGCTTGCCTGGGTAGAAGAGGAGGGCATTGTGCTAAGGGAGCACATAGCCTGGCCTGGGAGAGATCAAGGATGGCTTCCTGGAGGAGGTCACACCAGAACTGAATCCTGAAGGACAAGAAGTCATTCACCAGGCCAAGGGTATAGAGGCTGTTTCAGGAGGAAGCAGCATATGCAAAGGCCTAGAGGTGAGAGGGAGGGAGCACTGAGGGAAGGAGTCTGAGCTACTGCAAGGAACTCAGGAGAAGATAGTGAAGTGTGGGAGCCTAACTAAAGCATTGCCTGCTGCCCCAGAGACTGAGAAACTCTGGAAGTGGGTTAGGCAAATGCCCAAATGCCTACCTGTGTCTGTGTTGTTGTTTTTTTCCCCTCCCACAAAAGGCCTTAATGAGAGCAGATAAGCTAAGAGCAATGCTACAGATGGAGTCCTACAAGAAAAGTCTAGGCCGGGCTGGGCTCGGTGGCTCACGCCTGTAATCCCAGCACTTTGGGAAGCCGAGGCAGGCAGATCACGAGGTCAGGAGATCGAGACCATCCTGGCTAACACGGTGAAACCCTGTCTCTACTAAAAATACAAAAAATTACCCGGGCGTTGTGGCGTGTGCCCGTAGTCTCAGCTACTTGGGAGGCTGAGGCAGGAAAATGGCATGAACCCGGGAGGCGGAGGTTTGCAGTGAGCTGAGATTGCACCACTGCACTCCAGCCTGGGCGACAGAGCGAGACTCTGTCTCAAAAAAAAAAAAAAAAAGAGTCTAGGCCAGGTGCAGTGGCTCACGCCTGTACTCCCCACACTTTGGGAGGCCAAGGTGGGTGGATCACGAGGTCAGGAGTTCGAGACCAGCCTGGCCAACATGGTGAAACCCTGTCCCTATTAAAAATACAAAAATTAGCCGGGCGTGTCGCACGCCTTTAATCCTAGCTACTCGAGATGCTGAGGCAGGAGAATCGCTTGAACCCAGGAGGTTGCAGTGAGCCGAGATCGTGCCATTGCACTCTAGCCTGGGCAACAAGAGCAAGACTCCGTCTCAAAAAAAAACCCAAAAAACAAAAAACACCTAAAAGCAAGAAGAGTCTAGCATTTTGACATCCAGCTAGACAAAATAAAAAGCCAGGGCTGGAGTGTCCCTGGAAGGTGCAGACCTAGCCTATTGAATCTGTCAGGCTCTTCCTTTAATAATCTGCTATTCCAACACCAGCATCATAAAATCCATTCTTGTTCAGTTGGATGGTTTTCCCATTTTGTTTTATGATATGCCGTCTTGTGTCACTTAATGACAGGGATATGTTCTAAGGAATGTGTCATTAGGAGATTTTGCCCTCGTGTAAACATCATAGAGTGTTTACATACACAAACCTAGATGGCATAGCCTACTACACACCTAGGCTGTATGGTATAGCCCACTGCTCCTAGGTTAAAAATGTGTATAGCATGCTATTGTATTGAATACTGTAGGTAATTGTAACACAATGGTAAGTATTTGTGTATCTAAACATATCTAAGCAGGCCAGGCGCAGTGGCTCATGCGTGTAATCCCAGGACTTTGGGAGGCCGAGGCAGGTGGATCACAAGGTCAGGAGATTGAGACCATCCTGGCTAACATGGTGAAACCCTGTCTCTACCAAAAATACAAAAAATTAGCCAGGTGTGGTGGTGGACACCTGTAGTCCCAGCTACTCGGGAGGCTGAGGCAGGAGAATGGCGTGAACCCGGGAGGCAGAGCTTGCAGTGAGCCAAGATCAGGCCACTGCATTCCAGCCTGGGCAACAGAGCGAGACTCCGTCTCAAAAAAAAAAGTAAATAAAAAAATAAAAAGAAAAAGAAAACATATCTAAGCAGAGAAAAGGTACAGTGAAAATACATTAGCTGGCCGGGTGTGGTGGCTCACACCGGTAATCCCAGCACTTGGGGAAGCCGAGGCAGGCAGATCACAAGGTCAGGAGTTCAAGACCAACCTGACCAATATGGTGAAACCCCGTCTCTACTAAAAATACAAAACTTAGCCGGGCGTGGTGGCGCACACCTGTAATCCCAGCTACTCGGAAGGCTGAGGCAGGAGAATTGCTTGAACCCAGGAGGCGAAGGTTGCAGTTAGCCCGCCTCAGCCTTCCAAAGTGCTGGGATTACAGGTGTGAGCCACTGCACCTGGCCCACAGGTGTTTTTGGGGTTTTTTTTACTGTAATTTTTAAGTATTTGGTTTTTGTTTGTTTGTTTTTTGAGGGAGGTCTTGCTCTGACACCCAGGCTGGGTGCAGTGATGCAATCACGGCTTACTACAGTTTTCACCTCCCAGGTTCAAGCGCCCCTCCCACCACAGCCTCCAGAGTAGCTAGGACTACAGGCGCATGCCACTAAGCCCAGCTAATCTTTGCATTTTTTGTAGAGATGGGGGGGTCTCATTCTGCTGCCCAGGCTGGTCTCAAACTCCTGGGCTCAAGCAATCTACCTGCCCTGGCCTCCCAAAGTGCTGGGATTATAGGCGTGAGCCACTGTACCTGGCCTTATGTACAGGTTTTCCTGTGAACATAAGTTTTAATTTCTCTGGGATAAATGCCCAGGAGTGTATTCTGTGGGATAGATGGACCATAGTTTGACTAACCATTCCTCTGTTGAAGGACATCTGGGTTGTTTCCAGTTTTGGTTATTATGAATAAAGATGCTATAAAAATTTGTACACAGATTTTCGTGTGAACATAAATCTTCATTTCTCTGGGAAATATGCCAAGGAATGCAATTGCTAAGTCGTATTGTAGTTGCATGTTTAGTTTTTAAGAAATTTACAGGGGCTGCATGTGGTGGCTCATTCCTGTAATCCTGGCACTTTGAAAGGAAGAGGTAGGAGGATTGCTTGAGCCCAGGAATTCAAGACCAGCCTGGGTAACATCACAAGATCCTGTCTCTGCAATAAATAAATAAATAAGCTGAGTATGGTGGCGGATTCCTGTAGTCCCAGCTACTTGGGAGGCTGAAGTTGGAAGATCACTTGAGCCCGGGAGTTTGAGGTTGCAGTGAGCTATGACTATGCCACTGTACTCCAACCTGGACAACAGAAAAAGACCCTGTCACTAAAAAATACAATAAAATAATAATTAAAAAATTTTAGGTAGGGCATGGTGGCTCACACCTGTAATCCCAGCACTTTGGGAGGCCGAGGCGGACGGATCACCTGAGGTCAGGAGTTCGAGACCAGCCTGGCCAATATGGTGAAACCCCATCTCTACTAAAAGTACAAAACTAGCCAGGCATGGTGCCACATGCCTATAGTCCCAGCTACTCGGGAGGCTGAGGCAGGAGAATCGCTGGAACCCAGGAGGCAGAGGTTGCAGTGAGCCGAGATCGCACCATTGCACTCCAGCCTGGGCCATAGAGCAAGACTCTGTCTCAAAAAAAAAAAAAAAAAAAAACTTTAAAAATAAATTTACAAACTCTTTTCAGACTGACTACCATTTTACAGTCTCACGAGCAACATATGAGTGATCCAGTTTCTCCATATCCTTGCTAACATTTGGTGTTATCACTATGTTTTATTTTAGCCATTCTGATAATTGAATAGCAGAATCTTGTTATGATTTTAATTTGAATTTTTTTCTAATGGCTAATAATGTTGCAAATCTTTCCATGTGTTTATTTGCCATTTGTACATCATCTTTGGTGAATATCTGTTCATGATTTTTGCCTATTTCTCATTGCTCATTGTTGTGGTTTTTGTTTGTTTTTTTTTTTGTTTTTGAGACAGAGTCTTGCTCTGTCACCCAGGCTGGAGTGTAGTGGTGCGATCTCTGCTCACTGCAACCTCTGCCTCCTTGGTTCTAGCAATTCTTCTGCCTCAGCCTCCTGAGTAGCTGGGATTATAGGCCGTGCCACCATGCCCAGCTGATTTTTTGTATTTTTAGTAGAGACAGGGTTTCACGATGTTAGCCAGGATGGTCTCGATCTCCTGATCTCGTGATCCACCTGCTTCGGCCTCCCAGAATGCTGGGAATACAGGCATGAGCCACCGCCCCTGGCTGTTGTATTATTATTTATTTATTTTTTTTTTTTTGAGATGGAGTCTCACTCTGTTGCCCAGGCTGGAGTGCAGTGGCGTGATCTCGGTTCACTGCAACCTCTGCCACCCAGGTTCAAGTGATTCTCCTGCCTCAGCCTCCCAAGTAGCTGGGATTACACGCACACGACACCATGCCCAGCGAATTTTTTGTATCTTTAGTAGAGACAGGGTTTCACCATCTTGGCCAGGCTGGTCTTGAACTCCTGACCTTGTGATCCACCCATCTTGGACTCCCAAAGTACTGGGATTACAGGCATGAGCCACCGCGCCTGGCCTATTTTTTTTAACTATTAAGTTTTTTTTTTTTTTTTTTTTTTGAGACAGAGTCTTACTCTGTTGCCCAGGCTGGAGTGCAGTGGCTCGATCTTGGCTTACTGCAACCTCCGCCTCCTGGGTTCAAGCGATCCTCTGGCCTCAGCCTCCTGAGTAGCTGAGATTACAGGAATGTGCCACCACACCTAGCTAATTTTTGTATTTTTAGTAGAGACGGGGTTTCACCATGGTGGCCAGGCTGGTCTCGAACTCCTGACCTCAGGTGATCTGCCCGCCTTGGCCTCCCGAAGTGCTGGACAGGCATGAACCACCACGCCCAGCCTAGCTGTTGAGTTTTAAGAGATTCTTATATTTCTAGATACTAGACCTTTGTCAGACATGTGGTTTGCAAATATGTCATCCAAGTCTGTATCCTGTCTTTTTATCTTCGTAGCAGGGTCTTTCACCAAGCAAAAGCTTTTAATTTTTTTTTTTTTTTTTTTTTGAGACTGAGTTTTACTTTTGTTGCCCAGGCTGGAGGGCAATGTCGCCATCTCGGCTCACTGCAACCTCCCCTCCCTTTGTATTTTTAGTAGAGATGGGGTTTCTCCATGTTGGTCAGGCTGGTTTTGAACTCCAGACCTCAGGTGATCCACCCGCGTCGGCCTCCCAAAGTGCTGGGATTACAGGCGTGAGCCACCGCGCCTGGCCTTTAATTAGTTTTTAATTTTGATGAGGTTCAATTTATCAAATTTTCCCTTTATGGATCATGGTCTTCATATCAAGTCTATGAAGTCTTTGTCTAGTCCTAGATCCTAAAGATTTTCTCCTAGGTTTTTTTTCTAAACATTCTATAGCTTTATATTTAGCTATATATGGAATCTTGAGTGAATTAGACTTCATGAACTAACACCCCACCCATGCAAGGTTTAGTATTCAGCAACAGCTCCAGACCCAAAGAGATGCCCTTGCAGATTTCTGTAACTCTTCACATAGCTTCCTGCTCTCTGATACGTAGCCTAGGACCTCTGTTCTTAACTATTACACTATATTGCCTCTTAAGTTAGAGGTTGTGCAGCATATTAATCAATGGCTGATCAATTACAATTACTGAGTTTCTAACTATAGGAAAGGTCCCACAAAAGATGCAAAAAAGGAAGACATCCCAGCCTCAACCCCAGTCATCCCCACATGAGCCCAAAGCAGTGATTAGGAAATACGTGCAAACCTCTGAGGCAAGGGATGGTGACAGTACCGTGAGCAATAGGATTGCACAGTGAGTGACAAGCCATGATGCTGCTGTCTCCTCTCTGGACCCATCATTCATCCCTCTTCCCACACCTCTCTAGTTCCTCCAGCCTCGTCCATCAATGAGGAGCCAGAAAATTGGCTGCCTCTCCCACCCTAGCCTCCCAAACTTCATCTAAGTTTTTGACGGGGTCAGGCACGGTGGCTCAAGCCTGTAATCCCAGCACTTTGGGAGGCTGAGGCAGGCGGATCACTTCAGCCCAGGAGTTCGAGACCAGCGTAGGCAACATGGCAAAACCCTGCCTCTACAAAAAATACAAAAATTAGCCAGTCTTGGTGGCATGCACCTGTAGTCCCAGCTACTCGGGAGGCTGAGCATGGGAGTTCAAGGCTACGGTACTGCACTCTAGACTGGGTGACAGAGTGAGACTCTGTCTCAAAAAAAAAATAGTTTTTGACTCAACATGGGGATAAATTATAACCCAGGTCAATTCTGGGCCTGTAAACCTCTCTAGAAGGAAAAACTCTCTTTCTCTACTCTCAACAGTTCTAACACCAAATGTGTGAATTTTCCACACCAGCAAAATTATCCAATTCTCTGTGGACAACAACTGGGTTTCCTACAATTAACTCAATTCTGACATGAACTACCTGGAGCCAGCACAGGCCCCACAGGTGAAGAGCTCAGTCCCACAAGACTGCCCCCACTTCAGGTGCCAGTTGCAGGTAGTGGGTTCCCAGATTACCCACTCTCCTCTCCAATTTAGCTACAAACAGGAGGTCCCTATGACCCTCAGGTTTGGTAACTTGTAGCTCATAGAACTCAAAGAAACACTTTGCTCTTTCTGGTTTATTATTAAGGATACACCCAAGAACAGCCTAATGGACAAGGGATGGAGGGAGTGCCCAGAGCTTTTCTGCCCTTTCCAGACATGCCACCCTCCCCGAATCTCAACGTGTTCACCAACCCGGAAGCTCCCTGAAACCCACAATTTAGGATTTACATGGAGGTTCCATTATGTAGGCATGAGTGATTAAATCATTGGCCATTGGCCAAGCCTGGGGGCCTGTAATCCTCGTGACTCTGTATCCTGGCAATTTGAGAGGCTGAGATGGGAAGATCACCAGAGGCCAGGAGTTCAAGACCAGCCTGGGCAACATAGTGAGACCTGTCTCTAAAAAATTTAGAAAGAAAAAGTAAAATAAAAAATCAGCCAGGTGCAGTGGTTCATGCCTGTAATCCCAGCACTTTGGGAGGTTGAGGTGGGTGGATCACTTGAGTGGGACTGCAGGTGAGTACCACCATGCCCGGCTAATTTTATTTTTTGTAGAGACAAGGTTTCACTATGTTGCCCACGCTGGTCTCAAACTCCTGGACTCAAACAATCCTCCCACCTCAGCCTCCCAAAGTGCTAGGATTAACAGGAGTGAGCCACCACTCACTCCAGTGGGCATGAGTCAAGCTGGATTTCATAGTATTTTCTTGTTTTTTTTGTTTGTTTGTTTGTTTTTGTTGTTGTTTTTTGTGGTGGGGGGTGAGACAGAGTCTTGCTCTGTCTCCCAGGCTGGAGTGCAGTGGCTTGATCTCAGCTCACTGAAACCTCTGCTTCCTGGGTTCCAGCAATTCTCCTGCCTCAGCCTCCAGAGTAGCTGAGATTACAGGCATGTGCCACCACGCCCAGTTAATTTTTTGTATTTTTAGTAGAGACGGGGTTTCACTATGTTGTCCAGGCTGGTCTCGAACTCCTGACCTCAAGTGATCTGCCCGCCTCGGCCTCCCAAAGTTCTGGGATGACAGCGTGAGCCACCACACCCGGCCTCTTTTTCTTTCTTTCATTTTTTTCTCCCTTCCCATGCAGTTTTTCTTACTCCCAACCTCTCTCATAGTTTATCTTACCTGCTTGCCATCCTTGGGCAGCTACATTTTTGACCTCTTAGCCAGTTTGAGTCTTTCTTTTTTTTTTTTTTTCACTCAGTCTCACTCTGTCACCAAAGCTGAAGTGCAGGGGCATGATCACGGCTCACTGATCATGCCAGCCCCAACCTCCTGGGCTCAAGCAAACCTCCCACCTCAGCCCTGCCCCAAGTAATGGAGACTACAGGTGTGGGCCATCACTCCCAGCAAATTTTTTTTTTTTGAGACGGAGTCTCGCTCTGTCACCCAGGCTGGAGTGCAGTGGCGCGATCTCGGCTCTCTGCAAGCTCCACCTCCCGGGTTCACACCATTCTCCTGCCTCAGCCTCCTGAGTAGCTGGGACTACAGGAGCCCGCCACCACGCCCGGCTAATTGTTTTTTGTTTGTTTGTTTGTTTATTGGGTTTTTTTTTGTATTTTTAGTAGAGACAGGGTTTCACCATGTTAACCAGGATGGTCTCGATCTCCTGACCTCGTGATCCACCCTCCTCAGCCTCCCAAAGTGCTGGGATTACAGGCATGAGCCACCACACCCGGTCATGCCCAGCTAATTTTTAAATTTTTTGTAGAGATGAGATCTCACTATGTTGCCCAGGCTGGTCTCAAACTCCTGTGAGCCCCTCAGTTAATAGAAGAAACAGTCAAGCATGGTGGCATAGGTCTGTATTCCCAGCTACCCGAGAGGCTGAGAAGGGAGGCTCTCTTGAGCTCAAGAGTTTAAGGCTATATGCCAGGCATGGTGGCTCACACCTGTAATCCCAGCACTTTGGGAGGTTGAGGTGGGTGGATCACTTGAGACCAGGAGTTCGAGACCAGCCTGGCCAACATAGTGAAACCCCGTCTCTACTAAAAAAAATACAAAAATTGGCTGGGCACAGTGGCTCACACCTGTAATCCCAGCACTTTGGGAGACTGAGGCGGGCGGATCACAAGGTCAGGAGTTTGAGACCAGCCTGGCCAACATGGTGAAATCCCATCTCTACTAAAAATACAAAAATTAGCCAGGTGTGGTTGGCAGGTGCCTGTAATCCCAGCTACTCAGGAGGCTGAGGAAGAAGAATTACTTGAACCCAAGAGGCAGAGGTTTCGGTGAGCCAAGGTCGCGCCATTGCACTTCAGCCTGGGTGACAGAGCAAGACGCCATCTCAAAGTAAATAAATACATACATACATACATACATACAAAAAGTAGCCGGGTGTGGTGGTGCATGCCTGTAGTCCCAGCTACTCAGGAGGCTGAGGCAGGAGAATTGCTTAAACATGGAGGACAGAGGTTGCAGTGAGCTGAGATTATGCCACTGCACTCCAGTCTGGGCAACAGAGTAAGACTCTGTCTCAAAAAAAAAAAAAAAAGGAGTTTGAGGCTGCAGTAAACTAAGATGGCACCACTGCACTTCACACCTCACTCTAGCCTGGGTGACAGAGCGAGACCTTGTCTCTAAAAAAAAAAACAAAAAACGAAAAACCAAAAAAAAAAAGGGTGGGGGTGGAATAGAATAAACAACTCTGAGAAGGGACATGATCTGGTGACAATCTCAAGTGAATCAGTGGTTGAACCAGGACCAGATCCCAGTGCCCCATCTTCTGGGGACGTCCTGGGTCTGAATCTTCAATGCATGTCCCTTCTGCAGTGCCTTCCTCTGTGGCCCTCAAAGGGAAACTGAAGCCTTTGAGGACATGAAGACTCGCATTAGGCCAACGAGGGGTCTTGGAACTCCAGATCAAAGAGAATAAGAAAGACCTGACTCTGTGTGTGTGTACGTGTGTGTGTACGTGTGTGTGTGTGTGTGTGGCAGAGGGGGGTGTGGTCATGGGGTATTGACATGAATACGCAAGGGGCAGGAAGCATCTGAAATCAGAGCTAACTTGGGAGGCACAGAACACGGGGTGCCTGGAAGGGGAACAGATGTGTTGTGGGGCACAGGGCAGGCTGGGAGGGGAACAAAGGTCCACTCCATGGGTAACCAGACCCTTCCGCCAGGGCTGGCCACTTCTGCCTTTGGAAAATGTTTCACAACGCCCCATGTTGTGTGTGTGTGTGAATCGGCCGATGTGAACCGAATGTTGATGTAAGAGGCAGGGCACTCGGCTGCGGATGGGTAACAGGGCGTGGGCTGGCACACTTACTTGCACCAGTGCCCAGAGAGGGGGTGCAGGCTGAGGAGCTGCCCAGAGCACCGCTCACACTCCCAGAGTACCTGAAGTCGGCATTTCAATGACAGGTGAGTAGTGGCCCCTAGGGACAGAGCCTGATTGGGGGGTGGAGTGGAGGAGATCACTAGGCTGGTGGAGACTTGAGGAAGCAAGAAAGCCCTTGGTCCCCTGTGGAAGCCTCTGGTCCCCCGTGGGAGTCCTAGTCTAGAACACAGTTCTGGACACCAGACTCAATCTCACTGGGTGGAGTCCTTCACACCCCTAAGCGGTCTACCTTTCCTTTGTCTGAAGTCCGTGGATCAAAGCCCCTGGAGCTTTCTGGGCTGCCGGAGAAGGTGAGGGGTCCAGCCAAGGGGCAGACATGTGGCCTCAGCTTGCCCTTCTTAGAGCCTAGGGTCTCTCTGCATTCTCTGTGGCAGGAGATCTGCCTCTGGGCATCTGTCCTCACATGAGAGGACAGTAATTCTGAAGCTGCCATGTCCCACACATCTGGAATGTTTGTTTGAGAGGTGGAGGTGATGGACCCAAGATGGGGGCCAGGGACCTTAGTTTCTCCACTTTTCCGGGAGGAGGAGGGAAAGGATCAGGCGGCTTTAACTCTGGGCCACCAGAAAGAGGCAGGACACTCACCATGCTTCATGGGCCCCCACAGGTGACAAGGGTCCCCAAAGGCTAAGCGGGTCCAGCTATGGTTCCATCTCCAGCCCGACCAGCCCGACCAGCCCAGGGCCACAGCAAGCACCTCCCAGAGAGACCTACCTGAGTGAGAAGATCCCCATCCCAGACACAAAACCGGTGGGATGCTGGAAACTTCCTGGGGGCTTGCAAGATTGACAGGATCCTGAAGGATCCCATGGGCTGGAGAATGGGGTCTCCTTATGATCATGGGTGGCAAGTCCCTTCCAGGTCTGAGCAGCAGTGGTGGACAGTGGCAACTGCCCCTTCCTGCTTCCGTCCCCAGTGCTTAGCTGGGGTGCTTCAGTATTTGTCTAAAAGCGATTAAATGACTTTCTCAATGAATCTCAGCTTTCCTATGAAGGAAAAGAGGCCCAGGGGGAATTGGGATTGGAGCCTTGAGGACATGTTATAGCATTTAGGAAAGGGCATAGGGAGAAGTGAAGGAGGCTGCAGGCTGGCATCTAGCATCTAGGATGCTGTCACCTGCATTTCCAGTATCTTCTCTTTTTTTGGAGATGGAGTCTCGCTCTGTAGCCCAGGCTGGAGTGCAGTGGCGCGATCTCAGCTCACTGCAACCTCCGCTTCCCAAGTTTAAGCGATTCTCCTGCCCCGGCCTCCCGAGTAGCTGGGATTACAGGCATGCACCACCATGCCAGGCTAATTTTTGTATTTTTACTAGAGACAGGGTTTCACCATGTTGGCCAGGCTGGTCTCAAACTCCTTAGCTCAAGTGATCCACCCACCTCGGCCTTCCAAAGTGCTGGGATTACAGACACGAGCCAACGCTCCCAGCCTCCAATATCTTCAGCAGATTTCTAAGTCAATATGCCATGCTCTGGAACAGGGTGGGGGGACCATAGCCTCAGCGGACCACAGAGAGGAGGCCCCGTGGTCTGAAAAGGAGCTGGCAAGGGAGGAGCTGGGCTAGGGAAGCTTGGCCCCCTCACCCCCTTAGACAGCCCCCTGTGAGGTCTCTGAGGACCTGACAAGTCAGGGCTTGAGGGGCAGGCAGTTCAGGTGCAAGCCGGCTGCTGAGCTTAACAGATCCAGAAAAAGATCCTCTGTGACTCATCAGAGCATGCTGCTTCCTCCACCCATGCCCTCCCCATCCCTTGGGTGGCAGACCCAGGAATGGGCCATGGAGGGCAGGGCTGGGCTGATGAGCCTGTTGGGGCTCCTCTAGGGGATGGCCAAGGCCAGCTGCCACCATCCCTATACCCAGGACCCCCTCACTCTACTCCTCCCACCCCCCAACAGGGCACCTTCAGCCTGCGGAAGCTATGGGCCTTCACGGGGCCTGGCTTCCTCATGAGCATTGCTTTCCTGGACCCAGGAAACATCGAGTCAGATCTTCAGGCTGGCGCCGTGGCGGGATTCAAAGTAACTAAGTCGGGACCTGAGTGGGGACACTTTCGAGAGGGAGGTGACCAGGCTAAGTGTTGAAGGCCCCTGCTGGCCATGTTTCTCCAATGTGGCCTGGGAGCTGGTGTTAAGTTCAAATGGGCCCGAAAAGGGTCCCCAGGGCAGCCCTGCCAGAAGGTGGGGCATTTGTGTGGGGGGTAGGGGACTGGACTCCTCTCTTTAAAATATATATATGTATATTTATTTATTTATTTATTTAATTTTATTTTTTGAGACTCAGTCTCACTCGGTCACCCAGGCTGGAGTGCAGTGGCACAATCTCGGCTCACTGCAACCTCTGCCTCCCGGGTTCAAGTGATTCTCCTGCCTCAGCCTCCTGAGTAGTGCATGCCACCACGCCTGGCTAATTTTTGTATTTTTAGTAGAGATGGGGTTTCACTGTGTGGGCCAGGCTGGTCTTGAACTCCTGACCTCAAGTGATCCACCGCCTCGGCCTCCCAAAGTGCTGGGATAACAGGTGTGAGCCACCTTGCCTGGCGTAATTTATTTATTTATTTAGAGATGGGGGTCTCACTATGTTGCTCAGGCTGCTCTTGAACTCCTGGACTCAAGCAATCCTCCCACCTTAGCCTTTTAAAGTGCTGGGATTACAGGGTGAGCTACCAGCGCCCAGCCAGGATGGGACTCCATCTCTCCCACCCCCTCCCCGAGGAGTATGCTTGGTTAGAGGGTACCACGAGCTCAGGGGCTTTCTGAGGCTGGCCTCTCTGGCTGAAGGCCTCTCCCTGCCTCCTCACAGCTTCTCTGGGTGCTGCTCTGGGCCACCGTGTTGGGCTTGCTCTGCCAGCGACTGGCTGCACGTCTGGGCGTGGTGACAGGCAAGGACTTGGGCGAGGTCTGCCATCTCTACTACCCTAAGGTGAGCTTGGGGGGCCTGGACAGGGAGAACCACTGGCCCCAAACCCCAAACAGCCATTTTCAGCTTCCACGATCAAATAAATACATCATCTCACATGGGGCATCCCAAGTCTGTTTGTTTTTGTTGTTGTTTGTTTGTTTTTCAGTCGGAGTCTCGCTCCGTCGCCCAGTCAGGAGTGCAATGGTGCGATGTCAGCTCACTGCAACCTCTACCTCCCAGGTACAAGTGATTCTCCTGACTCAGCCTCTCAAGTAGCTGGGATTACAGGCGCCCACCACCATCATCGGCTAATTTTTGTATTTTTAGTAGAGCTGGGGTTTCACCATGTTGGCCAGGCTGGTCTCAAACTCCTGACCTCAGATGATCCACCCACCTCAGTCTCCCAAAGTGCTGGGATTACAGGCATGAGCCACTGCATCCGGCCCCAATTCCATTTGATAGATGGAAAGACTGAGGCTCAAACTGATAGCACATAGCCTAGAGGGACATGAGAGGCATGTCATTTCACAGAAGGGGTAATTAAAATTTGGGAAAGAGACTTGCCCAAGACAAAAAATGGGGAGGCATCAGCTCAGGAATGGTCACTGGTTGGGGTGGACCCTGGGGACTTCGTTGTTGTGAGTGTCCAGTTTGGAAAACAGAAATTACAGCACTGGACATTTCAAAGGTATTGAATGCAGGGATTGAAAGGTTTGGGAGGGCTTGAGGGGCAAGGGAAGAGGGTGTTACAAAAAGATCAGAAAGCTGCTACACCTCTGGCACAAGCCCCAGAGCCATCCTTTGCTGCTGAGCTCCTGGAAGCATTATTGATGCTGATGAAATGGCCACTAGTGCTGCCAGAGTCCGGGTTGCCTGGTGCCACTGCCAGAAATACAAGAAGCAGGGGGAGAAAATGGTTTATCTCAGCCTGGGGCGGTGGCTCACGCCTGTAATCCCAGCACTTTGGGAGGCCAAGGCGGGTGGATCACCTGAGGTCGGGAGTTCGAGACCAGCCTGACCAACATGGAGAAACCCCGTCTCTACTAAAAATACAAAACTAGCCGGGCATGGTGGCACATGCCTGTAATCCCAGCTACTCGGGAGGCTGAGGCAGGAGAATCGCTTGAACACGGGAGGCGGAGATTGTGGTGAGCCGAGATCATGCCATTGCACTCCAGCCTGGGCAACAAGAGCAAAACTCTATTTCGAAAAAAAAAAAAAAAGTTTATCTCTGCCTTTCCATCTCCTGTATGCTCTTCCTACATAAGGTAGGAAGCCCATTGGCCAGACTGTCTAGTAAATGTAGTCTGAGACGACAGACAAATGTAGTCTGAGACGACAGGCAAATAACCGGCCCACCCTTAATGAAGGATCATCTCCTCCCCATAGGTGCCCCGCACCGTCCTCTGGCTGACCATCGAGCTAGCCATTGTGGGCTCCGACATGCAGGAAGTCATCGGCACGGCCATTGCATTCAATCTGCTCTCAGCTGGACGGTACCACCCCAGTGTACCCCAACTCTTCAGGCCAGGCAGAGAACAGCTGCTGCTACTTCCCCCCCTAACCAGTCCCTCCCAGAGTCTATTTTATCCTGCTGTCCCCTCTGAAGCAGGGCTGCTGCCCTGTTTTCCAGAAATGTAAAGTGACTTGTCTAAAGTCACACAGATGTGAGTCATGCAGGACTTTGGGACTGCAGCCCCAAACTCCCTGCTGCGCCGGGTGCCAGGTCTCTCCTCTAGCTCTGCCCTGCCTCGACTGTTCTATGCCACACTCCCACTCCCCTTGCCCTAGCTGTCTGGGGGCGCTTAGGGTCCTGCTCCCAGGAGGCCAGATTCCTGTCTCCAGCCCTGAGGCTCCGTAGGAGTTAGAGACCCCTGGACCAGGCTGGGCTGACCCGGGCCACTCTGGTTTCAGAATCCCACTCTGGGGTGGCGTCCTCATCACCATCGTGGACACCTTCTTCTTCCTCTTCCTCGATAACTACGGTGGGTGCACACCCCACCTCATAGGGGAGTGGTGGTGGTGAGGGTGCTGTACTGGGAGAAGGGCTCTGACATCGAACAGCCTGGGAGCGCACCTGAGCTCCCTCACTCTCCCTGGGTGGCCTCTAGCGAGTTACTTGGACGTGCCTCTCTTCACCTGTAACATGGGGAAATAATAGCACAGACTTCAGAGGGTGGTTGTGAAGACTGAGTGAGGTAACATATGTTAAGCACTTGGCACTGTGCCTAGAAGCGCTCGTAGTATTAGCCATTACGAATTGTTGATGTCACAGATTTTTTTCGTTGGTTTGTTTAGTTTGTTTGTTCTGCTCCGTAGGGCTGCGGAAGCTGGAAGCTTTTTTTGGACTCCTTATAACCATTATGGCCTTGACCTTTGGCTATGAGGTAGGAAGCCAGTGCTGCAACCCCACTGTGGACCTCCCAAGATCATTCCTCTCCCTTCCCTCTGGCCGCGGGCTGCGGGGGGCTGGGGTGGGATGGAGGCTGAGAAATGGTGACCGCGGCGTGGTTGCGAGGGGCGGGGCTTGTCCTGACCAGGCTCCTCCCTGCAGTATGTGGTGGCGCGTCCTGAGCAGGGAGCGCTTCTTCGGGGCCTGTTCCTGCCCTCGTGCCCGGGCTGCGGCCACCCCGAGCTGCTGCAGGCGGTGGGCATTGTTGGCGCCATCATCATGCCCCACAACATCTACCTGCACTCGGCCCTGGTCAAGGTGAGCAGAGGGGAGGGGAAAGGAGACCCCCTCACTCAGTCGGAGCCATGCTGGCTCCGCCTCCAAGCCTGGAGCCCCTCCCCTCTGGCTCCTTCCCTCAGGATTTGCGGAGCCTGTAATAATTGAGGGACAGGCGGGGCGCCATGGCTCACGCCTGTAATCCCAGCACTTTGGGAGGCGGAGGCGGGCGGATCACGAGGTCAAGAGATCGACACCATCCTGGTCAACATGGCGAAACCCCGTCTCTACTAAAAATACAAAAACTAGCTGGGCGTGGTGGCGCGCGCCTGTAGTCCCAGCGGCTCGGGAGGCTGAGGCAGGAGAATCGCTTGAACCCGGGAGGCAGAGGTTGCGGTGAGCCGAGATCTTGCCACTGCACCACTCCAGCCTGGCGACAGAGCGAGACTCTGTCTCAAAAAAAAAAAAAAAAGAAAAGAAAAAGTGTCTACTGTGCGCTGGGAGGAACAGACCGTCAAGGCCTCTGCCCTTCTAGAGTTTCCGTGCTAGTGGGGTAGACGGATGACAAGCAAGTAAACCAACAAAGGAAAGAATTATAGGCCGGGCGCAGTGGCTCACGCCTGTAATCCCAGCACTTCAGGAGGCCGAGGCGGGCGGGCGGATCACGAGGTCAGGAGTTTGAGACCTCAACAGCCTGGCCAACATGGTGAAATCCCGTCTGTACTAAAAATACAGAAAATTAGCCGGAAGTGGTGGCGCGTGCCTGTAATCCCAGCTACTCGGGAGGCTGAGGCAGGAGAATCGCTTGAAGCCAGTAGGCGGAAGTTGCAGTGAGGGGAGATGGTGACATTGCACTCCAGCCTGAGTGACAAAGCAAGACTCCGTCTCAAAAAAAGAAAAAGAACAAGAACTATAGAGCTGGGCGAGGTGGCTCACGCCTGTAATCCCGGCACTTCAGGAGGCAGAGGCAGGTGGATCGCTTGAGCCCAGGAGTTCGAGACCACCCTGGGCAACATGATAAAACCCTGTCTCTACCAACAAAAAATAAAAAATAAAATAAATTAGTTGGGTGTTGTGCACACCTGTAGTCCTAGTTACTCAGGAGGTTGAGGCTTGAGCCCTGGAGGTCGAGGCTGCAGTGAGCTGAGATCCCACCACTGCACTCTCAGTGACACAGTGAGACCCTGTCAAAATAATAATAATAATAATAATAATAATTGCGAAAGGGACTCTGAAGTAAACAAAACAGAGAAATATGATAGAGAATGACTGAAAGTTGGGGAAGTAGATCAGGGAAAAGATATTACAAGCGGAGGGAAAGCAAGTGCAAAGGCCACTGGCAGAAGTGAACAAGGCTTGGGTCCCTAACAGCTTAACAGTGGCTCACACCTGTAATCTCAGCATTTTAAGAGGCCAAGACAGGAGAATGCTTGAGCCCAGGAGTTCAAGGCTAGCCTAGCAAGACCCTGTCTCTGCAGAAAATTTAAAAATTAGCGGGTTGTAGTGGTGTGTGTCTGTGGTCCCAGCTACTTAGGAGGCTGGGGCAGGAGGATCACTTGGGCCCATGAGTTGGAGGCTGCAGTGAGCCATGCATTGCACCACGGCACTCCAGTCTGGGTGACAGAACAAAACCTGTCTCTAAAAAATAAAATAAAGTAAGCTGGACACGTCTGAGGATGGAACAAGGTGAGTGAAGGAGCGTGTCAGGACCTGAGGTAGCCAGGGACCTCAAAGGCCAGCCTTGCTTCACCCACACAGTGGCTTACAGTGGTAAGGCCTCTGTGGCAAGAACAGAGATGTAGGAAACCATCGGCTGACCTGAACCTGCCCCAGACTGCCACGCAGGGGACTTAAGAAGGTACTGGGCTTTGGGGAGAACATAGAAGTGTGAGGGTGGGGGACACTGTGGTGGCTCTGAGGGACTTTGGCACTTCCCTCTCCCTTTGATCTTCGTAGTCTCGAGAGATAGACCGGGCCCGCCGAGCAGACATCAGAGAAGCCAACATGTACTTCCTGATTGAGGCCACCATCGCCCTGTCCGTCTCCTTTATCATCAACCTCTTTGTCATGGCTGTCTTTGGGCAGGCCTTCTACCAGAAAACCAACCAGGCTGCGGTGAGACACACTTTCCCCCGCACCTGAGGCCACACACGTACTCATGTCCTGTAAGCCTTGCCGAGGACCCTAGGCAATGCAGCTGAGCCCTTCTGAGTCTCTGCCCTGATGATCTTCCCTGTTGGCAGATATCATTCATTCAGCAAATAATCATTGAGCATTTGTTATATACCAAGCACATCCTAGACCCTGGGGATACAGCAGTCAATGCTACAAAGACCCAGCTCTCTGCAGCTTAAATAGGGAGGGAGGTGAGCAGACAGGAATGAATACCCAAGGGAAGTACAGAGTGGGAAGAAATAAAGGGGGTGAAGAAGCATAGTTGGGGGTATGGGGGTGGGGTCTGCATTAGCCCAGGTGGTCAGGAAAGGCTTCTTGGAAGAGATGACATTTGTGCTAATACTGGAAAAGGAACTAGCCAGCTCCTCCCTGACTCTCTGGGATCTGGGACCTGTGTCTGTCTCCCCTTCTGAGTGGATCTCAGTCATGAGGCTCTAACAACTGCAGCCAGGGTTGGGGGCTTCCTGAATGCTGAGCCCTGTGGGAGAAGGGGTGGCCAGGCCTCCAAGGACCTGGGCACTGCCACTGCCTTGCTCTGTGACCTTGGGAGGTCACACTCCTCCCTGGGTCTCACTCTGTTCCTTGGCACAAGGAGGGAGATCAACATCAGGACTGCAAACCCTTGTCTTCAAGACCAGGCAGGCGCAGAGTTGTGGGAAGTGGACAGTGTGAAGAGGGCATGGCAGCCAGCTGTCTCTGTGGTGATGCCAGCTCTTACGAACCTAAAAGAAGCTGGAAACTGGGTTCTTATGCCAGGCCTTCTCAATTTTAAATGTTGGCAACAAATCCACATTAAAGAAAAAAAAAACCCGGCCGGGTGCGGTGGCTCACGCCTGTAATCCCAGCACTTTGGGAGGCTGAGGCAGATGGCTCGCTTGAGCCCGGGAGTTCAAGACCAACCTGGGCAACATGACAAGACCCCCATCGCTACAAAACGTAAAAGTAAAACAAAACAAAACCCAACTTATTTTGTTAGCCAAACAAAATATGTCTGGCCAGATTCAGCCTTGGGCCACCAGTTTTGGAACCCTGGTCAGTGCTAGGCAGTCCAGTTTCCCAAGGCTGAGCGTGCTCCTCACATCTTCCTTCTACTGCCCTGGTACCCACAGTTCAACATCTGTGCCAACAGCAGCCTCCACGACTACGCCAAGATCTTCCCCATGAACAACGCCACCGTGGCCGTGGACATTTACCAGGGGGTGAGCGCGGGTGGGTGGGGAGGGCGTGACCCAGAGAGGCTCCCCGCCTCGGGCAGGGCCACCGGTCCTACCACACTCGTCCCTGCAGGGCGTGATCCTGGGCTGCCTGTTCGGCCCCGCGGCCCTCTACATCTGGGCCATAGGTCTCCTGGCGGCTGGGCAGAGCTCCACCATGACGGGCACCTACGCGGGACAGTTCGTGATGGAGGTAGGGCAGGGGGCGGGCCCAGGAGGGCAAGGGGTCCAAGGACAGCAGGCACACTACTGGGGGCTAGAACTCCGAGCCTTGTGGGTCCTCTTTTCTTTTCTTTCTTTTCTTCCTTTTTTTTTGTTTTTGTTTTTGTTGTTGTTGTTGAGACGGAGTCTCGCTCTTGTCGCCCAGGCTGGAGTGCAGTGGCGCGATCTCGGCTCACTGCAACCTCCCCCTCCCAGGTTCAAGCTTCTCCTGCTTCAGCCTCCTCAGTAGCTGGGATTTCAGGCACCTGCCACCAGGCCTGGCTAATTTTTGTACTTTTAGTAGAGACAGGGTTTCGCCATGTTGGCCAGGCTAGTCTTGAACTCTTGACCTCAAGTGATCCGCCTGCCTTGGCCTCCCAAAGTGCTGGAATTACAGGTGTGAACCACCGCACCCGGCCAATTTTTGTATTTTTAGTAGAGACGCAGTTTTGCTGTGTTGGCCAGGCTGGTCTCAAACTCTTGACCTCGTGATCCGCCCGCCTTGGACTCCTGAAGTGCTGGGATTATAGGCGTGAGCCACTGCGTCCGGCCTTTTCTTTTCTTTCTTTCTTTCCTTTTTTTTGAGACGGCGTTTCGCTCTTATTGCCCAGGCTGGAGTGCAATGGCGCGATCTCCGGCTCACCGCAACCTCCACCTCCTGGGTTCAAGCAATTCTCCTGCCTCAGCCTCCTGACCAGCTGGGATTACAGGCCACCACACCCAGCTAATTTTGTATTTTCAGTAAAGACGGGGTTTCTCCATGTTGGTCAGGGTGGTCTCGAACTCCCAGCCTCAGGTGATCTGCCCTCCTCAGCCTCCCAAAGTGCTGGGATTACAGGCGTGAGCCACCGCGCCCGGCTCTTTCTTTCTTTTTTGAGACAGGATTTCACTCTGTTGCTCAGGCTGGAGTGCAATGGCGCCATCACAGCTCGCTGCAGCCTCAACTTCAGCCTCCCGAGTCATTGGGACTACAGGCTCATGCCACCACACCAGGCTAATTTTTAAAATTATTTGTAGAGATGTGGTCTTCCTATGTTTCCCAGGCTGGTCTCGAACTCCTGGGCTCAAGTGATCTTCCCGCCTTGGCTTCCCAAAGTGCTGGGATTACAGACGTGAGCCACCCCACTCAGCTTTGTTTCCTTCATGTAGCCCAGAGGGCGACACTATAAGCCCCATTTTACAGATGAGAAAACAGATCCTGACAGATGAGGTGACTTGCTGGAAGCTGCAGACCCAGGACTAACAGAAGCCTTTTCCCCAAAACTGTTTAGTCTTCAGCAACCAGCTATGGGATGGGAGCTCCCCATTTCTCCCCACCCATCCCCTCTTGCCACCTAGGGACAGAGCTGTCCCAGTTCAACAGTGGAAAAACAGAGCATGCCCCCAGGGATAAATCGGTTGAGGGACTACAGAGGATCTCTCCTCTGGAATCCCCAGTCCTGTCTACTCCTCACCAAGGAGTTCACCCCCACCCCAGGGCTTCCTGAGGCTGCGGTGGTCACGCTTCGCCCGTGTCCTCCTCACCCGCTCCTGCGCCATCCTGCCCACCGTGCTCGTGGCTGTCTTCCGGGACCTGAGGGACTTGTCGGGCCTCAATGATCTGCTCAACGTGCTGCAGAGCCTGCTGGTGAGATGCGCCAACCCCACCAGCCCTGCCCACTGCTGAGCGAAACAGGACCTCCAGCAACCCCCACGCTGAGCCTTGCATGGGCCTGCCAGGCCCTGTCCCAGGCACATCTTGCCTACAAGGCTTCCATTGTCCCCACAGCCACCCTGGGGGGCAGGAGGGTAGGAATCACCATTATCCTTCCCCCCTCCCACCCCCCAGATGGTCTCCCTCTGTCACCTAGGCTGGAGTGCAGTGGTTCAATCATGGCTCACTGCAGCCTGCCCTCCCTGTCTCTAGCAATCTTCCCACCTCAGGCTCCCGAGTAGCAGGGACTATAGGTGCATGCCATCACACCCAGCTAATTTTTTTTTTTTTTTTTTTGAGACGGAGTTTCACTCTTGTTACCCAGGCTAGAGTGCAGTGGTGAGATCTTGGCTCACTGCAACCTCTGCCTCCCAGGTTCAAGCGATTCTTCTGCCTCAGCCTCCTAAGTAGCTGAGATTACAAGCGCCCACCATCACACCCAGCTAATTTTTTGTATTTTTAGTAGAGACAGGGTTTCATCATGTTGGCCAGGCTAGTCTCAAACTCCTGACCTCAGGTGATCCACCCGCCTTGGCCTCCCAAAGTGCAAGGATTACAGGCATGAGCCACTGAGGCAGGTCTAATTTTTTTTTTTTTTTAAGTAGAGACAAAAGCTCATTATGTTTGTTGCCCAGGCTCATTATTCCATTTTACAGATGGGAAAACTGATGCACTCAGTTAAGTTACTAGTGGCAGGGCTTGGATTCAAACCGAAGCAACCTGGTGCCAGAGCCCCCAAACACTTTCTCCTGCTTTGGAGCCCACAACCTGATAAGGCAGGAGACGGGGAAGTAGGCTCAGTGTGGTTAGGGCAGTTGAGCTCACACCCACACAGAGGGTGTCAAGCCACGCCCATCTTGCCCCCACCCTTGCCATATTCTGAGGCAGAATTCCTCAGCCTAGGCTCCTGCTGCTCTCCCCAGCTCCCGTTCGCCGTGCTGCCCATCCTCACGTTCACCAGCATGCCCACCCTCATGCAGGAGTTTGCCAATGGCCTGTGAGTACCCCCTTTCCCAAGTGCTGGATTGCATCACCACATTTCATCCTCACAGCCACCCAGAGGTACGAGCTACAATTCTCCCCATTATCCCAATGAAGCCACAGAGGCTGAGAGAGGTTAAGGGACTTACCCAGGTTCACACAGCTAGCAAGTTGAGGAGCCAAGACTGGAATCCAGGGAAGAGGGCTGTTTCTAGAGCCTGAGCGCCTCACTCTCGCCTCAGACTCAGCTCTTGCCAAATCCCGCCAGTGTGTAGCCTGGAGGGCCCAGGAGGCAGGAGGTGGGGAGGGGGTCTGTCTGCTCCAGGTCCCACAGACCAGAGAAGCGGCCTCAGTGTATCCCCACCCCCAGTGTGGGCGCTGGGAGATGAAGAGGAGTTGATGCAGGTGGGCCAGCAGCAACCAGCCAGTCCTGAGCCTCTCTCGTGTCCCCCAGGCTGAACAAGGTCGTCACCTCTTCCATCATGGTGCTAGTCTGCGCCATCAACCTCTACTTCGTGGTCAGCTATCTGCCCAGCCTGCCCCACCCTGCCTACTTCGGCCTTGCAGCCTTGCTGGCCGCAGCCTACCTGGGCCTCAGCACCTACCTGGTACAGTAGGGCCAGGGGATGCCTTGGGAATGGATGAGGGAAGGACAAGAGGCAACCAATGGGGAGGGTTTGGGGGGACACAATGGGGCTTCCCCAGAGGTCTTGGCATCTCCCCAATTCATGGTTGCCCCTCCCCCAGGTCTGGACCTGTTGCCTTGCCCACGGAGCCACCTTTCTGGCCCACAGCTCCCACCACCACTTCCTGTATGGGCTCCTTGAAGAGGACCAGAAAGGGGAGACCTCTGGCTAGGCCCACACCAGGGCCTGGCTGGGAGTGGCATGTATGACGTGACTGGCCTGCTGGATGTGGAGGGGGCGCGTGCAGGCAGCAGGATAGAGTGGGACAGTTCCTGAGACCAGCCAACCTGGGGGCTTTAGGGACCTGCTGTTTCCTAGCGCAGCCATGTGATTACCCTCTGGGTCTCAGTGTCCTCATCTGTAAAATGGAGACACCACCACCCTTGCCATGGAGGTTAAGCACTTTAACACAGTGTCTGGCACTTGGGACAAAAACAAACAAACGAAAAACATTTCAAAAGGTATTTATTGAGCACCTGCAGGCGTGACCTGACAGCCCAAGGGTGGGTGGGGTGAGGGCTTGAGGACTTGGGCGGGACACAGGCTCCAAACTGGAGCTTGAAATAGTGTCTGATGAATGTTAAATTATCTATCTATCTATTTATTTATTTATTTGAGACAGGGAAAGGGTCTCCCTCTGTTGCCAAGGCTGGAGTGCAGTGGCGCAATCTTAACTCATTGCAACCTCCACCTTCTGGGTTCAAGCGATTCTCTTTATTCAGCCCCGGGAGTGGCGCGCGCCACCACGCCCAGCTAATTTGTGTATTTTCAGCAGAGACGGGGTTTGCCATGCTGGCCAGGCTGGTCTCGAACTGCTGGATTCAAGTGATCCGCCCATCTCCGTCTCCCAAAGTGCTGGGAATTACAGGCGTGAGCCACCAAACCCGGCCTGATTAAAGTTAAATAAATACTAGTTCCCTTCTCGTCCAAAGGAGCAGGGAATGGGAACCGGGAAGGCACGAAGTCTCTAAAGCATCCAGAAGACCCCTACACCAGGGTCTGGTCCGCTCCTATTCGCCGCAGCCTTTCTGTTCCGCCTGCAACCCATTTTCCAGACAGTAAAACGGCGGCGCACTTCTTTCTCCGTCAGGCACCAGGTCATAAGGAACCCAAGAGTCTGTGCCTCTGAGGCCCAAATTATTTGCTGTTTCCTCAGGGGAGCCGGCGGCCGCGACTCCCACGCCGCGCCGTTACCGCTCCCTCTCTGCTGACTGCTCCCCCTAGGGGCAGAGACGGTCCCGACGCCCGCCATCCCGCCCCGGCCTCACCCCTCCCCGCCAGGCGGAACGACGCGGGGAGGCGGGCGCTCGGGGCTCGCGCCAGGGGCCCCAGAATCCTTCGGGGAGAGTGGGTGGGAGGAAGCTGTGTGGGCGGGGAGCCCCCTCTGCCTTAGGGAGCGGCTGGGCACCCATTCGCCCCATTCAGGGGCTGCACTTTATAGACGTTCCCTAGGCTGTTTCTAGGCTCCCCCAAGTCCCTCCTCCAGCCTCGTCGGGTCCCTCAGACCCCAGCCCAGGACCTGCGGAGGGCCGCAGCGAGGAGAGGCCAACAGGCCTTTCCCTAGAGTTGAACCTGGGCCGGGTGTTGCACCTGGAAGAACCCCCGATTTCCTGGGGACCCAGCAGGGCAGGCGGCCTGGCTCCGCGCTCAGGTCCGGACGCTTGTTTATGAGAAGAATTTCCTCTTTCTTAAAAGGGCAACGATGCGAGTGGGTCCCTCAAGGAGAGAAGAGATGGGACCGGTCTGGTGCGACCTGGGCAAGCGCTGCAGAGGGTACCTGGGCAAGAGGGCCGCCCGCCTCCTCTGGGTTTGGCACTGGAGAAGATGGGTCCATGCCAGCTGAAGGAGGAGATGGATGGGGGACGTTTAGCGAAGAAAGGCATCTCCCAGATCCTTTAGCCTCCTGGAAGTGCCCCCGTTGTACCCCCTACACACCCCTCTTGGCATTGAGTGCCAGTCCTCTGCCAGGCTCTGTGTTACAAGTTGGGGAGGGCGGCAAAGTCCCGAATTAAAGATGTCAGTTCTCAAGGACCCCACACTCCAGCGGCGGGAGACAGCTGTGCAAACAAGTCCCTGTGGCAGGATGCGGTGAAGGGCGCTGCCCGTGACGCCAGCCAGGGAAGGGGACTGAATCTTGCTGAAGGGGGGGTCGGCGGTAGGGGGGAGTGTTGACAGGACAGCCCAGGAGGAATGAGAGTGCCAGGAGCATGGGGGCACGTGTGTGCACATCTGCCAAGACCTGAAGCTTTCTGGGGACGTCTTAGATCTTGTGGGGCAGGACGGGGGACGGCAGAGTAATGGGCAGGTTGGTCAAGAAGACACGGAGACCCGGCTAAAGGGCTACCCAGGACCTGGGCAAAGGGCTAGTGATGAGGTCGCGCCAAGGTCAGTCATTTGGACACTGGAAGGCGTCTACTTAGAGCTGCCCCCATTCCCCCCATAGTAGCTCTGGTTCTTCCAGCCTGGCCTCAAATCGACCCTCCAGGAAGAGGGGTGCAGAGTTGCTCTTCTGGAAGCTCCCTTTAGGCCTCCCAGGGAGGGCGTGGTCGCACTTGGCACTCCCCAAGAGCCTGCTGAATGCACCCCGACTTTGTGCACGGCTCCCCGCCTCCCCCTGGGTTGGGCTTTTACCAGCCCTGTTTGGCAGATGGGGAAACTGAGGGACTGTGTTGGAAGAGACGCTTCCAAATCCACAGGTGCCAGACAGCACCTTGCTGAATCCCGTTCCTGCCCCTCCCCGTTTCTGACTTGTGGCCCCCATGATTTTATTTTTCCTGGGGTGCGAATGATAAAACAGACAAAAAATAGAGTGCATAAAGCGACCTCCACCTGTAGAGACAGAGGGCAGCTGGGTGTAGACAACCCCTACAGTGAGGACACTCGAAGGACCCCCCTCCCCCCACGCAATCCTGGCCTCTCGCTCACTCCGTAACTAACTACCCGCCCCAGGCGTGGGGAGATAAGTCCAGGGCTCCAGGCAGAAGGCGCGGCTACCTCTGCCGCTTTGGGAGCCTGGGAGGAGGAGTTAGGTCTCCCTGGGAAAAGAACTGCACGGGCAACGGCTTGAAGTGGCGATAAGATGGGGTGGAGGAGGTGGGGGATTCCTGAGGAATCCTGTGAGCTCAGGATGGCGCGTCTGGGAATGGTGGGTGTGGGGACAGCCGGCCAGGTACCAGCCCCCTTCACAGAGGGAGAGGAAAGCGCGCCACCCAACCCAGGCCAAGGGCGAGGCCACGACTCCACTCAGTCCCTCGCCACACGCTTCCTTTTGGGGTCATGAGGGCCCCGCATCCGGAGATAAAGCCGAGGCCCCACCCAGGGGGCCGGACCGCAGGGGAGACAGATGTCCCGCTCCCAGGCTGGAATCCCGCCTTTGCCCTTGCCGGTAGACCCGAAGCACGTCGCTTCCTTTCTTGAAACTCAGTTTCCTCATCTGTGAAATGGGTTAAGAAGGAGGCCGTTCTAAGGGGTAAATGAGATTAGGGGGCGCAGCCAGAGCAGGCCTAGGAAAACGCCAGCAGCGTGTGGCGATCACGGTGATGAAGCGCAATGGTGGCCGCCCCGTGGGCTACCCAGGAGCAGGAGGAGGGCCGAGGGATCCAGCCCGGGGACCGGGGTATCAGTCCCCGACAGTCCCCTCCCGCCCCTACTCCCAGCCTCAGCGCACGAAGCCGCCGCGCCTTCTGGCAGACGCCGCTCCCCTCCCTTCCCCTCCCGGCCCCCGCGCGGGGCCTCCCCTCCCCGGCTCCCCCTCGGCAGGGCCTGGCGGACGTGCGCCGCGTCGCACCCGGCGGCCGGACGGGACAGGACGCGCCCGCCCCGCCCCGCCACGGAGGCCCGCGGGAGAGGGGGAGGGGAGGAAGTGCCGAGGGGTGTTTGTCGGGCTTGGCATTATTAATTTTTAAATGGTGAACTTACAAAATAGTAACGACGAGTGAAAAGAACTTCATAAACGAGGAAAAAGACCAACCCGCAGACCCACGGCGCGCACCACGGAGGGGCTTGCAGCGAGAAGACAGGGACCTCCGTTCCCAAGTGCCCAGCACTGCGCCACAGGCCGGGTGGAACGGGCCTTGAGGGCCTCTGGTTTGAGGTCCCCCACGGTCGGGCTTTGGGCCCACCGCGTGCGGCGCCGTGCTGGGCTCCTAGGATCGGCAGCGAGTCCAGTGACTCCCACCGCACCCCCAGTAATCACAGGGCGGCCGTCGACCGCGGGCAGGGGAGGGGGTCTGGGAAGGCCCCTGGAGAAGGTGGCATTTCCTCGAGGTCGGTGGAATTTGGCTACGCGAAAGGAACAGCGCGTACGAAAACTTCAGGCGGGAACGCGCGGTGGCCCGTGCGCGGCGGGTAGACGTGCGGGGCCCCGGGTGGGGCCGTGGGGAGAGGTCGGCAGGGGGCTTTCCCAGGGCAGAGAGTTAGAATTTCACGTCCTACAGACCGGGGGCACCTCGCCCTGGGGCTGCGGGGGGCGGCGACCGTCCCATTCAAGAGCGTGATTCTGAGGTTTGCACAGCTGTTTCGGGCCAGCAGAGCCTTCGCTGGCTCTTGACGTCCTTGCGAGGTGATCTCTGCGACCACCAGACAGGAGAGAAGACCCATTTTACAGATGAGGTAGTGCTATCTCCAAGTCCTCAACGAGGAAACCGAGAAGCCTCTAGTCCCGGGTCTTCAGAAAACGCAGAGGTGGAGCCGCGCCGCACTCGGGCACTCCCCGGCGTGGGCGCTCCCGGCGGGCGGGCCTTGGCCGAGGGCGCTCGGCGGCCTGGAACGGTGAGCCGGGTGCCGGGCCTGCCACGCAGCCGCAGAGACTCAGCCCCGCCGGCGGGCGGCAGGAAGGGAGGCGACGCCCCCTGGAGCGCGGCAGGAACCCGGCCCGGCCCGCCTCCCAGTCCGCCTAGCCGCGCCGGTCCCAGAAGTGGCGAAAGCCGCAGCCGAGTCCAGGTCACGCCGAAGCCGTTGCCCTTTTAAGGGGGAGCCTTGAAACGGCGCCTGGGTTCCATGTTTGCATCCGCCTCGCGGGAAGGAAACTCCATGTTGTAACAAAGTTTCCTCCGCGCCCCCTCCCTCCCCCTCCCCCCTAGAACCTGGCTCCCCTCCCCTCCGGAGCTCGCGGGGATCCCTCCCTCCCACCCCTCCCCTCCCCCCCGCGCCCCGATTCCGGCCCCAGCCGGGGGGGAGGCCGGGCGCCCGGGCCAGAGTCCGGCCGGAGCGGAGCGCGCCCGGCCCCATGGACAGCTCGGCCGTCATTACTCAGATCAGCAAGGAGGAGGCTCGGGGCCCGCTGCGGGGCAAAGGTACCGGGGCTGCGGGGAGGGGGCCGAAGCCGGGGCGCCGTGGGAGGAGAGAAGGGGCCGGGATCTTCCCCAGGGGAGCCGCCGCCGCCGCCCCGGGCGGCCGCCTTAGCTGTGCCCGAAGCTCCCAGCCCGAGAGGGAGCAGGGAGAGAGTTTGAACTCAGAGGAGGCTCAGAGACGCGGGGCGGGGCCTGGCGCCTTTGGGGCGCTCCTGTTCGCTCGAGGTGAGGAAACTGAGGCAGGAATAGAGAGGGAACTCTTCGGGGGTTTCCTGGCAGGCATTGCGTGGTGCATGGGCGCCCCCCCACCATTGGCGCCAATGGGGCTGGGAGATGGGGGAGCTGAGGAGGGCGCCTATGGGCCACCCGCTGAGACTCCGCCCCACCCCCCACCCCCACCCCCCCGGGCTGCGGTCCGGTAGGGTCTTGGGAGGGGGCGCCGAGGTGACAGCAGGCTGGGGAGGCTTGGAGGGATCTCCCGCCAACACACAGCTACGTTCCCCACAAACTTCGCGTCACGCGTGGAGGCGCCGACCCCCTCGGAGGCACAGAGAGGACGGCCGGCACTTCCAAGAGTCGCTTGGCGCCCGCGGGGAGAGTCGTGCGCCTAGTGGGCACGCACCACCCCGCAAAGCCTCGCCGCCCCGACGAGGCTGCGTCCCCCAGCGTGGCTGGGCCGGGGTGGGGGGGTCTGTCTTCTCCTTTTCCCCGTGTGGACCTCAGGATCTGGACGCTGCCCCCAGGTCTGCCCACCCTCGCCTGGGTCTGGCTGCCCCGGAACTGAGGGCAAGGTGGAAAGGCTAGTTGCAGGGGGCCGGAGGGGGGTGGGGTGGGAGGGGTATCTGTCAATCAGGCTGCTGGGCTCCAGGTCGGAGGTCTGGGCGGGGCAGGGCAAACAGATGGCCACTGGACACTGGCCCCAGGCCGCGGGACTGCACCCCTGCCTCTGGGCCCAGCCGCAGTGAGGACTTCGTACCCACGGGGGTGGAGAGGATGGAGGGAGGGCAGGGGTGGACTGCCCTGGGTCCCAGGCCCTGGCTGTCCTGAGCAGGGGTGCTCAGGTAAGGTGGGGTCAGGAGGCACCGCAATGGGGCTGATCAGCAGCAGTCATGGAGGCTGTGAGAGGCAGGGAGAGAGCACCCCAGGACCTCCTTCTCCAGGCCACGCACTCCCTATGTGGGCGCCTTAATACCTGCTAGACCTATTTGTCTGGGAGCTGCAGGAGCCTTGCAGTTGATTGTGGAGCCCTGACAGGGGCGTTTCAGAGAAAGTCAGGAGCTGCCTTCGTGTGTCTGGATGAAGGGGCCACGGCAAGATCCTCCTGGCTCAGGGGTTCACACCTGGGCACACATGCAGGATTCTGCAGGCCAGTGTGCACCGAGCCTCCAACTTGTGCCTCCCTACTTCAGGTGACCAGAAGTCAGCAGCTTCCCAGAAGCCCCGAAGCCGGGGCATCCTCCACTCACTCTTCTGCTGTGTCTGCCGGGATGATGGGGAGGCCCTGCCTGCTCACAGCGGGGCGCCCCTGCTTGTGGAGGAGAATGGCGCCATCCCTAAGGTGCGTGGGGGCCAGGTGGGGCCACGGGGGCACCTGGACTCAGTCTTCAGGGCTTTAGGGGAAGGGGCTCCTGACTGAGCTTTTCAGGATGGACTTGCAGACCTGAAAGGTGCAGAGTAGGAGGGTGGCAGCCTCCCCTGCCAGGCCCTGCCCACTGTGGGGAAACTGAATTCTCCCTCATAAGTGGAAGCTTTTTCCTACCTTGGTTTTTAGAGAGGTCTCAAAGAGCCAAGAGGCCTACCCAAGCCCTAGAGCTGGCAGGGGCAAAGCTGGGAAGGGGGAAGTATCTGTTCCTGGGGCCTGGGGTTCCTCTGGAGACGGCTAGGGGGAGAAGCCTGCGTGGGAGGAAGGACCAGGCCCGGAGAGAGGCACCCCAGCCAGCCCCGCCCTCCCTACAGCAGACCCCAGTCCAATACCTGCTCCCTGAGGCCAAGGCCCAGGACTCAGACAAGATCTGCGTGGTCATCGACCTGGACGAGACCCTGGTGCACAGCTCCTTCAAGGTGGGCCCTGCTCAACAGCCCTCAGCCCGGGTCTCGGGGGGCATCCCCCACCCTGGCCTGGGAGGGAGGTGTGTGCTGGACCCCATGCCCTGGGGCTCCTCCTCCAACTCCAGCAGCTCTTTTCCCCCCACAGCCAGTGAACAACGCGGACTTCATCATCCCTGTGGAGATTGATGGGGTGGTCCACCAGGTGAGGGCCAGGAAGAGGCAGTGGTGGGCTTGGCATCTGCCTCCAGACCCTAGGCTCTTCCCACCAATCCGGAGCGCCTCGGATGGGAATTGGATACATGTGGAATGTCAGAGGCCCAGAGAGGGTGTGAGACTTGTCCCAAAGTCACACAGAACCTCAAGGGCTTGTGCTGACTCCAAGCCTGCAGAGTGGGCTCCTCCTCTAGGCTCCCCCGTGCTGTGCTCCCTCGCCCCACCCTGCCCGGGACCCAGTTCAAGTAATTCAGGATAGGTTGTGTGCTGTCCAGCCTGTTCTCCATTACTTGGCTCGGGGACCGGTGCCCTGCAGCCTTGGGGTGAGGGGGCTGCCCCTGGATTCCTGCACTAGGCTGAGGTTGAGGCAGGGGAAGGGATTGGGAATTAGGGACCTCGTGAGGTAGGACTGGCCAGTGGAGTGGAAGTTTTGATCGTTTTCTGGCGGGGGGTGGGTACAGTTTCCCCAGCAGTGGTCAGGGTAGCTGGCCAAGCGGAGCCTGCGGGCCCAGTCTCCTTCCTGTGCGCCTCTGCCTCCCTGGCCCATGCCCTGCCAGCCCTCGGCCACCCCCACACTGCCCCACTGGCCCGCAGCCCCCTCACTGGCCCGCCCCCCAGGTCTACGTGTTGAAGCGTCCTCACGTGGATGAGTTCCTGCAGCGAATGGGCGAGCTCTTTGAATGTGTGCTGTTCACTGCTAGCCTCGCCAAGGTGAGCCCCACAGGGGTCCCGGGGCAACCCTGCCCTCCTACCTACCTCCCGCATGCAGCCCAATGAACCTGCGGGCCCCAGGATGACCCACCTCCTGCTCCCAGTACGCAGACCCAGTAGCTGACCTGCTGGACAAATGGGGGGCCTTCCGGGCCCGGCTGTTTCGAGAGTCCTGCGTCTTCCACCGGGGGAACTACGTGAAGGACCTGAGCCGGTTGGGTCGAGACCTGCGGCGGGTGCTCATCCTGGACAATTCACCTGCCTCCTATGTCTTCCATCCAGACAATGCTGTGAGTGCGGGCTGGACTGGGACTGGGACAGGAGCTGAGACCCAGGAAGGGGTCAGTCCATTCAGGCCACCTTGGCCTCTTGGATCCCCAGTTGGGGGGTGGGTGCCCTCCCAGTCCTTCCTGCATTCATTGCCTGTGCCTGCCGCCCACTCCCCTCATCCACCTGCCCTGTAGCCATATGGTCTTTTCCCCTCGCACAAAGCAGAGCATCTGCCATGCACAGGGGCCCCCACAGGGCAACGGAGTTTGGAAAGTTTCAATTTTTCGAATTGCCAGTTGTGACCTACTGATGGCCCACAGAATTAATTTAGTGGGTTCTGATTGGGAATTTTAACAAAATGAAATAGAATAGAAAATATCCGGTCGGGTGCAGTGGCTCATGCCTGTAATCCCAGCACTTTGGGAAGCTGAGGTGGGCAGGTAGCTGAGCCCAGTAGTTCAAGACCAGCCTCGGCAACATAGTGAAACCTTATGTCTACAAAAAATACAAAAACTAGCCAGGCGTGGTGGCGCATGCCTGGAGTCCCGGCTATGCAGAAGGCTGAGGTAGGAGTATCACTTGAGCCCTGGAGGCAGAGGCTGTGGTGAGCCAAGATTGTGCCACTGCACTCTAGCCTGGGCAACAGAGCAAGACCCTGCCTCAAAAAAAAAAAAAAGTATCCGAGTGCTTCGCACAGATAAGGTTAGGAATTGTGAAGCTTTTGCATTGTTACGTTATAAATGTGTTTTCCTGGGGATTGCTGTCAAAAAAGTTTGAACACTGTGGGTGAGGGGTTTTCAGAAACTGCATGATCTGAGTAGTGGCTACATAGGGCTGGCCTGGAAATTCTGCACCCAGGACCACCTGCCCCCCTCATCTTCCTACACCCACTTCCCCAGGTACCGGTGGCCTCGTGGTTTGACAACATGAGTGACACAGAGCTCCACGACCTCCTCCCCTTCTTCGAGCAACTCAGCCGTGTGGACGACGTGTACTCAGTGCTCAGGCAGCCACGGCCAGGGAGCTAGTGAGGGTGATGGGGCCAGGACCTGCCCCTGACCAATGATACCCACACCTCCTCCCAGGAAGACTGCCCAGGCCTTTGTTAGGAAAACCCATGGGCCGCCGCCACACTCAGTGCCATGGGGAAGCGGGCGTCTCCCCCACCAGCCCCACCAGGCGGTGTAGGGGCAGCAGGCTGCACTGAGGACCGTGAGCTCCAGGCCCCGTGTCAGTGCCTTCAAACCTCCTCCCCTATTCTCAGGGGACCTGGGGGGCCCTGCCTGCTGCTCCCTTTTTCTGTCTCTGTCCATGCTGCCATGTTTCTCTGCTGCCAAATTGGGCCCCTTGGCCCCTTCCGGTTCTGCTTCCTGGGGGCAGGGTTCCTGCCTTGGACCCCCAGTCTGGGAACGGTGGACATCAAGTGCCTTGCATAGAGCCCCCTCTTCCCCGCCCAGCTTTCCCAGGGGCACAGCTCTAGGCTGGGAGGGGAGAACCAGCCCCTCCCCCTGCCCCACCTCCTCCCTTGGGACTGAGAGGGCCCCTACCAACCTTTGCCTCTGCCTTGGAGGGAGGGGAGGTCTGTTACCACTGGGGAAGGCAGCAGGAGTCTGTCCTTCAGGCCCCACAGTGCAGCTTCTCCAGGGCCGACAGCTGAGGGCTGCTCCCTGCATCATCCAAGCAATGACCTCAGACTTCTGCCTTAACCAGCCCCGGGGCTTGGCTCCCCCAGCTCTGAGCGTGGGGGCATAGGCAGGACCCCCCTTGTGGTGCCATATAAATATGTACATGTGTATATAGATTTTTAGGGGAAGGAGAGAGGGAAGGGTCAGGGTAGAGACACCCCTCCCTTGCCCCTTTCCTGGGCCCAGAAGTTGGGGGGAGGGAGGGAAAGGATTTTTACATTTTTTAAACTGCTATTTTCTGAATGGAACAAGCTGGGCCAAGGGGCCCAGGCCCTGTCCTCTGTCCCTCACACCCCTTTGCTCCGTTCATTCATTCAAAAAAACATTTCTTGAGCACCTTCTGTGCCCAGCATATGCTAGGCCCACCAGCTAAGTGTGTGTGGGGGGTCTCTACGCCAGCTCATCAGTGCCTCCTTGCCCATCCTTCACCGGTGCCTTTGGGGGATCTGTAGGAGGTGGGACCTTCTGTGGGGTTTGGGGATCTCCAGGAAGCCCGACCAAGCTGTCCCCTTCCCCTGTGCCAACCCATCTCCTACAGCCCCCTGCCTGATCCCCTGCTGGCTGGGGGCAGCTCCCAGGATATCCTGCCTTCCAACTGTTTCTGAAGCCCCTCCTCCTAACATGGCGATTCCGGAGGTCAAGGCCTTGGGCTCTCCCCAGGGTCTAACGGTTAAGGGGACCCACATACCAGTGCCAAGGGGGATGTCAAGTGGTGATGTCGTTGTGCTCCCCTCCCCCAGAGCGGGTGGGCGGGGGGTGAATATGGTTGGCCTGCATCAGGTGGCCTTCCCATTTAAGTGCCTTCTCTGTGACTGAGAGCCCTAGTGTGATGAGAACTAAAGAGAAAGCCAGACCCCTATCCTGCTTCTGTGGTTATTGCGGGGGACTTCAGCAAGTGGGGTGTGTGCCTTGCACCTGCGGCTGCCGTGGGCCCCCCCCCCCCCGCTTCAGCACACCTAGAGGGCTGTTGGTGGAGGGAGGGGCTGCCCGGCCCTCGACACTTCAGGTGGGAAGGGCAGCGTCAGAGCACAAATTTGAGCCTCCAGGCTGTGCTCGTCTACGTCTTCCCGCCTCGGGTATGTGGTCTGCAAAATGGAGATGTGCCCTATTGGCAGGACTAATTAAGTGCCTGGACACAGACGACAGGATACTAGTAGCTGGAAAGCAAAATTCGAAGGCCTGGGTAGGGGCAGTCCTGGAATGCGGCGGGGGAGGGGGCGTGGCCTCTGCCCTGGAGCAGAGGGGCGGGGCTTGTGCGGCTCCGAAGGCAGAGGCGGGGAGCGGGGCGAGGCTCTGGGTGGAGGCTCCAGCGGCAGAACTTGTTGGCCTGGGTGCGGCGGGCTCCGGCGCCTGGCTCTGCCGGGCGGCCTGGGTGGGGCCGGCGCCGGGGCTCGGCCCCCCCCGCCCCTCTGCGGCCTCTGAGCAGCCATTGGCCGCGCCCCCGCCCCACTTCCCGCCCCGCCCCGCGTCCGGGAGGCACTTCCTTTGCGAAACCGCGCGGCCCCAGGCGCCGGCAGGAAATGCCCTCCCGCCGTCCCCAGCCAGCCTTTGCTTGCTTCCCACGCCAGCCGCTAGAGGCCTCCCTGTCCTCGCGGACGCAGGAACTCCCCGGGGGCTGGAAAGATGGGGCCCACCTCACTCACCCCTTTCCCGGGGGTCGGGCGTTTCTGGAGCCCCCACCGCACACACCCAGGGAAGAAGGGGGAAATGCCTCTCAGGTGTTGGTGCCTGCGCCCCAGCTCCACCTCCCCATCGTGTCTGCTCAACACCTTACCTCCTGAATCCAGCCCCCAGGCGGCCTCTTGGTGCCCCAGACGCTGATCGGTCCCCAAGTCTGTGTGAGGGGGAGTCAGCGCTGTGTGAAGCCGCCCTTTGTCCTCCTTCCACTACTTTTCTCTGGTAAAAAAGATTCAAGAAGCACCCTGGAAAAACCTGCAGTTACCCTAGTCTCAGTTTTGGCCTGGGCTGGACCACAAGAGCCCTTGGCTATATAAATTCACAGTCCTCTCCGGTCTCTGCCCTCATCCTCGGGTCCTGCTCTTATTTCCTGCTCTCCATGCAAACACTGATCCTCCCAGATGTGCATCGCAGAGGCCAGATAAACACGCAAAGGAGCTCCAGACTTTGAGACCACAGTGAGGCTTCCCCACCACCACCACCTACACACCCTGTACCCACATGAAGTTCAAGTCAACCACATGTATCGGGTGCGTACTGTGTGCCAGGCACCGTGCCAGGACCAGGCTGTGCCTCTGCTCTCAGGGAACTCACATCCTAGGGTGGAGAGAAAGAAACGTGAACAGATGGTCACTGCAATTCTGCAAATGCAGCACGGGAGAACCATGGAAGGCGGGTGAGGACAGGGGACACCTAGCCCTACTTGGGCAGCCCTGGAGGATTGGAAAACACTCCCTGCAGTAGCGAGGCTCAGAGGAGTTTGGAAATGAGGAAATGAGGCCGCAGAATGCAGGAGGGGGTAGATTATGCAGATCTATGGCCAGACCAAGGGAGTGGCCTTTCTTTTTTTCTTTTTTTTCTTTTCTTTTTTTTTTTTTTTTTTTTTTTTGAGACGAGGTCTCTGTCTCCCAGGCTAATGTGCAAAGGCATGATCATGGCTCACTGCAGCCTCAACCTCCTGGGCTCAGGCCATCCTCCCGCTTCAGCCTGTAGGAGTATTTGGGACTACAGGCATGCACCACCACGCCTGGCTAATTTTTAAATTTTTTTTTGTGGAGATGGGTTCTTACTATGTTGTCCAGGCTGGTCTGGAACTTCTAGGCTCAAGCGATCCTCCCACCTCAGCCTCTGAAAGTCCTGGGATTGCAGGTGTGAGCCACCGCGCCTGGCTGGGAGTAGCCTTTTTCTTGCAGGCAGAGGGTGCCTTTGAGGAACCCTGAGCAGGAGTGAGCTGTGCTGAAACCTGGCAGCTGCACGTTGGAAGCTAAATTAGGCGTACAAGGATACAAGACCCTATTGGGAGACCACAGGCGTGGTCCCAAACATGGAGGATGAAGACCTGAACTTAGGCAGAATAAAGAGGAAAGGAAGGGGCCGGGTGCAGTGGCTCACACCTGTAATCCCAGCACTTTGGGAGGCCGAGGCGGGCAGATTGCCTGAGCTCGGGAGTTCAAAACCAGCCTGGGCAAAATGGCGAAACCCCATCTCTACTACAAATTCAAAAAAAAAAAAAATTAGCCTGCCGTGGTGGCAGGCGCCTGTAATTCCAGCTACTCAGGAGGCTGAGGCAGGAGAACCACTTGAACCCGGGAGGCAGAGCTTGCAGTGAGCCGAGATCACACCACTGTACTCCAGCCTGGGCGACAGAGCAAGACTGTCTCAAAAAAGAGGAAAGGAAGGAGGGATGGATGTGACATAGGAGATAAACTTGGCAGGAAGAGGTGGCTAGCTGGCCCTGGGGGCAGGAGTGGAGGAGTTGGAGGAAGGTGATGTCTTCTGGCTTTGGAGATGTCAGATGTGAAAATGTCTCTACTAGAGCCTGGTGTGGGGCAGAGATTCCCTGTTTGCTTGTAACACACACACACACACACACAATCACTCCAGAGGATGTAGGGAAACAGGCCTGTAAACTGGTGCAACCTCCTTGGAAAGTGATTTGAGAATATCCATATGTATATAAAAATTTTTTTTTTTTTTTTGAGACAGAGTCTCGCTCTGTTGCCCAGGCTGGAGAGCAGTGACCTTCGTTTACTGCAACCTCCACCACATGGGTTCAAGCGATTCTCCTGCCTCAGCCTCCTGAGTAGCTGGGACTACAGGTGTCTACCATCACACCCGGCTAATTTTTTGTATTTTTAGTAGAGACAGGGTTTCACCATGTTGGCCAGGCTGGTCTCAAACTCAAACCTGACCTTCTGATCCACCCGCCTTGGCCTCCCAAAGCACCGGGATAACGGGTGTGAGCCACCGCACCTGGCCAAAAATATTTTTTTAATGCAGACAACTTTTTTTTTTTTTTTTGGATGGAGTCTCGCTCTGTCGCCCAGGCTGGAGTGCAGTGGCATGATCTCGGCTCACTGCAAGCTCTGCCTCCCGGGTTCTCGCCATTCTCCTGCCTCAGCCTCCCGGGTTCTCGCCATTCTCCTGCCTCAGCCTCCCGAGTAGCTGGGACTACAGGCACCCACCATCACGCCCAGCTAATTTTTTGTATTTTTAGTAGAGATGGGGTTTCACCATGTTAACCAAGATAGTCTCGATCTCCTGACCTCGTGATCCACCTGCCTCAGCCTCCCAAAGTGCTGGGATTACAGGCATGCGCCACTGGCCCATTGTATCATTTTTTAAAATTTGTTTTATTTAAAAAAAAATAGGTCCAGGTGCGGTGGCACATGCCTGTAATCCCACCACTTTGGGAGGCCGAGGCAGGTGGAACACCTGAAGTCAGGAGTTCAAGACCAGCCTGACTAATATGGTGAAACCCTGTCTCTACTAAATACAAAAAAAAAAAATTAGCTGAGTGTGGTGGCGCATTCCTGTAATCCCAGCTACTTCAGGAGGCTGAGGCAGGAGAATCGCTTGAAACCGGGTGGCAGAGGTTGCAGTGAGCGAAGATCCTGCCATTGCACTCCAGCCTAGGCAAAACAAGAGCGAAACACTGTCTCAAAAATAAATAAAATATAATAAAATAGAGACTGGGTCTCACTATGTTGCCCAGGCTGGTCTCGAACTTCTGGGCTCAAGTGATCCACCCACCTCAGCCTCCTAAAGTGCAATGATTACAGTCTTGAGCCACTGCACTCAGCCCATTGTATCATTTGTAATAGCAAAACACTTAAAATAATCTAAGTGTCCACCAATAAAGAACTGGTTAAATACATTTTGTTATTGAATACCATGTAGTCGTGAAAACTATGAGGAGGAACTATACAAGCTGATATAGAATGATCTCCAAGAGATACTGTTAAATGAAACAAGGCAAGATTCATAACAATGATGGTGTACTCCTATTAAGGCAAAATATAAAAATAGACGCAAATATAAATATATACTTTCACTTACTCTGAGAAGATAATTGTGGCTAATCTTGGGGAGTGAGGCTGGGGGAGTGAGATTCATCTAATGTATAAGAGACACATGTTATTACATATCTGTTTGTAATTTGAATTATTTTACCAGGTACATTTACTAAATTTTATTTTATTTACTTTTTTTTTTTGAGACAGAGTTTCACTCTTGTTGCCCAGGATGGAGTGCAGTGGTGCGATCTTGGCTCACTGCAACTTCTGCCTCCTGTGTTCAAGTGATTCTCCTGCCTCAGCCTCCCGAGTACTGGGATTACAGGCACCTGACACCACGCCCCGCTAATTTTTTGTATTTTTAGTAGAGGCGGGGTTTCACCATGTTGGCCAGGCTGGTCTCGAACTCCCAACCTCAGGTGACCTGCCTGCCTTGGCCTCCCAAAGTGCTGGGATTACAGGCATGAGCCACCACACTCCGCCTTATTCAATTTTAAAAATAAAAATAGGCTGGGCGTGGTGGCTCACACCTGTAATTCCAGCACTTTGGGAGGCCGAGGCAGGTGGATCACAAGAAGAATCGCTTGAACCTGGGAGACAGAGCAGAGCCAAGATCATGCCACTGCACTCCATCCTGAGCAACAGAGCAAGACTCCGTCTCAATAAAACCAAATAAATAAAAAATAAAAATAAAAAGAGTTCAAATTTAAAACACACTCACTCAGCTTCCTAAATATAATAGCCAAGATAGAAATAATAAATTCCGTCAGGCATGGTGGCTCACCCCTGTAATCCCAGCACTTTGGGAGGCCGAGGCAGGCAGATCACTTGAGGTCGGGAATTTGAGACCAGCCTGGCCAACATGGTGATACCCCGTCTCTACTAAAAATAACAAACATTAGCTGGGCGTTGTGGCACACGTCTGTAATCCCAGCTACTTAGGAACTGAGGCAAGAGAACCACTTGAACCCGGGCGGCGGAAGTTGCAGTGACCCGACATCGCGCCATTGCACTCCAACCTGAGTGACAGAGTGAGACCCTGTCTAAAAAAAAAAAAAAAGAAATCATAAGTTCCATTTCCATTTCTTTCCTTTAAATATTCATTGCATGCCTACTATGCACCAGGTTCCTGGGTGTAGCAGGGAGTAAAACACTGGGGTGAGACAGAGGGAGTAAAACACTGGGGGAGGGAGGGGTAATAGACATAAAAAGTAAGCCAGGTGCGGTGGCTCATGCCTGTAATCCCAGCACTTTGGGAGGCCCAGGTGGGCAGATTGCTTAAGCCCAGGAGTTCCATTCCAGCCTGGGCAACATGGCAAAACCCCATCTCTACAAAAAGTACAAAAAATTAGCTAGAGGTAGTGGCGAGAGCCTGTGGTCCCAGCTATTCTGGAGGCTGAGGTGGGAGGATTTCTTGAACCCAGGAGGTCAAGGCTGTAGTGAGCCCTGATTGCACCACTGCACTCCAGCTTGGGCAACAGAGTGAGACCTTGTCTGAAAAATAAAAATAAAAAGTAATTAATACTTCACTGTAAGATGAAGGAAAAGTTATTTAAAAATGAGTATTATAAAAGAAGTAGAAAGTGGTAAGTAAAAAATCAAAAACTTGTGCTGCCAAATTGTCACCCCAAGATGACTTCTTGTTTTTCTTTTCTCTTTTCTTTTCTTTTTCTTTTTCTTTTTTTTTTTTTGAGACAGGGTCTCGTTCTTTTGCCCAGTCTGGAGTGCAGTGGTGCAGTCTCGGCTTATTGCAACTTCCACCTCCCGGGTTCAAGCAATTTTCCTGGCCTCAGCCTCCCGAATAGCTGGGACTACAGGCACCTGCCACCACCCAGGCTAATTTTTGTATTTTTAGTAGAGACAGGGTTTCACCATGTTGGCCAGGCTAGTCTTGAACTCCTGGCCTCAAGTGATCCACCTGCCTTGGCATCCCAAAGTGCTGGGATTACAGGCATAAGCCACTGTGCCCAGCCTTGTGTTTTTTTGTTTTTGTTTTTGAGATGGAGTCTCGCTCTGTTGCCCAGGCTGGAGTGCAGTGGTACAATCTCGGCTCGCTGCAACTTCCGTCTCCCAGGTTCAACTGATTCTCGTGCCTCAGACTCCTGAGTAGCTGGGACTACAGGTGCGCCCCACCATGCCTGGCTAATTTTTGTATTTTTAGTAGAGATGGGGTTTCACCGTGTTGGCCAGGCTGCTCTCGAACTCCTGACTTCAAGTGATCTGCCCACCTCGGCCTCTCAAAGTTCTGGGATTACAGGTGTGAACCACCGCACTCGGCCCCAAGATGACTTCTAATTGTAAAGGGGGAGCTGTGCCTTTCCAATACAGAAGGGTATCTGTGGACATGGGTAGTTCACCAATCTAAAACAACAACAAACATAAGGGTATCTGCCTGGCACTGCTGTAACCAAGGGATCCACCTTTGCAACACTCATGCAGGGATGACTTGATATTATATATTCCTTCTGATGCCATGCAAAGTCAATACCTTTGAGCATGCTACTGAAAGAATGGTTCAACTGGGAAAATCACCTGGAAAGGCAAAATCACCTGGGAACTTGCTACTAATGCAGAATCTCAGCTCCCCTCCCCACCAGTTCTATTGAACCAGAATAGGTACTTTACAAAGATTTCTAGGTGATTCTTAACAACATTACAGTTTGAGAAGCACTGTTCTATGAAGTATTCTTGAAAAAAGAGTTTAGGCTGGGTGCAGTGGCTCACGCCTGTAATCCCAGCACTTTGGGAGGCAGAGGAGGGCGGAGCACCTGAGGTTGGGAGTTTGTGACCAGCCTGGCCAAGATGGTGAAACTCTGTCTCTACTAAAAATACCAAAAATTAGCTGGGTGTGGTGGCAGGCGCCTGTAATCCCAGCTACTTGGGAGGCTGAGGCAGGAGAATCGCTTGAGCCCAGGAGGCAGAGATTGCAATGAGCCGAGATAGTGCTACCGTACTCCAGCCTGGGTGACTGAGCGAGACTCTGTCTCAAAAAGAAAAAAAGAGTTTAACCAGGACCTACTAGTTGCACTTTCAGTTTGTGGGAAGTGCAGAAGGAAATGTAACAAATTAGATAATACCGTAAGGAAAGGCTCAGTTCCACAATGTGAACATTCTACAGGGCAACTGTCTTTGACTCAGGTAAGTCAATGTCATGGGGGGGAAATGTGAAAGAACTCTTCGAGATTAAAAAATACTGAAGACAAAATGTTCAGCATATACTACATGTAAAAAATACTGGGCGTGGTGGCTCATGCCTGTAATCCCAGCACTTTGGGAGGCCAAGGCAGGTGGATCACCTGAGGTCAGGAGTTCGAGACCAGCCTGGCCAGCATGGTGAAACCCCATCTCTACTGAAAATACAAAAATTAGCCAGGCATGGTGGCGGGTGCCTGTAATCCCAGCTACTTGAGAGGCTGAGGCAGAAGAATTGCTTGAACCCAGGAGGCAGAGGTTGCAGTGAGCCAAGATTGCGCCACTGCACTCCAGCCTGGGTAACAGGGCAAGACTCTGTCTCAAAAAATAATAATAAAAATAAATAAATAGGCCAAGTGCGGTGGCTCATGCCTGTAATCCCAGCACTTTGGGAGGCTGAGGCGGGCAGATCATGAGGTCAAGAGATCAAGACCATCCTGGCCGACATGGTAAAACTCCGTCTCTACTAAAAATACAAAAACGAGCTGGGCGTGATGGCACGCACCAGTAGTTCCAGCTACTGGGGAGGCTGAGGCAGGAGAATTGCTTGAACCTGGGAGGCAGAGGTTGTAGTGAGTCAAGATTGCACCACTGCATTCCAGCCTGGCAACAGAGCGAGACTCCATCTCAAAAAAAAAATAAATAAATAAAATTAAAATAAATAAAATTACTGTAGACAAAAGAAAAACACTGAAGAGATATAACAATAAAAGGAAATGGTTGGGGTGGGCATGGTGGCTCACACCTGTAATCCCAGCACTTTGGGAGGCCCAGGTGGGTGGATCACTTGAGGTAAGGAGTTCTAGACCAGCCTGGCCAACATGATGAAACCCTGTCTCTACTAAAAATACACAAACTAGCTGGGCATGGTGGTGCATGCCTGTAATCTCAGCTATTGTGGAGGCTGAGGCACGAGAATCGCTTGAACCTGGGAGGCGGAGGTTGCAGTGAGCCGAGATCGTGCCACTGCACTCCAGCCTGTGAGATACAGTCTTAACAAATAAATAAATAAACAATATGATAAATGTTAATGCTTAAGTCCATGTACTGTTATTTTCACTTTTCTATGTGTTTGACATTTATCATAACAAAGACATTGGAAACAATTTTTAAGAACATGTTCACCAAAAGATTCTCCCGGCTCAATTAAAAGGCAAGCAAGAAACTAGAGACAAGTATCACATAAATGGTAGGCAAATTACCAGCCTTAAGACATTAACTATATAAACAATCCCAACAAATTAATTAAAAACTCACAAGGGGAGACATAGCCAATAAATATAGTTTAAAATGGTCTGTCTCACTGATAATAAAAAAACATAAATCAACACAATGACTGTTTTCTTTTTTGTCAATCAAACTGATAGAGAGCTTCATCGATACTGTACCAGAGCACTGGGGAGAGGTGGAGATTCAGCCACTCATGTATTGCAGGCGGGACTATCCATTCATGCAGCTTTTTTGGAAGACAGTTTTCCTATTCACATCTTTGACTCAGCAATCTCACTTTTTTTTTTTTTTTTTTTTTTTTTTTGAGCCAGAGTCTTGCTCTGTTGCCCAAGCTGGAGTGCAGTGGCGCGATCTTGGCTCATTGCAACCTCCGCCTCCCGGGTTCATGCCATTCTCCTGCCTCAGCCTCCTGAGTAGCTGGGACTACAGGCACCCGCCACCACGCCCGGCTAATTTTTGTTTTGTTTTTTTTTTGTGTGTGTTTTTAGTAGAGACGGGGTTTCACCATGTTAGCCAGGATGGTTTTGAAACGATCTCCTGACCTCATGATCTGCCTGCCTCGGCCTCCCAAAGTGCTGGGATTACAGGCATGAGCCACCACGCCCGGCCTTACTTTTTTGAATCTATCCCAAAGAGATAGTGAATGTAATCTAATGGCAAATATTTAGCAATAAGAATATTTGCCACAACATTCTTTGTAGTATCAAATAATTGGATATAATTTGGAAGTCCAATAATGAGGTATTGGTTACATAAACTGTACTGTCTAATGAATTACTATAAAACAACTGAAAATGAAGTTGCTGGGTGCGGTGGCTCACACCTGTAATCCCAGCACTTTGGGAGGCCAAAGCAGGTGGATTGCTTGGGCCCAGGAGTTTGAGAGCAGCCTGGGCGACATAGTGGAAACTCTGTCTCTACCAAACAACAACAACAACAAAAATTAGCCAGATGTGGTGACGTGTGCCTGTGGTTCCAGCTACTTCTGAGGTGGGAGGATCATTGAGTCCAGGGAGGTCGAGGTTGCAGTGAGCCATAATCACACCAGTGTGCACTCCAGGCTGGGTGCCACAGCAAGACCCTGTCTCAAAAAAAAAAAAAAAAGAAATTGCAAAATAAGATATATCATATGACAGTTAAAAATATATGCACATAGGCCAGGCATGGTAGCTCACACCTATAATCCCAGCATTTTGGGAGGCTGAGTCAGGCAGATCACCTGAGGTCAGGGGTTCGAGAACAGCCTGGCCAACATGGTGAAACCCCGTCTCTACTAAAGATACAAAAATTAGTCGGGCATCATGGCGGGCACCTGTAATCCCAGCTAACTTGGGCAGCTGAGGCAGGATAATCACTTGAACCCAGGAGGCAGAGGTTGCAGTGAGCCAGGATTGCACCGCTGCACTCCAGCCTGGGTGACAGGGTGCGACTCCATCTCTCTCTCTCTCTCTCTCTCTCTCTCTCTCTCTCTCTCTCTCTCTCTCTCTATATATATATATATATATATATATATATATATATGAACATGCAGACAGACAGGTATCTACCTGTACTGGACAATGACTTGAAAGAAATATTCCAAAACAATTCAGTGACAGTGATTTATCTGGAGAATATCTCTATATTGAAAATATAGGTGAGTTTTTACCTTCCTTTTTCTTGTCCTTGTAATCGAGTGTATCTCTCTCTCTCTCTCTCTCTCTCTCTCTCTCTCTATATATATATATATATATATATATACTCCTTTTTATTCACAAGAAAGTGTTATTTTTTTCATAACCTGTGACATAGGAGGCAGGATTATATATTTTTATTTTTATATTTATATATGTGTATATTTTTCAAAACAGAGCCTCACTTCGTCACCCAGGCTGGAGGGCAGTGGCACAATCTCAGTTCACTGCAACCTCTGCCTCCCGGGTTCAAGCAATTATTGTGCTTCAGCCTCCCTTGTAGCGGGGATTACAGGTGTGCACCACCACACCCAGCGATTTTTTTTTTTAAAAGAAACAAAATAGCAACTCCAGTGTTTACTCCTCTTTCCAGACAACACATGAGCGTGTGCACACACATATAGTGCACACATGCCCACATGTGCGCAAACACACAGCAGTCTCCCTTTATCCACCAATTCAGGTACCTCATAGTCAACCATGTTCTGAAAATACTACATGGAAAATTCTAGAAATAAACCATTCATAAGTTTTAAATTACACAGTATTCTCAGTAGCGTGATGGGATCTCCCACCGCCCCACTCCATCCCACCTGAAACGTGAGTCATCCCTTTGTCCACTACCTCCACATGCTGCATGCTCCCTGATGGGCATTTAGCAGCCGTGTGGGCTATCAGATCCACTGTCATGGCATTGCAGGGCTTGTGTTCAAAGTAACCCTTATTGGGCCGGGCGCAGTGGCTCACGCCTGTAATCCCAGCACTTTGGGAGGCCTAGGTGGGCGGATCACTTGAGGTTAGGAGTTTGAGACCAGCCTGGCCAACATGGTGAAACCATGTCTCTGATAAAAATACAAGAAAAATTAGCTGGGTGTGGTGGTATGCACCTGTAGTCCAGCTACTCGGGAGGCTGAGATGGGAGAATTGCTTGAACCCAGGAGGCAGATGTTGCTGTGAGCCGAGATCATGCCATTGCACTCCAGCCTCGGTGACAGAGCGAGACTTCATCTCCAAAAAACAAAAATAAAGACAACCCCCCACCCAAAGTAACACTTATTTTACTAAATAATGCAAGAGTAGCGATGCTGGCAATTTGGAAGTGCCAAAAAGAAGCCATAAAATGTTTCCTTTAAATGAAAAGGTAATAGTTCTCAATAAGGAAAGAACAAAAAACATCATATACTGAGGTTGCTAAGATCTATGATAAGAATGCATCTTCTGTTCATGAAATTGTGAAGAAGGAAACAGAAATTTGTGTTAATTTTGCTGGTGTACCTCAAACTGCAAAATGCAGCCACAGTGCAGGATAAGTGCTAATGAAAATAGAAGGGGCTTCAATTTGTGGGTGGAAGACACGAACAGAAACATGCTCCAGCTGATGGCAGCCAGGTTCGGTACGATCCGAGGTTTTAAGGCATCCACTGCGGGTCCTGGAATGTATCCCCCGTTGGATAAGGGGGGGACTACTGTACATTTGGTCTCCAGAACTCTTGGGAGGCTGTGATGAGAAGGACGTACTGCCCTCACCCAGCCCACTTCACGTCACCCTCCTAAGGACCAGGCTTCACAGGTGATAGGAGAATTTCTGCAGTCTGGGAGGCAGCTGCCCAAGGTGCTGAGTTTGCGTGTGAAGCTGGTTTCTCAGCGAGATCCACGCTGGAGTTGGCTGCACAACTTTCCTGCCTGAGTGAGATGGATCCCCTAGGGTCAGGGGTCAGACATGGAAACCTTGGCTTCTGGGAGAGGGTAGCAGAACAGAGTTCAAAGGCACTGGTTTATGGCATCTCATAAAAACTCCAGGTGGGCCGGGTGCAGTGGCTCACGCCTGTAATCCCAGCACTTTGGGAGGCCGAGGTGGGCGGATCACGAGGTCAAGAGTTCAAGACCAGCCTGGCCGACATGGTGAAACCCCGTCTCTACTAAAAATACAAAAATTAGCTGGGCGTGGTGGTGTGCGGCTGTAATCCCAGCTACTCGGGAGGCTGAGGCAGGAGAATCACTTGAACCCAGGAGGCGGAGGATGCAGTGAGATGAGATCACGCCACTGCACTCCAGCCTGGGCGACAGAGACAGACTCCATCTCAGCAAAAAAAACGAAAACAAAAAAAACACTCCAGGTGGAGCCAGTGCCCCTAAGGGTGGAGAGGAGGAGCAGTTGTGCTCACTGGGGCCCTTGCTAAGTGAGGGTCATGCTGAGAAGAGACCTCTAGGAGACCTCTAAGAGACCTCCCATCTGTTCTGGAGGGGCCCTGAGTATAAGTCCCTGCATTCCTGGGTTTGGGGCTTCTGCAACCCTAGAGTCCTGCCTCTCTTTCTCCATGAACCATTCACCCCAGGGCAGGTGGGAGGACAGCTGAGCCTCCTTCTCTTGGTTGGTAGGAGGAAAGGTTCAGGCGCCGCTGACCCTACCTGGACAGTGCTGTCTGCCTGTGGTGAGGGCCTGGGCCCTGGGCAGAAAAGCACCCCATCCCTTGCTCACTCAGAAGCCAAGGGAGGGGCTGGGCGCCGGGCCTCACACCTGTAATCCCAGCACTTTGGGAGGTCGAGGCAGGTGGATCATTTGAGGTCAGGAGTTCAAGTCCAGCCTGGCCAACATGGTGAAACCCTGTCTCTGCTAAATATACAAAAATTAGCCAGGCATGGTGGCACATGTCTGTAGTCCCAGTTACTTGGGAAGCTGAGGCAGGAGAATCACTTGAACTTGGGAGGCGGAGGTTGCAGTGAGTCGAATTCATACCACTGCACTCCAGCCTGAATGACAGAGTGAGGCTCAAAAAAAAAAAAAAGCCAAGGGTGGGGCACATCAGCTCTCATTGTCAGGCTGTGGAGGGCTCTGGGCTCCCAGGGACCTGGCAGCACCTGCCTCCCCACCCCCTCACCTCTCTGGGGCCCTATCTTCCCTTATATGGTGAAGGCAGTTCCTAGAGGAGGGGGGGTGGGGACAAAGGTCGCTCTTCTGCAGCCAGCTTGCCACAATTCCCTGAGATCTCCCAGGTGGCAGCTGCCTCCCCAAGACAGGTAAGGCAACCTGGTGGGAACACATGGAGACCTTAGGTGGTGCGAGGGGACGGGGTCCTCTGCTTTTCTCGGGCAACTTGGGGCCTCCTGGAGCACCTTGGTACGGGCTCGAAGGGGAGGCTTGACACTCTGGATAGCGTGAGAAGTGCTGGGAGCCCAGTGTGTCTGCCCTGGGCCTCCAGGGAGAGACTTTTGCAGGCCCTGCCCCAGACAATGGCTCTCTCAGTCTCCTACCTGTGGCTAGCCCCATCCCACTTTGGGTGTCACCATCCCAATTGCCCTGGAACTTCTAGAGTTAAAACCAGGACAGTGCTGGGCAGACCGGGACTAGTTGGTCTCCCTGACCTCACTCCCCGAGCCCCCTCCCCACCAGCTCATCTCTTTGCCCGTGCGTTCTTCATCTGAAGTGTTTTTTTCTTTGTGTCACCATTCCTCTGACACTCCTGGGACCTCCGGGTCCTGCCTCCTGGCTCCTAGCATATGAGCAACAGCCACCAGCAATTGAATGGGCACACACAGAGGCAAGGGCAGAGGCAAGGGGCTGGAGGTGGCAGGGCCTTAGGTCCTGGGCCATGCCGGGCCACCCTAGCATGCACCTCTGCCCCATCTCCCCTCTACCCGGAGCTGCCCCATTGGCCTCCCCAGCCACTGTGGGCCCATTCAGCAGAACTAGGAATGGGAGCTAGCTGCAGACCAGGCTCTGAGGACACACTGGCTGCTGTCTTCTCGGGACATCATCTGCTGGGGCAGAGCCTTTGGGCTGGAGGGTCTTGGCGGGTGTCCATTCCCTCTTCTATCATGAGCCTGGGAAGCAGGAGGATGTCCTTTGTCTGAGGGGTGGGACTTCACCCCCACTGCCCCACCACATTCCTGTCCAGCTCAGAGCTGCACGACTGGGAACTAGGAGCCGTGGCAGCACCCCACTTACAACAGAGCCGCAACTCAAGTACAACAGGGCTCAGATAAGAAAGGCATGGTGGGCCAGGTGCAGAGCCTCATGCTTGGAATCCCAGCACTTTGGGAGGCCAAGTGGGGTGGATCACTTGAGGTCAGGACTTCAAGACCAGCCTGACCAACATAGTGAAACCCCGTTTCTACTAAAAATACATAATTAGCTGGGTGTGCTCGCGCACGCCTATAGTCCCAGCTACTCGGGAGGCTGAGGCACGAGAATCGCTTGAACCCAGGAGGCGGAGATGACAGTGAGCCAGAATTGCACCATTGCACTCCAGCCTGGGTGACAGAGTGAGACTCTGTCTCAAAAAAAAAAAAAAAAAAAGAAAAGAAAAAAAGAAAAAAGAAAGAAAGGCAAGATGGACCTGCAGACAGTGGGAGCCCAAACCCCTCCAGTGCCCTGGGAGGGTCCTCCTTCCATCCCACAGTTCAGCCTTTCAGCATCATGAGTATTTGTTTTTTTTTTTTTTGTTTTTTTTTTGAGAAGGAGTCTCACTCTTTCATCCAGGCTGGAGTGCAGTGGCGTGATCTCAGCTCACTGCAGGCTCCACCCCCTGGGTTCACGCCATTCTCCTGCCTCAGCCTCCCGCGTAGCTGGGACTACAGGCGCCCACCATCTCGCCCGGCTAATTTTTTGTATTTTTAGTAGAGACAGGGTTTCACCGTGTTAGCCAGGATGGTCTTGATCTCCTGACCTCGTGATCCGCCTGCCTCGGCCTCCCAAAGTGCTGGGATTACACGCGTGAGCCACCACGCCCAGCCCATGAGTATTTGTTGAGCACCTACTATGTGCTAGGAGCTGGGGGCTGCAAAGACAAACATATCTAGGTCTTGGAGCTCAGGGACCTCCAACTTACAAACAGGTTATTTCATCACCATGTGGTCAGGGGGCCAAGAGAAGGGACAGTCCAGGATGCAGAGGGGCCCCTTGTCCAGCTGAGGATTCTAGGAAGGTCTCCTGGAAGAAATGAGATCTAAATTGAGTCTAGAAGAGCATGTTAGTGTCAGAAAGGTGGGGAGAGCTTTCCATATTGGAGCAGTGCAAGCAGGCGTGGGGTGAGAGGCAGCATGGGGGTGGGGCCGCCAGCAGTGTGGCATTTCTAGAGGGCAGAGTGCCAGCAGAGAGGGGCCAGGGGGCTGTGTGTAGTGGGGAGACTCAAGGGAGTTTAGGTGGATGGAAGGGCAGGAGCAGAAAGAGTCCAGGATGCTGCACAGATGGCTGACTTTGGGGTCTTGGGGTGACCATGCCCTTCCCTGGTCTGGGGACACAGAAGAGAAAGTACCAGGAGTGGAGGAAGCCAGTGAATTAAAACTGAAGGAGGAGACAACTCAAATCCAAACCAGAGTCCACGGTGGCAGGGCTGGGGGAAGTGACGGGCCCTGGTCTTCCTGGAAGTTCAGGGAAGACAGGAGAAGTGAGGAGGAGGCCCTACCAAGGGGTGGAGGAGAGGCATCTGCTCTGACCAACATGGGTAGAGGGCAGGAGCATCTGGAGGGTATACACCAGGTAGGGGGGCCACATCTCAGAGCTTCCACTCCTGAGTCCCCTTGCCCACCTTTGGCCTGTGGGGGCTGGCCCCAATCCTGATTTCTCTCTGGGGAGGGGGAGCGCTGGCTTTTTCAAGTCTCTGCTCCCCTGAATCCCCTCTCTGATAAGCAAGAAGTGCCTGCTCATGTCCACCCTCTATTCCTCTTGCTGCCAGTTAACCCTGGAATCAGCATGTCCCTGGGTGAGGCTTTAGAGATCATCGATTTAGTTAACCCCCTAAGTTGACCCCCTCAGCTCATAGATGAAGAAGGGAAGTCTACGTTCATACAGCTAGTGAGTGTCAAAGAAAAAGAGGGACGGGGCCCGGCGCGGTGGCTCACGCCTGTAATTCCAGCAATTTAGGAGGCTGAGGCGGGTGGATCACCTGAGGTCAGGAGTTCGAGACCAGCCTGGCCAACATGGTGAAACCCCCGTCTCTATTAAAAATACAAAAATTAGCTGGGCTTGGTGGCTCGCGCCTGTAATCCCAGCTACTTGGGGGGCTGAGGCAGGAGAATCACTTGAACCCGGGAGGCGGAGGTTGAAGTAAGCCGAGATTGTGCCATTGTACTTCAGCCTGGGCAACAAGAGTGAAACTCTGTCCCAAAAATAAATAAATAAATAAATAAATAAAAGAAGGGGACAGAGACAAAGGTGATGACAGAAATGAAACAGAAAACGGTCTCCTCCTTTATACCCAACCTGGTTCTGCTGGACCAGGAATCCTGGGAGCCCTGGGGACTTGGTAGGTTGAAAAATACCTGATGGAGGAGACCATGGTTGCCTGATGGAGAAGGCCATAGCCAACAGGCCATCAGACAGGACCCAAGCCCAAGGGGCTCCTACAGTTACACGGCAAGCTGCTGCTAATCAGTCGGAGCAGGCAATGATCAGAGACTGGGCAGGGCCTTACCTCCAACTCTAGAACGCCAGGGAAGCAGCAGCCACCCCTCAGGGCTCAGAAAAGGGAGTTTCTAAGTACTAAAAGGCCAAGTCACTAAGAGGTGACTCAAAGTCAAGGTGCAAGGAGAGATTAGATAGTGAGATTTCAGGCTGTCAGCGAGTGGAGGCCTGACCTGTCGGCCACATGCCCTCTCATTCATTATTCATCAGTTCAAGGAGCATTCATGGAGGGCAGCTCTCTGCCAGGCTGGGTGATAGGCTCCATGGAGATCGGGGTGGCCTCTGGCCTGATGAGGAGGAACCTCAAAACTAGGGAGGAGAATAACTGGGCACTAGTGGCTGTCTGCCCTAGTTCATATCAGAATCACTGGGGAGTTTTAAAAGCACCCATGCCTCACCTCCCAAAAGGCAGAAAATAAAGCACCCATGCCCAAGCCCCACCCTGGCCTAATTAAATCAGAATCACCAGAGCCTGGAGCATCAGCACGTTCCGAAGCTCCCCAGCTGAGGCTGATGAGCAGCAGGAGCGAATACAGCTACAGGTCCAAGCAAAAAGGGCCGGCCAGGCACAGTGGCTCATGCCTGTAATCCCAGCACTTTGGGAGGCTGTGACAGGTGGATCACCTGAGGTCAGGAGTTTGAGACCAGCCTGGCCCACATGGGGAAACCCTGTCTCTACTAAAAATACAAAATTAGCCAGGCGTGGTGGCTCACGCCTGTAATCCCAGCTATGCGGGAGGTTGAGGTAGGAGAATCACTTGAACCTGGGAGGCAGAGGTTGCAGTGAGCCAAGATCACGACACTGCACTCCAGCCTGTGCGACAGAGCGGGACTCCATCTCAAAAAGAAGAAGAAGAAAAAAATAATATGGAGAAAGGGCTGACATGAGGAGAAAAGCTTGGGGAGGGGGGTTCCTTCCAGTTTAGCGGGCAGAGAGTAGTTCACAGTGGGAGGGTTCACTCTGTTCATTCATTCATCCATCTCTCACTCCTTCCCTCCCCCTCTCTTCCTTATTGAGCAAAGTCACTGTGCTAGACACTGCGGATTTGGTACTAAACAAGCGGAAATGGTCCCTGAGTGGGGAGTAACCCTCTGTGCTCCCCCAAGCCCCTGAGCCTGCGACCTCCTGGCACTGTTGGGAGTTCTCTAGGGGCAGGCTGGAAGGGCAGCATCCGAACTCAGGGTGCCCCTGCTCCCAACGCCTTCTCCCCCAGGCTCACTCACCATGACCAAGCTGAGCGCCCAAGTCAAAGGCTCTCTCAACATCACCACCCCGGGGCTGCAGATATGGAGGATCGAGGTGAGGCCCTGTCTGGGCATGGGGGCTGCTCAGGCCTGGGGTGGAGGGAGGCAAGGCCAAGGAGGGAGGCCTGGGATTTCTCTTCGTTTCCTCTGCTCCTGCCCTGAAGCCCCTGAGAGCTCAGCCCCTCACCTCCCGCATCATCCACACCCCGGCTGGTCTCCCTTTCCCTTTCTCCATTTCTTCTCCCTCTGTCTCTCAACCTTCCTCTCCACTTCCTCTTCCTCACTCATCCCTTCCTTTCCCTCCATTGATTTTCCTTCTCCCGCCCCTCACAGTTTTCTTCTCCTCTCTTCCTTTTCTCTCCTTTCATTCCTGGGCCCGGCTCTTTGTCTCCGACGCCTCCTCCCCTTGGGCCCTCCTCCCAGGCCTAGGGGTCCTGGTGGTCCAGGGCAGCCCCTCTGACCCTCTTTCTCTCCTTAGGCCATGCAGATGGTGCCTGTTCCTTCCAGCACCTTTGGAAGCTTCTTCGATGGTGACTGCTACATCATCCTGGCTGTGAGTCAGGGGCAGGGGAGGGGGCTGAGCAGAGAGCAAAACCCACTGTGGTGTCAGGGAGGAAACAGGCTGGGGGCCGTGGGGAGAGTTGGCCTGGCTTCACCCCAAGACACAATTTACTGGGTATGCCCAAGTGCCCAACCCTGTGGGGGCTTCACAGAGGTCAGAGGCTCTTGCTGCCCTTGATCCACTGAGCTCCCAGCTGAGGTCAACTTCTGTGGATTCACAGTCTTGGGGAAACTTCTGAGTTGTTGCCGTATCACCCTAACTTGAGTCCACATTTCCACAATCCATAGTCATCTTCTTTTTTTAAAATTTTTTTCCGGATGGAGTCTCACTCTGTCACCCAGGCTGGAGTGCAGTGGAGCGACCTCGGCTCACTGCAACCTCCACTTCCCGGGTTCAAGCGATTCTCCTGCCTCAGCCTCTTGAGTAGCTTGGACTACAGGCACGTGCCACCACAGTCAGCTAATTTTTTTGTATTTTTTAGTAGAAACGGGGTTTCACCATGTTGATCAGGCTGGTTTCGAACTCTTGACCTCAGGTGATCCACTCGCCTCAGCCTCCCAAAATGCTGGGATTACAGGCATGAGCCACCATGCCCAGCCTGGCAGTCATCTTCATATCACCTTGATTTTCACCATACCCTGGTACCACCTGTACTATTAAGACATTTGTATTTTTTTCTTTATATTGACTCATTTTAAATTTTTATTTTATTTTATGTATTTATTATTATTATTTTTTGAGACAGAGTCTCGCTCTGTCGCCCAGGCTGGAGTGCAATGGCACAATCTTGGCTCACTGCAAACTCTGCCTCCTGGATTCAAGCGATTCTCGTGGCTCAGCCTCCTGAGTAGCTGGGATTACAGGCATCTGCCCCCACACCTGGCTAATTTTTGTATTTTTAGTAAAGACAGGGTTTTGCCATGTTGGCCAGGCTGGTCTTCAACTCCTGACCTCAGGTGATCCACTTGCCTCGACCTCCCAAAGTGCTGGGATTACAGGCGTGAGCCACTGTGCCTGGCACAAGCAAGTTATTTCTGAGATGAGGCAAGGGAGGCCCAGAGAGGAGAAGCCATGTCTCAGAGAGTCAATGGTAGAGCTGGGCCATGACTCAGGGCTCCTAACCGCCAGCCTAGTGCACTTGCCCTGTGCCACGCTCCCCCATAGTCCTGGACGGCACGTGTGTGGGAGGTCACACAGAGCTGGAGGGGCTGTGGGAGCCCAGGGTCTCGGGTACACTGGACACCTTTTCCCTAGATCCACAAGACAGCCAGCAGCCTGTCCTATGACATCCACTACTGGATTGGCCAGGACTCATCCCTGGATGAGCAGGGGGCAGCTGCCATCTACACCACACAGATGGATGACTTCCTGAAGGGCCGGGCTGTGCAGCACCGCGAGGTCCAGGGCAACGAGAGCGAGGCCTTCCGAGGCTACTTCAAGCAAGGCCTTGTGTAGGGAGGGTGGGCTGCAGGCCGGGGGAATGAGGATGAGTGGTAGGGATAGAGATGTTGGGGCTGAGCTGAAGAGGCAGGGACACCCAGACCTGTTCAGGCCTGGGAAGAACACTTGGAGCAGGGGGAGGTGACCTGGGGCGGGGAAGGGACCCTGAAGCTGTGGGGGGAGGCACGAGGGGGACCCTCATGAGTTTTTGGTGATTGTCCCTCACCTTTCCACTCCCTAACTCTTATTTCTGCCACTGCTCTGTCCTTGGTCTGGAGGCTGTTCTGAAATTCTATAACTCTCGTGAATCTCTGTAAATCAGCTCCTACTTGAATGTCCTGGAGAGCTCAGTGCCTAATCAAGCCCCCCAACTCTGGCCAACGGGCAAATGGCTGCTCCCCCATCTCTAATGCAGGCCTATCACACTAAAAACCAAGACCGACAGCTTTTCTTTTTCTTCCTTTTTTTTTTTGAGATGGAGTCTTGCTTTGTTGCCCAGGCTGGAGTACAGTGGCACAGTCTTGGCTCACTGCAAACTCCGCCTCCTGGGCTCAAGCGATTCTCATGCCTCAGCCTCCCCAGTAGCTGGGATTACAGGCACACACCACCAGGCCTGGCTAATTTTTGTATTTTTAGTAGAGACAGGGTTTCACCACGGGCAGGCTGATCTCAAACTCCTGACCTCAAGTGATCCATCTGCCTCAGTCTCCCAAGGTGCTGGGATTATAGGCGTGAGCCACTTCGTCTGGCCCCACCTCAGCCTCTTGAGTAACTGGGACTACAGGCCCGAGCCACCATGCCCAGCTAATTTTTTTTTTTGAGACAGAGTCTTGTTCTGCCGCCCAGGCTGGAGTGCAGTGGCGCGATCTCAACTCACTGCAAGCTCTGCCTCCCAGGCTCACGCCATTCTCCTGCCTCAGCCTCCCCAGCAGCTGGGACTACAGGTGCCCACCACCACGTCCGGCTAATTTTTTTGTATTTTTAGTAGAGACAGGGTTTCACCGTGTTAGCCAGGATGGTCTCAATCTCCTGACCTCATGATCTGCCCGCCTTGGCCTCCCAAAGTGCTGGGATTACAGGCGTGAGCCACCATGCCTGGCCAGCACTAATTTTTTAATATATATATTTTGTAGAGACGAAGGTCTTGCTCTGTTGCCCAGGCTGGTCTCATACTCCTGGGCTCAAGTGATTCTCCCACCTCAGCCTCCTGAAGTCCTGGGATTACAGGCATGAGCTACCACTCCCAGCCCAGACTGCTGGCTTTTCTATACAAGTTGAAGTTCTAGCTTAGCTTTCCCCAGGAAAACACACACTCTGGAGCTGAGTTGTTACTGACCTGTAGGACAGGCTGAGGGCTCTCTAATTAGCCACAGTTCCCACTCTTTTTTTGTCTTGCTCCTCTCTTCCCACGCTATGGCAGTAGTCCACTGCCATGGGCACTGGAGTGGCACCTCTCCATTCTTTTCTTTTCTTCCACTTTGATCCCCTGTCCTCAGGATTCTGTCCCTATTTATTAATACATTTCCTTTTTTTTTTTTTTTGAGATGGAGTCTCACTCTGTCGCTTAGGCTAGAGTGCAATGGTGCGATCTCGGCTCACTGCAAACCTCCGCCTCCTGGGTTCAAGCAATTCTTCTGCCTCAGCCTCCTGAGTAGCTGGGATTACAGGCACCCGCCACCATGCCCAGCTAATTTTTTGTATTTTTAGTAGAGATGGGGCTTCACCATGTTGGCCAGGCTGGTCTGGAACTCCTGACCTCAAATGATCTGCCCACCTCGGCCTCCCAAAGTGCTGGGATTATAGGTGTGAGTCACCGCACCTGGCCTATTAATATATTTCCTACTCTTAATATATCATGACCCTATCTTTGCAGGCCTCTCCACAGGGCAGGGACTAGGGCAAGACGAGTGAAGATCTAGGGTGCAGACTTTAAGGTTGCTCTCACTGTCAGGGTCGTGCAAGGGCATGCCACAGGCAGACCTTGCACTTTCAGGACCTGACAGTGAGTGACTCCCTAAAGTTTGCGCCCTCAGCACCTCATTGACCTCGCCTACTCCCACCCTGGCCCTCACGTGACCCCAGCGTGGCAGCCAGGACCTGGGAGAACAGGGGCCAGGCACACCTCCCAGCCCACTTCCTTGGGTCAGCTCACCTCTCTTCTCAGGATCCGGAAAGGGGGCGTGGCTTCTGGCATGAAGCACGTGGAGACCAACTCCTATGACGTCCAGAGGCTGCTGCATGTCAAGGGCAAGAGGAACGTGGTAGCTGGAGAGGTAGGCAGGCCCCACTGGAGCATCGGCCAGGGCTGTGAGGCCCAGGGTGGAGGGCAGGGGCTGAGGAGGGGTGAGGGGCAGGGAGGGATGGCCAAGATGATGGATGATAGGTGAGCTCTGAGTGGGGTCTGTGCCTCCCCTGTGGCTCCCTAGGTAGAGATGTCCTGGAAGAGTTTCAACCGAGGGGATGTTTTCCTCCTGGACCTTGGGAAGCTTATCATCCAGTGGAATGGACCGGAAAGCACCCGTATGGAGAGACTCAGGGTAAACCTGCCCATGCACCACACCTCCCTCTCGAATCCTAGACTGCCCCCACCTGCTCCTTTCCCCAGGCCTCTCCCCGCTGACTGCTGGGGACAGCATGTTTGAAGGTGGCTCAGTCTCCATGTGTTTGGTGCAGGCATGCATGTTGGAGTTTGCGTGTGTGTACTTGTGGTCAATCCACTCAGATAGAATGAGTCTCTACAGTGTGACAGAGCCTGTGCCAAGCCTTAGGGATCCAGTGGTGAATGAAATGGGCATGGACATACGTGTGTTTATACTCACAGTACATTGACGCTGTGTGTGCACTGTGAGACTGCAGGCATGTTTGGGTGCAAAGAGATTTTTTTTTTGGAAACACAGTTTTGCTCTTTTTGCCCAGGCTGGAGTGCAATGGCGCAATCTCAGCTCACCGCAACCTCCGCCTTCTGGGTTCAAGTGATTCTCCTGCTTCAGCCTCCCGAGTAGCTGGGATTACAGGCGTGCATCACCACACCTGGCTAATTTTTTGTATTTTTAGTGGAGACAGGGTTTCACCATGGCCAGGCTGGTCTTGAACTCCTGATCTCAGGTGATCCACCCGCCTCGGCCTCCCAGAGTGTTGGGATTACAGGCATGAACATGATTGAGTACTGTGATCCTTGGGGCTCAGCTCGTGTCCCGAACTGTGAAGTCTAAGCACACATTTCCCACACTGTCAGAACAGAAGGCCCAGCAAGCCCGCTTGAGCACCTCCCTGACAGTGGGGAAACCTGCTCTCCCAGCTGCCTTCCCCCTGGTTTCCTTACATGCCTTAAAAGCTTGACCCCTCCGACGGGGAAAAGCAGGGCAGGGGTCTCAACCCCTGTGGCTGCTGTAGGTGGTCTGGGCTTGCCTGGCAGGGTGTAGGGTGGCAGACACTGCCTCATTCCCCGACTACTCCCGATGGGTCACCAGGGGCCTTCCTGCAGGGCATGACTCTGGCCAAGGAGATCCGAGACCAGGAGCGGGGAGGGCGCACCTATGTAGGCGTGGTGGACGGAGAGAATGAATTGGCATCCCCGAAGCTGATGGAGGTGATGAACCACGTGCTGGGCAAGCGCAGGGAGCTGAAGGCGGCCGTGCCCGACACGGTGGTGGAGCCGGCACTCAAGGCTGCACTCAAACTGTACCAGTGAGCGCCCAGCGGGGTCTTCCTGGGTGCTGGGGACTCCCTGGGAGAAGGTGCCCTGGCTGAGGGACTTGGGCCCCCTCCCCATCTATGCCTTGCTTCTGTCCTGCAGTGTGTCTGACTCCGAGGGGAATCTGGTGGTGAGGGAAGTCGCCACACGGCCACTGACACAGGACCTGCTCAGTCACGAGGTAAGAGGGTCTGGAGACCCCTCAGCCTACTGCAGCCTGGCCCCCTTTCCCTCAAGCAGGAAAAATTCCAGGGGGCTTGGGGTGGGCCTGGGAGGGAGAGACTTTTTTGTGTGTGAGGCTTTCCCAGTCCAGCACCTCCAGCTCCATCAGACTCTTACCTCTCCCGACTCTAGGACTGTTACATCCTGGACCAGGGGGGCCTGAAGATCTACGTGTGGAAAGGGAAGAAAGCCAATGAGCAGGAGAAGAAGGGAGCCATGAGCCATGCGCTGGTAGTGGTGGGGGCGGGGGAGGGTCCAGGAGGAGGGCAGAGTGATGGGAGGGAGAGAGCAGATAGCAGCATGGGGTGGGCAGGCAGGCTCAGACCAGGGCATAGTGCCAGGCAGAGGCAGGGAAGGCTGGGAGGAGCAGGATGAGGGCTGGGCCCGGCCCAATGGGAGGGGCCTGAGGGGCCATTCTGTGGTCATCTTCGGGGTTCTCTGCACACCAGGGAGCCAACCACCAGGCAACCCTGGGGCCACCTCAGGATGTGGGCTCTCACCTCCCTGCACCTGAGCTGAGTTTGGAGAAGGGAAGGAGAAATGGAGGGAGGCTGGCTTCCTACAAAAGGGGATTGGGTCAGCTCAGACCAGGGCCAAGTCAGAGTTTGGGGTCATTGCTGGGGCTGGAGTCGTAACCCTAACTGGCTTGGGGCCAGTGTTGGATTGGGGACTGGGCATTAGGATTAGCATTGAGGTAGGGTCACATTAGGCGTTAGATTTGGCTTTGGGATTGGGGTCAGAGTTGTGTTTCGGTATTAGATTTGAAGCTGAGGTCAGAGTGAGTCTTGAGGCCAGTGTTAGGTTTCAGGCGGTATCAGATTTGACCTTGAGGCTGGGGTCAGAGTAGGGTTAGGTTGGGGATTAGCATTGGGATTGGGTTTGGGTTCAGTTTTGGTGCCGGGGTAGATCTGATGGTGGATCTGGTTAGGTTAGAGCTAGGTTTTGGCTTGCATTGGGAGTGGGGACTAGGGGAGGTGCATAGCTTCCAGCCACCCCTTTCTCTTCCAGAACTTCATCAAAGCCAAGCAGTACCCACCAAGCACACAGGTGGAGGTGCAGAATGATGGGGCTGAGTCGGCCGTCTTTCAGCAGCTCTTCCAGAAGTGGACAGCGTCCAACCGGACCTCAGGCCTAGGCAAAACCCACACTGTGGGCTCCGTGGGTGAGGGCCAGGCGGGGGCAGTGAGGGAGCCAGGATCCAGGAGCTGGGCCAGGAGAGCCACTTGGTCCACCACCCACCCTCCTTCCCTGACGTGCATCTTCAACGAAGACTTTTACGCTGGCTCTGGGCTTGTCCTAGCAGATGGGGACGTGGACAAACTCTAGTTGTCACAAAAAGGGAGCTGAGAGGGCTGGGCATGGTGGCACATGCCTGTAATCCCAGCACTTTGGGAGGCTGAGGCGGGTGGATCACCTGAGGTCAGGAGTTTGAGATTAGCCTAACATGGTGAAACCCCGTCTCTACTGAAAAAAAGAACTAATAAATTAGCCAAGCATGGTGGTGCATGCCTGTAACCCCAGCTACTCAGAAGGCTGAGGCTGGAGAATCGCTTGAATTCAGGAGGCAGAGGCTGCAGTGAGCCAAGATCATGCCATTGCACTCCAGCCTGGGCAACAAGAGCGAAACTCCATCTCAAAAAAAAAAAAAAAAAAAAAAGGGGAGCTGTCAGTGATGTGATATTTCATTTGGGATGGGGTTGGGCCTCCCTGAAAACCGAACAGCTTCAGTCTCTTACCAGCCAGTATTTGCTGAGGGCAAGCTCGGTGCCCAGCACCTAGGAGAGGACAAGTAATAGTGTACAGCCCCCAACATTGCACAGCTCCCTATTGAGCTGGGAGACAAGGTCAAGGCTTGAAGTCTGAATGCTGCAGGGGTCAGGACGTAGATCAACAAAGCTAAAGCCTTGCTCTTATGCCTCTCCTGGCTCCCTGGGAGCAGGAGTTTTAGAGGGAGGGAGATGTGGTTCTCTATTGTAGCTCTGCCACATTCTGTGCAACCAGGTAAGCTACTGAATCTCTCTTGCCTCGGTTTCCTCATCTGAAAATGAGTCTAAGAATTGTAGCCACCATTCAGGGCTGTTGTGAGGACCTGGGAGACCTCAGCTGGTGACAGTTGGTTTCATGATTTCCCCCACTCTAGCCAAAGTGGAACAGGTGAAGTTCGATGCCACATCCATGCATGTCAAGCCTCAGGTGGCTGCCCAGCAGAAGATGGTAGATGATGGGAGTGGGGAAGTGCAGGTATGTGAGGGCAGAGAGGCCCGTGCTGGGTGGAGCAGGAATGGTGGAGCCTGTCCTGGACCTCACCCTGGCCTGATACTGGCCCTAGGTGTGGCGCATTGAGAACCTAGAGCTGGTACCTGTGGATTCCAAGTGGCTAGGCCACTTCTATGGGGGCGACTGCTACCTGCTGCTCTACACCTACCTCATCGGCGAGAAGCAGCATTACCTGCTCTACGTTTGGCAGGTCAGGTCCCGCCACGTCCCACCCAGAGCACAGCCGGCTTAGCTCTGCCTTGTACATACTCCTGCTAAGTGGCCATCACCCTTGGGTTGAATACCTCTGGGGATGGGGTGCTCACCCCTTCAAGAAGGACTGCTTTGGCTATGAGGTCCCGCTAGTACCCCCATTCACAGCCCTTTTCCTTTTGGTTCTCTGAGTCTCCCTTCCAATTTTCATTGCCTTCTGCACATTCTTGTCACCTGCTCTGCCCATGGGTTTTTGTGTCTAGATGCGAGGGAGCAGGGAGTGTGTCTAGGACTGAGTGGTGTGGTGCCTGTGATGTCTCCCTGAAGAAGGAGCAGAAAGGAAAGGAGGAGGTTTGGGGTTAAGGCTGGGGTTGCAGGTAGGTCAGGGCTGGGCTGGGTCTGGGAAAGAATTAGGTTTGAGGTTGAGATCAGAACTGAGGTATGGTTCAGATTGGGGTTTTGGCTGTTTCACAGTGGAGTTTGGTGGGGAAGACAATTGGGTTTAGGACCAGTTCAGACTTGAGGATGGAGTTGTTGCTGAGGCTGAGGATGGGGTCAGAATTGGGGGCTGACCCAATCCCACTCACTCCCTCCTGCTCATCCCCAGGGCAGCCAGGCCAGCCAAGATGAAATTACAGCATCAGCTTATCAAGCCGTCATCCTGGACCAGAAGTACAATGGTGAACCAGTCCAGATCCGGGTCCCAATGGGCAAGGAGCCACCTCATCTTATGTCCATCTTCAAGGGACGCATGGTGGTCTACCAGGTGTGGCTGCTGAACTGAGGTGTCTGGCAGTAACCACTGTGGCAAGACAGGCATCCGGGAGATGGAGAAGGGGATGGGTGGTGGGAGCAGGGCTTGAGGTGAAGCCCATTCTTCATAGGAGACTACCCTGGAGGTTCTATCACCTATGTGGAACTGGTAATAGAAACAACCCATTTGGTTACTTTAGAAATACGTGTAATTGGGCCGGGCATGGTGGCTCACGCCTGCAATCCCAGCACTTTGGGGGGCTGAGGCGGGTGGATCACCTGAAGTCAAGAGTTCAAGACCAGCTTGACCAACATGGTGAAACCCCATCTCTACAAAAATACAAAAATTAGCCAGGCATGATGGTGGGTGCCTGTAATCTCAGCTACTCAGGAGGCTGAGGCAGAAGAATCTCTTCAACCTGGGAGGCGGAGGTTGCAGTGAGCCGAGATTGTGCCAATGCACTCCAGCCTGGGCAACAGAGGGAGACTCCATCTTTAAAAAAAGAAAAAAAAAAAATGCCGGTTGCGGTGGCTCTCACCTGTAATCCCAGCACTTTGAGAGGCTGAGGTGGGTGGATCACCTGAGGTCAGTAGTTCAAAATGAGGGCATGCAATGCAGGGGGCACAGCAAGGACAAGGGCCTGGGGGAGAGGCTCCCTGGGGAACATCAGAAGCCTGGTGGAACTGGCCAGGCATGGTGGTTCACGCCTGTAATCCCAGCACTTTGGGAGGCAGAGGTGGGTGGATCACCTGAGGTCAGGAGTTCGAGAGCAGCCTGGCCAACATGGCAAAACTCTGTCTCTACTAAAAATACAAAAATTAGCCAAACGTGGTAGTGCACACTTGTAATCCCAGCTACTGGGGAGGCTGGGGCAGGAGAATGGCTTGAACCTGGGAGACGCTGAGTCAGGATCACACCATTGCACTCCAGCCTGGGCAACAGAGCGAGACTCCGTCTCAAGGAAAAAAAAAAAAAGGCTAGGCGCTGTGGCTCACAACTGTAATCCCAGCACTTTGGGAGGCCAAGGCGGGCGGATCTCCTGAGGTTGGGAGTTCGAGACCAGCCTGACCAACATGAAGAAACCCCGTCTCTACTAAAAATATAAAAATTAGCCGGGCGTGGCAGTGGGTGCCTACAATCCCAGCTACCCAGGAGGCTGAGGCAGGAGAATTGCTTGAACCCAGGAGGCAGAGGGTGCAGTGAGCTGAGATAGTGCCATTGCACTCCAGCCTGGGGAACAAGAGCAAAACTCCGTCTCAAAAAAAAAAAAAAAGCCTGGCAGAGCTAGCTGGAGGGTTTGATGGCAGCAGTGTCTGCAAAGGCAGTTTGCATCTTCGTCATGTGGGGCCTTCAAAGGCAAAGCTGAGGAGCTGGGCTTTAGGCTAGAAGCAATGGGGAGTCACTGAACATTTTTGAAAAGAGAAACGCTGTGATGCAAACAATGTTTTAGAAAGACCTGGTGACGGAGCATCAGAGGAGCTCAGGGGCAAACCTCCCCGCCCTACCCTATCCCCCTCTGTTCCCCATCATCTTCTTTACTAAGTGACTCCTGACTCTCTCTCCCTGTCTTCTGCCCTCACCTGCAGGGAGGCACCTCCCGAACTAACAACTTGGAGACCGGGCCCTCCACACGGCTGTTCCAGGTCCAGGGAACTGGCGCCAACAACACCAAGGCCTTTGAGGTCCCAGCGCGGGCCAATTTCCTCAATTCCAATGATGTCTTTGTCCTCAAGACCCAGTCTTGCTGCTATCTATGGTGTGGGAAGGTGTGTTCAGGGTCTAGAGGCCTCCCCATCCGCAAGTGGGTCCTGGGAGTCCCCCAGTTTCGCAGCAGCCCTAGGTCAGGGCAGGAACCCCTGGCCAACTAAGTTGTGCCTGCTCAATTCTCAGCCGCCTCTGGAGCCCAGTCTCTCCCTCCTCAGTAGCTCTGGGTCTATCCTTCTGCCTCATCAATGACCATCCTCAGATTCTCTGCCTCTCTGTCGGAGTCAGTCTCTCTTGTTCTGTTTCTCTGGCCACCTCCATCTGTCCCTGTGTTGGTCTGTCTTTATGTCTTGGGCTCTCTCTCACTACCCTGAGCCTGTCACTGCCTCTCCTTTGATCTCTGTAAGAAGAATGCATAGCCTCTTGGAGTCCCTCTCGAACCTTGAAAAGACTCTCTAGTTTCTTCTGCTATTCTTTGGAGTGTCAAGGACAGAAGAAAGCATGGAATTGTCCCTGTGTGGCCTGTATACACAAGGTCCTGACCCAGGAGAGCCCTCTTTGACCCCTGAACTCTGGGCAGTGAATGTAGTAGGAGGGTGGAGGTAGGGGTGGCACTAGAAATTAGCCAACTCTTTTTTTTCCTAGGGTTGTAGCGGGGACGAGCGGGAGATGGCCAAGATGGTTGCTGACACCATCTCCCGGACGGAGAAGCAAGTGGTGGTGGAAGGGCAGGAGCCAGCCAACTTCTGGATGGCCCTGGGTGGGAAGGCCCCCTATGCCAACACCAAGAGGTAACTCTCAGGTCCCTCCGCCTCCAGGTTACCAAGGTGGGGGAGCCGCCCAGCATCTCCATCCCTACACCCAGAGCCTACAGCAGGCATGGACTGAGGACTCTGTGTGTCAGGCACTGTGCCAGACCCCCAGGGCTACAAGATGAATAAAGGGCAGCCCATACCCTTGGAGCCTCTTGGCACAGGGGCTGTGTCTGTGCTGCTCACTACAGTATGCCCAGGACCTGGTGGGGTATTTCCTTGGCAAAGGGAATTCCTGGCCATAGGAGGCAGCTCAAAGCAAGGGGCAGGGCTAGAGGTTTGCCTTTCAGTAACAAGATGCCAGAGGCCAGCCTGCTTTTAGGTCCTGACACAGGCCTGGGATGCTGAGGAGCCCCAGCCACAAGCCCTCTTTCAAATGGTTTTGTTTTGTTTTTGTGACAGAGTCTCGCTCTGTCAACTAGGCTGGAATGCAGTGGTGCAATCTCAGCTCACTGCAGCCTCTGCCTCCGCCTCCCAGGTTCCAGCAATTCTCCTGCTGCAGCCTCCTGCGTAGCTGAGATTACAGGCGCCCACCACCGTGCCCGGCTAATTTTTGTATTTTTAGTAAAGACAGGGTTTCACCATGTTGGCCAGGCTGGTCTTGAACTCCTGACCTCAGGTGATCCACCTGCCTCAGCCTCCCAAAATGCTAGGATTACAGGTGTGGGCCACGGTGACTGGCTCAAATGGTTTTTCTAGAGAATATCCATGATCTACTAGTCCCTAGTTCAAAAGCAAAAGGGCATGTACTGTAGTAGCAGTAGGAGGGATGGAGGGAAGATATCAGGAAGAACTTCCTAACAAGGCTCTGCAAAAGACACTGGAATGCATGTCCAGAAAGCAGTGACAATTTCTTCCTCAGAGCACTCTTGGAATGAGAGGGGACCCTTTTATCAATCAGAAGATAGAGCATTTTGCTGGAGATGACCTTTCTATGCCAGAGTCCCTTCCTCAGAGTTCTGTGTCCTCAATTCTCCTTTTGCCACACCTTCCTTCTGCCAGTACAATCTTCTCTCCATCCTGCAGACTACAGGAAGAAAACCTGGTCATCACCCCCCGGCTCTTTGAGTGTTCCAACAAGACTGGGCGCTTCCTGGCCACAGAGATCCCTGACTTCAATCAGGATGACTTGGAAGAGGATGATGTGTTCCTACTAGATGTCTGGGACCAGGTAGGACCAAGGGCCTGGGGACCCCTCTTCCCAGCCACCTCAATCCCCAGGGCCAAGAAAGAGTGGCTTTAAGGTTAGGTAAGTGTCAATGTTTTCTTGGCCCTTACATAATTTCTCCCTGGAAATGGTATGAACACCAGAAGTGTAAGAAAGAAGGAAGGTGGGGAGGAACATGCTCAGAGGGGCTGCAGGGAAGAACGTATTCTCTCCCAAAGTCCTATTTATTTCACATGGCAGCAGGAGTGTTTTTGAGAATCCTGGGCTTTGGACAGTCTGGGAGACACACATTTGCAGAATATCCAAGTACAAGGCATCTGTCCAACCTTCTAATTTCCCAGATACAAATTCAAGGCCAGATGATGCCTGCCCTAGGTCATTTGGCTGGTAGTGGTAGAGTCAGGGTCAAGGTCAGGGTTTCACTGTTGGACAACTGAGGCAGAGCCCTGTGGGCCAGGGAGGACAGGAAGGATGGACTGATCCCCTGGGTTTCTCAATAGGTCTTCTTCTGGATTGGGAAACATGCCAACGAGGAGGAGAAGAAGGCCGCAGCAACCACTGCACAGGAATACCTCAAGACCCATCCCAGCGGGCGTGACCCTGAGACCCCCATCATTGTGGTGAAGCAGGGACACGAGCCCCCCACCTTCACAGGCTGGTTCCTGGCTTGGGATCCCTTCAAGTGGAGTGTGAGTGGCCTCATCCCAGCATGTCCTTCTCTAGCCCTGCCTGGAGATCAGTGCTGATTCCTGCAGGCCATTCTGTCTCTTTGGGATATATGACCTGCTGATTTAGAAAGGGGCTAGAGGAGGCTTAGAATAGAAAGTAAGGCTGCACTAAGGCCATTAGGCCTCTGGTGAGAGGGAAGAAGTCTATCAAAAACCAAGGCTAATTATAGTGCCTTGTTTGTGCACTACATTTAGAGCAAAGCTGCTGGATAGTATAGGTAAGAAATGTACTGATTACTTAAATTAAAATTAAACACAGTTCAAAATTCAGTTTGTCACTAGCCACATGTGGCAGCTGGCTACTGTGTTGGGCAGCAGAGGTGAGAATGTTCTCATCATTGCAGCAACATGGTGGATCCTCCATGCCAGCTGAAACACGTTGGTTCTAAAGGACTGACAAATGTCTTCCTGGTGCTAAATTCTAAGCAAAATGGGTCATGTGTGTGGTCCTTACCTGAGGGATGGTGTGCCAACCTCCCACGGGGTGTTTCCTAAACTGGCCCCACATAGAAGCAAGGGGCAGATACCCACAATGGAACTCCAGCAAAGGTTTTCGGTAGGAAGAAGGCCAAGGTACAGTGAAGCCTGGCCTGGTGGCTCTGGGTGCTCTAAATTGTCACAACAGATGGCTTTAGGGAAGCAGAAAGCTTAATTTCCTTAAATTTGTTGGTTTGTTTTTTTAAATTCTGCAGTTAGATGGGCTTTTAGTTTTTACTCAAGGCAGCATATCGAGATGCCAGGTTTTCTCAATCCACTTTAGTTATCACCTTTCCCTCACCTCAAGTGTGTGCTGGCTTCTCTCTCAGCCTCATTCACTCATTCATTCATTCATTCATTCAGCATAAGTGTGCTCTAGGATATGGAGATGGGACTCCTCAGAGCCATGGTCCCTTCACTCCTCTGTGGCAGGGCTCCCTTCTATTATCTGGGGGGACCCCCACCCATCCCCAGGAGCCCTGCATTTCCCAGAGCCTACATAGCCTAGGCAGGGTTCTCCATACTGCCTGTGGGTTCTTGCCCTGGCCCCTGCAGGTGGCAAAAGATCCTGCCCATCCCCATGTCAGGCTGAGCTGGGACAAATATAGCCTGCGCTCCACTTTTCTGATCTGGCAGCCCCTCTGGTCCCAATCTCACCATCTAATCTCCTTTTTCAGGGACCCTCCTCCAGCCTCAGCCTTCATATCCTCTTTCCTTTCTTACCACTAGGCCCCAGACCAGCCTTCTTTTCATTCCTGAGGGAAAATGGCTTCTCATCCATCTCCTCTGCTGAGATCCAGGTCTAATCTGTTATTTACTTTATGTGCAGAACACCAAATCCTATGAGGACCTGAAGGCGGAGCTTGGCAACTCTAGGGACTGGAGCCAGATCACTGCTGTGAGTCCGGGGCGGGGTGGCTGGGCCCTGCAGTGGCCAGCTGGTGGTCAGACCTGTGGGAGCCAAGAACGCTGCAGAGAAGACACCAGAGTCCTGTGCTTTCCCTCCTATTTCTCCCCCACTTCTCATTCTTCTTGCTGTTTTACTTCAGTGCCTCTAGTGGTTTTGTTTCCTCAATTTCCTAGTGAAATGGTTCTCAATTTTTTTTTTTTTTTTTTTTTTGAGACACAGTTTCACTCTGCCTCCCAGGCTGGAGTGCAGTGGCAGGATCTCAGCTCACTGCAACCTCCACCTCCTGGGTTCAAGTGATTCTCATGCCTCAACCTCCCAAGTAGCTGGGATTACAGGTGTGTGCCACCACGCCTGGCTAATTTTTGTATTTTTAGTAGAGACGAGGTTTCACCATGTTGGCCAGTCTGGTCTCAAACTCCTGACCTCAAGTGATCCACCAGCCTCGGCCTCCCAAAGTGCTAGGATTGCAGGCATGAGCCACCACACCTGGCCTGGTTCTCAAATTTTATCATGCATAGAAGTCGGGGAGATGGGGGCAGGGAGTGAGGGGGAAGCATATTAAAATGCAGATTCCAAGGCCCCATTCCCAAATATTCTGGTTTATAGACTTAGAATTGGCACCTAGGAATCTGCATCTTTTAAATCTTATTTTAAAAAGGTAATTTCATGTAGTTAGTCCATGGACTACACTTTGAGAAATAATGCTGTCTCTATACTCCATCACCTTTGGGATCCCTTCTCTAGGTAGAATAACTACAACTCCTTTGGTCTTTCAGTGAGTTAACAGAAGTGTATTTAGGCTGGGCACAGTGGCTCACGCCTGTAATCTCAGCACTTTGGGAGGCCGAGGTGGGTGGATTGCTTGAGCCCAGGAGTTTGAGACTAGTCTTCGTAACATGGGGAAACCCCATCTTTACAAAAAATAAAAAACAGCCAGGTGTGGTGGTGCGTGCTTGTGGTCCCAGCTACTCAGGAGGCTGAGGTGGGAGGTTGGTTTGAACCCAGGAGGCAGAGGTTGCAGTTAGCTGAAATTGTGCCACTGCACTCCAGCCTGGGCAACAGAGTCAGACCCTGTCTCAAAAAAAAAAAAAAAAAAAAACCCGAAAAAAGAAAAGAAAAAAAATGTATTTAGCCTTTAGGCCTGGGACACGGGAATATGAAATCAAAACCTTTGCTTTGAGAAGTTCACAGGCTTATAGAGAGAACAAGACAGAGCTAACTCTGAGGAATGTGTCCAGAATTCAAGAGCAAGTTCACAAGCACACTGGGGTATAATCAACAGATGGTCAAAACCTGCAGCACTCATGAAACCCTTCTTGGTGGACTGACAGTACAGACTGGCATGTATAGATAGGTCAAGGTTAAGTGAATTTATAGATGACAATTTCACAACAGATAAGAGAGACAGGGTCATAAATATCCAGGCTAGATCTCCAACTCTGGGGAAAGCCATGGGAAAGTTAATGAATCGTTAAAGAAAAGAGTCATTTTCCACCAATGGACTTCGGTCAGAACAGACCACTAAGCTCTATGTTGTTGTTGTTGTTGTTTTGAGGAGTCTCTCTCTGTTGCCCAGGCTGAAGTGCAGTGGCGCAATCTCAGCTCACTGCAACCTCCACCTCCCAGGTTCAAACGATTCTCCTACCTCAGCCTCCTGAGTAGATGGGATTACAGGCGCCTGACACCACACCTGGCTAAGTTTTGTATTTTTAGTAGAGATGCGGTTTCACCATGTTAGACAGGCTGGTCTTGAACTCCTGACCTCAAGTGATCCACCCACCTCAGCCTCCCAAAGTGCTGGGATTACAGGCGTGAGCCACTGCACCCAGCCTATGTTGTTCTTATGAGTGTGTGTGTGGCAGGGTGGGGTGGGACATGGGAGGCTTCTTGAAGGTGGTGCCCTAGAGACTTCAGAGAGAAAGGCAGCCTGGGAGGTAGCTGTGCACCAGCTAAAGTAACCAGTGGTTTCCTTTTCTTTCCTAGGAGGTCACAAGCCCCAAAGTGGACGTGTTCAATGCTAACAGCAACCTCAGTTCTGGGCCTCTGCCCATCTTCCCCCTGGAGCAGCTAGTGAACAAGCCTGTAGAGGAGCTCCCCGAGGGTGTGGACCCCAGCAGGAAGGAGGTAGGTCAGATTCTCAAAGGAAGACAAAGAAGTCCATTTGTTGGACCACCATAGTTGACTCCCAGATTTGGCCCTGCAGGTGACTAGGTGCTGGGGATGAACAAGACAGATGGGATCCTGCCTTCATGCCACCTTATATCCCAGGAGGAGAGAGATCAGAGAAGCCTGGTTACACTATTATTTAATTTCAGGGTTAAGTGCCAGAAAGGTGAAGTACAGGAGCTGTGAAGAGTATTACAAACAGGGCCGGGTGCAGTGGCTCATGCCTGTAATCCCAGCACTTTGGGAGGCCGAGGTGGGTGGATCACCTGAGGTCAGGAGTTTGAGACCAGCCTGACCAATATGGGGAAACCCCATCTCTACTAAAACTACAAAAATTAGCCAGGTGTGGTGGTGTATGCCTGTAATCCCAGCTACTCGGGAGGCTGAGCCATGAGAATTGCTTGAACCCGGGAGGTGGAGGTTGCAGTGAGTCAAGATCATGCCACTGCACTCCACCCTGGGTGACAGAGTGAGACTGTCTCAAAAAAAGAAAAAAAAAAAAGGTATTACAAAGAGGAGCCTGATTTAGAGATTTCTTTCTGAAAGACAAATAGGAATTATTGAGGCAAAGTAAGTTAGTTCTGGAGAAGGGACAGCTAACATGAAGCCCAAAGGCAAGGAATAAAAATGGGGGCAAAACTGCAAGAGGGCCAGAGTGGCTGTGGTGGTGTGCAGAGCCAGGGAGGGAGGCAGGGCTGAACTGGCAGTGCCTTCTACCCCAAGTTAAGGATCGTATCATGTATCCTGGTGGTGAAGGGGAGTATCATTATGGTTGAAGTAGCAGAGTGACAGACTTACATTGGCCTGGCACGGTGGCTCATGCCTGTAATCCCAGCACTTTGAGAGGCCGAGGAATGCGGATCACCTGAGGTCAGGTGTTCGAGACCAGCCTGGCCAACATGGTGAAACCCCATCTCTACTAAAATTACAAAAATAGCCGGGCATGGTGGCTTGTGCCTATAATCCCAGCTACTCGGGATGCTGAGGCAGGAGAATCACTTGAACCCAGGAGGTGGAGGTTGCAGTGAGCCGAGATTTCACCATTGCACTCCAGCCTGGGCGACAAGAGTGTAACTCCATCTCAAAATGATAATAATAATAATAATTATAGCTTCTCATCGAACAATAGCCTGGAAGGTGGCAAGAGCAGCCATAGGAACACCAGTTAGGAGAGACAGCACAGCTGCTCTCAGGCCGACAGGTAGGTGGGAACCTAGAACAAGTCATGGTGGAGGAGGTGGAGAGAAACATTTAGGAGGTAAAATCAATGATATTTGGTAATTACTGGATAAAGAGTATGAGAGAAGAGAAAATAGCATCATTCTCCAAGATAGAAAACTGGATCAGGCTGAGCTTAGGGGAAGACAATCATGAGTTTGGTGGTAGCTATGTCCTTTGAGGTTTAGATACATGTTCAGTGGGCAAGCAATTCAGAGGAACACCAGGGCAGAGATATGAATTTAAGACTCATCAGCACATGGTCCATCTGGTAACTGGGGTTAGCACAGCAAGAAGAGCTTGTTCAAAACACTTTTTGTGTATGTGTGGGGAATGGAGTTTGGGGCTGGACACTTTTTTTTAAATTTTAGATAAGATCTCACTCTGTTGCCCAGGCTGGAGTGCTGTTGCAATCATGGCTTACTACAGCCTCAACTTTCTGGGCTCAAGTGATCCTCCCACCTCAGCCTCCCAAAGTGTTGGAATTACAGCGACTGCACCCAGCCTAAGAACACATTTCTAATATTCAATCCCACTTCATGAAGATCCAAAATAGGCTGCCAATCTAGCTTAGGGGTATTGAGAGGAGAGATAATATACTCTGTATAATAAGTCATAAAGTAGTCTTACAAATGAATCAAGGGATCTACAGAAGAGAGATACCTAGTTTCTCTCTCAGAACATCAAAGTCTGTTAAGGGTTTCGGCTCAATATTTATATAAGTGTTTTGTTCTCAGAGAATTTCAATTCTGCCTTTTACCTTAGAGAGCACATTCCTGTGTTCTCTCCTGGATTCTCCCACCTGTGAGGTTGCTGGGAGGCTAGGAGGCACATGGGTCCTCACTGTAACATTGGGATGATCCCTGTATGATGACAAGCTAAGCCCAGCCCTTGGTACATAGTACTCTACAAATGAAAGCTGTTATTATTGCCTGTTCTACACCTGAGAAAACTGAAGTCCAGAGAGATGAAGTGACTTGCCTAACATTACTAGTTAGTTGCAAAGCCAGAGCAAGAACCAGGCCTTCAGAGTCCCACTGTTACCATCATGCCATGCAGCATAAAGGAGGTATTTCTTTCTTTTTTTTTTTTTTGAGATGGAGTCTTGCTCTGTCGCCCAGGCTGGAGTGCAGTGGCGCGATCTCGGCTCACTGCAACCTCTGCCTCCCAGGTTCAAGCGATTCTCCTGCCTCAGACTCCAAGTAGCTAGGATTACATCCGCACACCACCACGCCTGTCTAATTTTAGTATTTTTAGTAGAGACGGGGTTTCACCATGTTAGCCAGGCTGGTCTCAAACTCCTGACCTTAGGTGATCTGCCCACCTTGCCCTCCCAAAGTGCTATTACAAGCATGAGCCACCACGCCCGGCCAATAATGGAGGTGTTTCTAAAGGAGGACAGCCAATGTTATTGAACCAGAGGATTGATGGAAGGCAGAAATGGATTGCTAATTTTAAATAGACAGACTCAAGACAGCCCCATTATGGTAGAAGCAGTCAAAGAAGGCTTAGATTCTTTTGTAAAAATCAGTTTTCTGTGGTTTTTTTTTGAGACAGAGCCTCTTTCTGTTGCCCAGGCTGAAGTGAAGTGGCACAAGCTTGGCTCACTGCAACCTCCGCCTCCCGAGTTCAAGCAATTCTGCTGTCTCAGCCTCCTTAGTAGCTGGGACTACAGGCGCACACCATCACGCCTGGCTAATTTTTGTATTTTTAGTAGAGATACGGTTTCACCATATTGGCCAGGCTGGTGTCCAACTCCTGACTTCAGGTGATCGACCTGCCTCTGCCTCCCGAAGTGCTGGGATTACAGGCATAAGACGCTGCGCCTAGCCTGTGGCTGATTTTTTTGTTTTGTTTTTTGAGATGGGGTTTCACTCTTGTTGCCCAGGATGGAGTGCAATGGTACAATCTCGGCTCACTGCAACCTCCACCTCCCTGGTTCAAGCAATTCTCCTGCCTCAACCTCCCAAGTAGCTGGGATTACAGGCGTGCGCCACCATACCCGGCTAATTTGTTTTTGTATTTTTAGTTGAGACAGGGTTTCACCAGATTGGTCAGGTTGGTCTCAAACTCCTGACCTCAGGTGATCCACCCGCCTCAGCCTCCCAAAGTGCTGGGATTATAGGCATGAGCCACCACACCTGGACTGAAGCTGATTTTTTTTCTTTTTTTTTTGAGATGGAGTCTTGCTCTGTCGCCCAAGCTGGAGTGCAGTGGCACGATCTCGGTTCACTGCAAGCTCTGCCTCCTGGGTTCACGCCATTCTCCTTCCTCAGCCTCCCGAGTAGCTGGGACTACAGGCGCCCGCCATCACGCCCGGCTAATTTTAGTATTTTTAGTAGAGACGGGGTTTCACTGTGTTAGCCAGGATGGTCTCGATCTCCCGACCTTGTGATCTGCCCGCCTTGGCCTCCCAAAGTGCTGGGATTACAGGCGTGAGCCACCGTGCCCGGCCGGCCTGTAGCTGATTTTTTAATCATGGAAGTAGTATACATTCTTGTGGGAGAGCTGAGTTCAGTGTCATGTGGGAGTGTAGGAGAGGTTTTCAGATCTCTCTGTCTGCTCCAATCTTGCAAGGTGAGCCAGTGACAACAGTGGGGTGGTGGGTCTGGCTGCAGGCAGAGCAAGATAGTAATCTAAGTATTTGTGCACTGATGAGTAAACAACAGGGAGGCGGATGTAGGCATGGGTGAGGCTGGTAATCAGCTGGCAGGACTGCAGAGTTCAAGAACAGGACCAATGGAAAGATACAAGTCCACTAGGATGGGTAGTCCCTGCTATCTAGCCTGAGGGGTCAGAGTCCAGCAGTCTTGACAAAGCGGAAGAGCCAGCCTGGCTGGACCAGAGAGAGCAAAGACCTAGGACATAGCAGCCACAGCTGTGAGGAACCTGGGGGGAGGGTGCTACAAACAGATTTGGGGTATGGCAGCTTCTCCCCATCCACTGATCCCCAAATCATTTATATTTACTCTCTTCTTCCAAAACCAAGTACTCAGCCGAGTGCGGTGGCTCATGCCTGTAATCCCAGGCACTTTGGGAGGCCAAGGCGGGCAGATTGCTTGAGCCCAGGAGTTTGAGACCAGCCTGGGCAACAAAGTGAGACCCTGTCTCTACAAAAAATACAAAAATTAGCCCGGTGTGGTGGCGTGCACCTGTAGTCCCAGCTACCTGGGAGGGTGAGGTGGGAGGACTGCTTGAGCCCAGGAGATTGGGGCTGCAGGTGATCTGTGATTGTGTCACCACACTCCAGCCTGGGTGACAGAGCAGGAGGACCCTGTCTCAACCTCCCCGCCAAAACAAAAAGAACCCCCAAACCAAAACCAAACACTTCACTACCCTGCCTCAGGGAGTGGGGAAGGCTTCCAGGAACCTTAAGGAGAGAATGCCCAGGGTGGGAGGCAAATCTATTGACAAGTTAGAGACTGGAGCATCAGACCCCCCTGAGGTTGAAATCCATCTATAGGTGTTTACTAAGAAGCTGTTTAATTCAGGGCTCTCTGTGGGAGTCAATAAAATGTTCCCTAGGGCAACTCCACCTTAGCAGAGCAGCCTAAGTATTAAAGGAAACCCACAGGTCTCACCTCTACCCTGTCTACCTCTTGGTGCTTAGAGGAGCAGAGATGAAGGCAGGGAGATGATGTTTTATAGCAACTTTAATTAGGGACTCTTAACTGAGTGTGCCTTGAGGGTATTTAGCTTGCCTTAAACAGTATCATTATCATCTTAGTGCTGGGAACAAAGGTCATTTCAGTGAATTCCTTCATCTTATGGCTGAAGACACCCAAGGCTTAGAAAGGTAGTGACTCCAGTTGTGATTTCTTAGCCAAGAGTAAAAAGGTAAAATTGTGCTATCTAATCTTCTGGATCATTCACAGGATGACAGAAGCTGGTACAAGTTGTTTATACAAATATTTTTTGACTCAAAAAGCTAGGCAAAATTTAGTTCTGAATTTGATCTTTGGCCTTCCTAGTGTCTTCTTTTGGAATCCTTCCCCCGACCTCAGTTGTACCTTCTGCCGCTACCCTCCCGCTCTAAGCAAAACCTGCTCCTACAAAATAATCTGACACATTCACAGAAGAATATAAAAAACTGATGAGGATTAACAAGTTGTCTTTTCTTTTCTTTTTTTGAGACAGAGTCTCACTCTGTTGCCCAAGCTGGAGTGCAGTGCCATCATCTTGGCTCACTGCAGCCTCCGCCTCCCAGGTTCAAGCTATTCTCCTGCCTCAGGCTCCCGAGTAGCTGAGAATACAGGTTCCCACCATCATGCCTGCTAATTTTTTGTATTTTTAGTAGAGATGGGGTTTCACCATGTTGGCCAGGCTGGTCTCGAACTCATGACCTCAGGTGATCCACCTGCCTTGGCCTCCCAAAGTGCTGGGATTACAGGTATGAGCCACTACGCCTGGCCAACAAGTTGCCTTTTAACTGGGAACCAAACCTGTAAGCCAAGAGTGATGAAGCTATCCATAATGGTAAAACTGTGGCCAACTGCAAGTGTTAATAGTTTACCTTGCAGGTCTGGGAGTTGAAAGCTGACAAGAGGGCTTTATAGTATACCTGAAACTCAAGGAATACTCAAGGAAGAAAGTCAGTATGGTGCAGTGGAACATATGTTGTAATCAAGTGACCTTGACTTTTTTTTTTTTTTTTTTTTTGAGACAGAGTCCCGCTCTGTTGCCCAGGCTGGAGGTGCAGTGGTGCGATCTCGCTCACTGCAATCTCCGCCTCCCAAGTTGAAGCAATTCTCCTGCCTCAGCCTCCGGAGTAGCTGGGATTACAGGCGCCTGCCACCACACCAAGCTAATTTTTGTGTTTTTAGTGGAGACAGGGTTTCACCATGTTGGTCAGGCTGGTCTCGAACTCCTGACCTCAAGTGATCCACTCGCCTTGGCCTCCCAAAGTGTTGGGATTACAGGTGTGAGCCAACGCGCCCGGCCTGACTTTCTTAAACTTTAGCTGCATCATGTGAAAATGAGAACATTCAAATCCGCCTCAGTTCCTTTCTAAGTGCCACAGCAGTATATGGAAATTAGATTCCTGCTTTGCTCCATCCATTAGGGCTGGATTGGGCCCTACTTCCCTTGCAGGCAGTCTGTTAACTTGAGCCAAAGCAAAGTAGGGCCCAGGAGGGAGACTTCTCCTGAGGGTGACAGGCTTTTGCTAGAAGAGTTGTATGTCCTGTGACAGCAATAAAATCTTTTTTTTGAGACAGGGTCTTTCTTGTTCTCTCACTCAGGCTGGAGTACAATGGCACTATCTTGGCTTACTGCAACCTCTGCCACCTGGGCTCAAGTGATCCTGCCACCTCAGCCTCCTCAGTAACTGGGACTATAGGCGTGCACCACCATGCCTGGCTAACTTTTGTATTTTTTTGGTAGAGATGGGGTTTCACCATGTTGCCCAGGCTGGTCTTGAACTCCTGAACTCAAGCAATCTGCCTGACTTGGCCTCCCAAAATACTGGAATTACAGACGTGAGCCACCACACCTGGCCCTAATAAAATCTCATTTACCCAGACTTGAGCAGATACCCTTATAGGGCTCATCTGCTTACTTTGTGGGCAGCTTGGATTCACTGTTTAAGTGGAGGTAAATGAACAACATACTTTGTTTTGTTTTTTTTTTGAGATGGAAAACTGTTGCCCAGGTTGGAGTACAGTGGCACAATCTCAGCTCACTGCAACCTCTGCCTCCTGGGTTCAAGCAATTCTCCTGCCTCAGCCTCCAGAGTAGCTGGGATTACAGGCGTGTGCCACCATACCTGCCTAATTTGTTTTCAGTATACTTTCATATGTAGTATTATTTTCATTTTCATAAAAGCAAGTGAAAATTTGCCTTTAAGAAATGTTTCTGGCTGGGGGTGGTGGCTCATGCTTATAATCCCAGCACTTTGGGAGGCCAAGACGGGTGGACTGTTTGAGCTCAGGGGTTCCAGACCTGCCTGGGCAACATGGTGAAACTTGATCTCTACAAAAAATACAAAAATTAGCCAGGTGTGGTGGTGCATGCCTGTGGTCCCAGCTACTCGGGAGGCTGAGGTGGGAGGATTGCTTGAGTCCAGGAGGTTGAGGCTGGAGTGAGCTGAGATTGTGCCACTGCACTCCAGCCTGTGTGACAGAGCAAGACCGTTTCAAAAAACAAAACAACAAAAAACAATGGCCAGGCATGGTGGCTCATGCCTGTAATCCCAGCATTTTGGGAGGTCAAGGCGGGCAGATCACTTGAGGCCAGGAGTTCGAGACCAGCCTGGCCAACAAGGCAAAACCTCATCTCTACTAAAAATACAAAAATTAGCTGGGCATGGTGCCAGGTGCCTGTAGTCCTAGCTACTCAGGAGGCTGAGGCAGAGTTATTTGAATCTGGGAGGTGGAGGTTGCAGTGAGCCGAGATCGTGCGCCACTGCTCTCCAGCCTGGGGAACACAGTAAGACACTGTCTTAAAAAAAAAAAAAAGTTCCCCATTTAATAGAGAGGAAACTAAGGCTTGGAAAGAGGAGTCCTAATTCTTATTTGGGCTAATGTGAACTTGACCCTTGTACAAAGAAAATCTCAATCTACCACACTACTATCTTTTTCATTGTTAAAAATTCAGGGATCAGGCCAGGTGTGCTGGCTCACACCTGTAATCCCAGCACTTTGGGAGGCCAAGTAGGGTGGATCACTTGAGGTCAGGAGTTCGAGACTAGCCTGGCCAACATGGTAAAATCCCGTCTCTACTAAAAACACAAAAGTTACCAGGGCATGGTGGCGCATGCCTCTAATCTCAGCTACTTGGGAGGCTGAGGCAGGAGAATCACTTGAAACCAGGAGGCGGAGGTTGCAGTGAATTGAGTTCATGCCACTACACTCCAGCCTGGGCAACAGAACAAGACATGGTCTGGAAAAAAAAAAAAATCAGGGATAAACCTCTGGAATACCAAAATACCATACTCTCCTCCTCTCCATCCCTTTCCTGGCTCTCCTGACACTGCTTCTGTTTACTCTTCATTTATTTGATTATATACCACATCTATGACTCATCAGAGCAAACGGTGCCTGAGGGTGAGGGAGGAAGGAAGGATATGTGACCTTTGCCCTCTGGTCCCTCTCTTCTTCTAGGAACACCTGTCCATTGAAGATTTCACTCAGGCCTTTGGGATGACTCCAGCTGCCTTCTCTGCTCTGCCTCGATGGAAGCAACAAAACCTCAAGAAAGAAAAAGGACTATTTTGAGAAGAGTAGCTGTGGTTGTAAAGCAGTACCCTACCCTGATTGTAGGGTCTCATTTTCTCACCGATATTAGTCCTACACCAATTGAAGTGAAATTTTGCAGATGTGCCTATGAGCACAAACTTCTGTGGCAAATGCCAGTTTTGTTTAATAATGTACCTATTCCTTCAGAAAGATGATACCCCAAAAGGAGCCTATGGTCCTCATTTCAACTTCTAAGGTCGCTAGATTGTTTCTATCCTGAGGTATTGCATCAATTTTAATACTCCTATAGTTTTCTCTTCTTAGAAGAGCACAAACACTCCATGGAACATTAGAGTTCTGAGGCACTACCCTAGCTTGTCCTCTATCATGACTCATTTTTATCTATGGCAGGTAGGCTGAAGCACTTTGCAGGTTTACATCTTCCCCAGAGTAACAGCTTTTCCTTTTCACATATACTTTCCTTACTGCCTTACTCAGTGGGTAAGTTAAAGGGCTGAAGGAGAGTTGAATGGTCCACAAGACTACCCTCTTAAGAGGTTTCACAAATTCCAAACAGTACCAGTGAGAGCAGCACTTCCACTGGGGCTAGGCTTGAGACCTAAAGGCAAGTATGAAATGCATATGCTACTTCACTCCCTCTCCCAACCCTTAATAATGAGGCAAAGCAAGAGCCTAGTGAAGGCCAATGCTAGGTTTACAAACTTACCCAGAAGCCTCTGCAAAGCTTCACAGGCTCCTCAGATGAAAATAACAGGAATCAATGGGGACTACGGCCAGACACTGGTTTGCCATTCTGTTCCTTTTAAGAAGTAACAGTGCTGCAAGGAAGTCCATGTCAGAAAGCCAACAGAAGGTGATTTCCACAACTTTGAACAGGTTGTTACAAGTATCAGCAAGAATGTGTCCTTTTCAGAAATAACAGTCAAATCAAAGAAGGTTAATAAAGGCTTTAATTTCATACACACAAAAAAACTCTATGCATAATTTAAAAAGGAAACAAAAACAAAGAAAAACCGTAAAGGATACAGAGGAACAGTTCTGCTAAAACACAGATAAAAGTGCCGCTCCATACAAAACATAAAGAATCAGAATCAAAAGTCACTCTGAACATAAAGAAAAAAAATCATCTCACAAATAATGTGGCCACAGCTGCCAGAAAACCTGGTAGTGGCTCAATTAGGCAAAGTGTAGGAATCTCATTTTTGTTTTTCTCTCCTTAAGTTTAAAGAAACAACAATGACAATAGGCCAGAGAAGTTAGGGAGGGAAAGAAAAGCTCAAAGGGAGGGAAACCTGGGGACAAGAGGTGTGCACACCCACATGTGGTCTCACTCTTCACACAGGCCCACTATTTTTGAAGTAGACCAGTTTAGTTGACTGTTCTTCTTTGTTCTGGCATCTGACTGGACCAACCTGGAACCTGGTCCAGACCCTCACCCACTCTATTCTTATGCCAATGGACATACCTATACTTTGAACCTCTGTACTTTTAAGAAAAGTCCAATGTTACAAAATCAAATGCTTATATTCAGACTGGCACACTTTTTAAATAAAAACTCCATACACCTCAGACATATAGCACACATGGAGACAACTTACTAATTGTGTGTAAGTATGATACAATGAATGAGACTGCCTGAAGTCTAGTAATCAAAGCATGCCATAAGGTGAATGATTGTGGTTAAACACAGCAAAATAATTGTCACAAAACTTTCAAGGCCTAACAAATTAGAATTTTCCAATAAAAAATATATATTTTTTCAGATGTTAATAAGACATATCAGTAGAGACAAAATTAGGATTTTGAAGTAATGCAATAAAAAGATGTTGGAGGGCAGAAGTCTATTTAGTTTTTGTATACACTTGCAAGAGTGCATTACTCAGTATAAAGCAAAATGGGGAGGAAAAAGACATCCATCCATTTTATTGGAACACTTTTATGTGACTTGAATCTGGTGTTAGGTTGTTGATTTTTCTAAAAATCTCCTATATATACAAAATCCATATGTACTTGGAGATCCAGCTGTTGCCCCCTGTTTAAAACAAAAGACCACCTCGGGGGGTCAATTAAATTAAAAAGGCCCTCCAACCACCCTAAATGGGATAACTAAGAGTATCTACTGCAGTCATTTCAGAGGACAGAGAAGGAAAATATTTTAATTTGCTTTAATATAACCTCTTTTCAGTAGATCACAAATGAGTTTACAAACTACTTTTTTTTCTCTTTAATTTAGGTGTTTGCAGATAATTTTCATTATATCCGTAGCTGTATGTGTGTATAGTTACATAATGGTAACTACACACGATACAGAAGAATCAGTAAATTCATGGATTATTTTGCTGAGGTTTTAAATTTTAAAGCCTCTGTTTCAGAATTTTATACTTGATCAAGGAGAAAAATAAATGTGTAGTCTAACATTTGCTTTCTGGAGTTAATTAACTGATCTGTAAGAACCACTGCATATGTCTTAAAATGTAAACATATTTACATTTGTTGTATTTGTTATTGAGCCTTTAAGGTTAGGCCCAGAATGAACAGACCATAGCAAGTAAACAAATAATTTTTAGAATCAAAGTATTAATAGAAGACCAGTTCATGGATTTGCTTATTCTATCCTGCTGAGACAAAACTCATGAGTGTGCACACACATGTGAATATATCCCTACGAAACAGTCTATCTTCTCATAGGCTTAAATTATAGTCATGGCTATTAAAGAAATTAACAGCATCCAGCCACATGCAACTTTCCAACCTTCAGTACTATTAGGTGATTAAAATCAACAAATATGAAGTTTAGTTCATTTTTCCCTTAAAATTCCAACAAAGATCAAAAGGTTGTATCTAGAACTAATTGCCATCAAGTTCCAATTCAATGTCATTTAAAGTAATGTAACCACACATTTGGTATTTTCAATAGGAAGGTTAATTAGGTATTGTGCAAACTGCCTGCAACGGAAGCACTCAGTCCTTATCTAACTTGTCCCTTCCTGGCCCCAACATGCTAACTGCCCCATCCCCAATTCTGGGCAAACTGATCACAATGTGCAAAAAATAATATATTATCTATTTATAATTTTAAAATATATACAGCCAGCTCAAAAACAACAACAAACCCCATCAACATAGTCCAGCTGAAATCTCCACTGGTAGTCAAAGAAGTAGATTAAAGGAGTAAAGGAAGGAGAAGGCTGATAGGGCCACAAGAATGGACAGACATCAAGTAAAATTTGAGTCCCAAACATGCAAGTACATGAGCAGTGAGATAACTTATATATTCCAATAACCTATTTTCAACAACTCCTGCCCAAGACATGAAGATCAAATCAGGTTTCTGAGGTAAGTGTACTTCTAAACCATACACACATGAAAGCTATGAAAGCAATTCAAATGAGGCTGCTTCATGAGGCAATCTAGACTTATGGCATTATTTCTACTTTTCTCCATGTTTTAATTGCAGCCTGCACTTTAAATCTTTCCCAATAATTTTTAACAGTGCCTCTCAAATGCAAAGACACGTAAAAGAATTAATAACTAGCCAAAGAATTTTATCACCGCTTCACTCATTTATAAGAAAACCAATTATTTCCAAGCAAAATCAAACCAAACCAAAGAGGCTCCTGGTAGAAATGAAACAAAACTTTAAAGCTAGTTTTAAAACAAATATTTTCCTCTGCTCTAAACTACTCTGGCGTTTTCTACCACTCTACCATTTTGGAACATTCATTACAATAAGGTATATAGGTAGATGGTAGGAGGCAAAGCATTTATCAGTAGTTGAGCAAAACTGCTGAGGCCATTTATAATTCAAAGAATGAAAACTTAGAATAGTTTACTACATTAGAATACATCCAAGTTCCAAGAGTAGGACTGGAGCTCTCTTAAGGCAATCTTTCAGAAAAGATGTTGCATCTTCTGTGATGATGGTTTGTGTTTTTTTTGTTTTTGTTTTCGTTTTTTTTAATGAGATGGAGTCTCACTCTGTCACTCAGACTGCAGTGCAATGATGCGATCTCAGCTCACTGCAACCTCTGCCTCCTGGGTTCAAGTGATTCTCTCATGTGATGGTGGGTTTTTAAATGTTTTTTCCTTCTGAAAACCTGATGTGGTTTTGTCCCTACCTCTGAGAACTAAAGAATAATCCCCTTGTTTATAATAAAAGAAAAAACACGAAAGAATATAATGATGGTTTCATTTTTCTATATTTAACTCTGTGTGATCCTAATGATATCTGGGCTCACAAAATTATTTTGTGGACAGAATTCCATCCTCAAAAGAATTCTTTATATGGTTTCATAAGCTGCTTAACCAAGCTGGTTACGTCAGCTAAGTGACTAGCATAGCACTTAATGTTGCCGCTCTACTTTGCCTCAACTCAGAGCACCTAAAAAGTAGATAAATAAATTATGCACCTTTGTTATTTGTTAGTTTTTGGGATTACCTAAGCCAATCACATTTTAATTGCAACCCTATTTTAAGGGCAAAGCCAGACAGTAAATGGTTAAATGCCCAAGGTTTGTCCTACAGCTCAAGTACTTAATTTCATACTTGCAATAGGGCTTTTAGCTTCAGTGGTCCAGAATTTTAGCTTTACCAGAAGAACACTCTTCTTATCCTCCCTATGTTTGAGAGACAGAGATGCTAGCATTCTTCCTTATCCCTAAGTATTCCTGCTGGGGAGTCCCAATTGGAGAAATATTATCTTTCTACTTGTTTAAAGTTTTGGTTGCAATCCATTAGGGTAATGCTGCTCCATGGCAGAATGACAAAAAAGAAAAAAGATTCTATCTTTACCACCATAATAATGATGATGATATATGATGAACATACTGTGTGAAGAAATCTCCTTAGAGAAAACAAAGTATATAAGAAATATCAAATGTGGGACTGTAACATATTCCAAAGCACCAACAATCCATTTCTTGGGACTGCATGTAAACAGCAAAGACATCACAAATTCATGAAATTTGCAGACAACAACAACAACAAAACAGCTCCTCAAGTCAGGTGACAGTAATGCCCCTCTCTTGCAAAGAGAACAAACTGTCATTAGTGTAACATGAAGAGCTGGCTTTCCAGTGAATTTTACTAATAAGGAAACACAAAAGGTTACAGACTTGAGTGAAACTACTCAAGGAACATAAAAGCTAAAAGCCAACTGATAAGTATGTCTTCACACATTTCTCAGGTGAATGGACTCTTTGACACCTTCATTTCTTCTCCAAACTGCTGTGCTATTAATTTTGAGCAGGCATATTCTGGTGGCTCATCCTAACTCTTTAAGGCTCCATTCATCCCGTGTGTGTGTGTGTGTGTCTGTGTGTGTGTATACACACATACACAGATATATATTTACAACATGTATTCCTAAGACAAAAGAAGTGCCACTCATAGGAGAAAAAGAGGATAATCAGCTACGGATGTGAGACCAAAGTTTCCATAAAATAGCATGGAGCATTCTACGTTACTCCAATTTTTGTCTTTTGGTTTGGCCCTGAGCTGTTTGTTGCTCCCGCATCAAGTAGAATTCCAAATTCTCCTTCAGCAGAGGAAAGGTGAGGTGGGCAGCAGTAACAAATATGCAGTGCATGCTGCCAACCCAGGAGTTTGTTCCTCACAAGGCCTGACGGGTAGTCTTCCCCACTTCCGTGCTAAGTGACTGAGAGTTCTTTTCTGTTTCCAGCAGCTCATCAAAGATCTCCCTTAAGATAAAACAAGCAAAAAATAAAACTGGAAATTTAGTAAGCAGAACCAAAGAATAGGCAGGAGAAAAAGTAAAATAAAATTGATATGGATAAGGCCTTCACAATTCCATTTCATGCCTGTATTTTATTTAAAAAGCAGCTCACTCATTTGATCTTAACCCTTTGAATGCTGATTTTTAAGAATAGAGGGGAACTGACAACAGTTAGCTTTAATGAACATGCTAGGTAATTCCCATCCATATAAATCAGATCTTCTAGCTGATAAAACTGGATGACCAAAACTATTTATGACAGGACATCTTCTATCATAAAACAAACTGTCTTAACTTCCATACCTAGATACAACTGTGTAATGAGCAATTAATGCTGAGTTATGAGAGAAAATATTCTGGACTTACAAGGAAATATCAAGAGATAGACCCTAACCAAAGATGATAAAAACCAAAAATTTTCAACCAATCAACTGATGGAAACATTTTATCCTCAAAGGAAAAAAAAAAAAAAAAAAGAGTTCCGGTGATTTCTAACTCATTATTTAGAATCTGGCAAAGTTTCTTACTTGTGCATATAAAAGAAGATGTAGCCACTCCGATCTCGATCACTCTGCACGGCAGCCTCTTGGATTTTTGATACCTCCAGGTCATTGTAAGTAAACCACGCTTGCTTCTTAATGTCATATACATCACTAATGTAATGACCTGAAACAAATAACATCTTAAAATCAAGGTTTTTAAAAACACACCGAAGCTGGGCGCGATGGCTCACGCCTGTAATCTCAGCACTTTGGGAGGCTGAGGCAGGCGGATCACGAGGTCAGGAGTTTGAGACCAGCCTCACCAACATGGTGAAGCCCCGTCTCTACTAAAAATACAAAAATTAGCCAGGCATGGTGGCGTGCGCCTGTAGTCCCAGCTACTCAGGAGGCTGAGGCAGGAGGATTGTTTGAACCCAGGAGGTGGAGGTTGCAGTGAACCGAGATAGCACCACTGCACTCCAGCCTGGGTGACAGAGTGAGACTCCATCTCAAAAAAATAAACAAAAACGCATTAATTTTATCTCAGGTGCAGGAAGTTTGAGAAAGAAAAAAAGCTACCACATTCACCTTATCCTCAACACTGTGTCTAAAACCCATTGAAGAAACATACAGGCCAGGCACAGTGGCTCACTCCTATAATCCCAGCACTTTGGGAGGCCAAGGCAGGAGGACTGCTTGAGGCCAGGAGTTTGAAACCAGCTTGGGCAACAAAGCAAGAACCCGTCCATACAAAAAATTTAAAAAAATTAGTCAGGTGTGGTGGCATGCACGTGTAGTCGCAGCTACTCAGCAGGCTGAGGGAGGAGGATCTCTTGAGCTCCTGAGCCCAGGAATTCAGTGCTGCAATGAGCTAATGATGGTGCCACTGCACTCCAGCCTGGTGACAGAGTGAGACCCTGTCTCTTGAAAAAAAAAAAAAGAAAAAAGAAGAAAAAAATATTTGTATATACACAGAGAATCAAGGAGGCATATGCTACACTGGTACACCATTTTTGATTAATGTATTTTGTTCAGGGGAATTTAGGTCACTTATGAATTGAGAAATCAAAACAGTTACACCTATTAACACAATGCACATTGAGTGTGATCAAAGTAGATTTCAAAGATTTTCTTGAAAAACTTATACTTCGTGGGCTGGGCATGGTCGCTCACGTCTGTAATCCCAGCACTTTGGGAGGCCAAGGTGGGTGGATCTCTTGATCCCAGGAGTTCAAGACCAGCCTGGCCAATATGGTGAAACCCCATCTCTACTAAAAATGCAAAAATTAGCTGGGCGTGGTGGTGCATGCCTGTAATCCCAGCTACTTGGGAGGCTGAGACAGCAGAATCACTTGGACCCAGGAGGTGGAGGCTGCAGTGAGCCGAGATTGTGCCACTACACTCCATCCTGGGCAACAGAGTGAGACTGGATCTCAAAAAAAAAAAGAAAAAGAAAAAGAAAAACACACTTCACAAAGCTAGGCAAAGAGCAATATAATAAAGAGCAAATGCTGACTAGTTCATTTATAAAATGCTGAAATCATGATGGCTATTCACCTGAAGAAGAAGTGCTACCAATGTGACTGACAACACTGATGAGCCGGTACGAATGAGGCAGATTTCCTGTCTGGAAAACAGAAGTGGGTATAACTTTTAAGTCTTCATTTGAATAAAAGCAAAACACTGAATATAAATTTATTATCAAAGCTGACATGGCTAAGCTTTGGTATGTGGCATAGTAAGAATCAATTAAAAAATCTGTTCATACCCTTTGACCCAAGAATTCCACCCTCAACTAAGAATTTATTCTAAGGAAATAAGTCAAAAGAAGAGTATATGTATCAAATTATTTACTGTGGCATTATCTGGTGAAAAGCTGGAACCAACAATATATCCAATAATAGCTAACTGGTTAGTATATCAATTCAATATAATAATGTTCAGTTATATAAAAAAACTACATGGATCAGGAACATGTTAACCTTTTTTCCAAACCCATATGAATGCACATAGTAACTATAACTCTATTAAAAAAATGTTACGTTAAGAGTTAGGCATTGGACAATAGAACAAAAATGTTAAAAAGAGTTGCTATGTTGCTGTAGGGATCAGAGTGAACTTTTATATTTTAAAAAATATGATTAAAATATTTTTGGTAAAATAAAGCAAAACTGAAAAAGTGATATTCATGCACTGCAGACAGCACTATAAGGTAAAATTTGGGGAAGGAAGGCCAGGCGTGGTGGCTCACGCCTGTAATCCCAGCACTTTGGGAGGCCAAGGTGGGCAGATCACGAGGTCAGGAGATTGAGACCATCCTGCCTAACACAGTGAAACCCTGTCTCTACTAAAAAAACACAAAAAATTAGCTGGCGGGCGCCTGTAGTCCCAGCTGCTCGGGAGGCTGAGGCAGGAGAATGGCATGAATCCAGGAGGTGGAGCTTGCAGTGAGCTGAGATCGGGCCACTGCACTCCAGCCTGGGCGACAGAGCAAGACTCTGTCTCAAAAAAAAAAAAAAAGAAAAGAAAAGAAAAGAAAAAAAAAATTGGGGGAAGGAATATGGCTATATGTAAACCAGAAACTTAAAATGTTCATAAACTTCGATTTAGTAATTTACTTCTGGAGAATATAAAAGGAGAAATTCTAAAATATAGAAAATGCATGAGCCAAGAGCACACGCCACTGCACTCCAGCCTGGGTGACAGACAGACCTTGCCTAAAAAAAAAAAAAAAAAAAAAAACAACTCTATGTTTGGCCAGGTGCAGTGGCTCAGGCCTGTAATCCCCATACTTTGGGAGGCAGAGATGGGTGGATCCCTCAAGGCCAAGAATTTGAGACTGGCCTAGCCAACATGGTGAAATTGCATCTCTACTAAAAATACAAAAATTAGCTGGGCATAGTGGCTCATGCCTGCAATCCCAGCTACTCAGGTGGCTGAGGCACAAGAATCGCTTGAGCCCAGGAAGTGGAGGAAGTTGCAGTGAGCTGAGATCGTGTCACTGCACTCCAGCCTGGGTGACAGAGCGAGACTCTGTCTCAAAAAAATTAAAAAATAAAATAAAATAAAATAAGGAAAATGCTATAAGCATACAGTTTCCCAACTTATTATCATAGTGAAAAATTAAAAACAACTTAGACAAATACTCAATGTTAGCTAAAAGTTAAATAAGTAGGATATTTATTTGAGGCAATATAGTACAGCCATTAAACATAAGCTTATAAATAACTACTCTTTAAGAAACAGGATAACCTGGGTGTGGCAGTGTGTGCCTCTAGTTCCAGCCATTTGGAAGGCTGAGGCAGGAAAATCCCTTGAGCCCAGGAGTCTGAAGCCAGCCTGGGCAACACAGTGAGACTCTGTCTCTAGAACAAAAAAGCAAATGAAATAAAAACTATACTTACGACTTTTTAAAAAGTATACATGGAGGTGAGAATAACAAAGAAATATGTCAAAGTGCTGAGAGTAATTGTGTTAGGATGGTAGGATCCTGGATAATCAAAATTTGAGGAGAAAAAGCAATTATTTAAGGGGGGAAAAAGGGTTAAAAAAAAAAAAACAGTTCAATGTGCCCTAATTAACATCACCAATTCAATAGTTTTCAGTGAGGAACAACCGTTTTTGGTATTTAATTATAAAGATGATACAGTTATTCAGTGTAACTAAAGGTAATTTTTTCCCCCCGAGATGGAGTTTCGCTCTTGTTGCCCAGGCTGGAGTACAATGGCATAATCTTGGCTCACTGCAACCTCCTCCTCTTCCCAGGTTCAGGTGATTCTCCTGCCTCAGCCTCCCAAATAGCTGGGATTACAGGCGTGTGCCACCACGCCCAGCTAATTTTTGCATTTTTAGTAGAGACAGGGTTTCACCATGTTGGTCAGGCTGGTCTCGAACTCCTGATCTCAGGTGATCCACCTGCCCCAGCCTCCCAAAGTGCTGGGATTACAGGCGTGAGCCACCATGCCCGGCCAACTAAAGGTAATTTAATACATACATGCCTTTACTGAGTTCTTACCTAACATGCATGTAAAGTGGTCAGGATGTATTCCTGTTTTTTTTGTTTGTTTGTTTGTTTTTTTAAATCTTGTATGTGAAAAATGAACAGCAAATGACAAGAGAAAATGAGACCATCTAATGGCTACTGAAAGGGCCAAAATGAACCTGCAGTGGACACTGAAAGTGGGGCCTTTGAAGTAAAGAGTGGGAAGAGTGACACTGAATTTGACCAACTGTACTCAGGAATGAAAACAATTACCTCAGCATTTCTTTTCAGTTCCTCAGCTTCAGCTTCTGTGTACTCCATATCAAAAACATCCTCATTTCCAGAGTCCTCATCAGAACCCAATGCATCCACAAAGGAGTTGTTAAACTCTGAAGAATACAAAGACAAAATCTTATAAAAGTTCTTGGAATAGAATGGACGTGGTGGCTCACACCTGTAATCCCAACACTTTGGGAGGCCGAGACAGGTGGATCACCTGAGGTCAGGAGTTCGAGACCAGCCTGACCAACATGGTCAGAGATGGGGTAGAGAAACTCCATCTCTACTAAAAATACAAAAAAAAAAAAAAAAAAATTAGCCAGGAGTGGTGGCTAATGCCTGTAATCCCAGCTACTTGGGAGGCTGAGGCAGGAGTTTCTTGAACCCAGGAGGCAGAGATTGCAATGACCTGAGATTGCACCATTGTACTCCAGCCTGGGCAACAAGAGCAAAACTCTGTCCCAAAAAAAAAAAAAGTTCTTGGAATAGACATAACAGATATAATTAGAAAGATAAAATAGTTTGAGGTACACATTTTATCATTCTAAGAAAACATAAAACGTAATATGACGGTCCAACACGCTCAGCCCACTGTGGGGAACACGGGAGACATGGTATCTGTAAAAGAAACGCTCTTTTTCTTTTAAATATATTTATATGATAAAGGGATCTAACCCTTATAAGAAAGATATAAAACTAGAAAATAATTTTACATATAATCCAATTTCACTAAATTCTATATGATATAAGCTATATATGTTAGATTTCAAGTACTTGGTGTCATTAGCAAACATAAATTATCCTCACAGAAAAAGGATTATAAAAAGGTCAATGTTCTTTTTTTCTTTGTATTAAATCATTTCTTGGCCGAGTGTGGTGGCTTATGCCTGTAATCTCAGCACTTTGGGAGGCTGAGGTGGGCGGATCACAAGGTCAAGAGATCAAGACCATCCTAGCCAACATGGTAAAACTCCTTCTCTACTAAAAATACAAAAATTAGCCAGGTGTGGTGGCGCACACCAGTAGTCCCAGCTACTCGGGAAGCTGAGGTAGGAGAATCACTTGAACCCGGGAGGCGGAGGTTGCAGTGAGCCGAGATTGCGCCACTGCACTCCAGCCTGGTGACAGAGCGAGACTCTGTCTCAAAAAAATAAAAATAAAAAAAAAATCATTTCTTGAAACGTACCAAAAAAGTAAAGAGAATTCAACCTTTAACTCTTAAATTTCACGTAAGATATACTAAACAAATACAAGATCTGTATTTTCTTGAATAATACGTGTCCACTGGAAGCATCCATCTTTACTAATGGTGTTAAATAAAGAATCCCAGGAGCATTTGTACATAAATGGTTATTTGCTTTAATATATAATTAGCTCCACTAAAATCACAGTATAGTGTGATTTACAATCACATGAATATCTAAGAATGAAGCCAGGCACGGTGGCTCACACCTGTAATCCCAGCACTTTGGGAGGCCGAGGCAGGTGGATTACCTGAGGTCAGGAGCTGGAGACCAGCCTGACCAACATGGTAAACTCCACCTCTACTAAAAATACAAAATTAGCTGGGCATGGTGGCACATGCCTGTAATCCCAGCTACTTGGGAGGCTGAGGCAGGAGAATCGCTTGAACTCAGGAGGCAGAAGTTGCAGTGAGCCAAGATCACGCCACTGCACTCCAGCCTGGGCAACAAGAGAGAAACTCCATCTCAAAAGAAAAAAAAAAGAAAAAAGAAAATCTAAGAATGTGAAGAACAGGAAAAGAGAATATAGCTTCAAAATTCTGGAAGTTGGAAATACATGTGTGACTGACTCAGCAGACCTAAGAAAGCCAAAGCCATACCCCAAGCCAGCAATGGAAAAGTTGAAAACTAATCCAATTTATATCACTGAATGTTCAAAAGACACAAGAAGACATGGAAGAACTAGGCCAGGCATGGTGGCTCACACCTCTAATCCTAGGACTTTGGGAGGCCGAGGCGGGTGGGTGAACTGCCTGAGATCAGGAGTTCGAGACCAGCCTGGGCAACATGCCAAAACTCCATCTCTACTAAAATGAAATATAAAAAATTAGCTGGAACCTGGGCACGGTGGCTCACACCTGCAATCCCAACACTTTGGGAGGCCAACGCAGGTGGATCACCTAAGGTCAAGAGTTCGAGACCTGCCTGGCCAACATGGTGAAACCTCATCTCTACTAAAAATACAAAATTTAGCTGGATGTGGTGGTGGGTGCCTGTAATCCCAGCTACTTGGGAAGCTGAGGCAGGAGAACTGCTTGAACCTGGGATGCTGAGTTTGCAGTGAGCCAAGATTGTGCCATTGCACTCCAGCCTCGGCAACAAGAGTGAAACTCTGTCTCAAAAAAAGAAAAAAAAAAAATTAAAAAATTAGCTGGGTGTGGTGGTGCACGCCTATAGTCCCAGCTACTCAGGAGGCTGAGGCACAAGAATCACTTGAATCCGGGAGGCAGAGGTTGCAGTGAGCAGAGATCACGCCTCTGCACTCCAGGCCCTGGGCAACAGAGCATGACCCTGTCTCCAAAAAAATGAAGACATGGAAGAACCAGGAACCAGGTACCTCTGAAACTGGGGGATAAGGAGGGGATAAAATAAAGATTAGGTAAAAGCTGTTTGAGAAACAGATTCCTACATCTACTTCTTCCAGCTTCCTAACTCATGGACTTCTAAAACCTGGTCCACATATTAGTTCTGCCAAATGCTACGACATGTGAACCTTATGCTACTGAATACACTCACTCATGACTGCCCACTGACTGCCCCAGAATAAGCTCTTGAAAATTCACGGGGAAACTGAAGCCACATTATGTTCTTCTAGGAGTCGTAACAGTGGCAAAATTATAATTCTTTCATTAAACAGATGATAGATTGTTCTTGCTAATTTTTCAATATTAAAAAACATATTGTTAGAGATATGGGTATAGATGACAAAAATTATTTTGAAAAAAGCAAGCTGAAGATGAATACAAATGTTAGAATAGTGGTTTCCTCTGGGAGGAAGACAAAAAGGAGAGATATAAAGGTTACTTCTAAGGTTCTATTTCTTTACCTGGGAGGTATTCAAATTTGTTATCAAAAAACACATTTTAGCTTGTAATCTCGGCACTTTGGGAGGCTGAGGAGGGTGGATCACTTGAAGCCAGGAGTTCAAGACCAGCCTTGGCCAACATGGTGAAACCCCGTCTCTACTGAAAATACAAAAATTAGCTGGGTGTGGTGGCACAACCGCTAATTCCAGCTACTCGGGAGGCTGAGGCATGAGAATTGCTTGTACCCAGGACGTGGAGGTTGCAGTGAGCCAAGATTGCACCACTGCACTCCAGCCTGGGTGACAGAGTGAGAGGCTCTCCCCCACAATAAACACACACACACACACACACACACACACACACACACACACACACACACACACACACTTTCTTTATATGTTCTTCTATGTGTGAATGGTAATTTTACCATTAAAAAAATGTAATTAAAAAGATCTCCACACCTTGAAGACTTAACTCGGTAGCTCTTTTGAGGTCATCATCTTCTTTCTGTTCCCAAGCCTCCTAAAGGGAAAAGAACAAAAACTAAGGTATTTAAAGAGGTACTGATTAAACTTACTTAATGAGGATAAAATCAGTTTCTCTGGAAGCATTTGCTAAGAATGCTTTCTATAACCTTATGGATGTTTGGAATATTACCTTTTGAGGAATGTGGGGAAGTTCTTTACTTTTTTTTTTTTTTTTTTTTTTTGAGACGGAGTCTCGCTCTGTCCCCCAGGCTGGAGTGCAGTGGTGTGATCTCGGCTCAATGCAAGCTCCGCCTCCTGGGTTCACGCCATTCTCCCGCCTCAGCCTCCCAAGTAGCTGGGACTACAGGCGCCCGCCACCACGTCTAGCTAATTTTTTGTATTTTTAGTAGAGATGGGGTTTCACCATGTTAGCCAGGGTGGTCTCAATCTCCTGACCTTGTGATCCGCCCACCTCGGCTTCCCAAAGTGCTGGGATTACAAGTGTGAGCCACTGCGCCCGGCCCACTCCAGTATTTTTTAAGATTTTTTTTTTTTTTTTTTTTGAGAGGGAGTCTTGCTCTGTTGGCAGGCTGGAGGGCAGTGGCACGATCTCGGCTCACTGCATCCTCTACCTCCCAGGTTCAAGCGATTCTCCTGTCTCAGCCTCCCGGGTGGCTGGGACTACAGGTGCGTGCCACCACACCCAGTTAATTTTTTTTGTATTTTTAGTAGAGATGGGGTTTCACCATGTTGGCCAGGATGGTCTCGATCTCTTGATCTTGCAATCTGCCTGCCTCAGCCTCCCAAAGTGCTGGAATTACAGGCATGAGCCACCATACCCAGCCCATTCCAGTATTTTTAAAGCTCCCCAGTAAATTTGAATGTGCAGTTAAGATTAAGAACCACTGATCTAGAGAAATTAGATTTCTTTTTTTTTTTTTGAGACAGAGTCTTGCTCTATAGCCAAGGCAGAAGTACAGCAGTAGCGTGATCTTGGCCCACTGCAACCTCCACCTCCCGGGTTCAAGCAATTCTTGTGCCTCAGCCTCCTTACTAGTTGAGAATACAGGCGCACGCCACCACAGCAGGTTAATTTTTGTATTTTTAGCAGAGACAGAGTGTCACCATTTTGGCCAGGCTGGTCTAGAACTCCTAGCCTTAAGGGATCCACCCACCTTGGCCTCCCAAAGTGCTGGGATTACAGGCGTGAGCCACAGTGCCCAGCTTAGATTTCTTAATCTGATTATCTGATGAACCCAAAGCAGGCCTCAAACAAGTACTAAACCTACCCATTCATTCTAGGGAGTCTTGGTAAATTTTTACTAACATGACTTGGATTGCACAGGATTAGATAACTATGAAAAATCAGACCTGTAAGTCAGATCCTGTTGCCTATAAATCTGATATTTCAGGTGACTGTAACAGTGGAAAACAAATGGCATAAACTGAACATTGAAGAATAGGTTACTACATAAAGAAAAGAGCAAGGGCTGGGGGCAAATAGCTCATGCCTATAATCCCAGCACTTTGGGAGGTTGTGGTGGGAGGACTGCTTAAGCCCAGGAGTTTGAGACCAGCCTGGGCAACAGTGAGACACTGTCTTTACTAAAAATAAAAAAATGAGCCGGGCATGGTGGATGCTCCTGTGGTCCCATGTACTTGAGAGGCCTAGGCAGGAGAATTGCTTGAGCTCAGAGTTTGAGGCTGCAGTGAGGAATGATCAAGCCACTACATTCCAGCCTGGGCAACTGAGCAAGACCCTATCTCAATAAATAAACAGGAAGACAGATAAATGTTCTAATACTAAAATCTGAAAATTAGATTTTAGAAAATATTTGTGATAATTCTATGTTCAAATAATTCATAAAAAATTTATATTCTTAGAAAATAACCAAAACAAATACATTGCCTTAAAATACAATTATAAAATCATGGTGTTATACTGGTTGTTTCTACAGCTTGCAAAATAATGCTGGACTGGGAAGCCAGGCATGGTGGCTCACATCTGTAGTCCTAGCACTTTAGGAGGCCAAAAGGGGAGGAGTGCTTCAGTCCAGGAGTTCAAAACCAGCCTGGGCAACATAACAAGGCTCTGTCTCTAAAAAATTAAAATAGAAAATAAAAATAAAAAGAAAAGAAAAAAATAAATTTGGACTAGGAATAATCTATAATACCCCATCCTGTTTTAGCAAGCAATGAATTATAGTTATGAAAGGTAACCAACAATACATTTTATTGCATTTGGATTGTCAAAAAAAGAAACACTACCCACGTACCTGTTTCAAACCCAGGCTGGAGTGCAGTGGCGTGATCTCAGCTCACTGCAACCTCTGCCTCCTGGGTTCAAGCGATTCTCCTGCCTCAGCCTTCTGAGTAGCTGGGACTACAGGTGTGTGCCACCATGCCTGGCTAAGTTTTATATTTTTAGTAGATGGGGTTTTGTCATGTTGGCTAGGCTGGTCTCAAACTCCTGGCCTCAAGTGATCCGTCCGCCTCAGCCTCCCAAAGTACTGAGATTACAGGCATGAACCACCAAACCCTGCCTCAAACAAGTCTTTTTTTTCCCCAATGACTTACTCTATGTAAATCATCTGGAACAATGTCTGACACATAGTAAGTGCTCAACACATTAGTTATTATTATTATATTTCTCAGGAAAGGTAAGTACAGAGAAAGTAGCAATATAAATATCTCTTACTTGCTCTTGAAGGCTCTGAGCCAGTGCCTGCTGAAGCTCTTGCTCTTCCCTTTCACGCTCCATATCATACTGCTGGAGCCAATCAACTTCTCCCTGAGATCCTTCTGGAGTTTTGTTTTCTTTATTCTCATCACAGTCTTTAGTTATCTCAGTAAAACTGGCAGGATCTGAGGAAGCAGAACATAACATTAATTTGGAAAATCCTAATAAATGGAAATTTCTGAACTAGAGTGACACCTACTGTTCATAAAGCAATTTACCCTAATTTCATCTATAATTTGCTTAGGACATACAATTTCACCTTACTAGATCTACGTCAGGGTTGATCAACCTAGAGCTATTGACATTTTGGGTGGGACAAGCTTTTGTTGGGGTGAGGGGAGAAGAGTATGTCCTGTGCATTGTAGAACGTTTAGCAGTGTTTCTGGCCTCTACCTACTAGATATTAGTAGCATCCACCCTCTACAGTTGTGATAACCAAAAATGACAGACACTACTATATGTCCTCTGGAAGGCAAAATTGTTCTTGTTTGAGAACAAATGATCTACAGTGATGGTTCTAAAAGTTAATTAATCATCAGAAACACACTATGTAAAGATGGGGAAGAAAAAACAGCCATAGGTCATAGTGTCACTTGACCAAGTACTGGAAATAAAATATTTTTAGAGCAAATGAAGTAAGAATTAGGCCAAAATGATCAAGCTACTATTGAGATTTTCCCCATTCTTTTTTTTATTTTTTGGGGACAGTGTCTTGCTCTCTCACCCAGGCTGGAGTCCAGTGGCACTATCTCGGCTCACTGCAATCTCTGCCTCCTGGGTTCAAGCAATTCTCATGCCTCAGCCACCAAGCAGCTGGGATTACAGGTGCACGCCATCACACCTAACTAATTTTTGTTTTAGTAGAGATGAGGTTTCATCACATTGGCCAGGCTGCTCTCAAACTCCTGACCTCTGGTGATCTGCCCGCCTTGGGCTCCCAAAATGCTGAGATTACAGGTGTGAGCCACTGTGCCTCGCCGATTTTCCCCATTTATTACACTGTATGTTGAACATGTGTTTAAACATTAATAATCAAACAAGCATTGTATATATCTAAATCAAGAGTGTATGGCAATATACAGTGTGTGTTTAAAACATTCAGGAAGGTAAGAAATCCCCTCCCCCCTCCTCCCTTCCCCCTCCCCCTGCCCAGGCTGGAGTGCAGTGGCTCACTGCAACCTCCACCTCTTTCAGGCAATTCTCCCGCCTCAGACTCCTGAGTAGCTGGGACTACAGGCGCCCGCCACCATGCCCAGCTAATCTATATCTATCTATCTATCTATCTATCTATCTATCTATCTATCTATTTTTTTTTGAGATGGAGTTTCGCTCTGTTGCTCAGGCTGGAGTGCAGTGGCGCGATCTCGGCTCACTGCAACCTTTGCCTCTAGGGTTCCAGCGATTCTCCTGCTTCAGCCTTCCGCGTAGCTGGGATTACAGGTGCACGCCACCACGCCCGGCTAATTTTTGTATTTTTAGTAGAGACGGGGTTTCACCATCTTGGTCAGGCTGGTCTCGAACTCCCGACCTTGTGATCCGCCCACCTCAGCCTCCCAAAGTGCTGGGATTACAGGCGTGAGCCACCGTGCCTGGCCTAATTTTTGTATTTTTTAGTAGAGATAGAGTTTCACCATGTTGGCCAGACTGGTCTTGAACTCCTGACCTCAGGTGATCCACCTGCCTTGGCATCCCAAAGTGCTGGGATTATAGGCGTGAGCCACCCCTCCCGGCCTGTTCCTTCTCAATTTCTAGACTACGGCTAGCTAAAATAAACAGAATAGTTATGATTTTTTTCTGGTTATCTGAATTGTTAGAGCAATAACATTTCATGTTTTTTTTGTTTTTTTTTTTTTTAAGACTGAGTCTTGCTCTGTCGCCCAGGGTGGAGTGCAGCGGCACAATATCCGCTCACTGCAACCTCCACCTTCTAGGTTCAAGCGATTCTCCTGCCTCAGCCTCCCGAGTAGCTGGGATTACAGGTGTTCACCACCACACCTGGCTAATTTTTTATATTTTTGGTAGAGATGGGGTTTCACCATGCTGGCCAGGCTGGTCTCGAACTCCTGACGTCAAGTGATCCGCCCACCTCGGCCTCCCAAAGTGCTGGGATTAACAGGCGTGAGCCACCATACCCGGCAATTTCATAATTTTTGTATTATTATTATTTTTTGAGATGGAGTTTCGCTCTTGTTGCCCAGACTGGAGTGCAAGGGCGTGATTGTGGCTCATTGCAACCTCCACCTCCCGGGTTCAAGCAATTCTCCTGCCTCAGCCTCCCAAGTAGCTGGGATTCTCCTGCCTCAGCCTCCCAAGTAGCATGCACCACCATGCCCAGCTAATTTTGTATTTTTAGTAGAGGCGGGGTTTCACCATGTTGGTCAGGCTGGTCTCGAACTCCTGACGTCAGGTGATCCATCAGCCTTTGCTTCTCAAAGTGCTGGGATTACAGGATTGAGCCACCATGCCCGGCCCACGATAATTTTCAATACAAATACAAGCGTTAACTATATCAAACATTACTAAAGTAAACCTCCTCATCAAGAAGTATTTAACTGGCTAACGAGAATTACCTTTATATACTCATGCTATACATACTGTTATTGAGTTTGTATACGCTCTTTACCTGCCCTAGTACTGTATTTTATCTTATTTTATTTTTTGAGACCGACTCTCACTCTGTTGGCCAGGCTGGAGTACAGTGGCACAATCTCGGCTCACTGCAACCTCCAACTCCCGGGTTCAAGAGATTCTTATGCCTCAGCCTCCCAAGTAGCTGGGATTACAGGCGTGTGCCACCACACCCGGCTCATTTTTTATTTTTAGTAGAGACAGGGTTTCACCATGTTGGCCAGGCTGGTCTTGAACTCCTGACCTCAGGTGATCCACCTGCCTTGGCCTCCCAAAGTGCTGGGATTATAGGTGTGAGCCACACTGCGCCCGGCTCCTAATACTGTATTTCTCTGTGGCACAGGTAACCCTGAAGCTTACAGCATCCTGGCTTTAGATTCTAAGTCAGCAACTAGTTAGCATTTTGAGTTGTACTGAATTGCTGAGTGAATATTTATTAAAAGAGGAAAAGAGACTCAGAATTTATTTGGTGGAAAAATCCCAATTGTTCAGAAAAATTATATTACAGATAATCCCAATTAAACACACAAAAAACAATTATCCTAGAGATGTCAATAATTTCTTCCTTTCTTCTATTATTGGAGAAACAACCCTTGCCATGGCCTAGAAGGGGCAGCTTGGAAGTCTACATGACCCTGCCTGTCCCTCCTACCTACGCCTGCTGAACTGGGAATGGATTATTTGACTCAACCAATCAGATTATCTGTTTTGGAAATTTGGAACTGAGATATACAAAGTTAGCTGATGATGAGCATTTCAAGTGGAAGGAAGACTTGGGGGTTGATATTGCTATTTTAGAGTATAAAATGAGTATTATTATTTTTATTATCAAAACGTACTCAAAAACGTGACAGAATAATTTTTCTTAACCAATAATTTTGAACACTCAATGATTCAATGTACCTCAGACAATCCTGGATTATACTAGTAACTAATCCATGTGTTAGAAAGGAGATCAAGGAAGTTTGCTTGAAGATGCTAAAGTCAATATACATTTGTCTTCAGGATAAGATTATCAGACAGATACAGAACGTATTTAAAAATCTATGGGGACAAACATGGCCATGAAATAATAATCCACTTTTAAGGACTGTACAATGGATCAAAGGGGATTCATGTGTTTAACTCAACATTCTTTTTTTTTTTTTTTTTTTTTTTTGAGACAGAGTCTTGCTCTGTCGCCCAGGCTGGAGTGCAGTGGCACCATCTCGACTCACTGCAACCTCTGCCTCCCGGGTTCTTGCCATTCTCCTGCCTCAGCCTCCCAAGTAGCTGGGACTACAGGCGACCGCCACCATGCCTGGCTAATTTTTTGTATTTTTAGTAGAGACGGGGTTTCACCATGTTAGCCAGGATGGTCTCGATCTCCTGACCTCGTGATCCACCCACCTCAGCCTCCCAAAGTGCTGGGATTACAGGCGTGAGCCACTGCGTGTGGCCTTAACTCAACATTCTTCCACTGAATATACTGTTTGCTTCTTCCCCACGCCCTAATTGAAACCCACTCTCTTCCTGATATTCTATATTTCAGTGAATAAGATAATTTTCCACAGTTTCTTTTAAAAGACAGATATCTGAGGATCATATGTGACTTCTCCCTCTCATTCACTCCTCACATAAGATAAATTATTATTTCCTAAGCATCTCTTGAATCCATCAACTTTTTTTTTCAAGCCAAAACCTTGGCTTAGGACACCACTAACTTCTTGTTTGGACTACTGCAATAATTTCCTAAGAGGTCTCAAGTATTACTGTTTTTTTCTAACTTCTGTAGCCAGAATGATCTTTTCTTCAAACATAAATCCTTATCAAATAATTGTTTGCTTAAAATATCCAATAACTTCCTAATGCCTTTGAAACAAAAGTCCAAATTCCTAAACATGGCTTCAGGCCATGCAAAAACCAGAGACTACTTAGCTCTCTAGTCTCATCTTTTGCATTTCCCCTTCAACAATATGCTCCAGTCATGCCGATCATTCTGAACTTTCTTTTAGGTCCACTAACTTGCTGTGGGCTTTCTCATTTCTGAGTCTTTGTACACACTATTCCTTCTGGCTAGTGTCTAGAGACTGTAAAACCTTACTTTGCCTTCCTGCCCCTCCTCAGCTGATTCACAAAACAGCCCAACTGTTAAGTCACAGATATTTATTGAGAATCTATGTGCCAAGCACTGTTGTAGAAGTTGGGGATATAGTGATAATTAAAGCAAGATGGTGCCTGCCCTCAAGGACCTTAAGTGCAAAAGCTCTGAGATGAGAATGGCCTTGGCATATTTGAGGGAGGGAGAGAGGGAGGGAGAAAAAGAGAGAAATAAGTACAGATTTCAGGAAGACATCATGGAGACTGAGAAAACAAATAAGAAAGTATTACAAAACTGACTAGTAGCATTTAGTGCCCATTTAAGAGTGTAGTCCTGAGTTTGAGGAAAGTCCACGGAACACAGTTTTGTGATTTTCTTTAGCAATCTTCACCAGCTTGGGTGCAGGTATGGAAAAAGTAGCTAGTTGAGTTGGGAGTTGGGGTTTTGTCAGGCTACTGCGACAGAAGAAAAGAGGAAGGAGATAATTGGCATTTCCAGGAAGTTCACAGATTATATTTGATGATCTAAGTTCACACTTTGAGAAGCACTGGTCTAGGGTAATGACTTCTGTAAGTGGGCAACCAAAATAGGGTAGAAGAAAAGACTTTTGGAATTAATATCAGAAACTGAGAAAACAGGCTGCTGAAAGAAAGTGATCATGACACTTCTTTGGACTGTCTTTTCTACTTAAGCTCTCTAAGTGATCTCATGTATTACTATAGCCTCACAAACTGATGAAATATCAAATTCATATCTCTAGTCTGAATTTCTCCCCTGAGCTTTAAACTTGTATATTGAAATGCCTAGGTGAAATCTCCATTTGCCTGTTTAATTTTTATTCCTCCCTTGTCCCACCAACTGTGCCTTCCTCATATCAGCAAATGGTACCATTATCTATCCAATTGCTCAGGCCAAAAAACATGTCTCCCTTGATTTTTTTTTTCCCTTGGCACCTTTGTGGTGTTGGTTAGAAAGATCAGCTGGGGCTGGGCGTGGTGGCTCATGCCTGTAATCCTAGCACTTTGGGAGGCTGAGGCAGGTGGATCACCTGAGGTCAGGAGTTCGAGACCAGCCTGGCCAACATGGTGAATCCCCATGTCTATTAAAAACACACAAGAAAATTAGCTGGGTGTGGTGGCGGGCGCCTGTAATCCCAGCTACTCGGGAGGCTGAGGCAGGAGAATCACTTGAACCTGGGAGGCAGAGGTTGCAGTGAGCTGAGATCATGCCACTGCACTCCAGCCTGGGTGACAGAGAGAGACTTGGTCCGCCCCAGGAAAAAAAAAAAAAAAAGAAAGATTAGCTGGGATGGCTAGATATCCTCTTTCTTTTGGTGATCTCAAGAGTCTTTCCTTCGCAATGTGATCTCTCCAGCAGGGCAGCCAAACTTCTTACGTAGCAGCTTAGGGTTCCCAAAAGCACAAAAGGGGAAGTTGCCAGGCCATCTTAATGTTTAATCACGAACTTGGCACAGAATCAATTCAATCACATTTTATTGCACTCACATAGCCTTCCCAAATTCACTGTGAAGAGGTCTACACAAGAGTATGCATACTGGTAGCCACGGTTCACTAGATGCTGTCTTTGGAGACTGAGTGTGTATATACACACACTCACACTTTTCTTTTCTATGGAGCCATGTGAATACACTGTAATTGCAGATATTATAATACTTTACCCCAAAGCACGTCAGCCTGAATCTCTCTCTCTTTTTTTTTTTTGAGACAGAGTTTTGCTCTTGTTGCCCAGGATGAAGTACAATGGTGCAATATCGGCTCACTGCAACCTCCTCCACCTCCTGGGTTCAGGCAATTCTTCTGCCTCAGCCTCCCAAGTAGCTGGGATTACAGACATGCAACATCACACCCGGCTAATTTTGTATTTTTGGTAGAGATGGGGTTTCACCATGTTGGTCAAGTTGGTCTTGACCTCCTGATCTCAGGTGATTCACCCACCTCAGCCTCCCAAAGTGCTGGGATTACAGGCATGAGCCACCGTACCCAGCCCAGCCTGAATCTCTTAATTAAAAGCACATTTTCCTACATAACAATTATCACATCTAAGAATATTAACAGTAATTCTATTTATAATTCCAATATATAGCCCACATTCTCATTTCTCCAGTTGTTTCCAAAATATTTTTTGTAGAATTTTTTCTAACCTAGACTCCTAAGGTTACTCACTACATTTGGTTGTCAGGTCTCTTTAGTCTTTAGTCAGGGCCAGTTTTTCTTCTAAAGCCTCCCATTATGGATTTTTCTAGTGTTCTTTTAAGTACAGGCTGTTTTTTTCCCCATACCCCAGAGCCTGGAGACAGGGTGGGTTTCCTCTTTACTACCCACTGCCATTTCCAACTACTCTGTCTCCTTTCAGGCTATAAAAACTGTAGCTCCCTTGAAGTGCATGATATAGGACATTGCCACATATTACCTCTTCCTGTAGCTGTCCCTTTGTTAATTTTAGGAAGTTATAGGACTGGGCAAAGAACTGAAAAGGAGAGCAGAAAGCAGGAAATAAATCAGGAAGGGACAAAAGCACTAATATTAACCAGGGATACCTAAGGGCAGTGATTATAAATGTAGTAAGGGGACTGCATAATGATACTTGTATCAAGAAGGAAAAAAGTAATGCCTGTGTATAAAAACCATCACGTTTTTGCTTCCAGTTAAATGGGGATATACTAATTCTTATTTTACTTGCATGCAAAATAATTCATAATTGAAGAGGTTCCAACTATGAGAATGTAGAAAATAATTTCCTGATATTCTAGTATTCTCTTCATTTCCAAAATCCTATGGCTGGTGTACCTGAAACACATTAGCAATATATAGTTGTCTAGATCTTGGGGCTATCAAGAGAGAAAAATTTGAACTGGTCATAGGAAAAGATAGTAAAAGTTATCTACCTAAAAATTTCAAAACACCCACAGTACAAGGCAGGATGGCTCAGCTCTGTTGTTCCCACTGATAGCTTTAGATAACAAAAAATGAGTAAAAATTACCAAAAAAATAGTATAGCATTTTATGTACAGTCATGTGTTGCTTAATGATGAAGACACATTCTAAGAAATTGCATGGTTAAGTGATTTCGTCTTTGTGCGAACATCTTCGAGTATATTCAACACAAACCTAGATGGTATAGCTGACTATACATCTAGGCTACATGGCATAGCTCCTGGGCTATAAACCTGTAAAGCATGTTACTGTACTGAGTACTGTAGGCAACTGTAACACAATGGTAAGTAGTTGTGTATCTAAATACATCTAAACATAGAAAAAGCAATGCATTGTGCAGGGAATGGAGAACTTGAATTATTTATACCCTAACACCTGGTGTAAATTCAGATATAGGAAAATGAAAGAATTATATGAATTTCTGAAATAGCAGTGGTGAGAAAAGCACCTCAGAACTGACACAAACATATATTAAATGCACATAAGAAGGCTAGTTTTACTAGTGATGTATACCTAAAGGGATATGGCATACTTTACCACTAGTATCTGTGTACTAGTCACAATATTTGCTTCTCATTTTTCAAAGCTTTTTATAATACAGAATGAAAATGCCATCAACCCTGTTATATACAGATCCACTTCACCTCCCTTTATTTGTTTTTATCTGAGAAGGAGTCTCACTCTGTCGCCCAGGCTGGAGTGCAGTGGTGCAATCTTGGCTCACTGCAACCTCCGCCTCCCGGTTCAAGCGAATTCTCCTGCCTCAGCCTCCCGAGTAGCTGGGATTAGGGTCACACACCACCATGCTCAGCTAATTTTTCTATTTATCTCCCGTTATTTGGAGGTTATTTGTCACTACAAAACTTTGAAAGAGTTATGTTTTGTTTCACAGAGGTTTAATCTTCATTAAACCTACCCAGCTCTGTGATTGTTTTGGGCTTCTCAGTTTCCATAGTGTCTGGATTTTCTGGCATTTCTTGAATATCATCTTCTGCAAATCCGGTATCTGGGCTGCTAGTTGGCTTATCATCATCTTCATGACTCAGAGATGGTGAAGCATCTCTCTTACTTATCTCCAAGACAGCTGCTAGAAGCTCTTCTTCGCTCATTCTGTCAAATCCTGAGTTTTCCAATTCAGACTTGTCAGGCTCTATTGGGCATAATTTTGAATCCTGAAGAAGAGAGTTACTTTTAGAAGAAACCAGAATACCTACAAATATAGCAATCTTAATTAGTATTTAAAGTAGCAACTTTATTTCTAAAAAGTTTCCTTTCTTTGATGCTTTGGGTTATTTAACAATCAATAACCAATATATAAACTAAATGGTGAGTCTAACTTTAAAAATAATAAATACATAAGAATACATTATTTTTTCTTGATTGAAATAAGTATATATTTTGTACAAATTTGGAGAATACATAAAAATAATAAAATAAATTCATTCAAAATAGATTACTCAGAGATAATTACTCTAAGTATTTTCAATTTATTTTCTTCCAGATATATATAGATTATACAGTAAATATTCTATCATTATGCCTACTACACCATTATAAATGTTAGCTGATCTTATTAACAATAAATGAGAAAAATAAACACGACATCAAGATTATGTAAAGAAGGCTGGGCGAGGTGGCTCACGCCTGTAATCCCAGCGGTGGATCACCTGAGGTCAGGAGTTTGAGACCAGCCTGGCCAACATGGCGAAAACCCGTCTTTACTAAAAATACAAAAATTAGGCTGGGCGTGGTGGCTCATGCCTGTAATCCCAGCACTTTGGGAGGTCGAGGCCAGCAGATCACTTGAGGCCAGGAGTTCGAGATCAGCCTGGCCAACATGGATAAACTCCATCTCTACTAAAAATACAAAAAAATTAGCCAGGCATGGTGGCACGCACCTGTAGTCCCAGCTACTAGGGAGACAGAGAATCGCCTGAACCTGGGAGGTGGAGGATGCAGCAAGCTAAGATCACACCACTGCACTCCAGCCTGGGTGACAGGGCAAGAGTCTGTCTCAAAAATAAATAAATAAATAAATTAAATAAAAAACCAAAACCCAAAAATTAGGGAGATGTTGTGGTGTACGTCTGTAATCCCAGCTACTCAGGAGGCTGAGGCAGGAGAATCACTTGAACCTGGGGGATAGAGACTGCAGTGAGCCAAGATCGTGCCACTGCACTCCAGCCTGGGCAACAGAGTGAGACTCCGTCTCAAAAAAAAAAAAAGATTATGTAAATATTCAAAAGTTGTTTTCTGGGAGAATTTTGGACTTTCACACATTTCTCATTCAAGTTGAACAACCACAAACTACCTCTGGCTTTAAAGTAAGATAGGAAACAGAACAAAAATAACTACTAAAATAATTCTATTATTTAAAAGGGAGGCTTAAAATAAAATACAGTAGCATAAGATAATGCAAACACCTAGAAAAGCTTAGATCTTCAAAGTATTAACTATCCATATAATTATCTATATATTAATCCAATTAATAAATCCATAATTTAAACAATTAGATTACTTGGTTGCTCTGTTGATGTAAAATGTTTACTACAGTTCCCTCACATAAACAATTGCTACAGGCTGGGAGTAGTGGCTCATGCCTGTAATCCCAGCACTTAGGGAAGCTGAGGTGGTAGGATCACCTGAGCCCAGGAATTTTAGACCTGCCTAGGTCACACAGTAAGACCTTGTCTCTACAAAAAATTTTAAAAACTAGCCAGGCATGGTGGTACATGCCTGTAGTCCCAGCTACTTGGGGAGCTGAGGTAGGAGGATTGTTTGAGCCCAGGAGAACGATGCTGTGGTGAGCCGTGATTACACCACTGTACTCCAGCCTGGGCAACAGAGCGATACCCTGTCTTAAAAAACTGCTACCAAAATAAAGCAAGTAATTATTTGAGGACGAATATGCAAAAGTAGCTTTGAAGGGCAAAAAAAGAAAGTAATTTGTTTAGAACAACGAATTTCTCGTAAGTCTTGATCCATCTGTAAACAGACTGATTTCTGTAGCCAGAGAAGGCATTTTCTTTAAAACTAATTAGTTTGATGATGGTTATGAAAGACATTTGTTTGGACAGTAAGAGATAAACAAATCTTTGTCAGATGTTTTAAGAAAATATTACTTACTTTTTCCAGGTCTTCCTGCTGCTGTTCGTTGCCTAACATTTCACAAAGTCTCTGGCTGAGGGCCACAGAACGTTTTAGCTCATCCTCACTGTCTGAATCAAGGCATAAAGCCAAGGAGCTCTTGGATTTGAAGGTGAATTTCCTGTAATTTAAGGAAAAAAAAAAAAGCCTGATAAACATTTGTCTTTGTTATTCTTTTATTGTAAAAATATCAAAACAAATTGCTTTTCCATTACGGAAAATTACTTAACAGAAAAAAAAGATATATCAAAAGAGGTATATTTCAGCATTACCTTTGCCCCACTCCAAAAGAGCCATGCTTTGAAAACTGGACAACTCTTATGCTACTACGTATCATCAGTAAACTAATCATGTTGTGCCTTTTTTCTTTTAATGATCAACCCCAATGAAATTTGCTATTGTCTTTATAAATTATGCTATTGAATTCATGCAGGCATAGCAATGAATAAATGTTTTTGACAACAAAGTGCATGAAGACTAATTTGTGATCTTTTAAATTATGATCCATGCACTTTAAAAATAACAGTAACATTCCACTTATCCACTTATCTGTAGGTCAGACTTCTGGCAACCTCTACTTTCCAGAACATAGGGATTCCAAAGTAAGAAAAAAGGCTTCTGAGGAAGGCAGTTCCAAAGCCCATGTACTTAGAGGGACCCTTTCTTTCCCAGGAAATGGTGAATAAAATAGTGTATCAAGTTCATCAAGAAATGAGAGCTAAGAAATGAGAAAGAATAACCACAAGAAAGGCAAACAAGAACTATAAAGTCATTTAATGTAAAAGCAAACTATCTTGTAATAATTAAGAGCCTCTGAGGGCAATATCATATTGAAACACAGTGCAATAATTGATACTTAAAATGCTGATTCTAAGTCATTAAGATATACTTAAATTATCCTTAGTTATTTTAAGAATGTAAGGAACAGTGTAACATATTTTAGAAACATTTTCATCCAAACTGTTAAAAATCTTTTAAAAGATAAATCGTTAAAAGGTAAGCTTCAGTTATATAAAAATTCACTTATGTGGAATCCTTTAATGATGCCAGATAAGTAAGGTGTTACTGTGTTGTCTTCTAGGTAAGCCGAAAATAAACTAAAGAAAAAAGTGGTAAAGGTCAAAGAACAAGAACTTTCTTTGATGGAGGTTAACACAAATTCATATGCAATACAAAAAATATATATAAAATGAAAACTAGAAAATACAATTAACCTGAATGTAAAAACTGAAAATAAACATATAGACTAATGGCACCAAGAAATAAGAGGCCAGAGTGGAAATCAGGAAGATTACATAGCAATGTAGATCAAAGAAAAGAGGCAAGTGGTCAGTGATAAGCCCAAACATAGTGTGTGGCTCAGAGCAGCCAGGATATCACTGCACTCCAACCTGAACACTTGAAAAGCCTCCCATGTGCTCAAAAGGGTTTTTAGTATAATAGCCAATTAGCCATCTTAATTCCTCAATTCAGATTTCACGCTCACCAAGCAAACCTGAACATATTAATTTGTTTACCCAGATAAATATTTTGCTGAAGGAGGATGACACCTGGCTACCATTGCACCAGGGTAAATTTGTGACAAAGGACATTGTAGAAGAATCAATGGTATTCTGGTTCATAACTCAGCCTCTTTTAAGTTTGATCGGCATGACAGGTCTTCTAGGGCCTAATCATTCTTTATTGATCAACTCCCAAATTTTCATACCAGCAGACCCTGGAGAACAGATGACCATGCCAAGGTACAATGATGCCCAATGAAATCATTTCTTTCTTGAAACTACAGTGACTTGGTACATAGAGTGCATTCCATTAATGATTACTATATTTACAGAAGGCAGCTTGCCTGTAGCAATGAAAAATATTCATCCTGTAAATGCATCACTTGCTCACTTTCTAAGCAGCCAAGTGGTATTGCTCATTTGTATCTTGAGAACGGGCAAGAGTATTCATATCGGTACCATTTCAGATTTCTAGTCATGTTAGTCATCTGGTTTTAATTGCACTGAAAAATAATTAACAGGAGGAAAAGAAAATAGCAGTTCCCAAATGTCATTTTATGGTTATATAAGCCCCCCAAAAGCCCTTAAACAACAAAAATGTCTCTTCTCTAAAAGTACTTTGGGCCATCAAATTTTTAGAAAAATTAATTAAAAAGTCAAACGACAACTAAATCAATTGAAATGATCTAATCAGGAACTCCTCTAGTAAAATCTTAGAGGAAATATATTTAAAAAGCAAACAAAAAAGGCATGTGCTTCCCTCCTTGGATAAAGTTTGGTCTTAAACAAAAAAATAGGGCATTTGTAGAATGCTTGCTTGTTTTCCTGTCCCCTTTCAAAACAACTCCTATTCGGTGTCAAAGACAAGAAGTTCCAGACTGGCTAACAACAGGTAAAAAATGTTTTGGGATTCCATGCCTATCTTTAAGGAAGAGTGCTTTAGACTAATAGGGGTTATTTTATCCCTTAAATCCCTAGACTCCCTTGTCCTCAGTTAATTTTTAGAGTTTTAGGATGAAAGTATTACATATTAACAATAATAAGTTTTTAAAAGTTTTAAGACAGAATATTGAGAGGATGAGCTAACCTTGTGTCACTGATTAAAATTTGTTATATCCTTCAATATATTCTAAACCAAATTCAGGAAAGTTTCAAAAGTATAGGTAATAAAGAGCATTATCATGCAAAAAGAAAAACAATAATGAAAAGGCAGGGAGGCAATCTTGGAGATTAGGGTAAGCCAAAACCTTAAACACAGATTTTGGGTACATAAGAAATATAACTCACTTTGAAGGTGTAGAAGGGCTGGTGATGCAGGAATTCACCATTTGAGAGGCTTTCAATGGTCTAGAACTATCAGAAAATTAGAAAATATATAATGTATACAAATGAATTATTAAAGATATATATTTAAATTATAAAATGAATTATTCTTACTATAATTCCTTTTATGTCCTCTTGAAAATTGAACAATTATAATACTTTTTAAATTACTAGCAATAGGCCAGGTGCAGTGGTTCACGCCTGTAATCCCAGCACTTTGGGAAGCTAAGTGGGCGAATCACCTGAGGTCAGGAGTTCAAGTCCAGCCTGGCCAACATGGTGAAACCCTGTCTCTACTAAAAATACAAAAATTAGCTGGGTTTGGCGGCGGGTGCTTGTAATCCCAGCTACTCGGGAGGCTGAGGCATGAGAATTGCTTGAACCTGGGAGGCGGAGGTTGTAGTAAGTGGTGATCGCACCACTGCACTCCAGCTTGGGCAACGGAGTGAGACTCCATCTCAAAAAAAAAAAAAATGGCCGGGCATGGTGGCTCATGAGGTCAGGAGATCGAGACCATCCTGGCTAACATAGTGAAAACCCGTTTCTACTAAAAAAATACAAAAAATCAGCCGGGCATGGTGGCAGGCGCCTGTAGTCCCAGCTACGCGGGAGGCTGACGCAGGAGAATGGCGTGAAGCCGGGAGGCGCAGCTTGCAGTAAGCGGAGATGCGCCACTGCACTCCAGCCTGGGCGACAGAGCGAGACTCCGTCTCAAAAAAAAAAAAAAAAAAAAAAAAAATACTAGCAATAGAGGCCAAAAGAGAAAATAAAATACCATCTCTAGGCTCTCCTTGATCCAATAATCTACATAGACAGCACTGGAAATGAAGTCAAGTGTAATACATATGAAAAAAATAACTTGGAGAAAATTACCTTGTCTCAGTTCTTTTAAAGTAATAGCTCTCATTTATGGAGGATTTACTGGATGTCAGACACTGTGCTAAGAACTCTACATATTATTACCTCATTTAATGTTCACAACCATCCTATTGTTTTTCTTATAGACAAGTCAAGGAATCTGTGCAAGGTCTAAAAGCTATCAAATTGTACAGTCAGATAGCTTGGCTTCAGGCCTGTGATCATACACTATTAGTGTGACATAGTACTACTGCCAGCAAGAGTAATAGCTCTACCAGCAGAAGGTAGTATGCACCAAGCAAAAACGTGAAAAGCTGTGAGAGGAAAAAACCAGAAACACTTAGACTCTCTGGGCACATGCCTTTATTAGTAGACCCTTGAGACACTAGTGTAAACTTCTATGAGACGTGGCTCTTTCAGACACTAACTGTATGACTTTAGGAAAATCATTTAATTTCCTTGGTCCTCTTAAGGGTTTGGACAAAAACCTCTAAAATCTCTTCCATCTTCAAAGTTCTACAATTTTATTATTCTACCAAACTAGTGTTCAAGTATAGAAAAGAATGACATAACATATGGCTTCAAAGTAATGCAAGTATGTAGAAAAAAGGGGAACACTCAAAGAAGTCCGAAGGTTTTCCCAGCATACATGATGAAGCAAAAACCTAAAGTAAAGATTACTTCTTTTTTTCTTGAGAAATTTCAGGAGCCATTTAAGTTCTTTACACTGCTGATAATATATGCATGAAGGCATAACATTGAGTATAGGGTTTCTCACATCTGCATGTCCTGAAGAGTCAACTGAAGCATTTGCTAAAAATATTGATTCCTAAGCGCCTATCTCAGACCTACTGAAACAGAACTTCCAGGGAAAAAACACAAAAATCAGTATTTTTAGTGTCTAGGTGACTCTTATTATCACCTAAGTTTGACTCATATTCAAGAAGTATATCAAACTGTCTTCTAGCACTCTAACCAAGAGCACTTCCTAAAAAAGCACCTCACTATGAAAAGCAACTAATAACTTTGGAAAAATTTTAAGCATTTTCTTCAATTACTTCAGGCAGTGATTTAACACTAAAACAAAGTAAAGCAAAATTAAAATCTCCTTCTTGGTCTGATTTCTTTTCTTTTCTTTTCTTTTTTTTTTTTTTTTTGAGATAGGGTCTTGCTCTGATCACCATTCACTGCAGCCTTCATCTCCCAGGCTCCAGCAATCCTCCCACCTCAGCCTCGAGTAGCTGGCACTACAGGTGTGTGCCACCATGCTGGCTTTATTATTTTATTTTTTGTAGAGATGAGGTCATGCTCTGTTGCCATAGGTGGTTTCAAACTCCTAGGCTCAAGCGATTCTCCTGCCTCAGCCTCCCAAAGTGCTGGGATTACAGGCATGAGCCACTGCATCTGGCCATTGATCTGATTTTACCTTGGAGTCATATTATGTAATTCAGTCATTCTTTTGATTAGATACTAAAGCCTTTCTATTTCAAAAGGGAATATAAAGACATAGTCTCTCAAGGACTTACATTGCCATATGTGCACTCCAACCAAGGGTAAAAGGTGGTTTTGTATTTTCAGTGCAATGAGATGACAGGGTCAGGTATCTTGGAATGATGACTTGCTGCCCAATCTTATTGTTAAGCGAGAGAGCCACATTGAAGCTATATCGTTTCAAATGGAGAATGAGGACCCTGAAAAACAGGAGATGACAACCTTACTAATTCATACATAATACATGTATCTTTCTTACAGTAAAAGAGATCACTCTATGTTAGACGACTTTTGATTTAAAAAATCCATTTGGCCAAACCAAAGACACGTCAAAGAATATTTACTGAATACCTGTTAGTGCCAGGCATTGGGCTAGGTAAAAAGCATACAAATAATGGTGGATTAGTGTGGTTTGGGTAAAATACTTATAATGTTCCTAGAAAAAACACAAATAAATAAAATATAGCAGACAAGAATGTTAAATTTGGCACTGATATTGGGTTAAATCCTTAAATTATTTACTTCACTGTTACATAGTTTAAAAAGCAATAGGTTTTATATAACCACTACTAGTAAAATAATGTCTATTAAAATGTTACATAGCTCTTATATTTGATGGTAAACATTAATTACTTCAAGATGATTTTTGATGAGAATTATTCTTTTATTTTCAGAAGTACTTTCTCTGTAGAAAGCTAAGGAGGAAATACAAAACTTTTCCCCATTTAGAAAAAAGCTTTACAAAAATTTGCATGCCAAATCTGATCTGTGGGTCTGTAAAGGCTTTTAGCTCTTTAGAAGCACTGAATTCTTTGTGGTTAAAATTGTGGTAACCTTTTCACTTCTCACACAGAACACGATCTCTGCTTGATGGATTAAATATATTTCTCAACCCACAAGAACACTTTAAAAATTGAATTTCAAACATCTTATGGGAATAAACTTCAGTTCTAGGCACACACACAAAAATGATCTATAAAAAACTGATTCTTACCATATATGCCTTCATCACAGAAGCCACAAACAAAAATTTGCAAACTGAAGTTATAGATTGTAGTTCTCTTTAAAAAGCGTGCTAGAACTCAGGATCTTCAAATATACAATTTGAGAGAATACAAGGACACAACTGATATGAAACCAATGTCAAAATTAAATATTTTAACTAGAATTTCAAATAACCTAACCAAAATAAAAGGTAATATGAGGCTACTCTGGACACACTGCCTATAGTGTAGCCCTGCTATGCATGGAGCAGTAAAAGGTGGGGGGGAAGGTAATATAAAACAGGAAAATGATAGTCAAAATCACTGATCTTCAAAGATGAGGCCCAACTTTGTGAACAGATTTGATAATGGCATCAGGCTCTTCAAGAATAAGAGTGGCTTTGAATATTAAACTGAACAAAAGTAGAACAAGACTAATCATTAGGATTTAAAGAGTGGCTTTGAATATTAAATTGAACAAAAGTAGAACAAAACTAATATTAGGATTTGACAAACAGAAGCTTCTATCACATAAGTCTGGAATAAATTAACCTTTAACACAAGTGATCTACCAGGAAAAAAAAAAAAAAGAAAAAAAAGAAAGAAAAACAAGGAGAAAAATTCCCCTTAGCATTTTTTTCCCCCCACTTGAAAAACCAAATAGCAAGAGAATGGGAAAGAGAAAAGACATCCAGCATGTGAGGTCAAAACTAGTCTTTTTAACTGTACACATAATTTCCTTAGTGACAGCTGGTAACAACCAATTCTTTGCCTTAAGATTCTTCCTCCCACCTTCCTGGCCTCAAACCACTCACAAACAGGAAAGAACAAATTCTCTTAATCCAAAAATATAAGTCTCTTAAGTCAATATAATAATACTGCTATGATTTATACACTTGAGGAGGCCGAGGCGGCCACATCACCTGAGGTCAGGAGTTTGAGACCAGCCTGGCCAACACGGCGCGACCCTGTCTCTACCAAAAACACAAAAATTAGCCAGGCGTGGTGGCGCGTTCCTGTAATCCCAGCTACTCAGGAGGCTGAGGCAGGAGAATCGCTTGAACCCAGGAGGCGGGGGTTGCAGTGAGCCGAGATCATGCCACCGCATTCCAGCCTGGGCAACAGAACGAGACTCTGTTTGAAAAAAACAAAAAACACAACATTTTTTGTAGAGATGGGGGTCTCACCATGTTGCCCAGGCTGGTCTTGAACTCTTGGTCTCAAGCAAACCTTCCACCTTGGCTTCTCAAAATGTTGAGATTACAGGCGTGAACCACCACACCCAGCCTTTATAAAGTCATTTCTTTAAAACCAACTTCCTTGGCCCGGCGCGGTGGCTTATGCCTATAATCCCAGCACTTTGGGAGGCCAAGGCAGGTGGATCACCTGAGGTCAGGAGTTCAAGACCAACCTGGTCAACATGGCAAAACCCCGTCTCTACTAAAAATACAAAAATTAGCCAGGTGTGGTGGCATACAGCTGTAATCCCAGCTACTCGGGAGGCTGAGGCAGGAGAATCGCTTGAACCCGTGAGGCAGAGGTTGCGGTGAGCTGAGATCGTGCCACTGCACTCTAGCCTGGGGGACAGAGCAAGACTCTGTATCAAAACAACAACAACAACAACAACAACAAACAACCAAAAAAAAAAACCAACTCCCATTTTCTAGAAAGGAGTAGATTATGAAATGTAAAAGAACTAGTCTCTAGGGGCTAGGTTCCAGAAATTCCACACTTACTGACAGAATATTGAAGCTAATAAAAGAAAGTAAAGCACTCTGTAGGCAAAGTGCTACATAAATACTTAATGTTAATAACAACCTTGGTGTTTGCGATCTATTCTTGGAAAGAACTAAAAGCTGTCCTGTAACCACATAATAATTTTTTGTAACTACTTCAGTTTTATGTTTATACAGAGCAGATACAATATAAGTTAATTTCATTCCTATATCAGAAAATTTATCTTATGATTACAGGAAATTTACTAATTTATAAGATCCTTAGAATGAAGGAACGCACAAACTGCAAAAAATTACTCCCTGTTTTATTCTTATATACATGTGTGTATGTGTCTATAGCAGGTTTTTACTGAAAGTATGGGATAACAGAAAAAGACTACAGCACAACACAGGGCAACAAAATATAACTGAATATTACACATTACTGAATTAAAAATTGACTAGCTAGTTCTTATAATTATTCCAAAGTCTCAGCAGCTGTATCCTCTGTTGCCATTTTCTTGGAACTCTCAAGACCCTTTTTCTCTTCAATATTTCAAACGCTTTTCCTTCCTTCCTTTAAATATATATTTCTTTCTTTTGTAGAGATGGGGTTTCCCTACGTTACCCAGGCTGGTCTTGAACTCCTGGACTCAAGTGATCCTCCTACCTCAGCCTCCCAAAGTGCTAGGATTACAGGCGTGAGCTATCACACCTGGTCACCTTTCTTATGCAAAAGCATTCTAGCTCTCTGCCCTCTTACACTCTGCACATTTCAGCTTTCCTGACCCTCTTTACCAATCCATTCTGGTAACCTTCATTTATTCAGTAATATTTGTATGAACTTTAAAAAGAAAAATTGAAAAGCAATTAAATGTACCTGGGAATTCTTTAGTCCATAGCAAAAAAAAAAAAAAAAAAAAAAAATTACCTAGGAAGCCTGTTAAATTTGTGCCTGACAAGAGCACACTTCCCACCACACTTCTCACAAGAATACTCCAGTTCTTCGGCCTATAAAAAGAAGGAAAAATAAAGCATGAAGGTGAATCAGCATTAGTATCTTAAATGCAAATAATTTGCTCTAGTCTTATTAGTTCCATTAGTGGAATGACAACTCTGAACCAGTTTTAAAAATTCTGTGTCTAGAGCCATGAGCCTTACCAAATTAAGACCCAATCCTCAAAATATACCTATAATATCATGCCCCATTTCAGAACTTCTAATTTCCTTTTTCACCAAGAATATATCTAAATTTATGATAGTAACTAGACTCTAAAATAGAAGATTCTTAGCCTTTTCAGCCTTTTCCCCATGGACACATATGAACCACTACCAAGAGTATATCCAGATTTTACCATATGGCCATAGCAGAGATAAGATCACCTTTAGGTTAGGTAGAATTTCTTGTCTGTTAGGTGTAACGCTACCCCTTTCGCATAATGGAACTCAATCTTCTCGTGACAGCCCACTAAGAACAACTGCTTTAAAAGGATGAAAAGTTGGGGTGAATACCATTACCTAGAGAACACTGAAACAAGAAATCCTTAAAAAATGGGGGTAAAAATACATAGGAAAATCTTCAAAGTCTATGATAATAACAAGAATAGTTTAAAAATGACTAAAAGAAAAGCAGAGTATTTATCTTTGGGTAGAGCTCAACGTTCACCATTTAATAAACAGATTTTTTTGTCTGTTTGTTTTGACACAGAGCCTTGCTCTGTCACCCAGGCAACTGGGTGGGAGGGAGGGGCGTGATCTCAGCTCACTGCAACCTCCACCTCCAGGGTTCAAGTGATTCTCGTGCCTCAGCTTGCCAAGTAGCTGGGACTACAGGCATGTGCCACCATACCTGGCCAACTTTTGCATTTTTAGTAGAAGCAGGGTTTTGCCGTGTTGGCCAGGCTGGTATTGAACTCCTGACTTCAGGTGATTGGCCTCCCTTGGCCTCACCTTGGGATTACAGGTGGGAGCCACCACACCCAGCCAGATTTTTTATTTTTTTTATTTTTTTGAGACAGAGTCTTGCTCTGTCGCCCAGGCTGGAGTGCAGTGGCGCGATCTCGGCTCACTTCAAGCTCCACCTCCCAGGTTCACGCCATTCTCCTGCCTCAGCCTCCCGAGTAGCTGGGACTACAGGCGCCCGCCACCACGCCCAGCTAATTTTTTTGTATTTCTAGTAGAGACAGGGTTTCACCGTGTTAGCCAGGATGGTCTCGATCTCCTGACCTCGTGATCCTCCCACCTCAGCCTCCCAAAGTGCTGGGATTACAGGCGTTAGCCACCGTGCCCGGCCTTATTTTTATTTTTTATACCTTAGGAAGACAATCCTGCCAATTTGCTACAACACAACAAGGACCGCTACTAGACAGATCAAGGGGGAATCGATTCTTGCAAATTTCCACTAGTTTATAAGGACTGCTATAACAACAGTCTGATTATGCCCCAGAAACTTTCTCAATATCTGTAACGGTATATCACAGACACAAATATGTATCTACAGCTTTGGATAAACATGATTCTTTCTTCCTGTTTCTAATAGGGTACGTACAACCTAAGAAAGAGCAAAGAATATTTTCTTATTCTGCAGATCTTAGGATACCAACTTACGTGATATCTACAGTTTTAATTTCATGTTACCAAATTTTAGAATATGTTACTTCAAATACTTTAATATTTGTTTACAAATAACAAACTACTTTTTTTTTTTGAGACGGAGTCTCGTTCTGTCGCCAGGCTGGAGTGCAGTGGCGTGATCTTGGCTCACTGCAACCTCCCACTCCCAGGTTCAAGTGATTTTCCTGCCTCAGCCTCCTGATTAGCTGGGACTACAGGCACACGCCACCATGCCCAGCTATTTTTTGTATTTTTAGTAGAGACCGGGTTTCACCATGTTGGCCAGGATGATCTTGATCTCTTGACCTTGTGAACCGCCTGCCTTGGCCTCCCAAAGTGCTGGGATTACAGGTGTGAGCCACTGCGCCTGGCCAACAAACTATTTCTAAGATTGTCTAAATGCTTGCTATTGAGTTAAATTTATAATCTATTTAAGCAATTAATTTTCTTTTTCAATGAGTTATAATTAGATTTATCAAGCTTTTAAAAATAATAATAATTTACAAAAACTTCTCATCTGTTTTCCCCACGAATAATGTTGTTGAAACTCTGCCAAAACCAGGTGTGGTGGCTCACACCTGTAATCCCAGGACTTTGGGAGGCCAAGGTGGGCAGATCACTTAAGGTCAGGAGTTCGAGACCAGCCTGGCCAACATGATGAAACCACGACTCTACCAAAAAGTACAAAAATTCACCAGACATGGTGGCATGATCCAGCTACTTGGGGAGGCTGAGGTGGGAGGACCGCTTGAAACTGGGGGCAGAGGTTGCAGTGAGCTGAGATTGTGCAACTGCACTATAGCCAGGGTGACAAAGTGAGACCCTGTCTCAAAAAAAAAAAAAAAAAAAAAAGAAAAGAAAAGAAACTTTGCCTTGAAGAAACCAACTTCAAATATTCAAATACAACTATCAATGATATAAAATTTAGTTATGTGAAAATACAAAAGATATTATTTACCCTAAAGAAAAGATCAAGAGAATCTTGAATTGAACGAGGAGGGAGTGGTTTTTTCCTACGAGGAAGGTCAATAGAGAGGTCATTAAACTGTTCTCTTTTGGGGATAATCTCTCCACATCTGTAAGAATAAAATGAGACATGTAAGCATTTAGACCAATACACAAGAAACACAAATATACCTGAGAAACTCTGTTCTTCCACAGAACTTATGGTACTGACACACTATCACCAGGCATAAGAACTATATACATTTAAGACTTTTTCATGCTTACTTTAACCCTTATTAAATTAATACAGATAAAACCTCAATTGCAAGTATTTAAGTACTTTACTTAAATCTTTTTTTTGTGAGATGCAGTTTCGCTCTTGTCACCCAGGCTGGAGTACAATGGTGCGATCTCGGCTCACTGCAACCTCCGCCTCCCGGGTTCAAGCGATTCTCCTGCCTCAGGCTCGCAAGTAGCTGGGATTACAGGCATGCGCCACCATGCCCGGCTAATTTTGTATTTTTAGTAGAGACGGGGTTTCTCCATGTTGGTTAGGCTGGTCTCGAACTCCCGATCTCAGGTGATTCTCCTGCCTTAGCCTCCCAAAGTACTGGGATTACAGGCGTGAGCCACCACGCCCGGCCAATTTTTAAACTTTATATAAGCAACCCCCAAACTTTAAAAAACTAAAGTATAACATAACATACAAAAGTGAACCTGTCGCAGGTATACAGCTTGATAAATTATCAGTTAACACATTCATTACCACTCAAATCAAGAAACAGGGCCAGGTGTGGTGGCTGGTGCCTGTAATCCCAGCACTTTGGGAGGCCAAGGTGGGTGGATTACCTGAGGTCAGGAGTTCGAGACCAGCCTGGCCAACATGGTGAAACCTTGTCTCTACAAAAAATACAAAAATTAGCCAGGCGAGGTGGCGCGTGCCTGTAATCCCAGCTACTTGGGAGGCTGAGGCAGGAGAATCACTTGAACCCAGGAGGCGGAGGTTGCAGTGAGCTGAGATCACGCCACTGCACTCCAGCCTGGGCGACAGAGAGAGACTCTGTCTCAAAAAAAAAAAAAAGAAAAACAACAAAAAAAGAAAGAAACAGAACAACACCATCAACTCCCTAGAAGCCCCCTTGCACATATCCTTTTCCAATCACTACCCTCCTTCCTTCTCCCCCAAAATAACTATTTTTTATTTTTTTGAGGCGGAGTTCTGCTTTTGTTGCCCAAGCTGGAGTGCAATGGCACGATCTCAGCTCACTGCAACCTCTGCCTCCCCGTTTCAAGCAATTGCTACCTCAGCCTCCCAAGTAGCTGGGATTACAGGTGCACACCACCACGCCTGGCTAATTTTTACTATTTTAGTAGAGATGGGGTTTCATCATGTTAGCCAGGCCAGTCTGGAACTCCTGACCTCGTGATCCACCTGCCTCGGCCTCCCAAAATGCTGGGATTACAGGCACCAGCCACCACACCTGGTCCCAAAAGACAATTATTATTCTGACTTCCAACACTATAGATGTTCTGCCTGTTTTTGAACCTTTTATAATGGGATTATGCAATATGTTTTCTTTTAGTTGGCCCCTCTTTTGTTCAGCATGATTGTAATATTTAACTATGCCTGCTGCGCATGACTCTACTGCATTTTCGTTGTTGTATAGCTTTAATCTGTATGAATATTCTACAATTATCCATGTTAGTACTGATGAGCATTTAGGTTGTTTCCAGTTGTTGGCTATATAAGTAATGCTGCTTTAAAAATTCTACATGTTTGGCCAGGCACAATGGCTCACGCCTGTAATCCCAGCACTTTGGGAGGCCGAGGTGGGCGGATCACGAGATCAGGAAATCAAGACCATCCTGGCTAACACGGTGAAACCCCGTCTCTACTAAAAATACAAAAAATTAGCCAGGTGTGGTGGCAGGCACCTGTAGTCCGGAGGCTGAGGCAGGAGAATGGTGTGAACTCAGGAGGCTGAACTTGAAGTGAGCCGAGATCGCACTACTGCACTCCAGCCTGGGAAACAGAGTGAGACTCCAACTCTAAATAAATAAATAATCTACATGTTCTTTATGTGCATATGTGGATACTTCTATTAGGCAGCAGAATGATTTAGTTATCAAATATATTTTTTATAGAATTTTAAAACGTGAGCTCAGAGATTAAAACACCATATTCAATTTACCTAGAGGCAAATTTCTTTTAAATAGCTTTAGCTGACCGTTTTTCATTTTGTCTTATCAGTACTTTAGGTAATATTCATATTTCTACCCTAATTCCCTACTGTTACAGCTAAAGACTGAAAAACATAAGAGTATATTTGTCTTTGATTCAACGAACATTTACTGAGTGCCTCTCTAACAGGCAGAATTCTAAGGTGACCCTCGACTTTGTATATTTCTGTCCCCTTTGAGTGTGGGTAGAACCAACCTGTGATAATGATGAGCTGTCACGCCTATGATGATGTTATTTTACCTGGCCCAAAGGAATTTTGCAGACATAATTAAGGTTACTAATCTTAACTTCGAATGAATCAAAAAGGAGATTATCTGAATGGGTCAGATCCAATCATATGAGCCCTTCTGTTTGTTTTTGAGACAGGCTCTTGCTCTGTTGTCCAGGCTGGAGAGCAGTGGCCCGACCACGGCTCACTACAGCCTCGACCTCCCAGGCTCAAGCAATCCTCCCACCTTAGCCTCCCAAATAGCTGGGACTACAGGTGTGCACCACCATGTCTGGCTATTTTTAAACTTTTTGTAGAGAAGAGGGTATCGCTATGTTGTCAGGGCTGGTCTCAAACACCTAGATTCAAGTGATCCTCTTGCCTCAGCCTCCCAAAGTGCTGGGATTACAGGCATGAGCCACCATGCTCTGCCCATATGAGCCCTTTAAATCTGGGTCTAGAGGATAAAAAGAGAAGTCTGAAGTAAGCAAGATGTATACTTCCTACTAGCCTGGAAAAAAGCAAACAGCACTGTTGTGAAGTGCCTATGAGGGGGCCATGTGGCAAGGATCTATAGGCAGCCTTTAGGAAATGAGTGGTTCCAGTGGACAGCTAGCAAGAAAATGAGGATCTCAGTCCTATAACCATAGGATCTGAATTCTACCCACGACCTTAATGAGATAGAAGAGGAACCTGGGCTCCAGATGAGAGCACAGGCAGTAATACCTTTATTTCAGCCTTATGATACTCTGAGCTGAGAACTTAGCCATACTGTGCTTAGTTTTCTGACCTACAGAGCTGGGATGAATAAATGGGTGTTGTTTTAAGCTAATATGTTTGAAGCAATTTCTTACACAGCACTGAAAACCTAATAGGGCCTCCTACATGCCAGAAAATGTTCTAGGCACTGGGGTGATAGCAGTGAATAAACCAAGGCAAAAATACCTCCTCTCATGAAGCCATCATTATACTGGGAGAGACAATGAAATCGACACTAGTAAAACATACAGTATGTTAGATAGTGATATATGTAAAGAGGAAATACATAGTAGGGAAGAGGGAAATGAAAGATCAGAGCAGAGTATCTGATAGCATGGCAAGAAAACACATCACTGAACAAATGGCCTTTATGTAAAGATCTGGAAAAGTGAGGGCACTATCTAAATGAGAATATGGGGGCCAGGTGTGGGGGCTAGTGCCTGTAATCCCAGCATTTTGGGAAGCTGAAGTGGGAAGTTGGCTTGAGCCCACAAGTGTCAGACCAGCCTAGGCAACATTGGAAAACCCAATCTCTACAAAAAATCAAAAAAATTAGCCAGGCATGGTGGTGTGCACCTGTAGTCCCAGCTATTCGGGAGGCTGCGGCGGGAGGATTGCTTGAGCCAGGGAAGTTGAGGCTGCAGTGAGCTGTGATTAAGCCACTGCACTCTAGCCTGGGTGACAAAGCAACACCCTGTCTCAGAAACAAATCAGCAATTAAATAAAAATAAAAATAAGAGAATTTTGGGAAAGAGAATTCAAAATAGAGGAAATGGTAAGTGCAAAGACTCTAAGGCACTATGATCCTGGTGTTTTTGAACAAAAGCAAGGAAGCTCATTTCGTTAAAATAGAATGAGCAAGGGAAAAGTGTGACAGAAGATGAAGACAGAGAGTTAAGAGAGATGGGGGTAGGAGTGCTGAGAGGCAGATTACATGAGGTTATACAAGTCACAGGCTTTTAAATTTTATAAGCAGAAGGTTGACATGAACTAACTTCCATTTTAAATGGATTGCTTTGGCTTATGTGTTTAAAACAGACTGCAGAAACATGGTAACTAATTTAAAAGATGCTGCAACAATTCAAACAAGAGATGATAGTGGCTTGGTGTAGGGTAGTGGCAATGAAAGTGGTAAAAAGAGGTCACATTCTGGATGTATTTCCAAGGTAGAGCTGAAAGGACTTGCAGACATATGAGATGTCAGGTTTGAGAAAAAGAAATACAAAGCTGGGCACAGTGGCTTACGCCTGTAAACTCCAGCAATTTGGGAGGCCAAGGTGGGAGGGTTGCTTGAGGCCAGTTCAAGACTAGACTGGGCAACACAGTGAGAGCCCGTCTCTAGAAAAAATTTAAAAATTAGCTGGGTGTGGTGGCATGTGCTCGTAGTCCTGGCTACTCTAGATGCTGAGGTGGGAAGGATTGCTTAAGTTCAGGAGTTAGCAGGCTATAGTAAGCTATGACTGCACCACTGCACTCCAGCCTGGGTGACAGAGCAAGACTCTGTCTTAAAAAAAAAAAAATTTTTTTCCCTCATATTCAAGAATATATTATTAATACACTGAATTGCCTTATATTAATTAAAAAGCAGTCAGTTTAAACTGTAATGGTTTTTTTTAAAAAAAGTACATTTGCCAAACTGGCCAAACAAACCTATAGCAAGATGGGGCAGAGGATAAACACACAAAATTACAATCCAAAGGGTAATGTGTGTGGAATCTTCCTTCAGCCAGAAACTACTTTGTGTTAGAGAACTGTCCTAAATAAAATTACTAATGAAGCAACAGAACCCTATCCCCACCCAGCTGGCACAACCTGCCCGGTCTAGCCACCTGGTGTGCCTATATCCCATGACCCATGCCATTTATTGCATTGATGCACATACCTCAACTGCATATCCAACATCTGGGTGCTGTACAATTAAAGTGCCTAACACCACTGGCACAGTGTAGAAGCTACTACTCTGATATGGCCTTCTTTCTTTCTTTTTTTGAGATGGAGTCTTGCTCTGTCACCCAGGCTAGAGTGCAATGGCATAATCTCAGCTTACTACAACCACCTCCTCCCAGGTTAAAGCAATTGTCCTGCCTCAGCCTCCCTAGTAGCTGGGACTACAGGTGTGCACCACCACGCCTGGCTAATTTTTGTATTTTTAATGAAGATGGGGTTTCACCATGTTGGCCAGGCTGGTCTCGAACTCCTGACCTCAGGTGATCCACCCACCTTGACCTCCCAAAGTGCTGGGATTACAGGCGGGAGCCACCATGCCCAGCCTGATATGGCCTGCTTTCTTCTGGGTTGCCTGAATGATCCCACTGTCCAGCTCCCCAGACCTGACTGACAGAGCTGGTGGACTGCCTGTGGTCATTTTCAACTGAGGCAACTTAAATTTTCCTATAAAAAAAATTTGAATGGTACGCCCATAATTCAATGAAATAATAACTGAAAACTTTGCCTCTCACTTTGACTTGCACAAATTTTGTCTGGAAGGTGCATTAGAAGGAAGAGATAAATGGCTATTATATTATTAACTGCTGTTGGACTCTCCAGCTTTTATAAGCTGAACCATACTTGCAAGATCCGGATATTTTCTTTAGACAACCATTTATCCACCAGGGGGAAAAGTCTGATGAAGTCCTGAATGAAAGCAAGCAGTGTCACAGACTACTGATGCAAAACTGTCTTTATTAAAATTCTGGTTAAAAATGCTAGAATGTTATAGCTGGAAAAGATGTCAGTGAACACTATCATTTTGAGCAGCCTGAGAAAAATAGATATGGAGGACAGAAAATTGGAGAACCAATATGGATTATGAATATTTCTGAAGAAAATTCCAGAATGGAAAAGAAGCAGTATTTAGAGAATAGTTTTCTGGAGCTGGAGAAAATCCCAAAGCTTCAGATGAAAAGGCTCTACCATATTAAGGCAAAAGTAACAAAAAGTGTTAATAACTAGATGTAAACTAGTGAAACTGTGAATTTCAAAAATAAAGAATACCACAGATTTTCAGGAAGAAAAAGAAAAAAATTCCCACAAAGTCAGGTTTCTTATGAGTGGCACAGAGTAATAGGATATGATAGGGCGGTATACTTAATACACTGATGGGTAAAGACTATGTGTGAGTCAATAATTCTGCATTAAGTCATGTGTGAAAGTCATAGAAATAATTCTCTCTTATATAGAGACTGTGAAGAATTACATTTTATCTGAAAAAAATCTATTCAGAGATGTACTACAGATGACTGGAAGATTAGTCAAAGTAAAATATTTTAAAGTGATGTGCAGGCTATAGAAGTCCTGATAAGTATGGAAATTAATTTAATGTAGAAAGTCTGGATAATTACTGTAAATACGGTTGAAAAACATTGCAAAAGGTAAAAATAATTCAAATTCGGATCTATTTTGTAAAAGAAAATATTTTTAGTAAAAATAATTTGGGGTTCAACCAAAAAAGCAAGTAATAAGTTGTGTTTTTTTTTCAGTGACAAAGAAAAACAAGTATTCCCAAACAAATCGATATTCTACAATGGAAAAGATGTAGAATGAAAAAAATAAAACTATAGATTAAAATTAAGTGTTAGGCAATACTAAAGTGTATAATAAAGTATTTAAATTTTCCTCAGTTCTCACTCTGCCACGCGTTTTTGTTTCGTTTTGTTTTTTGAGATAGGGTCTTGCTTTGTTGCCCAAGCTGGAGTGCAGTGGCGTCATCATGGCTTACTGCAGCCTCAACTTGCAGTGTTCAAGCAATCCTCCCACTTCAGCCTTCCAAGTAGCTGGGATTATAGGTGTGCATCACCACACCTGCCTAATTTTTATATATTTTGTAGAGATGGGGTTTCCCCATGTTGCCCAGGCTGGTCTTGAACTCCTGGGCTCAAACCATCTGCCCACCTCATCCTCCCAAATTGTTGGGATTACAGGCATGAGCCACTGTGCCCAGCCCAAGCATTTCTATAGAAAAAGACTCTGAAAAAAAGGTTTGATATAATCTGTTGGTTTATATTTCCCCTATGACGTAGAAAGGAAGATGAGATAAAAATTCATTACTCGGGAGGCTGAGGTAGGAGGATCACTTGATCCCAGGAGATCCAGGCTGCAATAAGCTGGGGTTGTGCCACTGCACCCAAGAGCCTAGGCAACTGTGTGAGACCCTGTCTTAAAAACAGAAAAGAATTCATGGCATTTGGTATGTCATAGAAGAATTTTAATCACTTGCCATAAAGAAGTAAAAAGGGAAATCATTTCTTAGACACTACTTACGCTTTACAAATGATGGAGTGCTGAACCTCAAACTCCAAATTAGTAATAACAGGGCAAGTGTATGCTCTGGTAGCTGAAATATCTGGTGAATTTTCTTCTCCAGAAACAGGTTCAGTCTTCCAAGTTTTATTTAATTTTTCCATATCTTCTTTCAGCTGGTCCAAACACTGACTTAAAAATTCATGAGCATCCTAATAAGACAACAATATCCTTAATCAGATAAAAACATTTCTTGTCACAATAGCTTACTGAGGCTGGGTGTTGTGCCTCATACCTGTAATTCCAGCACTCTGGAAGGCTGAGGCAGGCGGATCACTTGAGGTCAGGAGTTCGAGACCAGCCCGGCCAACATGGTGAAATGCCATCTTTATTAAAAATACAAAAATTAGCCAGGTGTGGTGGCAGTCCCTGTAATCCCAGCTACTTGGGAGGCTGAGGCAGAAAAATTTCTTGAACCTGGGAGGCAGAGGTTACAGTGAGCCAAGATCGCACCATTATATTCCAGTTTGGGTGACAGAGCAAGATTCCGTCTCAAAAGAAAAGAAAAAAAAACCAACAACAAAAAACAAAACAAACAAAAAATAATAGCTTATTAACATTATAATTTATACAGTGAAAACCCTTGAAAGTCAATGACATATGTGAACAATGTCAGGTTTATTCTTATAAGAATTTGGGGAGCTGCATATTTTGTGAATAAAAACAAATGACAGATTATATATTCTTAATAATTATATCAGTTGCACTGACATGAATCAATGAATAACTCCTCACTTTGTTAAAAGAGGTAATTTTCGCAGGTAACACAGCCCAGGTCCTTGCACTGGTAAATCAAATCTATATTTGAAGAGTCACATTTAATCTTACTACAGCTCCTTAGGTTTTTCTTTCTTTCTTTCTTTCTTTGAGACAGATTTTCGCTCTTGTCACACAGGCTGGAGTACAATGGCACAATCTCGGCTCACTGCAACCTCTGCCTCCAGGGTTCAACCGATTATCCTGCATCAGCCTCCCAAGTAGCTGGGATTACAGACATGCGACATCACGCCTGGCTAATTTTTTTGTATTTTTAGTAGAGATGGGGTTTCACCTCATCAGTCAGGCTGGTCTGGAACTCCTGACCTCAGATGATCCACCCGCCTCGGCCTCTCAAAGTGCTGGGATTACAGGCATGAGCTACCGCACCCAGCCTCTCCTCAGGTTTTTCAATCTATAATGAACACACATACACAAATCTCGTTTTAAAATAAAAATCAAGAAACACACTAAAATCATGTCAATTTCCATGATTTCTTACACGTTATTTATTTGTTTTATTTTTATTTTTTTGAGACAGAGTCTTGCCCTGTAGCCCAGGTTGGAGTGCAATGGTGCGATCTCAGCTCACTGCAACCTCTGCCTCCCAGGTTCAAGAGATTCTCCGGCCTCAGCTTCCTGAGTAGCTGGGATTACAGGCATGTGCCACCATGCCCGGCTAATTTTTTTTAATCTTTAGTAGAGACAGGGTTTCACCATGTTGGCCAGGCTGGTCTCAAACTCCTGACCTCATGATCCACCCACCGTGGCCTCCCAAAGTGCTGGGATTATAGGCGTGAGCCACCGCACCTGGCCTATTTTATTTATTTTTATAAATATTTATTTATTTATTTTTTGAGATGGAGTCTTGCTCTGTCACCCAGGCTATAGTGCAGTGGTATGATCTTGGCTCACTACAACCTCTGCCTCCCGGGTTCAAGCAATTCTCCTGCCTCAGGCTCCCGAGAAGCTGGGATTACAGGCGCATGCCACCACGCCTGGCTAATTTTTGTATTTTTAGTAGACACAGGGTTTCGCCATGTTGGCCAGGCTGGTCTCAAACTCCTGACCTCAGTGACCTCAGGTGACCTGCCCACCTAGGCCTCCCAAAGTGCTGGAATTACAGACGTGAGCCACCGTGTCAGGCCTCTGAAACGTTTTAAAACAATTAATACTCACATTCTGCATATAACCAGAGAATCTCTCTGCTGTAGCTGAAATGGCATTTTTAACCTTCTTGAGTAAATCCTTTTTGGTCTCTGAATTACAGATATCTTTTTTAACAAGCAAGTGTGCAAAGCGTCTAGTAAAACAAAAAACACAAAGTTAGCACGTTTTACATGACATGGCGTGATATTTTAAAGAATAATTACTAATAATGGCACAGAAAATTTTTGAGTGTCTAAAATTCCATTATTCTATAATCAATGAAGTAAAAGGTTACTCAGTAAGTACAGTACATAATGATTACCTGATAAGTGCATTGAGTGGAATTTTCTTCCATGGGATACCTTGTTTAAGCAAGTCATTTGCAAATGACTGGAGTGAAAATAGAGATTGTAGAATAGCATTCATATAGCAGGTATTTCCCAAATTGGAGAAGCTGAAAATTAAAGAAATAGTGCTTTAGAAGGCAACAGGAATTCCTAAAGTATGTTCAGTATAGTAGGAGTTCTCCACTTTATGTTTCAGAATCACCTGGAGGGCTTGTTAAACTACATATTACTACACCCTAACCCCAAGGTTTCTGATTCAGTAGGTTTGGACACAAATGTGTCCAAAAAAAGAAGGCACAAAAATGTCCATTTCTAACAAGTTACTAGATCACGTTGATGCTGCTGGTCTGGGGACTCTACTTTGAGAACTACTGCATTATGACATTATAATAATAGGCCAGGCGCAGTGGCTCATGCCTGTAATCCAAGCACTTTGGGAGGCCGAGGCAGGCAGATCACTTGAGGTCAGTAGTTTGAGACCAGCCTGGCCAATATAGTGGAACACTGTCTCTACTAAAAACACAAAAATTAGCCAGGCATGGTGGTATGCGCCTGTAATCGCAGCTACTTGCAGGCTGAGGCACGAGAATCGCTTGAACCCAGGAGGCAGAGGTTGCAGTGAGCCAAGATTGTGCCATTGCACTCCAGCCTCAGCAACAGAGTGAGACTCTGTCTCAAAATAAATAAAATAAATAAATAAATAATAACTTAGTTTGATCTAATGGAAAAGTATACATTTTCAAAATTAATGCTAAACATGACTGGGGGCTTAACTAAAGTGCTTTTCATTCTTACTTATAATTTATTTTTTCATTTAAATATAACTTATTCATTTCTCTGAAAATGAATGCTCAGAAAAGGAATTACTGGGTCATAGAATATATGTGTTTAGGTACTGCCAAATCTTTTTCCTAAGTACAAATATATTTTAAAAACTTTTTATGCCGGGTGCAGTGGCTCATGCCTATAATCCCAGCACTTTGGGAGGCCAAGGCGGGTGGATCACAAGGTCAGGAGGTGGAAACCATCCTGGCTAACACGGTGAAACCCTGTCTCTACTAAAAATACAAAAAATTAGCCAGGCGTGGAGGCATGCGCCTGTAGTCCCAGCTACTTGGGAGGCTGAAGCAAGAGAATTGCTTGAACCCGGGAGGCGGAGCTTGCAGTAAGCTGAGATCACGCCACTGCACTCAAGCCTGGGCAACAGAGCAAGACTATGTTTTTTAAAAAAACAAAAAACAACAAAAAAAAACCTTTTAATTTAGAAATAAATTTAGACTTCCAGAAGAGATGCAAAAATCTTTACCTGGATTCACCAACTGTTATACTTCTGTAATGTGCACTTCATCACTTAATATCCCTCTCTCTATATATTTTTCTGAAACCATTTCAGAGTAAGTTGCATTTATTAAACCCCTTTAGTTCTAAATACTTTAGTGTATATTTCATAAGACCATTCTTATAAATAATCAGAGTACAATTATCAGCATCAGTAAATGTAACACTGATACAATATTCTATCTAATATACGTTTCTTAATTCAATTTTGTCAACAGATCCAAGAAGGTTCTTTATAGCTTTTCTTCCCTCACTTAGGTACAAGATTCAGTCCAGGATCACATGCTGTTTTCATGTATGTCTCTTTAGTTTTCTTTAATCTGGAGTAAGTCCTCAGCTTTCTCTTACATGACACTGACATTTTTGAAGAATACAGTTCTCCCTACCCTGGGTTGTTTTATTTTTGTTTTTGAGACAGGGTCTTGCTCTGTTGTCCTGGCTGGAGTGCAGTGGTGTGATGACAACGTACTGCAGCCTCAACCTCCCGGGCTCGAGCAATCCTCCCACCTCAGCTTCCCCACTACAATGTGTGCCACTATGCCTGGGTAATTTTTTAATTTTTGTAGAGATGGATCTCACTATGTTGCCTAGGCTGGTATTGAACTCCAGGGCTCAAGCAATCCTCCTTCCTTGGCCTCCCAAAGTGTTGGGATTACAGGCGTGAGCCACTGCACCCAGCCTGTTTTTTTCGTTTTTTCTTTTTTTAGACAGAGTCTTGCTCTGTTGCCCAGGATGGAGTGTAGTGGCGTGATCTCAGTTCACTACAACCTCTGCCTCCCGGGTTCAAGCAAGTCTCATGCCTCAGCCTCCCAAATAACTAGGGTGACAGGCGTGTGCCACCACACGCAGCTAATGTTTGTATTCATTTATTTATTTATTTATTTATTTTGAGACGGAGCCTTGCTCTGTTGCCCAGGCTGGAGTGCAGTGGTGTCATCTCGGCTTACAGCAACTTCCATCTCCCAGGTTCAAGCAATTCTCCTGCCTGAGCCTCCTGAGTAGCTGGGATTACAGGTGTGCACCACCAGGCCTGGCTAATTTTTTTGTATTTTTAGTAGAGGTTTCATCATGTTGATCAGGTTTGTCTTGAACTCCTGATCTGCCCGCCTTTGCCTCCCAAAGTGTTGGGATTACAGGCATGAGCCACCGTGCCCAGCCTGTATTTTTAATAGAGACGGCGTTTCCCCATGTTGGCCAGGCTGCTCTCGAACTCCTGACCTCAAGTGATTCACCTGCCTCAGCCTCCCAGAGTGCTGGGATTACAGGTGTGAGGCACTTCACCTGACCTAGCCTTATTTTTAATAGAACATCCCTCATACTGGGTTTGCTATTTCCTCATGATGAGATTCAGCCTAAACTGGAAGAGCACATGAACAAACAGTGATACCATGTCATGCCTTTTTTTTTTTTTTGAGAGCTTGTTTGGAGTTTCTAGCAGGGGAGTGCAGCTACTCGTATACTCTTGGCTGAAGACCAGTCCTCCTCTATTGGGGATGGTCATCCTCTTTGACTGAGCACGCAGGTTTGCGACAGACACACATGGAGTGGTGAGGGAGGAAGGGGATACCCGCCTAGCCAGTCAGATCAGCCAAATCAACCCTGGTGAACAACGGGGTGACAGATGTCACAGTCAGATCGCCCTCACATCCAATCTTTTTTTTTTTTTTTTTGAGAGGGTCTCATTCTGTTGCCCAGGCTGGAGCACAGTGGCACAATCTTGGCTCCCTGCAACCTCGACCCCCCCGGACTCAGATGATCCTCCCACCTCAGCTTCCTGAGTAGCTGGGGTTACAAATGCGCACCACCATGCCAGGCTAATTTTGTATTTTTTTGTAGAGACAGAATTTTGTCATGTTACCAAGGCTGGTTTTGAACTCCTGGGCTCAAGCAATCTGCCTGCCTTGACCTCCCAAAGTGTTGAGATTATAGGTGTGAGCCACATGTCTGGTGGACACTGTATCCTTCTAAGGGCATCACATCCAGGAATACATGATATTCCTGTGTTGCCCATGGGTGATGTCAATTTTGAGTACCTGAGAGAACTACTGCTTCTGCTTCTGCCTATGAGGAAGTTTGAGAGTCTGGAATTACCTTCCTACTATAAACAATGAGAAAACTGGACAAAATAGAGAAAACAGCTATTTTCAGATACTAGACAATAGGCAGCACAAAACAGTGATCCATAAGAGAAGGAAAATAAATGATGTGAGTCCTACTATTACCCAGATTTTCTGTCTGGAGGCAATTTGTGAACTGCAATTCAGGGAGCACCCAAACAGAGCCTAGAAATCTTACCAAGTTGAGCTGAGAGAAATGAGTTCGAAAAGCTGAGGTTGCTGAGATTTCTGGGACAGAGTACTTGAGAGGAAGGAACTGAACAAAGGAAAAGCTCCAGAAATCTGCATAGCAGTCTGCTTGAATATTTGGCTGAATACCAACCTGTGTATGCAGAGTGAAACTCAGTCTTCTTGACACTAATCAAGAACAACTTCAAGGAAAAGAATGTTTACTATGGAGCTACTGGCCAAACAACTCCCAGAACTCACACAGGGACTAAAATTCCACCAGTTCGAATTTACACCAGTCAGAGTAGAGAGACCTAGATGAATTCACAGAGTGTTAACAGAGACTCCAAAGGAACTATGCTTTAGGAAAGGAAGCAAATTAGCCTTAGAGTAAAGGATACTCTATATTCAAAAAGAACTTAAGCAGATCACACAGCTGAGAAAGAAGAAAAAAAACAGAAATGAAAAAGAAGAACTTAAACAGGAGACTCAAAACAATCAAAACTACTGCAGACAAGAATATTAAAACAACTACTTAAAATATGCTCTACACGATCAAGAATGGAAAGGAAATCATAAACATAATGAGAGAAGTGAAAGATTTTTTAAAGACCCAAATTAAACTTCTAGAGATGAAAATCACAATATTTAAAATGAAAATTTCACTTGATGCGATTAATAGCATATTAGACACTGTAGAAGGAAATATCTGAACTTGAAAAGACAGCAACAGAATAGATTCCCACTAAACCTGTGGGACGATATCAAATACAATTATATTTATATCAAATATAACTGGAATCCAGAGAGAAGAGTCAGAAAAAAAATCTGAAAAAATCAATATATAAAAACGTTCAAAATCTGATAAAAACTAGAAACCCACAGATCCAAGAAGCTCAACAAATCCCAAGTGAGATAAACACAAATCAAAATGAAGCCCACCAAAATAAAACTGCTAAAAATTAGCAACGAAGAGAAAATCTTGAAAAGCAGTCAGAGAAAAACTGTCTCAGTGCCTTCAAGGAGGAAGATTAAATCACTTACAAGGGCAGAAGAATTAGACTGGCATCTTATTTCTGAAAAGCAAATACAAAGCAAGGTAACAGTAAAGTAGCATTATAAGAAACCCAAGGAAAGAAAGCATGACCCAAGGATTTTACATCCAGCCAAACTATTTTTCAAATATCCAAGCTAGAGAAAAAATTTTGAATATGCAAGAACTAGGGAAACAAGGTACATAATTGTAAAGTTAAGACTAAAACAAGATTAAGACCGTAGGCTTCTAGTCAGAAATTATACAAAAAAGAAGACAAAGAAAAGATATCTTTAAAATACTGAAAGAAACACATTATCACGTTAGAGTTCTATATAAGCTAGATTTCTAGATCCAATGGAAATATCTTTTAAAATTAAAAGCAAAATCCTTTTTCTGACAAACAAAATCTGAGAATACTTGCTGCCAAGAGACACGCACTGTAAGAAATGTTAAAGCGACATTCTTCATGCAGAAGGAAAAATGATACCAGACAGAAACTCAGATCTACACAAAAGAAGAGCACTTAAAACAGGAAATCATGTGGGAAAATACAAAATACATTTCTGTCTCATCTTTTAATTTCTTTAAATACACTGGACTGTTTAAAACAATAACACCAAATAATACACTTTAAATAGGTAACTACACGGTACGTGAATTTTTAAGGCTGTAAAAAAATCCTAACTACGTATTGTGGGATGTATAACATACATAGAAGTAAAATGGGCTGGGCGCGGTGGCTCACGCCTGTAATCCCAGCACTTTGGAGGCCGAGGCGGGCAGATCACCTGAGGTCAGGAGTTCGAGACCAGCCTGACCAATATGGAGAAACCTCGTCTCTACTAAAAATATAAAATCAGCAGGGCGTGGTAGCACATGCCTATAATCCCAGCTACTCTGGAGGCTGAGGCAGAAGAATTGCTTGAACCCGGGAGGCGGAGGCTGCAGTGAGCCGAGATCGCACCGTTGCACTCCAGCCTGGGCAACGAGAGCAAAACTCCATCTCAAAAAAGAAAAAGAAAAAGAAAAAGCAGTAAAATGTATGATAACAGTATAAATGATGTGGGGTGGGAGGCAATAATGGAGATAAAATGAACACAAAGGAAAGAAAGAAAAGAGAAAAAAGTAACCAAGGACAGATGGAACAAATAGAAGACAATTAGCAAGATGGTAGACTTAAACTCAGCCTTATCCATAATTGTGAAAAATGTTAATGGTCTAAATACTTCAACCATCAATTTAGACTGGATGATCTAATCATAAAAATGTGGAGTCACTATTAATATAAGACACAGCAGACTTCAGAAAAATATTATCAGGGATAAAAAGGGGCATTTCATAACAATAGGGAGGTCGATTCATTAAGATTTAATTAATATAATCCTAAATGTGTATGTGCCAAAAACAAAGCTATAAAATACATAAAGTAAAAACTGACAGAACTGGAAGGAAAAATATACAGGTTTCTGGCCTAATATACAAATTTCTGACCTAAGTTCTACTTTACTGGGTATCAGGACTGCAGCCTCTGATTTCTTATTGTTTCCATTAAATAATCTCTCCCTCCCTTTATTATAATACTTTTTGAATTACTGTTCTACGTATATTTCTAGTATGCAGCACAGAGTTCAGTTTTGCTTTATGAGACAGTTTTAGACTTTTTATATTGCTGTTAACCCCTTTATCATAAATTTTTAAAATCATCTAGCCTGTCCATTTTATTATTTTATGTTAGAGACAAGGTCTTGCTCTGCCACTTAGGCTGGAGCACAGTGGCACGACCATAGCTCACTGAAACTTTAAACTTCTGGGCTCAAGCAATCCTCCAGCCTCAGTCTCCCCGGTAGCTGGGATTAAAGACATGTACCACCATGTTGGGCTAATTTTTTATTTTATTTTATTATTTGTAGACAGAGGGTCTTGCTATGTGGCCCAGGCTGGTCTTGAATTCCTAGCCTCAAGTGATCCTCCCATTTCAGCCTCCCAAAGCGCTAGGATTACAGATGTGGGCCACTGTGCCTGGCCTAGCCTGCTCATTTTATTTATTTTTTTATTTTTGTAGAGACAGGGTCTTACTATGTTGTCCAGGCTGGTCTTGAACTCTCAAGCTCAAGTGATCCCTCCAACTTGGCCTCCTGAAGTGTTGGGATTACAGGCGTGAGCCATTACACTCAGCCTATTCATTTTAAATGGTATCCTTTGACTCACACCTATTACTTTATGAAACAGTCAACTACATTATTCTACTTTCTTCCTTCTCTCTCTTCACCCATTTTCTTTTAGTTGCAATCTTACTACTTTATCAGAAAAAAAAATTTGGGGGGAAATAGTGTCTCATTTTGTCACTCAAACTAGAGTGCAGTGGTGTGACCACGGTTCACCGTGGCCTCGACCTCCCAGGCTCAAGCAATCCTCCCACCTCAGCCTCCCAAGCAGATGGAACTACAGGTGTGCACAACCACACTTAGCTAAATTTTTTTTGTATTTTTTGTAGAGATGTGGTTTTTCTGTGTTTCCCAGGCTGGTCTCGAACTCCTGAGCTCAAGTGATCTGCCTGCCTCAGACTCCCAAAGTGCTGGGATTACAGGTGTTAGCCATCATGCCCAGCTGACATAATGTTTATATACCATTCTTTTATATGTATTCTCACCATTGTTTGTCTTAGTTCTATAACTGAATATATGAAATGTTCATCATTTACGTTTTTGTCAATGTTTCTCCAGTTACTCTTGGACGCATGAAGCTCATTTTCTGTAGAGTCCTCAGGAAGAGCAAATGTGTGTATAGTATTCCAAGTTCTTATACTCCAAACCTTTTTTCTCTAGCTTGCATATTTGACATCTTGGCTTGGCATGAAATCTTTGTTTCACACCTCCTTTCATTGAGTTTCTTGAAAATGATGTTAGTGTTATCCTGCTTTGCATGATGATTTTGAGAAGTCTGATGCCAGACTATTTCTGTTGCCCTTGTAAGTTATTTCATCTTTTTGATTCAGGAACTGAGGATTTTTCCTTGTCTTTAAAGTCTAATAGTTGTACTAAGATATGTCTTGATTATTCTAGGTCAATTTTCCAGATTGAAAGAGCTGGAAAGCTCTTTCAATATACAGATTCGAGACTTTTATTTCAGTGAAGTCTTCTTGGATTATAGCTGTTTTGTTGTTTTTTTTTTGAGACAAAGTCTTGCTCTCTGTCACCCAGGCTGGAGTGCAGTGGACTATCATGGTTCACTGCAGCCTTGACCTCCTGGACTCAAGCAAGCCTCTTGCCTCAGTCCCCTGAGTATCTGGGACCAGAGGTGCACGCCACCAAGCCCAGCTAATTTTTGTACTATTTGTAGAGATGGGGTTTCGCTATGTTGCCCAGATTGGTCTCGAATTCCTGGGCTCAAGAGATCTACCCACCTCTGCCTCCCAAAGTGCTGGTATAACAGGCATGAGTCACCATGCCCAGCAGGATTATAGTTTTTAACACTACTTCTGTCTCAATGCTTTAATCTTCTTCTTCCGGGACACTAATTATATGTAATATGGGTGTATTCTTTGCCTTTTTTCTAGTTCAACTACTTTCTTTCTGGCTTTTTTTTTTTTTTTTTTTTTTGAGATGGAGTGTCACTCTGTCACTCAGGCTGGAGTGCAGTGGTGCGATCTCAGCTCACTGCAACCTCCGCCTCCTGGGTTCAAGAAATTCTCCTGCTTCAGCCTCCTGAGTAGCTGGGATTACGGGCACACGCCACCATGCCTGGCTAATTTTTCTATTTTTAGTAGAGATGGGGTTTCACCATACTGGTCAGGTTGGTCTCGAACTCCTGACCTCAGGCGATCCATGCACCTCCCAAAGTGCTGGGATTACAGGGGTGAGCCACCACGCCCGGCCCTTTCTGGCTTTTTATACTTCTTTTTTTTTTTTTTTCATCTTTTTTTCCCTGGCTTTCCTTTTTAAAGCCCATTTCCATTTGAAATTATTTTCACTTGAGTATCTTTAATTTAAAACTTCATTTTCAATATGTCTTTTCTTCTCCATCTTTTCTGAGTTAAAGCATTTGTCATTTCATTTATTCTTGCTTGTCCATTGTCATTCTCAGTTTGAATTTTTTTTTTCTTTTTGAGACGGAGTTTTGCTCTGTCGCCCAGGCTGGAGTGCAGTGGCGCGATCTCAGCTCACTGCAACCTCTGCCTCTTGGGTTCAAGCAATTCTCCTGCCTCAGCCTCCCGAATAGCTGGGATTACAGGCACCCGCCACCACATCCAGCTAATTTTTTTGTATTTTTAGTAGAGACAGGGTTCATCATGTTGGCCAGGTTGGTTTTGAACTCCTGACCTCAAGTGATCCACCTGCCTTGGCCTCCCAAAGTGCTAGGTTTACAGGTGTGAGTGGTGCCTGGATTTTTATTCATGCTACTTTTTCATATTTTCAAGTGCTTCTTTCAAGGTATTTAATTATATTTATTTATTTATTTATTTGTTTTTTTGAGATGGAGTCTCACAGTTGTCCAGGCTGGAGTAGAGTGGTGCAATCTCGGCTCACTGCACTCTGCCTCCCTGGTTCAAGTGATACTCCCTCCTCTGCCTCCCAAGTAGCTGGGATTACAAGCTTGTGCCACCATGCCCAACTAATTTTTGTATTTTTAGTACAGACAGGGTTTCACCATGTTGGCCAGGCTAGTCTCGAACTCTTGACCTCAAGTTATCCGCCTGCCTCGGCCCCTCAAAGTGCTGGGATTACAGGTGTGAGCCACAGTGCCTGGCCTTAATTCTATTTAGCGTCTACCCACTGTAAACGGTTTACTTCATGGTTTGTTCTAGGGGGCAGAATTTTCACTGGCTGAAATATTTTGATTCATGCTTCTGTTTTTTTCTTATAGTCATTTTTTTATGGAAGTGGCCTGCTTTTTTACATTCCTATTCATTTTGTGAATAGGGCTTAATTGAAGCACTTAGTTTAGCAAAGTATAGTTTCTTTAATGGATGAGAATGATGGAGGTGGAGGGAGGGGAAAAAGAGAGGTTGGCACGTCTTGTTTCCCTTTCATTTTGACATGATCCTTAATTTTCTTCTCTTGCTTCTAAATCAAGTTTCCAGACTTGGCTAATTCTTCTCTATAAGTAATGATTCTTTGAGGCTGTTATTCTGGTACCACTGACATTCAAGCCTCTTCCCTATAACTAGTTCTGCAAACTACCAAGATCCAGATTCAGTATTTTGCTACTTATTATTGGATTTTATGTTTCTGGGAGTGATTTTCTTCAGTGCTTCATCTAAGTCTTCCACTCCTATAAATTATTTTTCATGGAATCCCTTAGGCTCCCTTCCCTAACTCTCAGCACCCACAGGCTTCACCAGTAGAAAACAGGAACACTGAAGGAATTTGGTTTGCTTCTGTTCTGAAGAAGGTAACTTAAAGGTGGTGGTATTGTCTCCTAGCAATGCTGAAGCATAGATTATGTGTGCTTTTCTTTGTACTCCTGGTTAATCTTATGGTTTTTTTTGGAGGATTTGTGAGGAACATTGCAATTAGGCAGTCTCCATTACCCTTTAGACCTGGTAGTTTTCTACTCAGTTTTTTTTTCTTTTTTTTTTTTAAAAGGAGTTCTTAGTCCTGAGTACTTACACTGCTTGAAATTACACTAAACTAATTCCTGGAAGAAGTCTAAAAAAGAGGAAAGATGTATTTCTAGAGATGGGTATAGGTACTATACAGAAATGAAAGAAACACTGAAGAAGCCTAGAGTACCAAGGGTGGCAACTCACAAGGCTCTCAAAAGAATCTGAAGGAGGTGAATAACAGAAACCACAAGTAAACTAAAATATATACAGGAGAAGGCAATAGGAAAATGAAACAAGTAAGATCAGGGTAGACAGAGACACAGACCCAGATGAAGAATGGTCACAAAATGGGATAGATAAGACCAATATAAAATGTTGTCTGGTTAGGAGGCAGCAAGATAACTGAGGTTGAACAATTAGAATGAAGAACAAAGGAAATTAAGCATTTGACTGGAAAGCAAACATCATAGAAGAGTAGAAAAGATGAAGATTAAAGAAAGCAACAGGTAAGCAGAAAGGAGAGTGAATTGTTTTCACTGCAAATTTTATGATGTTTTCTGCCAATATATGAAGCATATAAACTACTACGGATAAGCCATTTGGCAAATACCACTCATTCAAGTAATGTTGTAAGTTTAAAGCTGGTATAAAAGCAGTACTTTGAGTGAGATTAAAAACAAATAAGTTAATAGGTTATGAGAGAGCAGTTTGGTAAAAACAATTAAAAATTTCAAACTGTCTTCCTTAGTCTTAATCCTTAACAATTTTACTTCCGACAATTTATCCTACAGAAAATTTCCAACAAGCATTAAAAACATACATATGTGTATAACGATCTTCACTCTAGCCTGAATTACATTTGGAAAAAAGAGAAACCTTATGCACACTTACATGGTTGAAAGTTCTGTATTAATATACATAGGTGCCAAGATTAATGTGCAGTGAAAAAGATAACAGAGAAGCAATATAGCATAGTGATTAAGAATGCAACTGCAGCACTACTGCCTGGATTTACTACTGCTGTACTACTGACTATATCACTTTGAGCAAGTTAATTAACTTTGCTAAGCCTTATTTTATTCATAAAACCAGATTTTTAATATATCTATCTCAAAGACTTGTTGCGAAGATTTAAAATTTAAAAAAAATCAATTTAAGCACTTAGCAGACAGTATCTGGCATGTAATAAACACTTTAGGTAATAGAGCTACTGGCCAGGAACAGTGGCTCATGCTTATAATCCCAGCACTTTGGGAGGCTGAGGAGGGAGGACTGCTTGAGGCCAGGAGTTCTACCAACCTGCAACATAGTGAGATCCCATTTCTATTAAAAAAAAAATTTAAAAGATAGCTACTATAATTACTACAGTTATTATACTATGATCTCATTTTTGTGTTTAATATATATATAACCATGAAGAACCTAGGGAAAATATATAAAAAATGTTGAAAGTATCTCAGCAGCAGAATGAAGTGTACTGGGTTGGAAAATACACATTTTCTGCTTTAAAATGAATATTATATATATTCCAAAGTTCTAAAATTGTTTGGTGAACAGAAAATGAAGTTAACATTACTTATGGATGTAATAAATCTTTAATAAGTGATCTAATTTCTAAATATTTTAGAACTTTAATGTGACTCCTTTAATTACATTTTACACCAAAGCACACTTCTATTGAATCACTTTATAAAAAAGAAAGTAAAATGAAAGAATTGACCTACCCCTGCAGTTGCTGCTGTTGGTGAGAGGAAAGGGGCACTCTTGGTTTATTCCAGCCAGTGTAATCCTGGTTACACCTCAGTTTTTTAACAGAAAGAGGAACTGGCTGAGGAAGAAATCCCAAACTTCTTTTGGCAGAGGGAGTCTGGCTTGAAACATTAGTCCTACAAAAAAGCATAAATAATGAAGAAGCAAAATAAATTTTTGAATACTACTATTTTCCTTGAATAGATTAAGAGAAGTCAATGTTTAAGGAAAAAAATCTTGAATTTAGGGAAATATCAGTAATAATGATCACTTAAGGGAAAACTCTACAAACGTAAATTAGCAAATCTGTTCCTACACAGTTGGAGAGGGTTATAATACAGAACATATTTAACCTACAACCAAAATAATCCATGTTAATGGCTTGAAAAAGAAAACAATACATATAGTTTCACTGTTATCCATTTTATGGATATTACATTTACCTAGTCTTGAACAGATTTACAGTATACTTTTTCCACTGTTACAAATAACACAACAAACATTCTTACCCAATCTCCTTGAGAAATTCCTCTAGTTTATATGCATAGAAGTGAAAATGTTGGAGGTATTTTCAATCTTCATTTTTAATTTTTTGAGATATTGTGATTATTTTCCAAAAAGGCTATACCAGTTTATACTTCAAACAACAGTGACCTTCCATCGCCTCATATGTTTACATTACTTATTATTATCAGTTTTAATTTTTTTGCTGGGTCCGGTGGCTCACGCCTGTAAGCCCAGTACTTTGGGAGGCCAAGGTGGGCGGATTGCTTGAGCTCAGGAGTTTGAGACCAGCTTGGGCAACCTGGCGAAACTCCATCTCTATCAAAAATGCAAGAAAATTAGCCAGGCGTGGTGGGGAGGACCTGTAGTCACAGCTACTTGGGAGGCTGAGGTGGGCAGACTGATTGAGCCTGGGAGGCAGAGGTTGCAATGAGCGCAGATTGCACCACTGCACTCCAACCTGGGTGACAAAGTGAGAAGGCATCTCCAAAAAAGAAAAAAAAAAGTTTTAATTTTTACCAATAAGGAGACACTTGATCTCACTGTTATTTGATTTTGCACTGTCCTGATTACTACTGAAACTAACATATTCATATAGTTGTTTACTCTTTTCTGAATTGCTTTCCTATAGAGTAGGTCTTTTTTTTTTTGAGACAAAGTCTTGCTCTGTCACCCAGGCTGAAGTGCAGTGGCGTGATCTCGACTCACTGCAACCTCCACCTCCCGGTTTCAAGCGAGTCTTGTGTCTCAGCCTCCCAATCCCAAGTAGCTGGGATTATAGGTGTGTAACACCATGCCCAGCTAATTTTCTTTTTTTTGAGATGAAGTTTTGCTCTTGTTGCCCAAGCTGGTGTGCAATGGCGCAATCTCGGCTCACTGCAACCTCCGCCTCCCGGATTCAAGCGATTCTCCTGCCTCAGGCTCCCGACTAGCTGGGACTACAGGCGTGCGCCACCACACCTGGCTTACTTTTTGTATTTTTAGTAGAAACGGGGTTTCACCATGTTAGCCAGGCTGGTCTCGAACTCCTGACCTCAGGTGACCTGCCCGCCTCGGCCTCCCAAAGTGCTAGGATTACAGGCGTGAGCCACCATGCCCAGCCTAATTTTTTTGTATTTTAGTAGAGAAGGGGTTTCACCATGTTGCCGAGCCTGGTCTCAAACTCCTGAGCTCAGGCAATTTGCTCGCCTCAGCCTCCCAAAGTGCTAGGATTACAGGCGTGAGCCACTGCATCTGGCCCACATTCTAATTTTAAAATTTTTATACTGGGAAATTTATCAATTTTTTCTTTTCTTTTTTTTTTTTTGTATCTCGTTTAAGATTTTTGTATCTTGTATTTTGTTTAAGAAATCATCTTGTACCATAAGAGCACAGAAATTTTTTCCTGTATTTTCTCTTAACAGTTAAATTTTGCTTTCCCTTCTATTTAGGTCTTCAATACAGTTATAAGTGTCTTTTTCTGTATGTTGTGAGGCATACTTTTCTATAAGATTTACTTTTCTGTAAGGCAAACCAATTGTTCCCAAATTACTTATTGTTTGTCTAAGCCATGTGTTAGTGGCTGTTTGGTTTGGTACTTAAAAAAAATGTGTAGGCCAGGCACAGGTGGCTTATGCCTGTAACCCCAACGCTCTGGGAAGCTGAAGCAGGAGGATCAGGAGTTTGAAACCAGCCTGGTCAACATATCAAGACACTGTCTCTATTATTTTAAAATTAAGGCTGGGCACGGTGGCTCACACCTGTAATCCCAGCACTTTGGGAGGCCAACGGAGGCGCATCACCTGAGGTCAGGAGTTTGAGAACAGCCTGGCCAACATGGAGAAACCCTGTCTCTACTAAAAATACAAAAATTAGCCAAGCGTAGTGGCGCACACCAGTAGTCCCCAGCTACTTGAGAGGCTGAGGCAGGAGAACTGCTTGAACTTGGGAGACAGAGGTTGCAGTGAGCTGAGATCATGCCACTGCACTCCAGCCTGAGGGACAGAGAGAGACGCTGTCTCAAAAAAAATAAAAAAAGTTAAAAATTAAAAATAAATTGCGAAATAGAATACTCACATGGGAAAAGTGTATAAAAATCAAATGTGGAGCATAACAAATTTTCATAAAACAAACACTTGTGTAAATAACCTTATTAGTGTCTAAACCCCAAGTTCCCCTTCCAATTACAACTCTGCATTCCTCTAACCTAAAAGTCGGCATTATCTAAAAGTTTTATCCCTTACTACAAACCCCTAAATATTGTACTTTGGATAATATGTGATGTATCTATTTTCATCTTGTTTTCAACCTTTCTGCATCTTTATATTGTAGTTGTTTCTCTTTTACATAGCACATACATTTTCTTCTTCCATTAAATCCTGTGTATACTTTAACTGGAATATTTAGTACATACTCATATAAATTTTATATAAATTTAGTATATTTGTATCAGTAATGTCAGTACTGATTTGGGTTATTTCTTGAATTTTATGATGCATTTACTATTTGTTCTACATGTTCTATGTTCCTTTTTCTCTCCTTTATGCCTTCTTTTAGAATGTTTAACTATTTATTTCATTGTCTCCCCTCCGTTAGTCTGGAAATAATATAGGCATATATATATATATATTAACTCCTGGGCTCAAGCATTCCTCCCATCTCAACTTCCCAAGTAGCTGGGACTATAGGCGTGCACCACCATGTCTGGCTAATTTTTGTATTTTTTTGAAGAGATGGGGTCCCGCTATGTTGACCAGTTGGTCTCAAATTTCTGGGCTCAAGTGATACTCTCATCCTGGCCTCTCCAAGTGCTACGATTACAGGCGTGAGCCAACCATGCCCAGTCTAGAAATTTAATGGATGTCCTAAAAATTATATTATGCATTAAAAGTAGAAACAGCTTTACTGAAGTATAGTTGACATACAATAAAATGCACACATTTAAAGTGTATAACTTTAAGTTCTGACATATATACACTCATGAAATCATCACCAGAATTAAGATAGTGAACATATCTATTACTCCCAAAAGTATCCTGGTGCCCGTTTGTATCCCTTCCTCCCACTCCTCTCTGCCTGTGACCTTGTCTCTGTGACCAGGCAACTACTGATCTGTTTTCTGTCACTATAGATTACATTTTCTAAAATTTCATATAAATGGAATCTTACAATATGCACTTTCTTATGAGGTCTTTTACTCAGCCTAATTATTTTGAGATTCATCCATTCTGCTGGGTGTATAAACAGTTCATCCTTTCTATTGCTAGACAGCATTCCATTGTATGAATATACCACAATTTGTTTAACCACTTACTTTCTCTTTTGAAATAGTTTTATTTTTTGAGACAGGGTCTCACTCTGTTGCTCAGGCTGGAGTACAATGGCGCCATCGCGGCTCACGGCAACCTCTGCCTCCCAGGCTCAAGAGATCCTCCCATCTCAGCCTCCCAAGTAGCTGGGATCACAGATGCACATCACCACGCCCTGCTAATTTTTTTTTTAACTGTATTTTTGGTAGAGATGAGGTTTTACCATGTTGTCCAGGCTGATCTTGAACTCCTGAGCTCAAGCAATCTACCTGCCCTGGCCTCCCAAAGTGCTGGGATTACAGGCGTGAGTCACTGCACCTCGCCTGAAACAGTTTTAGATTTACAAAAAAGTTGCAAAATGGCTTTCACCCAGCTACTCCTAATATTAGAATCTTATATAACCATAGTACAATGACCAAAACCAGGAAATTAACAATGATACAATACTATTAACTAGTAACCTACACATATTATTCAAATTTCATCAGTATTTTCACTAAAGTCCTTTTTCTGGCCCAGGATCCCACAGTGCAAGTAGTTGTCATGTTTCTTTACTCGTACAATCCTCAATTTCTTCTTTTTTTAATGGCTTTGACAATTTTGAAGAGTAATGGTCAGGTATTTTACTTTATTTCCTTCAACTGGGTTTGTCTGATGTTTTTTCATGATTGGATTGAGGTTATGCATTAGCAAACAATAACAGCTAAGTGACATTGTGACCTCCTCAGTGCATCATATCACAGAGTCTATAATGACAATGTCTTATTACTGGTGTTGGTAATCTTGATTTCTTGGTTAAGGTATCTTCTGGGTTTCTCTACAGTGAAGTTTCTATTTTTCCTTTTGTAATTAAGAAATATAGGGAGATACTTTTGAGACTATGCAAATACCCTGTTTCTCATCAAACTTTTGTCCACTAATTTTAGCACCCAATGATACATTTTGACTGCAATTATTACTGCAGTATTTGATTAAGGTAATATTTTATTCCTACAACCCTCTGAAATTCTTAATTGGAATTCTTCTGTTAGGAGAGCTCTTCAGTCTCTACACATTCATTCATTCATTTCAGTATGGACTCAGACATATTTATTTTTTTTCTATAGGTTTAATCCAATATTATCATTTCGTAACTATAATTGTTCTAGTTTGGGCCATTGGTAACCCTTTCAGGTTGGCTCCTGTGTCTTTCGGACATTTCCTCATACTTTTTTGTGCATATCTTTACTTTCTGGCACCACAAGATGTTATAGACTGATCTTGCATTTTCCCTGCTCTAGCCCTGGAATCAACTATTATTTCAAGGAGCTCTGCTTTCTTGTACTGAATAATGGTATTTAAAAATCAGGGTCTGCAAGCTACCACTGACTTTCTTCACAGAATTAGAAAAAACTACTTTAAATTTCATAGGGAACTTTTTTTTTTTAAGAGCCCGTATAGCCAAGACAATCCTAAGCAAAAAGAACAAAGCTGGAGGCATCACGCTACCTGACTTCAAACTATACTACAAGGCTACAGTAACCAAAACAGCATCGCACTGGTACCAAAACAGATATATAGACCAATGGAACAGAACAGAGGCCTCAGAAATAACACCACACATCTACAGCCATCTGATCTTTGACAAACCTGACAAAAATAAGCAATGGGGAAAGGATTCCCTATTTAATAAATGGTGCTGGGAAAACTGGCTAGCCATATGCAGAGAACAGAAACTGGACCCCTTCCTTACATCTTACGAAAAAATTAACTCAAGATGGATTAAACACTTAAACGTAAAACCTAAATCCATAAAAACCACAGAAGAAAACCTAGACAATACCATTCAGGACATAGGCATGAGCAAAGACTTCATGACTAAAACACCAAAAGCATTTGCAACAAAAGCCAAAACAGACAAATGGGATCTAATTAAACTAAAGAGTTTCTGCACAGCAAAAGAAACTATCATCAGAGTGAACAGGTAACTTACAGAACGGGAGAAAATTTTTGCAATCTATCCATCTGACAAACATCCAGAGTCAACAAGGAACTTAAACAAATTTACAAGAAAAACCAAACAATCCCATCCAAAAGTGGGTGAAGGATATGAACAGACACTTCTCAAAAGAAGACATTTATGCGGCTAACAAACGTGAAAAAAAGCTCGTCATCACTGGTCATTAGAGAATGCAAATCAAAACCACAATGAGATACCATCTCATGCCATTTAGAATGGTGATCATTAAGAAGTCAGGAAACAACAGATGCTGGCGATGATGTGGAGAAACAGGTATGCTTTTACACTGTTGGTGGGAGTGTAAATTAGCTCAACCATTGTGGAAGACAGCATGGCGATTCCTCAAGGATCTAGAACCAGAAATATCATTCGACCCAGCAATCCCATTACTGGGTATATACCCAAAGGATTATATATCATTCTACTATAAAGACACATGCACACATAAGTTTATTGCAGCACTATTTACAATAGCAAAGACTTGGAGTCAACCCAAATGCCCATCAATGATAGACGGGATAAATAAGAAAATGTGGCACATATACACCATAGAATACTATGCAGCCATAAAGAAGAATGAGTTCATGTCCTTTGCAGGGACATGGATGAAGCTGGAAACCATCATTCTCAGCAAACTAACACAGGAACAGAAAACCAAACACTGCACGTTCTCACTCATAAGTAGCAGTTGAGCAATGAGAACACATGGACACATGGAGGGGAACATCACACATGGGGGCCTGTCAGGGGATGGGGGGCAAGGGGAGGGAGAGCATTAGGACAAATACCTAATGCATGCAGGGCTTAAAACCTAGATGACAGGTTGATAGGTGCAGCAAACTACCATGGCACATGTATACCTATGTAACAAACCTTGCACATTCTGCATGTGTCCCAGAACTTAAAGTAAAATAAAATAAAATAAAAAAATCAGGGTCTGGCACTAGGGTGCTCATAGTTACTTGGGTGCAATTGCTTCAAGGTACCCCCCCTAGTGGACTGAGCTAGGAAATGTATGTACGTGTGTAACCCAAGACATACAAATGCATGTATGTTTATTTTGAATCAATCTATACATGAATTTACATATATAAAACCTTGAGTTCATATTAACATCTCTGATTCTAACTGAACACCAAAGGTTCATACTAGCTTTCTTCCTTTCCTTATTTCTTTCTCTGACATTGCAAGCCTGGATCTCAGTATCTACAATGTTTACTTGTTCAATCCAAGTATACACATGAGGTGGTTTCAGAACTGCTAACCCTACACCCCTGTGAGAAACAAATTATGAACTAGAGTACAATATTTGTGTACTCATGCATTTTTGATATATTGAAGTCTAATGTAGCTGACTCTTTTACCTTCTCCTGGATAATGAAAGAAACTAGGAACAATTTAACTCCATTTAATTATTCTGTGTCTTCCTTCACTTCTGGTTTATATGTTATTGTTGTCATTTAAACCCAACAAGATATTACTATTGTTTTGTATAACAGAATTTATCAAGATAGACAGCATATTAACTTTTTGTTGCTCTTCATCCTTCCTGAAGCTCCAACCTTTAATCTGAGTTCTTTTTCCATCTGCCCAAAAACTTCTTTAGCATTTCCTTTAGTACATATTTGTGGGTAAACTCTGTTATTATTTTGTTTTGTATGATAGTGTCTATTTCACCTTTACTTCGAAACTATAGGATATTTTCACAGCAAATAAAATTCTATGTTGGCAGTTATTTTATTTCTGCATATTGAAGATATTTCTGGCTTCTACAATTGCTATAGAAAAGTCAAAGGTCAGATATTTTTGCTCCTTTGAAGCTGAAATGTTTTCTCCCGGTTGCTTTTGAGACTTTGTCTTTATTTCTAGAGTTTCACTATGACATGCCTAAGGGTAGGTTTCTTTTTCTCAATCCTACTTGGTATTCATTAGGCTTCTTAATTCTAAAGTCTGATTTTATCACTTTTGGAAAATTCTCAGCCAATATCTTTAAATACAGTTTATACCCCAATGTCCCTCTTCTTTGAGACTTTAATAAGACACAATAGACCTTTTAACTATATTATGTCTCTTAACACTCTCCTGTATTGTCTTTTTCATGTTTTATTCTAGAGCCTCTTCTGAGTCATCGTTCAGATCACTAATTCTCTCAATTACTATTCCCCCCACCCCTTTTTTTTGAGATAAGGTCTCATTCTGTCACTCAGGCTGAAGTGCAGTGACATAATCACAGCTCATTGCAGTTTTGACCTCCTGGGCTTGAGCAATCCTCCCACCTCAGCCTCCCAAGTAGCTGGGACCAAAAGTGCATGCCATCATGCTTGACTAATTTTTAATTTTTTTGTAGAGACGAGATTTCCCAATGTTGCCCGGGCTGGTCTCAATTATGTTTTATGCTGGAAAAAAAATCCAAAACAGATTTGAGTTTTTGTATTTTTCATTTCTAGATTTTCTATTTGATTTTTTTAAATCTGTGATAATTTCACAGTTTAAGGTTTTCTACAGAAATTTCCTTTATTTCTTTTGATGTGTTAAATATTGTTCTTTTATAATCACTGACTCATTAATTCCAGAATATGTGGAGCCCTGTGGTCCACTGCCGATCTAAACTATTTCTTCTAGTAATAATTCATGTTGACCTGTCTTGCTGCATGTCTGGACACTGAACAGTATTTAATCAAATCTAAGATACAACCAATTATAAGACATAACATTTATTTCAGGTAGTACTAAGAAAGAAAAAACAATGTCAACCAAAGTATATAATGACTTCTATGGCTTAGAATTTTTACTTCTTACTGGAAGCTTTTTATGTAACTAGATACACATTTTTATCATGTTGCTCTTATACAAAAAGGAAAATATAAAACCGGTTAAGATATTTCTAATAACTCACATTCAGAATCTGAATCTTCTGAATCATTTTTCCCACCCAGGGTCATAGATTTTTCAGTTTTTCCAAAAAGTGCTGCTACCTGTGCTACTAAAAACAAAGGTGATGTTGTATTTCTTCTTTCTTTCTTTTCTTTTTTCTCCAATTAAGCCCACAGTGTGATGATGCTGCATTTCTAGATAGTAAATAGTGCCACACTATGTCTCCGGGAGTTTCCTTCTAAGCCAATGACATTCATTTGGCAAGGTCTAATACTGAGGTTATCTTAATCTTACCAAAAGAAGCCCACAGATTTTCAGATCACAACTAGAATTTGCTGCCCTTTCTTAAGTGGTCATTTTAAGTGGTCTGACTAAAAAATATAGTTTTTCAGTAATACCACAAATGACAACCAAGTCTGCTAATGTGCAGGTAATGCCAACTATGTTACAACTGCCTCCTGGCAGCAATTTAAGATGTCACAATATCTGATATACTTCCATTGTAAATACTAATGTGAAAAAATGTACATCTAAGAATTATAGAAATATGTTGAGGTGTAGTAGGAAAATGTCTTCCCCCAGAGAGAATTTTCATTTAGTACATTTATTATGTCAATCATCTAGGATACTAGCCACTTATAATCAACTTAATTAAATTTCAGTGCTTGCAATAACTGGGCCATACAGATTAATAAAATTCACAGAAAGGCTGGCTTACTTCTAGCTCATCCTTATTCCCAGAGGGAACCCTTCAGTACACACTGAAATATGTGGAGTAATGTACTAGGCTCCCTATATTGGTAGGTCCTAGCCTCTATTGTCCTTCTAGACTCATGAGTGTGTCAAAAGCACTGCTTGGTCTTTCAGCAATCTCTTCTGGTTCAGCCAACGTGCTTGGGAACTCTGGATTTCCTCCTCCCTTCTCGGTTTGGTAATTCCTCACACTCCTATCAGTTTTTTCTTGTTTGTTTTTTGTTTTTTTTTTCTGAGACACAGTCTCCCTCTGTCCCAGGCTGGAGTGCAGTAGTGGCGGGATCTTGGCTACTCGGGAGACTGAGGTAGAAGAATAGCATGAACTGGGGAGGCAGAGGTTGCAGTGGCTAATTTTTGTATTATTAGTAGAGACGGGGTTTCACCACGTTGGCCAGGCTGGTCTTGCACTCCTGACCTCATGATCCACCCACCTGAGGCTCCCAAAGTGCTGGGATTACAGGCGTGAGCCACCACACCAGGCCTCCTGTCAGTTTTTCAATGCTCTGAAAATTCCTGCATTATTTTTTTCCTTTATTTGAAAGAGTTTTGCTCTGTCACCCATGCTGGAGTACAATGGTGCGATCTAGGCTCACTGCAATCTCTGCCTCCCGGGTTCAAGCAATTCTCCTACCTCAGCCTCCTGAGTAGCTGCGATTACAGGTGTGTGCCACCATGCCTGCCTAATTTTTGTATTTTTAGTAAAGACGAGGTTTCACCATGTTGTCCAGGCTGGTCTCGAACTCCTGACCTCATGTGATCCACCCACCCACCTCAGCCTCCCAAAGTACTGGGATTATAGACATGAGCCACTGAGCTTGGCCAATTTTTTCTTTTAATTTTTATATTTGTTAATTTTTTTTCAAAGTTAACAATTCTTTATTATCATCATCTAATACCTGACTCATATTTAAACCTTGCCAACAGCTTTTTTTTTTTTTTTTTTCCAGAGACAGAGTTTTGTTCTTGTTGCCCAGGCTGGAGTGCAACGGAGCGAACTTGGCTCACTGCAACCTCCACCTCCCAGGTTCAAGCGATTCTCGTGTCTCAGCATCCCGAGTAACTGGGATTGCAGGCATACGCCACCACGCCCAGCTAATTTTTTTGTATTATTAGTAGAGATGGGGTTTCTTCATGTTGGTCAGGCTTGTCTCAAACTCCCGACCTCGGGTGATCGGCCCACCACAGCCTCCCAAAGTACTGGGATTACAGGTGTGAGCCACTGTGCCTGGCCCTTGCCAACAGTTTTACAAAAAAGTGTTATTCCCAGTTTATTCTTACCAAGATCCAACCAAAGTCCATATATTACATTTGGTTTTTATATCTCTTAAATCATTTATAACCTTTAAGAGTGCTCTCCTGACTCCCTGCAACCTTTACTTGACATGACATCAACTTGGTGAAGAGAACAGGCCAGCTGTCCCTCAGAATAGCTGATATAGTTTGGATATTTGTCCCTGCCCAAATCTCATGTAAAATCATAATACCCAATGTTGGAGGTGGGGCTTGGTGGAAGGTGATTGGATCATGGAGGTGGATCCTTCGTGAACACTTTAGCACTATCCTGGTGCTAAACTTGGTGCTGTTCTCCTGATAGAGTCCTCATGAGATCTGGTCATTTAAAAGTGTATGGTACCTCCCCCTTCTCACTCTCTTCCTCCTTCTCTGACCATGTGAAGTGCTGGCTCCCACTTTGCCTTCTGCCATGATTCTAAGTTCCCTGTGGCCTCCCCAAAAGCTGACGCTGCCATGCTCCCTGTACAGCCTGCAGAACTGTGTGTCAACTAAACCTCTTTTCTTTATAAATTATCCGGTTTCATGTATTTCCTTATAGCAATGTGAGAACAGACTAATACAATAGGCTACTTTCAGATTTTGTCCATGCATTCCTTGCCTTTAGATCTAGAGATTTTATTTTTTAAATTTTACCTCAAGTTCTGGGATACTGTACAGAATGTACAGGTTTGTTACATATAGATGTGCCATGGTGATTTGCTGCATCTATCAACCCACCATCTAGGTTTTAAGCCCCGCATGCATTACATATTTGTCCTAATGCCCTCCCCTCCCCTTGCCCTCCATCCCCCAACAGGCCCTACTGTGTGATGGTCCCCTCCCTGTGTCCATGTGTTCTCATTGTTCAACTGCCACTTATGAGTGAAAACATGCAGTGTTTGGTTTTCTGTTCCTGTATCAGTTTGCTGAGAATGATGGCTTCTAGCTTCATCCATGTCCCTGCAAAGGACATGAACTCATTCTTTTTTATGCCTGCAATATTTGTTCATTTTTTCCCCACCTGACTAAAAAGTCTGGATCCTACACTAATTTTTAATTTCATCTGTACCACAATCCAAGTAGTCCCCATATATGCACAAGATTGTTTCTGGGTCTTTATTTTGCTCCAGGGATTAAAGATTAATTCTAATGCATCCCCTGTAATAATCACCACCACTTAACGTTGTCTTTTCCAGTTTTGAGACAAGGTCTTGCTCTGTTGCCCAGGCTGGAGTGCAGTGGCGTGATCACAGCACACTGCAGCCTCGACCTCCTGGGCTCAAGCGATTCTCCTACCTTAGCCTCTTGAGTAGCTGGGGCTACAAGTCCATGCCACCACACGTGGCTTTTTTTTTTTTTTTTTTGTAGAGACAGGGTCTCACCATGTTGCCAGGGCTGGTCTCAAACTCCTGAGCTCAAGCCATCCTCCTGCCTTGGCCTCCCAAAAGTGCTAGGATTTATAGGGGTGAGTCACCACACCGCACCAACATTAAGTCTTAATATCTGGCCATTCAACCCATCTTCTTAGGCCTTCTTCAAAATTATCTTGGCTATTCTTATAAGCTTACTTATAAGAAATAGAATTTAAGGCTGAGCACACTGGCTCATGCCTGTAAGCCCAGCACTCTGGGAGGTCAAAGAGGGAGGATTGCCAGAGGCAAGGAGTTTGAAACCAGCCTGGCCAACATAGAAAGACCCCATCTCTCTCTTTTTTTTTTTAATTAGCCAAGCACGGTGGCACACACCTGTAGTCCCAGTTATTTGGCAGGCTGAGGCAGGAGGATTGCTTGAGCCCAGAAGTTAGAGTCTGCAGTGAGCTAGGATTGTGCCACCGTACTCCAGCCTAGGTGACAGAGGCAAACTCCACCACAAAAAAAAAAAAAAAAAGTTTAGATTCTTTTTTTTTTGTATGGGCGGGGGTTCCACAAAAAGTACTTTGTGAGACTTCAACTGGAACTACCTTAAATTTTTTTATTAATTTGGGGATAAATGATATCCTTGAGCTTTGTTTACTTAGGTCTTCCATTATGTCCCTTAGTAATCCTTTTCTTCATAAAAATACATATTTTATTAGATTTATTCCTATCTATCTCACTGATTTTGTAGTTCTTATAAATAGTACAGGTTGAGTATCCCTGAAATGCTTGGAAAGAAGAGTTTCAGGGCCGGATGCGGCAGCTCATGCCCTGTAATCCCAGCACTTTGGGAGGTCAAGGCGGGTGGATCACCTGAGGTCAGGAGTTTGACACCAGCCTGGCCAACATGGTGAAACCCCCTTTCTACTAAGAATACAAAAATTGGAGCTGGGCGCGGTGGCTTACGCTTGTAATCCCAGCACTTTGGGAGGCCGAGACGGGTGGATCACCTGAGGTCAGGAGTTCGAGACCAGCATGGCCAACATGGTGAAACCCCGTCTCTACCAAAAATACAAAAATTAGCAGGCGCCTATAATCCCAGCTACTTGGGAGGCTGAGGCAGGAGAATCGCTTGAACCCGGGAAGCGGAGGTTGCAGTGAGCCAGGATTGTGCCACTGCACTCTAGCCTGTGGGGCAAGAGCGAGACTTCGTCTCAAAAAAAAAAAAAGAATTTCAGATTTTGAAATATTGTATTTGTATTACGCTGGTTGATCATCCCTAATCTGAAAGTCTTAAACACTCCAATGAACATTTCCTTTGAGCATGACCTTTTGTGCATTATATCAGCACTCAAAAAATTTCTAATGAAACTTGGAACATTTCAGATTTCAGATTTTTGGATTAGGAATACTTAATCTGTTTTCTGTTACAGTTTACATTTTATTATTGCTGGATTTAGAAACACCATTAATTTTGTGAATTGATCTTGTATTCCAGAAACCTTATAAAGCTGTTTTTTGGCGGGGGGGTCTTTTTTCATCCTTTTTCTGTGGAGAACAGGATGTTACTATGTTGCCCAGGCAGGTCTTGAACTCCTGGGCTCAAGCTATCCCCCTGCCTTTGCCCCCTTAAGTACTGTGATAATAGGTGTGAGCCACTGAACCCGGCCTAGAGCACTTTAATTTGTTTTAATAACCTCTGGTGATTCTCTTTGTGTTAAATATTTAACAGATCACACAGTCTGCAAATTATGACAATTCTGTTTTTCCCCTTTCCAATCCCCAAACCTCTTTATTTCATTTTCTTGTCCTACTGCATTGGCTAAAACCTTCAGAACAATATCACCCTGTTCTTGACTTTGATGGGAATACTTCTCAAAGTTTCATAATTGTAATGTGATTTAAGTTTTTGACAGATAACTTTTTATCAAACTAGGAACATAATGCTCTGTTCCTAATATGCTAAAAGTAGGTATCATCAATGGCTATCAAATAGTTTTAAAAATCTACCACAATCCCAAAAGAGTTTTCTAATGTTTACTTTTGCATTTCTGGGATATACCCTACTCAGTCACTGTGTATCATTTTCAATGCCCTATTAGATTCAACTGTTAAAATTTTATTTTGGATTTTTCTGTGTTCATAAGTGAAAAACTATAATTTTCTCTTCTCATATTGCTGTTACAAGGTTTTATTAAATTCCTAGATTAGTTATGTAGCCTTTCCTGTTTTGTAGAGATGGGGGTCTTGCTATCTTGCCAAGACTAGTCTTGAACTCCTGGATTCAAGTGATCCTCCCACCTAGTCCTCCCAAAGTGCTGAGATTATAGGTGTGAACCACTGCTCCACTCCCAGCCATCTTTAACTTTTTAATATGTCTATGTAATTGCAGCCTCCTCTGAAACTAAAGCTTGAAATATTTTAATTTCCCTGAATCTTCTCCACTCCTGTATTTCTTTTGTCCAATGTTTTATTAAGTATTGGCTTTTAATCCAACAACATCCTCCTTTGATAGAAAATATCAAGACGTATTTACATACATAAAATAACCCTGGAAGGATGTTATTTTATTTTATTTTTTAGATGGAGTCTCGCGCTGTCACCCAGAATGGAGTGCAGTGGCGCGTTTTCGGCTCACTGCAACCTCTGCCTCCTGGGTTCAAGTGATTCTCCTGTCGCAGCGTCCTGAGTAGCTGGGACTACAGGCACGCACCACCACGCCTGCCTAATTTTTGCATTTTTAGTAAAGACAGCGTTTCGCCATGTTGGCCAGGCTGGTCTCGAACTCCTGACCTCAGGTGATCCACCCGCCTTGGCCTCCCAAAGTACTGGGGTTACAGGCGTGAGCCACCATGCCCGGCCAGAAGGATGTTATTAATAGTAACAGTGGTTATGTCTCAAAAGGGAAAATGAAAACTAGGAGTTAGGAAAGAAAAGAAGATCTTCTTTACTGTATACACCCTATGTCATTTGAATTTTCTACCACATTCACTTATTAGCTAAAAGATAAACTTTAAAAACATTTAGATTAAAAAATATACTTTAAAATTGTTTTTATTCACTGATTTTTCTTATCACTCCTTCCTTGTTCAGTTTTCTTTTTGATGAATTAATTCTATCTGTCTTTGCACATCTGAAAAATAACATTCTTGGTCAGGTGCAGTCGCTCGTGCCTGTAATCCCAGCACTTTGGGAGGCTGAGGCAGGCGAATCACTTGAGCCCAGGAGTTTGAGACTAGCCTGGGCAACATGGTGAAACTCCGTGTCTACGAAAAATACCAAAAAAATAGCCAGGTGTGGTGGCACACACCTGTAGTCCCAGCTACTGGGGGGGTTGTGGGTGGGAGGATCACCTGAGCCCAGGAGGCTGAGGCTGCAGTGAGCCATGATTATGCCACTACACTCCAGGCTGGGTGACAGAGTGAGACCCTGTCTAAAAAATAAATAAATAAATATTGCATTCTTTGTCTATATTCTTGAAATATAATTTAGCTAGGTATAGAAGTTTTTGATACTGTTACTCTGCTAATAATATCTAACTATCTGCTTCCTATTCCAATAGTGTTAATGTCAATCTGATTTCTCCACTTTTATAGAGGATGTATTTTCTTTCGGGTAGCTTCTAAAATTTTACAATATAAATTTTTTTCTAAGTTTTATTTTAAGTTCAGGGGTACATGTACAGTTTTGCTGCATAGGTAAACTCGTGGCATGGGGGTTTGTTATACAGATTATTTCATCACCCAGGTATTAAGCCTAGTACTCATTAGTTATTTTCCCCAATCCTCTCCCTCCTTCCATCCTCCAACAAGCCCCAGTGTGTGTTGTTCTACTCTATATGTCCACGTGTTCTCATCATTCAGCTCCCACCTATAAGTGAGAACATGCAGTATTTGGTTTTCTGTTCCTGTGTTAGTTGGTTAAGGATAATGGCCTCCAGCTCCATCCATGTCCCTGCAAAGGATATGATCTCATTCTTTTTTTATGGCTGCATAGTATTCTACGGTGTATATGTATCACGTTCTTTATCCAGTCTATCACTGATGAGCATTTAGGTTGATTCCATGTCTTTGCTATTGTGAATAGTGCTGCAGTGAACATATACATGCATGGGTCTTTATAACAGAATGGTTTATATTTCTTTGGGTATATACCCAGTAATGGGATTGCTGGGTTGAATGGTTATTTATTTATTTTTTTTTTTGAGACAGTCTTGCTCTGTTGCCCAGGTTAGAGTGCAGTGGTGCAATCTTGGCTCACTGCAACCTCTGCCTCCCAGGTTCAAGTGATTCTCCTGCTTCAGTCTCCTGAGTAGCTGGGATTTATAGGCACCTGCCACCACGCCCAGCTAATTTTTTTGTATTTTTAGTAGAGATGGGGTTTCACCATGTTGCCCAGGCTGGTTCGAATGGTATTTCTGTCTTTAGGTTTTTGAGGAATGGCCACACTCTCTTCCACAATGGTTGAACTAATTTACACTCCTACCAACAGTGTATACACATTTCTTTTTCTCCACAACTTCACCAGCATCTTTTTTGACAAAATGTGGATTTTTTAAAAAGTATTTGTTGTTTGGTATTTTTTGAGGCTTTTCGATGTGAGGACTTTCACCATTTTCATTTATTACTTCTTTGCCAATTTCCTTGCCTTTATTTTCCTTAGTCTTTTCTTCCAGAATACTGTTAAGACATGGAGGGTACACCAAGAAGACCAACGTAAGTTTCTTCATTTCATTTGCTTTTTTTTTTTTTTTTTTTTTGGGACGGAGTCTTGCTCTGTCGCCCAGGCTGGAGTGCAGTGGCGCGATCTCGGCTCACTGCAAGCTCCGCCTCCCGGGTTCACGCCATTCACCCGCCTCAGCCTCCCGAGTAGCTGGGACTACAGGCGCCCGCCACCACGCCCGGCTAATTTTTTGTATTTTTAGTAGAGACGGGGTTTCACCGTGTTAGCCAGGATGGTCTCGATCTCCCGACCTCGTGATCCACCCGCCTCGGCCTCCCAAAGTGCTGGGACCACAGGCGTGAGCCACCGCGCCCGGCCTGCTTTTATCATCTCGGTTTCCTTGCTATATTCCACGATCAAGCCTTCTTGACAAGGACTTAGTAGTTACTTCTGCCTGGCCGTCTACCCTGCATAGGACTTTAAATGGTCATAATTCTGGCCCCATGCAGGTAACAGTAAAGCAGAGGCTAATCATTGTTGTCCCATTTTCATGTCTTTGCACTCTACTCAGGGAGTAGGAAAGCAGCATATTTACAGTTCCAACCCCAAGCACTTATACACAAGTGTTCCACTCTGGTTTACTAGCTCAAAGAGCTATTCTAAACACCCAGCTTCTTATGAGAAAACAAGTTCTAAGTTTTACATTTAATTTACATTTAGTTCCCAATCTCGTGCTGGTTTGAAGTCCCAGCTATTGACACCTGGCTCTCGTTTGTGTTCTCCACATTCCTTACCGCTTTAGCCTTTGCACACTATTAGTTTTCTCACCAATCTGGAAATTTTCACCTTATCTCTCAGTGCAGCTTTGCACTAAAAAGATTTCTTTCCTCAATCATTCCTATATGGAATGAATATGTCCATTCTATTATTTTGAGAAGAATTTTGTATGTAGGAAATCATTTGCAAACCAAATGTAGGCTTTTTTAAAACTTAGATTTAAGATTCTTCTAATAAGCAGAAATATGTCAAACTTCCTCTCTCCTAAATTCAAATAACTTAATTACCACTGTAATCTATAAAGTGCTTGAGATACCACCCAAGGCTGAATATACCTAAATATATAATATCAAATTCTTTACCTTAATCATTTTATACAAATAACCAAGATGTTTTTAACACTTTGAATTAAATTCTATTAAGAACCAAATATGGGCTGGGCGCGGTCACTCACACCTGTAATCCCAGTACTTTGGGAGGTCAAGGCAGGCACATCATGAGGTCAGGAAATCGAGACCATCCTGGCTAACACAGTGAAACCCCGTCTCCACTAAAAATACAAAAAAAGAGCTGGGCATGTTGGTGGGCGCCTGTAATACCAGCTACTTGGGAGGCTGAGGCAGGCTAATCACTCGAACCCAGAAGGCAGAGGTTGCAGTCAGCCGAGATTGCCCTACTGTCCTCCAGCCTGGGCGATACAGCGAGACTCCATCTCAAACAAACAAACAAACATATGACTTAATAGGTCATTATATAGCATGTATATTATAGACTACCATTACCCTCACTTTTTTTTTTTAATTATATTTTAAGTTCTGGGATACATGTGTACAATGTGCAGGTTTGTTACATAGGTATACACATGCCATCATGGTTTGCTGCACCCATCAACCCATCATCTACATTAGGTATTTCTCTTAATGCTATCCCTCCCCTAGCCCCCCACCCCACGACAGACCCCGGTGAGTGATGTTCCCCTCCCTGTGTCCATGTGTTCTCATTGTTCAACATCCACTTATGAGTAAGAATATGTGGTGTTTGGTTTTATGTTCCTGTGTCAGTTTGCTGAGAATGATGGTTTTCAGCTTCATCCATGTCTCTGCAAAGGACATGAACTCATCCATTTTTATGGCTGCATAGTATTCCATGGTATATATATGCCACATTTTCTTTATCCTGTCTATCATTGATGGGCATTTGCCATTACCCTCACTTTTTACATTTAAAACCATCAACCCTTCTGTGCTGCACTGCATGATCACATGTTCTCAACAAGTGCTTAGCAGGTATCTTATGTATTTATACCCAATAAATCTGAAAAAAAAAAAAAAAAAAAAAAAAAAAAAAAAAAAAAAGAGCTTATCTATAGAATTGGCAATTAAATATCCAACTAGCCTTTTCCAATTTATTAATAAAAGACATTCACTGCTGTAATACAGCTTTTGATTTTTAAGGGAAATTCCTAAATATTTAAAATGTAGCTTAACAAATACAACAGCAACAAAAGGAAAATAAAAATGCTTCAGAGGAGAGATCTTAGTATGTTCATCCACATGGGATGGTAGAATATATATTGGTCTACAGTCTGATAATATTGTCTGTCGCAATCTATGGCATCACTACAAAACTTCCCAGAGCCAGGTTTAAGAGCACCTCCCAACTCAGCCTCCTAAGTAGCTATCACTACAGGCACACGGCACCATGCCCAGCTAATTTTTAAAAAATTTTCTGTAGAGTGGTCGGATGCGATGGCTCACGCCTATAATCCCAACACTTTGGGAGGCCAAGAAAGGCAGATCACTTGAGGTCAGGAGTTTGAGATCAGCCTGGTCAATATGCTAAAATCCTGTCTCTACAAAAATTAGCGTGGTGTGCTGACAGGCACCTGTAATCCCAGCTATGTGGGAGGCTGAGGCAAGGCTGCAGTGAGCCAAGATAGCACCACTGTACTCTATCCAGCCTGGGTGACAGGGCGAGACTTGGTCTCAAACAAAAAAAAAAAAAAAAAAAATTCTGTAGAGGCCAGGAGCAGGAGCAGTGGTTCAACACTTATAACCCTAGCACTTTGGAAGGCTGAGGTGGGAGGATCGTTTCAAGTCAGGAAATTTGAGACCAGGCTGGGCAACACAGTGAGATCTTGTCTCTTTTTTTTTGAGACAGGGTCTCGTTCTGTTGCTCAAGCTGGAGTACAGTGGCATAATTATGGCTCATTGCAGCCTTGATCTCCAAGGCTCAAGTGATCCTTCCACCTCAGCCTCTCAAAGTGCTGGGATTACAGGTGTGAGCCACTGTGCTCAGCTCATTTCTAGAATACTTTCTAACTAACATGTCAGGATTCTATGAGTCTCGTCAATTTTGTTAAATTATCATATTCACTTAAGAGGATAATACATAACCTATCCAATCATTCAATATTCTGAAAAAAAAAGAACTCCTAAGTTTTTCACAAGTAATATAACCAATGCATACCTGTCTAAGTTAGTGCCACCAGAAGAGTGTTCCTTGGATCCAGCTCTGCTACCATAAAAGGATGATGACTGTAAAGGTAAAAGCCCTATAAAACAAATGAACAAAGGAAAAACTTAATTCCTAAATCAACCATTCAAGTTCATTTAATAATAAAAGTATACATTAGTCCTGATTATATTTAACTCTTTTTCCTTCTCATCAAATACAGGAATACCTCATTTTATTGCTCTTTGCTTTATTGTGCCTCACAGATATTGCAGGTTTTTTTGTATGTTTTTTTTTAAACAAATGGAAGGCTGTGGCAACCCTGCACCAAGCAAGTCTATCAGTGCCATTTTCCCAACAGTATACGCTCGCTCACTTCATGTCTATGTCACATTTTGGTAATTCTTGCAATGTTTCAAACTTTTTAATTATATCTATTACAGTGATCTGCGATCAGTGATCTTTGATGTTACTGTTGTCACTGTTTTGGGGTACCACGAACTGCACCCATATAAGACGGCAAACTCAATTTATCTGACTGCTCCACCAAATTGTCATTATTACCCCATCTCTGTCTCTCTTCTTGGGCCTCCCTATTCCCTGAGACAATATATTGAAATTAGGATAATTAATAACCCTACAATGACCTCTGTGTTTTTAAGTGAAAAGAAGAGATGCACATCTCCTTTTAAATAAAAATCTAGCAATAATTAAGCCCAGTCAGGGAGGCACGTCAAAAGCTGAGACAGGATGAAAGCTAGGCCTTTTGCACCAAACAGCCAATGCAAAGGAAAAGCTCTTGACAGAAATTAAAAGTGCTACTCAAGTGAACAAGTGAATTACAAAGCAAAACAACCTTATTGCTGATGTGGAGAAAGTTTTAGTGGTCTCGGCAGAAGATCAAACCAGCCACAATGTTCTCTTAAGCTAAAGCCTAATCCAGGGTAAAGGTCTAGTCTAACTCTCTTCAATTCTATAAAGGCTGAGAGAAGCAGAAGAAAAATGTGAAGCTAGTAAGAGCTGGTTCATCAGGTTTAAAAAAAGAAGCCATCTCCATAATATAAAAGTACAAAGTGAAGCAGCAACTACTGATATTAAAGCTGCAGCAAGTTACTGAGATCTAGCTAAGATCACTGATGAAGGTGGCTACGTTAAACAACAGGTCTTCGATGTAGCTGCAATAGCTTTATATTGGAAGATGCCATCTAAGAGTTTCGTAGCTAGAGAGAAATCAATGCCTAGCTTCAAAGTTTCAAAGGACAGGCTGACTCTCTTGCTAGGCGCTAATGTGGCTGAGGACTTGAAGCTGAAGCCAATGCTCACTTACCATACTGAAGATACTAGGGCCCTTAAGAATTATGCTAATTCTACTTGCCTGTGCTCTAGAAATGGAACAACGAAACCTAGATGACAACTCTTCTGTTCACAACATGATTTAATCAATATTTTAAGCCACTACTGATACCCAATGCTCAGAAAAAAAGATTGTTTTCAAAATACTACTGCTCCTTGACAATGCACCTAGTAACACAAGAGCTCTGATGGAGACATACAAAGATAATGTTGTTTTCACGCCTACTAACTCAACATCCATTCTACAGCCCATGGATCAAGGAGTCATTTCAATTTTCAAGTCTTACTATTTAAGAAATACATTTCAGAAGGCTACAGCAGACAGTGATCCCTCTGATGGAGCTAGGCAAAGTGAACTGAAAATCTTCTGGAAAGAATTTATCATTCTAGATACCATTAAGAACACTTGTAATTCATGAAAAGAGGTCAAAATAGCAACCATAACAGGAGTTTGGAAGTTGATTCCAACCTTCACGGATAACCTTGAGGGTTCAAGACATCAGTGGAGATGCAGTCAACTGCAGATATTGTGGGAATATCAAGAGAACTACAAGTGGAGCCTGCAGATGTGACTGAATTGCTGCAATCTCATGATCAGACTTTAATGGATGTGGAGTTGCTTCCTACGGATGAGCAAAGAAAGAAGTCTCCTGAGATGAAATCTAATCCTGGTAAAGAAACCATGAATATTGTTGAAGTTACAACATAGGATTTAGAATATTACATAAATTTAGTTGAGAAAACAATGGTAGTGTCTGAAAGGACTGATCCCAATTTTGAAAGAAGTTCTGTGGGTAAAATGCTATCAAGCAGCATCACATGCTACAGAGAAACCTTTCATGAAACGAAGAGTCAATCAGAGATGTGACAAATTGTCTTAAGAAATTGCCTTGGCCGGGTGCAGTGGCTCACGTCTGTAATACCAGCACTTTGAGATACTGAGGCAGGCGGATCATGAGGTCAGGAGCTTGAGACCAGCCTGGCCAATATGGTGAAACCCCATCTCTACTAAAAATACAAAAATTAGCTGCATGTAGTGGTGTGCGCCTGTAGTCCCAGCTACTCGGGAGGCTGAGGCAGAAGAATTGCTTGAACCCAGGAGGCAGAGGTTGCAGTGAGCCGAGGATCGTGCCACTGCACTCCAGCCTGGGCGACAGAGCAAGACTCTGTCTCAAAAAAAAAAAAAAAAAAGAAAGAAAGAAATTGCCACAGCTGCCTTAGCCTTCAGCAACCACCACCCTAATTAGCAGCCAACAACACAGAAGACCCTCCACCAGCAAAATGATTACAACCCTCTGAAGGTTCAGATGATTGTTAGCATTTTTTTGCAATAAACTATTTTAAAATTATGACTGGCTGGGTGCAGTGGGTCCTGCCTGTAACTCCAGTACTTCGGGAGGCTGAGGCAGTGGATCACTTGAGCCCAGGAGCTGGGGACCAGCCTGGGCCATACGGCAAAACCATGTCTCTACAAAAAATACAAAAAATTAGCTGGGCATGGTGGTGTGCACCTGTAATCCCAGCTACTTGGGAGGCTGAGGTGGGAGACAGCCTAAGCCCAGGAGGTCAAGGATGCAGTGAGACAAGATCACACCACTGAACTCCAGCCAGGGCGACAGAGTGAGACCCTATCTCAAAAAAAAAAAGGTACTTTATTATTATTTTTTTTTTAGACATAATGCTATTGCACACTTAACTGACTCCAGCATAGTATAAACATAACTTTTATTGCACTGGGAAACCAAAAAATTCATTCTTGCTTTTTTGTGCTATTAGCTTTATTTATGTGGTCTGGAACTACATCTGCAATATCTCTGAAGTATGCCGGTACACATGTATGTTAAAAGATAAAATACCGTGAAAGAAGCTATAATAGCAAAGCTACCCTCTCCTGCCCCCAAGTTCCACAAGTTGTACTTCTATTTTTTAACGATTTAAAAAAACTTTTTTTTTTCTGATTTCTTCAACAGTGCTAATAACATTTCTACTACTTCTTGATTTACTCATTTTAAACAGTATCAATTGACTCTTTATTGTAGAAAATTAGTATCACCCCTACTCTTGTTCTCCTCTCTCCAACCATTAGTAGTGTTACTTTAGTTCTTCCACCGATTAACTCTGTAACTTTAACACATTTAAAACATCTACGTTTTGTTCCATTAATCTTGTCATTTGGCCATGCACTTCCTTCTCTCCTCCACATCAAATTTTGTGAGATGTACCTTAACTTCAGCATTGTTAAGGCTTATTACAGCTTATGTTTTCTGTTTTTTAACTATAGGCTGATTATAAAAGCTGAGAGACAATAAGCAGAGTTTATATCTTCTAAATATTATTATTTCAGAGGTAAGACTTACATGTGATATTTCTTTCTGTAGGAGTCAATGTCACAATCCCAAACCACTAAAAGAAGAATATTCCTAGGGTCCTGATCAACTGGATTCTCTTAAACTATCAATTTATCAAAATCATGCCATATTTTAGCTTACTTCAAGTTAAAGTTGACATAATACTCAAGTTAATACCAGATAACGGACTCTCTAAGGATTTCAGAGAATCGAACAGATACGTTAAGTGTGGGAAACATCTGACAAAAATGTTTTTGTAAAAACAGGGTAGAAGGTTAAGTTTAAAAAACTGCTTCAGACAATAATTTCAAGATCTTCTGAAGCTTCTAATAAGCACTAACACTGATGCACTTTAATTTCAACCACTTTACTCCTCTAATTCATTCTATGGTCCTGGTACTTTGACAATGAAACAGCTTAATTCTAGGCAGTCAAATAGGGGAAGAATAAGGTAAAGACTGGATTCTTTATAAACAGAATACAAATTCCCTGGATTTCTAATACTTTAAAATATTTTAGCCAAGTACTGGGTACAAATTGGCACCCAATAACTAACACCAGATTAGGCCGGGCATGGTGGCTCCCACCTGTAATCCCAGCACTTTAGGAGGCCAAGGCAGGTGGATAACTTGTGTTCAGGATTTTGAAACTAGCCTGGCCAATATGGTGAAATCTCGTCTCCACTAAAAATTCAAAAATTAGCCAGGCATGATAGAACACACCTGCAGTCCCAGCTACTTGAGAGGCTGAGGCAGGAGAATCACTTGAACCCGGGAGGCAGAGGTTGCAGTGAGCCGATATTGTGCCACTGCACTCCAACCTGGGCGACAGAGCAAGACTCCGTCTCAAAAAATATATATAAATAAATAAAAATAAAAAGAATGTACAGATGGGTTAGGTTTTTATTTCTAATCTAATAAATATATAATAAATGAGCACCTTATTTATTGTAAGATCAAACACTTACCTGATGTCCTATTCTCTTCTGACTGTTTCAAACTCAGCTGCTTTTCTCTACTGCTGGTTAAATACTTTCTGGAGGGATCTGTCATGGCCTTGTTGTTCCTATAGTTAATAATTTTACATCAATATAGTACAGGTGTATAAAAATATTGTTCTTAATTTTAAATAGTTGTCATTAAAACATTTACATTTAAAGTGCCAAATTCATTGATATGCTTGAAAATTAAGCTACAAGATTGTTAGTCTCAAAAGGTCAATGACTTAAACAAATGAAAATTACAAAAATAATCTTTAATTACTATCTCAAGAGCCAATCCAATCCATGACTCTGATAACTTAGCAAAAGTAAAGGAGCATTTTTCTTTATATAAAAGTCAAATCAGAGACAGCAAGATTATTAGATTTTCTTGGCCAAAAGCAAGACCAGATAAAATGATTCAGCTACTAAGACCAAAAGAATCAATTAAAAAGTAAACTGTGGCCAGGCGCGGTGGCTCACTCCTGTAATCCCAGCACTTTGGGAGGCTGAGGCGGGCAGATCGCGAGGTCAGGAGTTCGAGACCAGCCTGGCCAACATAGTGAAACCCCGTCTCAACTAAAAATACAAAAATTAGCCAAGCATGGTGGCGCGTTCCTGTAGTCCCAGCTACTCGGGAGGCTGTGAGGCAGGAGAATCACTTGAACCTGGGAGGTGGAGGTTGCAGTGAGCCGTGATCGCGCCACTGCACTCCAGCTTGGGCAACAGAGTGAGTCTTAGTCTTAAAAAAAAAAAAAAGTACAATGTTCAAGCTTGGCAGTTTATAGGTTTACAAAGAAAAACAAATCAGGCTGGGCGCGGTGGCTCAAGCCTTAATCCTAGCAGCTTGGGAGGGCGAGGCGGGCGGATCACCTGAGGTTGGGAGTTCGAGACCAGCCTGGCCAACGTGGGAAACCCCATCTCTATTAAAAATACAAAAATTAGCTGGGAGTGGGCTGGATGCAGTGGCTCACACCTGTAATCCCAGCACTTTGGGAGGCCGAGGCAGGTGAATCATGAGGTCAGGAGATCAAGACCATCCTGGTTAACACAGTGAAACCCTGTCTCTACTAAAAATACAATAATTAGCTGGGCGTGGTGGCGGGCACCTGTAGTCCCATCTACGCAGGAGGCTGAGGTGGGAGAATGGCGTGAACCCGGGAGGCGGAGCTTGCAGTGAGCCAAGATCGCGCCACTGCACTCCAGCCTGGGTGACAGAGCGAGACTCTGTCTCAAAAAAAAAAAAATTAGCCAGGCGTGGTGGCAGGCGTCTGTGATCCCAGCTATTCAGGAGGCTGAGGCAGAAGTATTGCTTGAACCCAGAGGCAGAGGTTGCAGTGAGCCAGGGATCACGCCATTGCACTCCAGAATGGGTGACAAGAGCGAGACTTCATCTCAAAAAAAAAAAAAAAAAAAAAAAAAGGAAAAGAAAAATCAAAATCAAAACTGTGTATTCCACATGAATAGCAATACTATTTGCTAAGCAGCAACAGCATTTTAATTTATATTGATTAAAATTCTTTAGGATCATGAATACAAAGTTAAAATTTCTTTTAAAAGCCCTTTTCTCCCCTGTATTATTTTCAAATACCTCAACCCATATAAGTAGAGAGTGTCCATTCAAATAAATGTTCATGCTTTAACAGTGCTAATTTAAGGGGAACCATCATGAACTAAGCCTGTGGCAGACAATGCCTAAGTGTGCCCCACCTAGATTCCCACTGACTCATTTTTATATTCTCTCTTCCATATCTTCACACCAACTTATGTTTTTGATAGCCAGTACCAAGGGCTCTTCTTCACAGGACTGCCCTCAAGTTACTAGAGATACTTTGCCTGTAATCTCAGAGTCACAAACAAGGCCGGGCGCTACAGTAGAGAAGCCCAGCTCTCCTGATTTGGATTAAAACAACTTTATGGTGGAAGCTACATAACAGATTTCTGTAATATCAGGATGAAGACTAACCTTCATGTCCTTGTGTGACTTCTCCAGGATCACATCCATGCTTTGTTTCCTGCCCTTAACTATATTGCTTTCCTTACTCCCTTCACTATCTTCTCTGGGAGTACTTCCTTAGTAATTCACATGCACACTAATCTCCATTTCAGATTCTGCTTCTGGGGAACATAATCTACAACAGCTGGTACTAAAAGTGGGCCTAGGAAGCACACTCTAAGGATAGGATTCTGGAATTGGACCCTTGTTTGGCAATGGCAACAGAAATTCTGTTGCTGATAGTAATACCTCTGACATCTTATAGTGTTACAATTGCTAAGATTTTCACCTATGGTGAATTAGGATGAAATAAGGTAGAGAAGGATAGGGCTCACGCAGTATCTCCAGTATTTTAGAAATGTGGTAGAATGATTACACAATAGATCGTATTGGGGTAATGGAAATGTTCTGAAACTAGATAATGATGACGTAATATAACTAAAAAAATTTACTAAAAATCATTGACTTATATACCCTTAAAATGGGTCAATTACATGGTATGTAAATTGTAGCTTAATAAAGTTGTTTTTAAAATGTCGCAAATTATTTCACTCCCTATATTCAAGCTTCTAATCAATAAATTCAGTCTATTTCTTCATCCCTTAATGGGGCTAGTCCTGTGATTTCCTTTTCCCAAAACAATGTGACAGAAGTTAACAGTGTGTGAGTTCTGACCCTAAGTCTAAAGGTGCCCTGCAGGTTTCCACTCACTCTCTTGGAACCCTGCCACTGCTATGTGAATAATCCCAGGCTAGCCTGTTAACAGTGGAAGACACATGGCCCAATCACGCCCACCACTCAATGGCCAGTTATATGAGTGAGGCCATCCTAGACCAGTCAAACTCTAGCCAAACCATCTACTGACTACAGAGGCGTAACAAAATTAGAATCCAGGTACTATGAGCCAAACTGGGCCCAGATAAACAGAACCACCCAGGTGACCATAAATTCATAAGCAAAAATGAATAGTTACTATTTCAAGTCACTAAATTTTGGAGTGGTTTGGATACAGCAACAGATAAGATGTAGGTGATATCAGGTAAATAATCATCAAAAAGACTATGGAATTGACTGGTTGATGCTGAGTATTTATGTGTTCAAGAGAGAAGACAGGCTCAGTTGAGCCAATTACCAACTTAAAGGACAAAGACAATGTGTAGAGTCACCCACAGGAGAGTTGCAGCCCAGACCTTGTAAAGCAAGACCATGCTGTCTGCAGCCAAAAATTATACCTCATCTGTAAAGTATGGCATACTACTCTTGGCATATTATTAAGCCCTGGAAGAGACAGAGCATCTGACTGATGGTCATCAAGGGACTGTGCAACCAGAGCTAACCATCAGGAGCTAAGTGCTATCACACCCATGAAGTGATAAGACCAGGAGAGTACAACAGCAATTCATCATAAAATGGAAGCAGGTATATTGGAATTGGGCCCAAGTAAGAAAGAGATGACAAGAACAAGCGTTAGGGGCATTTCCTACATCAAGCTGAAACGAGGAATAAACCTGGGCCTGATTAATGGATAGGTCATCTTGGTACATTGGTACAAACTGCAAATAAACTACTGTTGCACTATAGTCCCACTAGGGACTGCCTTGAAAGACAGTTGTGAGGGGAAATCCTCCATTGTGCAGAGCTTGGAGGGATGCATCTCATCATCTACTTTGTATGGAGAGAGAAGTGGGTCATGGACTCCTGGGTTGTGGCAAATGATTTGGATAAATAGGGGCTTGGAACGAGCAAGCCTGGAAGATTGGAAAGAAATGATTTATGGAAGAGGCATATGGACAGACTTATGGGAGTATGTACAAAGAGTGATCTGTTTTACATGTTAATGCTCACCAGAGAACAACACTAAAGAGACACTAAACAATCAGCAGGATAACTTGTCCAGTGCATGTCAGCCAGCCTCTGTCCTTAGACATTCCGTTATTTCCACAAAGGGACCATGAATAACGTAACAGCCATGGTGGCAGATAGAAGCTATAAAAAATGGGTTCCCCTTCACCAAGGTTTATCTACTGTGGCTGCTGAATGTCCAGTTGGTTAACAGCAAAGACTGAGACCCTGATCCAAGGGCATCCCTTGAGAAAACCAGTCATTTGGTAGCATATTGATTATGTCAGATTTTTTCCACACTAAAAAAGACAGCAATTAATCCTTATTGGGACTGACAATATTCTAGATACAGTAGTTCCCCCTTATCTTCAGGGTACATGTTCTAAGACCCACAATGAATATGATGGAATTCACAGATAGTACTGAAACCACAGATAGTATAGAACTCAATTGCCAGCAACTGGAACAAATTCTGTTCATGTCTTCCACTCACAAATTTAATGCTACTTTATTTTATTTTTATTTTTGAGACAGGGGCTTGCTCTGCTGCCCAGGCTGGAATGCAGTGGTGTGATCTCGGCTCACTGCAACCTCTGCCTCCCAGGCTCAAGCCATCCTCCCACCTTAGCCTCCCAAGTAGCTGGGATGACAGGCACATATCACCACACCCAGCTAATTTTTGTAGAGATGAGATCTTGCTATGTTGCCCAGGCTGGTCTTGAACTCCAGGACTCAAGCCATCCACCTGACTCTGCCTCCCAAAGTGCTGGGATTACAGGTATTAGCCACCGTGCCCGACCTGCCCTTTCCATTCTAACTAAGCAATTATCCTGTACTGTGGCTGCACTTTTGCAGTTTGAGGTGCAACACAAAAAGTAACATACATTTTTGTTTTTCCTTCTTCACAATTTCATGGATGGAAGATTCATTCTTACCATAGATCTTCGCAACCACAGCATAAGATTCTTTTTATTGGCCGGGCACAGTGGCTCACACCCGTAATCCCAACACTTTGGGAGGCTGAGGCGGGCAGATCACTTGAGCTCAGGAGTTTGAGACCAATCTGAGCAACGTGGTGAAACCCCGTCTCTACAAAAAATACAAAAATTAGCTAGGCACGGTGGTGAATGCCTGTAGTCCCAGCTGCCTGGGAGGCTGAGGTGGAAGGATCGCCTGAGCCCGGGAGGCGGAGGTTGCAGTGAGCTGAGATTGTGTCACTGCACTCCAGCCCAGGTAATAGAGCAAGATTGTCTCAAAAAAATAAAAAACCTGGCCGGGCGCAGTGGCTCATGGCTGTAATCCCAGCACTTTGGGAGGCCGAGGTAGGCGGATCACGATGTCAGGAGTTCGAGACCAGCCTGGCTAACATGGTGAAACCCCATCCCTACTAAAAATACAAAAATTAGCCGGGTGTGATGGCACGCACCTGTGATCCCAGCTACTCAGGAGGCTGAGGCAGGAGAATTGAGTGAAACCAGGAGGCAGAGGTTGCAATGAGCCAAGATCATGCCACTGCATCCCAGCCTAGGTGACAGAGTGGGACTCCATCTCAAAAAAAAATCTTTTTTTTTATTTCTTTGTTGAGAGCTTTTACCTTTTCACTTAAAGGAGGCACTTTACAGTTTCTCTTTGGCACATCTGAATTGCCAGCATCACTACTGTCGTGCTTTGGATAATCATTAAGTAATATAAGGGTTACTTAACATAAACACAGCAATACTCTCACAGTTGGTCTGATAACCAAGATGGCTATTAAGTGACTAATGGGCGGGTAGCATATACAGTGTGGAGCCACTAAACGAAGGAATGATTCACATCCCAGGCCAGATGGAATGGGACAGCTCAAGGTTTCATTGTGCTACTCAAAACAGTGCACCATTTAAAACCTATGAATTAGGGCCAGGTGCAGTAGTTTTTGCCTATAATCCCAGCACTTTGGGAGGCCAGGTGGGAGGATTATTTGAGGCCAGGAATTCAAGACCAGCCTGGGCAACATAGCAAGACTGCATCCCTATAAAAATAAAAATAAAAATAGCCAAGACTAGCCAGGTATGGTGGCACATGCCTGTAGTTCTATTTGGGAGGCTGAGGCTTGACTGCTTAAGCCCAGGAGTTGGAGGCTACAGTGAGCTATGACTACACCAGTGCACTCCAGCCTGGGCTGGAGCAAGACCCTGTCTCAAAACCAAAACAAAACTTATGAATTATTTATTTCTGGAATTTTCCATTTAACATTTTTGGACCAAGGTTGACCATAGGTAATTGAAACCACAGAAAGTAAAATCATGCATAAGGGGGGACTACTATATACATTTGCCTATGCTGTCTATGGTGCCTTGACCAGTATTACTATCCAAGGACTCATAGGAGTATCTCATTCACTAACAAGAAAACTCACATAGTATCTTAGAACAAGGATTCCACTTTGCAGAATAGGAGGTACAATGACAGCATATGACCACAAAGATCCACAGTTCCTACCACATACAGTATTACCCCAAAGCTGCTGGCCTGATAAAGTGCTGCAATACCCTTTAAAAGTGCAGAATGAAGAGGATCTCATTAAGAATGGGGTGGCCTTCAAGATACCAATAAATCATTCCATTTGTAAAAAATATATGGGTCCAGCAACCAAGAAGTAAAAGCAGGAGTAGCCCCATTTGCCATTATTTTTCAATAACTCACTTGGAGAATTTGTGCTGTCTCTCCAAATTAGATTTTGTGGGTCCTAGTTCCCAGAGGGGGTGCTTTTTAATCAAGGAGGACAGTTGAAGAACAATTAAACCTGAAGTTATGGCTGTTACCTAGCTATTTTGAGCTCCTCATGCAGGCAGATTCATAGGAAAGAAAAGGAGTTACCATACTGGCAGGGGTAAATGACTATTGTAAGGAAGACGGGTTGCTGCTATATAACGAGGGCAGTGAGGAATTTATATGGTATAAAGGGGATTCACTAGGGTGCCTCTTAATGCTCTCATGCTCAGTGATAAGCATAGCTCTCATGTAATTATAATGGGCAATCACAACAACCACAGTCTGACAAGCACATGGTGACCAAAGGCTCAAATCCCTCAGATGAAGATCTCGGTAATGCCATTCAGTCAAACTATCAAGATGAGCAGAAGTGTTAATAGAGGATGCATGGAATTGATGGTAGGAAGAGATGTCAATATGGGTTACAGCCCTAAGACCACCTGCAGCAACACACTGTGGTTAATCCCACTAAGCCTCCTTTTGTAAGATTCTTCCCCAGAAGTGGGAAGCAACAATATGAAGAATCCATGACAAAATGGAATAAACTTAATACAAGACAGGAGTCAATATAAACGGTACAAGCTAGGGGAAGGGGGAACTATAGTACCAACTCTTTTAGTGGACAATGGTGACGCTCCATCAGAGTCTCTAAGATCCTTTTTATCCTTTACACACCCCTAGACTGTGTATTTTCAATGTGGTTCACCAGTCAGCATCTGCAGTTCTTCAGAGGACTGCATTTAACTACTTAAAACATTTTGCCCACCTGGACAGAGCCAGAGCAACTGGTAACCAAAGATGGTCCAGTATGGAAATAGGAAATCCCAGCCTCCCTGCCTCAAGCTAGAACAACCCAAGAGTTTCCCTGCTAGATCAAGACGAAGCCTATTCTCTGTGGTACTTTTACCTGAGATCACACTCTTGCTTGGCTTCCTCTTCTTCTCTGGCCTGCTTCTCCCACTCTGTTATTTGTCTCCTCTATAAGCACTGCTTTAAATGTCATTTGCACAAGTATATTCATCTAGGTCAGCTTCTAAGGAGTGCAAACTTAAAAAAAATCTAGATGTGATGGTGTAAAAGTATTAGTAACCCAGAACAAGGATCGGTAACCTAGTGTTTAACAGACAGACTTCTAATTGGAACAACTGGGACTTCCCAAAAGTGTAGTGAACATGCTAGACTGGCATGCACAACCACATTCTGGTGTACCTCCCTGATGTGCAGAAACAAGAATGCTAATAAAGTAACCCTACATTTCTTAGTTAGTGTTCTGGATCAGATTTAAAATAAGGCAATTACATGCAAGATCTGGGAAGTGTAAATAAGGCAGAAGCATTACCATTCCACTATTTCTGATGCTAAATATCACCTTGGTTTTTCTATACAGGGTTTCCAATATTGGCAGTGACAGCACGGTTCTAGAGAGGACAGCTTTCATGATAGATTCCAATTCAGCTGTTAGCTTCATGATAGAATAGCTGGGAGCATCTTTGGTGATCTGGTTTGAGGCAAACCTCTCAAAATCATTCCTGAAAACTTAACTTAAAGCCTGTCTTTTCAACTGTCCTAATGATTCTGTAAGCCGTTTAATACTTATTGTGTGCAAATACCTTTGTGCATAAACTCGCTAGAGTGAATTTTGTTCCCTTCAACTAGACCTTGAATATACAAAATTTGTTATTAAAAGTAGGGTGCTACCATAACAAACCTAAAACATGTAGCACTGGCTTAGTAAGAGGATAGGGAGGTACGAATACCGATATTACAGATTAGAAAGGTGATGACCATTTTATGCCTTAGTAAAATATTTGATAAAAACGGTCATATTAATGTCTTGAAAGGCAGATCTCATACTCACTGAACCTATAGCTCTACAGTAAAAGATTACAATTAAGGATACTGGTCTGTGTTAGTGCTTCTTATTGCTTTCAACAAGGTCCTATTTGAGACATATAAATTTAGGCCAAAGCTAATCAGCTTGCAATCAGTGATGAAAAGAAACATAGTGGACAGGCATGGTGGCTCATGCCTATAATCCCAGCACCTTGCGAGGCCGAGGTGGGCAGATCACCTGAGCTCAGAAGTTCGAGACCAGCCTGGGCAACATGGTGAAACCCCGTCTCTACTAAAAACACAAAAATTAGCCAGGCATGGTGGTGCACGCCTGTAATCCCAGCTACTTGGGAAGCTGAGGCAGGAGAATCACTTGAACCCAGGAGGCGGAGATTGCAGTGAGTCGAGATGGCACCATTGCACTCTAGCCTGGGCGACAGTGCATGACTCCGTCTCAAAAAAAAAAAAAAAAAAAAAAAAAAACAGGACAGGCGTGGTGGCTCATGCCTGTAATCCCAGCACTTTGGGAGCCTGAGGCAGATGGATCACGAGGTCAGGAAATCAAGACCATTCTGGCTAACACCGTGAAACCCTGTCTCTACTAAAAATACAAAAAATAAATTAGCTGGGTGTGGTGGCGGGTGCCTGTAGTCCCAGCTACTTGGCAGGAGAATGGTGTGAACCCAGGAGGCAGAGCTTGCAGTGAGCTGAGATCACACCACTGCACTCCAGCCTGGGCAACACAGCGAGACTCCGTCTCAAAAAAACAAAAAACAAAAAACAAACAAAAAAAAAAACATAGCTCTCTGTGCCAAGAACCTAGAATCAAAATTGTCTGGTAATTTGAAACCATGGGATAAAAATATCCAATTGCTTTTGATTCTCAAACTGAGGCAGTGGTAAGAGTTAACTAGAGAGTCAGTTTTGTAGAAAGTAACTTTGATATTAATATTAGCAGAAGCTGGGTAAGGGGTATACAGGAACATTCTATGTTATCTTTGTGACTTTTCTGCAAATTAGATTATTTCAAAATTAAAAAGTATATTAAAACAGGCCAGGTGCAGTGGCTCATGCCTATAATCCCAGCACTTTGGGAGGTCGAGGCGGGCAGATCACTTGAGGTCAGGAGTTCCAGACCAGCCTGGACAACATGGTGAAACCCTGTCTCTACTAAAAATACAAAAATTAGCTGGGCGTGGTGGCACACGCTTGTAGTCCAAGCTACATGGGAGGCTGAGGCAGTGCTTCAACCTTGCTTGAACCTGGGAGGTGGAGGTTGCAGTGAGCTGACATCGTGCCACTGCACTCCAGCCTGGGTGACAGAACAAGACTCCGTTTCACAAAAAAAAAAAAAAAAAAAAATATATATATATATATATATATATAGAGAGAGAGAGAGAGAGAGAGAGAGAGAGACCCCAATTCTTTCTCAAGCCTGCTTGTTTTACCTTTAAAGAATCTTTAAACTTGGATGAAGCAGGCTATAAAAGCTATATGGCCTTGATGAAAAATATAGTCTTCAAAATCTATTTTGGTGGTAGCCTTTAAAGAAAACAAACAAGGAAAATCTGCCAGAGGGCAAAGCCAGGGGTCACATGGAGTACAATGGGCAAGGGGGTTTCTCCCAGACAACAGAATCAGACTGCTAGATGGGCTAACCAGGAACTTATTCCAACGCCTTCACTGTCCTCAGAATTTCCACCTAGCAAGATTTTATCACTGCTATAGACCCAAGACCCCTCCAGTTTCCTATTCTTGTCTATTTTAAACAGAAATTTTTACTGTGATTATTCTGTTCCTACTCCAGCAATGTATAATGATGTGTGCATGAGGTCTGGAGTGGGGAATGCAAATTAACATGCCTTTTAGTTTTTAGGTACCAGACCATGAGGGGCATGGTCCAAGGTACATTTAGACCTTCTAGAGAAGACCGCACCCAGAGAGAAAGATCACTCAAAGATCCTAGACTCTGAGCTGGATACAATGTTCTCATGAGATTTGGAGTTCTTCTCCATTTGGATAGAGATAAGGGTGTTCTATGTATGGAAGAATAGTGAACTGGGTTATTTCAGTGGCTGTAGGGGCAAACTAAGGCAGACTATTAGTTGTATTAGTTGTCCCTAAATAACCACTGTACGCTTTTGCCACAATAGTTGAAATACAGGCATATTTCCCAGACCTTCTCATAACCTGATATAACCATGTGATTAAGTTCTGGCCAATGTGATATGCACAAAGGTGGTATATGCAATTTCCAGCCTAAGGAAACAGCATGCCCTCCCTTTGCTCTCTTCAACTAATAGAAATGGAGACAAGAAAGTAGAGACTGAAGTGGCTACCTTGGTCCACAAAATGGAGGCTGCTTATTAATTAAGGATGGCAGAACAACAAGACAGAAAGAATCTGAGTCCTTGGTGATTATAGTTTCAGATACCAGTCCTACCACCTATTCAGACTTTTACATCTATTACAGCAGCAAATCAATTAATACATAAAGTTTCTTTGGCTTTTTCCCAACTCCTTTCTAGTGACCTCTTGACCTCAAGTACCAATTAACTGTCTACCAACTGATTCTGTTAAGGTATTAATTGAGATTTTAACTGATAACTGTATAATTAGTTTTCTCCCCTAGAAGACAAAAAAAAAAATCCTCACAAAATGAGGACGATGATTACGAGTTGGCGAGCACCCTGGGTTGATCTATTCCCTTTTGTTCAACCCAGAAAACATCTCTGAAAGATTAATGCTACTTGCCTAGAACACATAGGCTCACATCCTTTAACCTCTAGGCTGACTTTTTACATGAGTAAAATGAAAAAGTAAAAATTTTTTTTTTAATTAAGCATAAAGAAGACAAGAAGGGGTTCACACTAAAACAGCAGCCAGCAAGAAACATTTGTTTAGAGTTCTTCAGTTCTATTCTCCCACTAAGTACTGCAGATTTAAGAAAAGGCAGGATAAGAGAAATGCAATGAAATGACCAAAGCAATAGCACTGGCTAATTTCCCTCTCTATTGAGCCTACAGTCTACTGTCACCAAACTACTTTACATTCTGCTCTTCCATCTTTGGAATTCTCATAAATTAAAACCATTTCCCCAATCTTCCCCAGTGGTTACAAATACCAATATAAGAAACACTGCTCTAACACTATAAAGGCCCTTAAAGTAACTTACGATGATGAATCATTTTCCTTAGGGTAATCTTCATTCAATTCTGAGCCAGTTGATATCATTCTTTTCCTCTTTTCAGTACTACAGAGAACAAAGAAAAGGTTACTTTTAAAAAGCCACAATTCATATCACAAAAATTCATAAATCAACATACTGAAGGACAGGAAATGGGACTACTATTATCTAATTCTCTACACCATATTTAATTATTATTATTTTCCAGACAGTCTCGCTCTGTCACCCCAGTCTGAAGTGTAGTGACATGATCTTGGCTCACCGCAACCTCTGCCTCCCAGGTTCAAGCGATTCTCCTGCCTCAGCCTCCCGAGTAGCTGGGACTATAGGCGTGTGCCACCACACCAGGCTAATTTTTTTGTATTTTTAGTAGAGAAGGGTTTTCACTATGTTAGCCAGGATGGTCTCAATCTCCTGACCTCATGATCCGCCCGCCTCAGTCTCCCAAAGTGTTGGGATTACAGGCGTGAGCTATCACACCTGGCCCATATTTAAATTTATATGCTGTATATTTGTATGCTTAATACATGTCACTGACATAAACTACATATGACAAATACTTGTAATCATTACATCTACCAAAAATGTACTCTATACTTTATTTCTCCTCAAATTACTGGTATTTCTAAAAGGCCTAAAAGACATTTACAGATACAGCTAGTGACTAAGAAAAAAGTCTCTCCTACCGATTTTCTAGCAACCCTGATCTAAGAGGTGTTGAAGTAGATGTCAAAGAAGGAATCGTCCGAGCTATTCCACTTCCTGCTACAGTCTTAATCGATCCTCTACCCGGATTACCAAGAACTTTTCGAAATGGAATATCATCTTTAGTTTCCAAACTTCCTCTTTTTGCAGAAGCCTGTAAAAATAAAGTTTGAGATAGTTAAATCTTCAAATTAACTGGAATACTTTTAGAACAGTGATTCTCCAATGGAAAGGTTTAAAAAATACAAATGGAGCCAGGTGCGATGGCTCATGCCTGTAATCCCAGAAAGCGAAGGCGGGAGGATCACTTGAGCTCAATAGTTTGAGGTTATAGTGAGCTACAACTGTACCACTGCAATCTAGCCTAGGCGACAGAGCAAGACCCTATCTCTAAAAAAAGGAAAAAATACAAATGGAGATACATCTCTAGAGATTCTATTCTAGTTGATCTGCGGTAAGGCTCATTCATCAGTTTTGTTGTTGTTGTTGTTTGTTGTTGTTTTTAAAAGCACTCCAGGTGATTCTAATGTACAGTCAGTGTGAAAAATTGAGCTTGACACTTATTTTCCTATAGCATTCTTATAAACTTAAAAACTCCACAGCACACCTGTTGAGGGGGCAAGAACACTGCTTTGAATTACTAACCAAAAAAAAAAAAAAAAAAAAGACACACACAGACATGGCTCTAGTGATCAGCATGGGAACTGATCTTTGGAGGAAAAAAATATCTAATTATGATTATGACAAGTTAAGAAAAGGTGACAGTGACATTTGGTTGCCACAACTTAAATGCCAACAAAACAGTCATGACTCTTGAGAGGGTTCTAGTTTGGAGGAATGAAACATATGATAGGGAAAAGGAAGGTGAGATAGAGTTCAATATGAAGATGAATCAAAGAGTCTACCCTTAAGACATGGCAAGAACACTCAAAGAGAATATGGCAATGTAAGCATTAGCTGAGAAATACAGCTTTACATGAACACTCTGCCAGTTAAGTTTTATATCTCTACATTAAGAGCTATGCGATTTTTCTATAGAAGTTATGTCCTATTACTTTTGTTTTACAGAATTACAATCCTAGGATAGGAAATTTTAAAACTTCTAAGAGCATCTGAATGAATACTTTAAAAAGTTAAACTTATTTTCAAATGAGTGATATATTCTCAAGGTTCACAAATCAAAGTAATATTAGAAGCCACAGACCAATGATAAGTCTCACTATGACCATCCACTCAGTTCTTCCACTTCCCCTTTTCCCACTAATTCTTCCCTTGTTCTGTTATGCAAATACAAATCAATATTTTACTTTTTGTTATACAAACAGTAGCATACTACATGTCCACTGTTTTGCAACTTTTTCAGAATTTTGAATATTATCCCATCCCATAGTAACAAATATATATATTACATATATATATTTAAGACAGAGTCTTACTCTGTCAACCAGGCTGGAGTGCAGTGGCACAATCACTGCTTCCTGCAGCCTTGACTTCCCAGGTTCAGGTGATTCTCCCACCCCAGTCTTCGAAGCAGCTGGGACTACAGGTGCACACCACCATGCCCAACTAATTTATGTATTTTTTTTTGTAGAGACAGGGTTTCACATGTTGCCCAGGCTGGTCTCAAACTCCTGGGCTCAAGGAATCTGCCCACCTCAGCCTCCCAAAGTGCTGGGATTACAGGAGTGAGCCACCACGCCTGGCCGCATAGTAAGAAATATTTTACATCAAAACCTATTATAAATATGTATAAATAAACCAAAATAAAAGTTTGAAAAATCAGTATTTATCCTTAATATGTACAATATTCTCTATTATTTTCTATTCTACTTTTTAAATTTAATGTTAGTTATGACCCACAAAATTGAATTTATGACTCCACTAACGAGAATTACTACTTGTGAAAGCATAAATACTTGCTTCTGCTATATGTGTTAACACTTATGCATTTAAATAATATTTCAACAATTTAAATTCCAAGGAATGTATGAATCTCAAAATAATTATGCTGAGGGAAGCCAGACCCTGCCCTCCCAAAATTACACGCTCATTCCATTTATATAAAACTCCAGAAATTACAACCTAATCTATAGTGGGAGAAAACATATCAGTGGTTGCTTCTGGATAGGGATCAGAGGGAAGGATTACTAAGAAGAATAAGAAATCTCAAGAGTTATGGTTATGTTCACTATGTTGATTATGATGACGATTTTAAGGACATATGTAAGTCAAAATATATCAAATTGTACTTTAAATATACACAACTTACTGCATGTCAATTATATCTCAATAAAAATGTCCCCCAAAAATCTAACCTATAAAAAGAACCTGACAAAAATGAAATCTTATTCATTGCTTAGTCCAATAAGTGGACTAAGTGATCACCTCTTTGCACAGCCAAAGAGAATTCATAAATTTACTTACAGAAAAGCTTCAAAGTTTCTCTTACTCTATGGTTTGGAATGATACCTAAATGAAATGATACATTTCAGGTATGCAGAAATACCCTTGATAGTCTATGACTATCTTTTTTTTTTTTTTTTTTGAGATGGAGTCTTGCTCTGTTGCCCTGGCTGGAGTGCAATGCCATGAGCTCAGCTCACTACAACCTCCACCTCCTGGGTTCAAGCAATTCTCCTGCCTCGGCCTCCTGAGTAGCTAGGATTACAGGTATGTGCCACCACGCCTGGCTAATTTTTCTATTTTTAGTAGAGATGGGGTTTCACCATGTTGGCCAGGCTGGTCTCAGACTCCTGACCTCGGGTGATCCACCCGCCTCGGCCTCCCAAGTGCTGGGATTACAGGCGTGAGCCACTGTGCCTGGCCAACTATCATTTTTTTTAAATGCTAAAAAGATTCAAATGAACATACCTGATTGTCTGAGTAAGAAAGCTGCCTGCTGGTTTCCTTCTGTGAGGTCCTGCTGCCCAGAATGGCTCCAAAACTACCAGACCCCTGAGACGGTTTCATGGCTGGTGACCAAAAATATAATTTTTTTTAAAATCCCCAAATCACTCACTTTAACAAAAAGATTTATCATTATTATTTTTATATAATATTGAAGAAATGGACGAAACAGCAGGCAAAAAAGAAAACAAATCAAAGTGCCTATCAACCAATTCTTTCTGACAGAATATACATCTTATATAAACTAAAATTTAGAGCTAGAATCTGAAGCAAAAAATTAAGTAACACATATACCTGAAAACATTTAATAGAAGGCTAAAATTTACAAAGCAAAAAAAAAGCTAGAATAAACATTTGGTAATTATATTAATAACACTATGGAAAAGTCATTGTGTATCAACAACATGAACACTGACACTGGATGTCAGAAACAGTGACAGTTGTATCTCCAATAACATATACTCCAAAACATTCTCTACAGGTAAGTTTATCCAGCAGAATAAATGGCTTCTATTCTGAAGAAACTAATGGTAGTTCAAGGAACATTCAAGGTATTGTATAAATATAAATTTGCATATACTTTTAAAAATATTTTATAATTAATTTGGTTAGCCAATTTCCAACTGATGACCATTTGAAATGTTTTAATTTTTCAAAGTTGCAAACAATGCTTAACATCCTTTCACAAACCTTTTTGTAGGAAAAACTCCTTATAATAAGAATTACTGAGCGAACATACAATTTTAAACTAAACTGACATTATTACAGTCCTCAAAAAAAAAAGAAAAAAGAAAAAAAAAAAAAAACCTCTATGCTCCTACCAAGTATATGAGAGTATCTTGCTTCCCCTCACACTGCTACCAATGTGGTAGTAGGAATCTGAGTTTGGTGAAGTCGAGAATTTTTTCATGTGTAAGGGCCATCTATTTTGCTTCCTGAATTCTCTATTTGCAGTTTTTGTCAATTTCTCTACTAGTTTTTTTTTAATTGATTTGCAAAATAGGTCTTTGTATATTAGCAATATTAACTTTGTCACTCTGGCTACTATTTTCTTCCTTTGTCTTTTGTTCCTTGCCAGATAGACTGTCTAATTTTTTAACACAAGTTTTCAATCTTTTTCCTTTATTAATTCTAGTTTTTATGTAACACCCAGAAAAGTCTTTTCCATCCAGAGATTATGTTAAAAGTACTTTTTACAATACTTTTATCATTTTTTTTTACATTCAAATCTTTGGTCACTGGAGATAAGGATCCAAGTGTATTAACTTCCTAAATGGTTAGTTGTCTTGTTTATGGTTAACACTTTATCAAATATTAGTCTTTTGTCCACTGATTTGAAATGCCATGCTTATATTAAATGCTTTATGCTGTTCAAAGTATTTTTATTCATTATTTTGCTCTAGTCTCTGCAAAGTATATAATAACCACCTTTGGGCAGCTAAAGCAACTAAACCTGAGATTAAAATAACTTGCCCAAGATCACAGAATGAATTAAGAGTTAAGCCCACAGCTAGCTATTCTAATAACGCCAATGACTTACTGAGTGCCTAGCATAGGGAAGTCATACTTTTACATTTACGAGCTCTCATTCTTTAAGAAGCCCTGAAATCAAGGTGATACTTTCATGTTAGAGATTAGGAAATTAAAATTCAGTCACTAAGTGACTTACCTAAAACCACACAGAAATAACAGGCAGAGCTAGAATTTCAACCTACATCTATTTATGGCCAAAGCCCATATTTTTTCATTATGCTATGTTGTTCAATATTGGTCCCCAGACAGTATATTGTGCTTTCCACTCCAGTGGATTTGAAGACATGCTTTTCTTACACGTATCAATTGTTAAAACAGTGATTCCATTAATATGGGTAAGATGAAATAAAACTAAAACAGAGATATAAACTAGCCTCTGACATATTCTAAGAATTTTAAATAGTATTCAATTTCTTGATTCTTTTTTTTTTTTGAGATGGAGTCTCACTCTGTAGCCCAGGCTGGAGTGCAGTGGCGCAATCTCGGCTCACTGTAACCTCTGCCTCCCGGGTTCACGCCATTCTTCTGCCTCAGCCTCCCAAGTAGCTGGGACTACAGGCACTCGCCACCATGCCTGGCTAATTTTTTGTATTTTTAGTAGAGATGGGGTTTCACCGTGTTAGCCAGGATGGTCTCGATCTCTTGACCTCGTGATCCGCCCACCTCGGCCTCCCAAAGTGCTGGGATTACAGGTGTGAGCAACCGTGCCTGGCCTCAATTTCTTGATTCTAAAATTCAATAGTTTAGTAAATTGATATGCTCCAATTTGGTGGCATGAACATATAATGAGTAGGTACTAAATGGCAAACAATCATAAAAAGCTTTTATTTTACAAGAATACGGTGTCGAATGGAGATACTAATTAAAGGTAGTACTGCTACACCTTCATTTTCTGATGTTTTTAATGTGTCATATTTAAGTTGAAAAAATTCAAGTAAGTTTGTCAACTACAAAATAGAAGTAATAGTAAAATGTTGAAGATGACAGAGCTAAAGACTAATGTGATAGTAGAGAACTCATTTTAAGCAGAGATTTTTTCCTAAAAAGATGGCTGTAGGGCCAGGCAGTGGCTCACACCTGTAATCCCAGCACTTTGGCAGGCCAAGGAAGGTCAATCGCTTGGGCCCAGGAGTTCGATAACAGCCTGGGAAACAGAGTGGAATCTTGCCACTGTACTTCAACCTGGGTGACAGAGTGAGACACTGTCTCAAAAAAAAGAAAAAGAAAAAGAGAAAAGAAAAGAAAAGAAAAAGTGCCTGTAAATGCATTAAAAGAAAAAAAAACCACTATTTTAAATGAAAGGGGTTAGAGGGGGCAGAGGAACCTGATCATACCATGTGATTTTTTTACAGGACTCATTTTCCACAGCAAGAGTAAAACTTCAGAATAATTTTCATATAGATAGGTAAGTGTCTAAGATTTATGCAACAAGGTAACTTTTCCCAACTGTAATTTAAATCCTCCTCCCTGGTGGAGGTTGCAGTGAGCTGAGATCACACGACTGCACTCCAGCCTAGGTGTTAGAGCAAGACTCCATTTCAAAACAAACAAACAAACAAACAAACAAATAAATAAATAATAAAAAATCCTGCTCCTTTGTCTAATCATATTGTTTTGTGGAATCTACATATAAGATCAAGTCATCTGCAAACACAAATAATTTTACTTCTTCCTATCCAATTTGGATGCCTGTTATTTCCTTTTCTTGCCTAATGGCTCTGGCTAAGACTTCTAGTACTATGTTAAATAGAAGTGGCAAGAGCAGGTATTCCTGCCTTGCTAATGATCTTAGAGGAAACATTTCCAGTTTTTCACCCCTAAGTACGATGTTAGCTGTAAGTTGTTGCATATGACCTTTATTACGCTGAGTCGTTTCCTTCTACTCCTAGTTTGTTGAGTGTTTTTATCATGAAAGAGTGTTGGATTTTGTCAATGTTTTCATCTGCAACAATTCAGATGATCATGTGGTTTTCGTCCTTCATTTGTCAAGAATGATGTGTTACACAGATTGATTTTCATATGGTGAACTATCTTTGAATTTCAGGAATAAATCTTATTTGCTCATGGTGTATAATCCTTTTAATGTGCTGATGAATTCAGTTGAATATTGGTCTGTAGTCTAGTCATAGCCTTGTAAAAATACTAACGTTAGACCCTGGGGTGATTAGTACTCACCTGCAGGAAGTCTGTTTTGATGGACTGCATCTAGAAACAACCTCATTTCCTCTGCATCCTTACTTGGTACTTTGTCAATAGACAAGAAGCTGTTATCTTGCAGAGTTAACATTAGGCGGCTTTGTTTCGCTCCACTGGGTCGAAGCACCACATTTTTAATGTTATGACTTAGCTAATCAAGACAAAAGGAAAATTATCATCAAAAATGTATGACAACTAAGTATAACAATCTGTATAATAAATACTAAACTTTATACTTTCCATGTTACATTTATCACTCTTCCCCACAGTAATTTAATTTTTTTCAACCAAAAGAAGTTCCCATTTCTTGATACATTTAAATTAAAGATTTACCTTTTAGGAGATGCAAACACATGCAATAAGCCTTTAATTATACAGAGATCTTGCACCAAGGGTAATAGAGAAGGAAAAATAAAGAATTGTTTTAAAAAAGCCCTTAATGAATGTTGTCAATAGGTTCTTGGTACTAAATGGCAAACAACCATGAAAACTTTTTATTTTATAAGAATATTGTGTCAAATGGAGACATTAATTAAAGGCAGCACTGCTACCCCTTCATTTTCTGATGTTTTTAATGTGTTAAACATTAAGCAAAAGGACATATAGCAGGTCCTCAAATAACATCATTTCCTTCATTATAATGTTGATGAGGAAAAAAACTAGTTTCATTTCTTAGTCACAGTTTTCAAGAACCAACTGACAATATAAAGTGTGGACTTACTCTTCTACTAAAATTAATTTTACGGAACAATCCTAGAACTCTTGATCTCATGGTAGGGAATCCCTTATTTTCAGATATAGTTATAGAGGATAAAAACTACTGAGTTAACACATTTCAGAACCTTGGACGGTTACATTATCACCAGTTTAGAAAACCAAATGGAAGTAGAAAGCCAGGTGCCATGGCTCATGCCTGTAATCCCAGCACTTTGGGAGGCTGAGGCAGGCAGATCACCTGAGGTCAGGAGTTCAAGACCAGCCTGGCCAACATGGCGAAATCCCATCTCTACTAAAAAGACAAAAAGTAGCCAGGCATAGTGGAGCACACCTGTAGTCCCAACTACTCGGGAGGCTGAGGCAGGAAAATAGCTCGAACCCAGGAAGTGGAGGCTGCAGTGAGTTGAGAGTGTGCCCCTGCACTCCAGCCTGGATGACAGAGCAAAACTTTGTCTCAAAAAAAAAAAAAAAAATTGGAGTAGAATCTTTGTCTTTTGTTAAACAAAAGTTTGTAAGACATTTGGCAAATTATTTAGGTAGTTTCAATATAAAAGATATTATTCCAAGCAATTAAATAATCCTCAAAAGAATTCCAAACTTTCAAAAACCATCAAAAATAAACCTTTACCAATATAGCACACTTTTTTTTTCTTTTTTAACTAAGAAAACTCACTTAAGTTTCATTCAAAGATCATATGGACCTGAAAACTCTTAACTTACTTCTCTCTCCACAGAACTGGTTCAATAATTCATCTTAGACTCTACCAGACTTTGGAAATGTGCTATGAAGCGATAACTTTTATTTTCTCTTAAATGGAATTTTTCCAAGGCTAAATTAGTAAATCTTACAGTTTCTTCATTATCTAAATAATTCCTGCCAGTCAGGCAGCCTTATTCTCTAATGTTCTCAGCAGGCATATATAAAAGTTTCTAAACTGCCTTTTACTGAAGACATGCCCTCTGAAAAGCATAAACAAAGAACTAGTAACATACTTCAGAATTTTTTTTAAACTAGAGAAAATTGACTTTTGTTAATTATTAGATAAGAATGAAAAACAATTTTGCCAATTTATATTCAAATTTTAAATTATATATGTATTTTTAGCATCAAAGTGGGTCGTAAAATTATGTCCTTGAGTGGAAATTCTCTAGGAAAACACAATAATTCGTTTTAGATGCTTTTAACTCCAAAATACTTAAATAAGCAGTTTAGTATGCAAAAGGAAAATAGATAACATTAAACGCATTATTTCAGTCAATTTATCACTTTTTAAAAATTAAATATACAAAGCAAAGTTTGTTCATTAACAAAAAAGATGAGAATCTTCTTGAACTTCGACACTTCAACAACTGAAAAGCCCATCCAGCCCCACAATTTCAGTAACTATTCATATGGTAACGACACACAACTCTTCCTCTATCTTAAGCCCAGACCTCTCTGTTGGAGCTCCAGTCCTGTTTACCTTCTGAATGCTTGACACCTCAGATAACTCATCTCTCCTAATCCTCACACCCCAATTCTTCCCCTCTGCTCCGTATCATGGAAGACATAAAAGTGACTGCCATCCACTCAAAAACTTGAGACTCTCCCCAGATAATTTTCTCTCACACCTCCCAAATCTTTAAATCTTCTTGAAATCTCTTCAGATCTATCCTTTCCTCTTCTTGCTTACTCCACTCCCTTTTCCTTACTTTCATTCCTCATCTAAACTCCCATAATAACCTCCTATATGTCCTTCTATTCTCCCACTATCACCTGAAATAAAGTCATCTGCCTAGCCCCAAAGAAATGTGAGTTTGAGATTCTTGGCTCCTTAGAACTTCTGCTTTCCTTATGACAAACAAGAAACATCAATATCTGGTTCCTACCTAGCTCTTCAGCCTTATTTCTGTTACTCACTCCTCAGTGTCCATATATTTTAAAAATAACTTTCTAGTTCCCTGAGTGCTGATTCACATTTCATGTATTTGTCTACATACAGAAATCACTTCCAGTTTGGCCAGAAAATATACAGAAATCACTTCCAGTTTGGCCAGAAAATTCAGGGTTAAAGAAAAAAAAAAGACATCACTTCCACCTTTACTATGTTTGGCAAACTTCTATTTATTCTTTGAATCTTCAGAGTGCAAATGGCTTGCTTTCTTGTGTTACCTCAGGATCTTTGTAATGTTTTTACAGCTAAAAATGTATTTGGTTACTCTGGGTTTTTCTGTTTTTTTTTTTTTTTTTTTTTTTTTTTGAGATGGAGTTTCGCTCTTGTTGCCCAGGCTGGAGTGCAATGGTGAGATTTCAGCTCACTGCAACCTCTGCCTCCCGGATTCAAGCTATTCTCCTGCTTCAGCCTCCCGAGTAGCTGGGAATACAGGTGCCCACTACCGTGCCTGCTAATTTTTGTATTTTTAGTAGAGACAGGTTTTCACCATGTTGGCCAGGCTGGTCTCGAACTCCTGACCTCAGGTGATCTGCCCACCTCAGCCTCCCAAAGTGCTGGGATTACAGACGTGAGCCATCACGCCTGGCCTATTTGGTTACTCTTAAGTTTGAAGGAAATGATGTCTCATTCAGCTGTGTATACTTACCAGCCCCTGTCCCCCAACCACCCTGTTTCTTTTTCAGACAGGATCCTGCTTTGTCACGCAGGCTGGAGTGCGGTGGCATGATCACAGGCTCAAGCCATCTTCCCACCTCAACCTTATAAGTAGCTGGGACTACAGGTACATACCAACATGCTTGGCTATTTGTTTCTGAATTTTTTTTTGTAGAGACAGGGTCTCGCCATGTTGCCCAGGCTGGTCTTGGACTCCTGGACTCAAGCAATCCTCCTGCCTCAGCCTCCCAAAGTGCTGGGATTACAGGCATGAGCCACTGCGCCCAGCCATCCCTTAGCACAATATCCATAGCAGTAACCTGTACATGGTTTTAACAAACGAATGCTGAATGTAAACTGATCTGGAACTGAGATAAAGGCTGAAGTCACAGGTAAAACCGTCATGCTCCTAAAGATCTGTATTTGGTTAAACATTTGAATATTTACTCACTGCCAAATTGGGCTGAGGATTGAAAAAAAAATGAGCCTGTATTTGCAAAAAACCCTTTCTTTTGATGAGGCGAACAATTAGCAGATATATGCATGTGACAAACTACTATTTTTCCATCACCACCTCTATCTTATTTAAGACTACCTTTGATACACGAAATCATAGGCAATCTATTTTTACAATTCAAAAGCAGAGACAAATACAAATTTTACCTAAGATCAGGTTCTGAAGCATAAAGTTAAATATTGTTTTTCAATAGAATATTTTAGAACGGATATTACACTTTTGCATAATCTAATTTAAAAATATAATATCTTGGCTGGGCGCGGTGGCTCACGGCTGTAATCCCAGCACTTTGGGAGGCCGAGGCGAGCAGATCACGAGGTCAGGAGTTCAAGACCAGCCTGACCAACATGGTGAAACCCTGTCTCTACTAAAAATACAAAAAAAAATTAGCCAGGAGTGGTGGCGCACACCTGTAATCCCAGCTACTCAGGAGGCTGAGGCAGGAGAATCGCTTGAACCCGGGAGGCAGAGGTTGCAATGAGCCGAAATCATGTCATTGTATTCCAGCCTGGGTGACAGAGGAAGACTCTGTCTCAAAAAAAAAAAAAAAAAAAAGGTGAAAAGAAAATTAATTTTTGCAGTGAAAATGAAGATTCTTCAAAACTTCACAGTTAGAAGAAAATAGCTATAAAGATAACCTTGAATAATCATCCTTGAATGATTCACACCATGACATTTGGCAGGATTATTCAGGAAGTAGACACTGGCTTTTAGAAGACACTAATAAATTCTGTTAAAAACTAACACTAAATAGTGATGAATCCATCGTCATGTATGTTAAGGGGAAAAAAAGGAAGAACTAAAATTATCTTAAAGTGGTTTTAAAAATAGCTTAGATATACAGTATCCGAACTCTTGTCAGCTTCCTCCCACAAGTTTTCTTTTCAATAATGGTGACTACTTCCTGCTTTTATTATATACCAACAACAATACTGATGAATAATTTATAAAACATGTACATAAAAATATTAATGTCCTAGAAATAAGAAGCAAGAAATATTAATCTAGGAGGAGGGCTACTGTGATGTTTACTATGGCACAGAATAGCTATTTACTAAATGATCTGCTTCAAGAGCTATTCCAAATCAATATTTGGTATTACCTGAAATATCCTTGGAATTCCTCCAGTATTGTAGTGAACTACTAGGCTGACTTTATTCTCTTTTTCTACAATTTCAAAGGATCCTTCTTTCCACTTTGTAATCCCAGTCTGCATACTTCGAATTCTGATAGGACCATGTATCTTCAGAGGAGACATATTTTCTTTAAAAATTGCTTCTGGCTAAATTAAAAAGCAAAAATATACCTTTACCTGGCAGGTTCTAAGGAAGAAAAATAAGATAAGTTATAACTTACTAGTAATTAATTTCTAACCACCATGCATTTCTTCTGCGCCTTCATTTTCCCTTCTTTGCCATGTGTCCAGTACTGTATTTATTAGTGCCTAAATTCTACATTTTGTATCATTCACAACCATACTGCTACCGCTAAAGACATGTCAACAGGAATAAGATCCCATTCTCAAAGTGATTGCCTTCACCATTAAAGTGTTGATTATTCTCTTCCTTCATGAAAGCTAATGGGTCTGGATTTCCAAATATAAGTTAAAAAAAAAAAAAAAGTGTGTTCAGGCCAGGCATGGTGGCTCAGCCTGTAATCCCAAAACTTTGAGAAGTTGAGGTGGGAGGACTGCTTAAGCCTGGGAATTTGAGACCAGCCTGGGCAACACAGGGAGGCTCTATCGCTACAAAAAAACTGAAAAAACATTAGCCAGGCATGGTGATACACGCCTATAGTCTCAGCTTCTAGAGGGGCTGAAGTGGGAGGATCACTTGAGCACAGGAGGTCAAGGCTGCAGTGAGCCATGACTACCCACTGCACTCCCGCCTGGGCAATAGAGTGAAGACACTGTCTCAAAACAAAACAAAACAATACAAAATTCAGGCCTCTGACTCCATTTCTTAGAATGGAGTTCCTCCCAAAACATCAAAGTATATCACCAAATGCTTCCTTCTAACAGTGAGCAATCTAAGCATATCCGTATGTACAGAAGACATTAAATGAGTAAAAAATTTTAAAAATAACCAAGTTATTTGACCTCCAGAATTACAATATTTGAGGAAATCATTTAATCTCTAGAGAAAACAAACAAAAAACCTCTCTTCCAAAGAACCACCTACCATTTATATTTAAACTACCATTCCTAGAAAGAATCTTTACCAATTTTATCTTTAACAAATACTCAAGTTTCCTGAATGAACTTTTAATACTCAAAAATGGCTGGGTGCTTGTCAGGCAATATTTGAAAACTAAAAAGAAAAAATGGCCGGACACAGTGGCTCATGCCTGTAATCCCAGCACTTTGGAAGGATGAGGTGGGCAGACTGCTTGAGCAACACGGCAAAAACCTCATCTCTACAAAAAATACCAAAAAATTAGCCTGGCATGGTCATGTGCTCCTGTAGCTCCAACTACTCCAGAGGCTGAGATGGGAGGATCACCTGAGCCAGGGAGGTCGAGGCTGCAGTGAGCCATGATTGCACCACTCAATTCCAGCCTAGGTGACACTCTGAGTGAGACCCTGTCTCAAAACAAACAAACAAAAAAAAAACACAAAAAACTTAAACTTACAGCAATAATCGGATGTGTAAAACTCTTCAAATTAGCTTTTGCAAAAGTCAACAAGTAAATAAAATTACAGTTATAGCAAAGAATGTTATCAAATAGTGTGTTACATACATAAATATGCAATCATTTAAAATTGCGAACTCAAATTTTATACTATTTCAAACCTTTAAAAACACTACTTCTAAAGTGGATTCTTGCTTATAATTTACTAAATTAAACACAATTAAACATTACCTTTGCCTAAACAGCTCAACAAGAAAAGCCAGAAAGGCTAGTATATAAAGGAAAATGATGCTAGGTCTAGAAATCAGCAGCCAGCCAGCCCTATCACTTACTAATTTGTAACTTACCTTCTTTAACCATAAGTTTTCTCAACCACAAAATAGGAATAGCAAATGTTTTAGTGTTGTAGAATGAAATAATACATACTAGGCACTCAGCAGACAGCAGTAATTAATATTAATGGAATTAATGTCTGTTTTCTGAATTTATTCCATGTCCATAATACCTCTTTCTCCAAAGACCTCAATAAATACAATGTTAACAGGAGTCACTAACTCAACTATCTATAGGGGCTAGCAGGTGACAGAAATGACTTAAGCAGGCAAAATTTGAACAATTGCTACCCAATCTAGCCAATTATTACCATGTAGAAATAGCGAACCTAGCATTGCCAGACCATCTAACTTTTCAAGAAAATAAAGACATCCAAACGTTTATGTAAAACTGTCCATTTTTAATTGTTGGCAATGAATTCAAATTTATTTTTAACAGCTACAAATCAAACAAAACTCACCTACAGGCAGGATACAGTTTGGGGGCCCCTAGTTGGAGGTCTCTGGTTACTGTATGGCAAATAACTGAAGATAAAAGAAGATATATGAAAACACTTTCGAGAGTTTAAAGGTGTTAAGTATCATAAGTACTCTATTATTATTCACTCATCTCATCAAAAATTTTTAAGTGCTTACTATGGGCAGATTTAGATATTAGTATAATGTGCTGGGTAATATGAATTCGTCAAAGTAATAGAGTCCATTAATGTTTATAGAACTGTCTGTTAACATGACATTTGGCTCAAACTAGTAATGCTACAGAGCTACAGAAACTTGAGCCAGCAATGTATATCTGTAATACTTTTTTCTGCAATTATAATTTGTGACTTTATTGTTGGATACATCCTTGAGACTTTTTTCCACTCCGCCACTCAGTGCTACAAAGAATACATCACTCTTCTACTCCAGTTTCCCATGCCAGAAACAGAAGACTTGTCTTTGGCTTCCTTCTTGATAATTATTGGTATTAGATTAGAGATGGAAAGTCAGGAGAATCCCATCAATTCTGCCTCCACAGATCGGGAGCTGTGGCTGATGCCTGTAATCCCAGCACTTTGCGAGGCCGAGGTGGGCAGATCACCTGAGGTCAGGAGTTTGAGACCAGCCTGGCCAACATGGTGAAACCCCATCTCTACCAAAAATACAAAAATTAGCCAGGTGTGGTGGCGTGCGCCTGTAATTCCAGCTACTTGGGAGGCTGAGGCAAGAGAATCGCTGGAATCCGGGAGGCAGAGGCTGCAGTGAGCCGAGATCATACCACTGCACTCCAGCCTGGAGCCAGACTCTGTCTCAGAAAAAAAAAAAAAAAAATTCTACCTCCATACACCTTTCAGACAGCCTTATAATGAACTGCAGATCAAATCATATCCCTCTCTTGCTTTATATCATTCAATAGCTCTCCACTTGTTCTCGCAATAAAATCTAAACTCACTAATGTGACGTAGAGGCCCTTCAGGACTCAGGCCCTGCTTACCTGTCTATTCCCAATAAAACCCCCAAATCCTTCTGAATTACTTATAATTTCCTCAAAAATCTCTATGTTCTCATGCCACTATACCTTTGCATACACAGAGGTCATGTCTAGAGGATTTTTATGTGTTCTCCCCATCCCCAACCCTCCTTAATTTCTTCTCCTGGCTCTAAAATCAAGACTCAATTTACACATTACCCTCTTTAAAAAGCTTTATATAAAAGATGTAGGACATAAAATTGGCAGAACCAATATAATAAACTTTTTCATAATGCCTCAATTTAGTTCATTACCTGCTTTTGCACTAAATGAATTGACAGCTACATTTGCTCATTCATTATATTATCAGGGCTTGCTCTACTTGGTTAAGAGTAAAAAACTAAGTTTCTTTTTCAGCATGAAGCATGATCCAGTAACAGTTAAACTTCCTATGAACCTAAGACAAAGACAGGGTTTCCTTAAACTCGGTAATGGTAATTGTCTTATTAAAGCAAAAAAATAAGAAGACAAAAGATAATTAAAATGAATTATTCTTTAAATATGTCCAGAGATTCTTTCTCTAAATTTCTTCACAATTATTAAAATTACTGTTCAACTTTGAGCATCACCATGAATGCTCAAAGCAACAATATTAGCAAAAATGTTTCTATGCCCTGTACATTTATTTAAGTGCTCACATTTTAGGTACTGCTTTGAAAACATCCTTAATCAGAGAGCATTCAGTGGTAAATAAAGTATGGCCAAAACACAAAAACTATTACTACAAAACAAACACAAAACTGTCAGTTCCCGCCAGATTGCATGCTCTTTGAAACATATATCCAAAACAAAAACATTACTTACTTTTCAGTGACTTTTACCGAAAAACCCTATGTAATAGCAATTCACCTTTATTCTGATCCTTGTGCCAAAGGCAAAGCACTCTTCTTGGGACACTACTCATATTCTGCAGCTATGCCAGTTCTCCGGAAGCCATCAACTCAGCTAAAGAAAATAAAAATGTGCTTTTTAAAAAGAACCCAATATACAAAATTAATACTTAAAAGAAAGTGGGCTGGGCACGGTGGCTGACGCGAGTAATCCCAGCACTTTGAGAGGTGGAGGCGGGCAGATAACCTGAGGTCAGGAGTTCGAGACCAGCCTGACCAACATGGAGAAACCCCGTCTCTACTAAAAATACAAAATTAGCTGGGCGTGGCAGTGCATGTCTGTAATCCCAGCTACTCGGGAGGCTGAGGCAGGAGAATTGCTTGAACCCAGGAGGTGGAGGTTGCAGTGAGCAGAGATCACGCCATTGCACTCCAACCTGGGCAACAAGAGCAAAACTCCATCTCAAAAAAAAAAAAAAAGGAAAGTGATCGTTTATACAACAAAGATTAACTTCTTGGTTATTTAAAAACTACAGATTACCTTAATGAAAATATTTAAAATATGATGCACAACACACAGAGACACACATAAAAGATCAACAGAACTTTAGGAACTTATCTGCTGTGCATAATGAGGGATTACAGGATGAGCCTGCACCTTGTTCAACTTGTACCTTGGTTTATTCATTCTTGCTACATTTTGAAACTAAGAAGTCAGTGAGAAAGAATATGTCCTTTGTTCACTTTATAAACATTGTTACATAATAATGTCTTAAGTCTTAAAACTTCCATAACATGTTGATACTATTTCAAAAGGTGGGTAAACTTGGTGCTTTCACTTTTCTTTCAAAGCTAACATTGTTTCTCAAATTAGGCTTCACTAGGCCTGAACTTTCTCTGAAGTTCTACCCGCACATCTCTCACTGCCTATCTGAATGCTACAACATCAACTTTAAACTCCTTTGTTCATTTAGTAAACAACATTTATTAAGCTACTGCACTTTCAAGGCACCCTGGTAGGCATATAGATGTGAAGATGATACAGTCCATGCCCTCATTAAGAAGCTCCTAGAGGCCAGGCACGGTGGCTCACACCTGTAATCCCAGCACTTTGGGAGGCAGAGACAGGCAGATCACCTGAGGTCAGGAGTTCGAGACCAGCCTGGCCAATGTGGTCTCGAACACATTGAGACCACAATGTGTTCTCACTAAAAATACAAAATTTAGCTGGGTGTGGTGGCACACACCTGTAGTTCCAGCTACTTGGAAGGCTGAGGCAGGAGAGTCATTTGAACCTGGGAGGCAAAGGTTGCAGGGAGCAGAGATCACACCACTACACTCCAGCCTGGGTGAGGGAGCAAGACTCCGTCTCAAAAGAAAGAAAAAAAAAGAAGCTCCCAGACTTCCCTACTTTTGTCCTTCTACCATCATTCAGGCAAGAAATCTTGGCATCAGCTTTATCCTCACTCTTATCTACTCAAATCCCAGATTTTCAATAGCTACTACTCTCAGAAACTCATCACTATGCCATCATCCCACCTAGTATTTATTATGCAACCCAACATTTATTATGCAACATTTACTAAGCAGTGCTAAATGCCATACATGCATTATCTCAATTTAATTTTTAAAATAATCCTAAGTGATAGGGATATTATCTCTATTTCACAGATGAGGAAACTGAGGTTTAGAGACATTACATAATTTATAAATACAGTCAGTGAGAAACAAAGCTATGTCTAATGCCAGAACCTACATTTTTAACTACAACCACAGTTCATCCTCATCAATGAATTATGGCAACCCCTTCCCTTTCCAGTCTCAGCTCTTGGGGTTTTACCTCCAACAAATCCTTTACATTGTAACATCCTTTCTAAAGAACTACTCTTTTTACCACTTTTCAACTGAACTATGCACTAGGTATCTTCTTAACTTTCTCCCTAAGGTGGGAGTGGGGGGTAGAGGTGGGGCACGGGACAGGGAGGTAACACACAGAACTTGGGTACTCTAACTGTATACTCCAACAAAATAACAAACACTTGTTAAGTGCTAAATGGTTGCCATTGATGCTAGGACCTTCCCAAACTAAATAGCTCATCACTACCTAGAAAATAAAATAAATCCAAATGCTTGTGTTTGGTATTCATACACCTCCATTTTAAATTCCCTATTTTTCAACACGAATCCTGTTCTACACATACAAAAATTATTATATTTTAATATTTTCTTTCTTTTTCATTTGAGACAGAACCTCATTCTGTCACCCAGACTGGAACACAGTGGTGCCATCTTGGCTCACTGCAACCTCCACCTCCTAGGCTGAAGCAATCCTCCCACCTCAGCCTCCCAAGTAGCTAGGACTACAGGCACATGCCACCAAACCCGGCTAATTTTTGTAATTTTTTATAGACATGGGGTTTTGCCATGTTGCCCAGGCTGGTATCGAACTCCGGGGCTCAAGCGATCCGCCCACCTTGGTCTCCCGCAATGCTGGGATTACTGGCATGAGCCAATGCAGCTGGCCATATATTAATATTTTCTTTGTCATTCACCAACAACTGACTTAAATATGGAATTTTGCTTTATTTATGGAAATCTCATCTTCACTGGTCTTAAAGATTAACCGGTTGTTAAAATATACAAACCACTACTCTGATTTTTGAAGGCTTTCTTTCCTTTAAAAAGACCTATAAAACAAATGGACAAAGGAGAAAAAATTAGTTTTGTTACTGAAAGTGGAAAGCTGACCTAAAGTTTATCTCCAATTCAAAGAGTTTAAAATCTGAATGGTTTTATGATATAAAAATGGGTAAAAGAATCCAAAGTTGGAAAACGTTTTGTTTTTTCTCATGTGTCCTCTAACTTTTCAGAATGAAAAGTGTTTGTCATGAGATGATGACAAGAACATCAGCAAGCTTTGCTTCCAAAAGACATGATGGTTCTTACAGCAACTTCCAGCTTATTTAACAAATTATTGGGAAATAAAAAAGAAGTGGTCACTAGCCTATATTCTAATAGGAGACAGACTTTAAATAATCACACATGTAAATATATAATTACAAGTTCTGGGCTGGGTGCAGTGGCTCACACCTGTAATCCCAGCACTTTGGGAGGCCGAGGCAGGTGGATCATCTGAGGTCAAGAGTTCAAGACCAGCCTGGCCAACATGGTGAAACCTTGTCTCCATTAGAAATACAAAAATTAGCCGGGCATGGTGGCGGGTGCCTGTAATCCCAGGTACTTGGGAGGCTGAGACAAGAGAATCGCTTGAATTTAGGGGGCGGAGGTTGCAGTGAGCTGAGATCATGCCATTGTACTCCAGCTTAGGCAACAGAGCAAAAACTCCATCTCAAAAAATAATAATAACAATAATTACAAGTTCTGAGAAATGATATAAAGCAAGATACATGGAATGATGAGTCTTAAGATTAAGACTTGGGGTAGAGGATAACATTGAGAAGGCTTCCCTGAGAAGGTATCACTTAAGTTGAAAACTGCAGAAGGAGATGACTGATAGATGGTGGTGCTGGAACAATCCAGGCAAACAGCATCCCCAAAGGCCTTGAATTGTAAAATAACTTGATATGACTAGGGAAATTAAAAGCAATGTGGCTACAGTTTAGTGAAGGAGAGGAGGAAGATGAAGTTAGTGAAGCAGGCAAGAACCAGGTTATGCAGTCTTGTGAACCACAGTAAAGATTCCGAATTTTATCCTAAATGTAACAAGCACTTACCAGGAGGAAATCCACCAAAAGGTTTTAAGCAAAGAAATATGTTACTACTGAATGAGGAAGTCATATATGGTTGGTTTGGGTTTTGGGAGAGTGACTAAGAGCAAGAACAGAAGAAAATAATGTAACCAGATAGAAGAGTATTGAGTTGATCAGCTTATAACAATAACAATTAATGCTTACTGGCCATTTACTCTGTGCCAAGTGCTTATCATGGTTATCTCACTTAATCCTCATAACAATCCAATAGGCTGAAAATTACTATTTCCATTTTACAGATGATAATACAGGAAGCCAAGGCAATCAAGTCCAGGTTTTTTAAGGACTGTGGCTTAAACTAGAAAAGTGACAGTGAAAATGTACAGAAAAAGATGCAAGACACGTATTGGAAGTAGGATAGAACTTGGAGAGAGTAGAAGTCAAGAATGCCTCCCAAGTGTGTAGCCTGTGTCATGTGCCACTTAATAAACTGGGACACTGGAGAAGAAAGAATTTCGATATGGAGAGAAAGATCAAGGCTTTGGATTTGGCTGTGTTGCATCTGAAACTCCTAAGAAAAAAATCAAGTTGAGATGTCAAGCAGACAGCTGGCTATCTAGATGTGGAGCTGAAAACAAAGGGAATAGGCTGGAAATAACAATTTTTAAGTCATCAATATATAGATCAAATTTAAAGCTTAGGGAGGAATATAAGAGTAAAAGAAGAGGACCTAGGACTGAACCCAAATACTCATTTTACTTCATCAAACATCTTTAAGACAAGTGAGTACTTTTATATCACTGGGTTTTTCAGTCCTCCTTCCATTTTACCTTTCAGCAGAATGCAACACTACTGATGACTTTTTTCATGGCTTGCAAGACGCATCCTCCTCTATTGGTTATTAAACAGCAGGAATTCGTCAATGCTCCATCCTAGGTGCCTTTATTTTACAGCACTATACTCTTTTTCGGCAATTTCATCCACATCCATGGCTTCAATTACTATCAATATGGCAGATGACAAACACATACACACACCGCGCACATTTACGTACGCAGCCCAGAACTCTCCTAAGATCTCCAAACCCACTATATCCAACTGCCTACTTGACATTCCCTCTCAGGTATCTCTTCCAGTTAGACACTTGTCAGGAATTGCCACCTCAATAAAGGAATTTATACAGAGCTGAAATTTTGAGAGGAATACCCCAAAACCACTTTAGGACAACTCTTCAGGACACAGGATTTTATCATCAATCATCATTTCCTTTCATGGATCATGACTTAAAATAGTTACATCTAACAACCTGATCTGGCGGCTAGAAATGGGCGCAAGGAAATGCACAACAAAAATACAATTCATGTTTTGCAGTGAGGACTGGTCAAGAGGAAGGTGAAGATGGTCAAGAGAGTGAATGAGTATCATGTCCAAGGCCTGGTGGATGTGCCGTAACGAAAGTCACCTGAAGAGACAGCAGGCCCTGTTAGAAGGTAAGAGGCGAACGACAACAGCCCCAGAGAAAAGGGGCCAGGTTTGAGTTTCGGAGGGAGCGAGTGGCAGTGGAGACCAAGTCAAAGGAGAGGTGGAAGCCGGGGCAGTGCACCCAAAGGTAGTACCTGTGAGGCTGGGGGTGCATCGAGGGGTTGTGGGCGGGCTGAGTAGCAGCAGGGCGAACTCCAGAGGAGTGAACGCCGAGTGGGCGGATCGCACAGAAGGAGGAGGAGGTAGGGAAAACGGCTCAATTGAGAAGCTACCCCGGCCCGCCTTACCTGCGCCGAGGGTCCGGAGCCCCCGGACAGACCCGCGGAAAGCACGGAGCCCGCGAGGAGTGGGAGGAGCCGAGGGTAATGGAAGTAGGGATACCGAACCCAAAGGAGGGAGGCCGCTAGCTACCCCTAGTCAGGGAGAGCGGCTGATGGCGGGAACTGTGACCACACGCAAACACGCACGCACGCACGCACACTCGACGCGACCAGACAGGCGCGTGCGCGTCAGTCGAAAACTCCGCCCCTCACACGCCCTCGCCCCGCCCCGCCAGTACCTAGAGCGGCCTAGCCCGGGCAGCCCCGCCCCTGCCGTGACTGTAGTAGGCACGCGCACTTTCCACCTCACCCGATTTCGACGCCCCCCCACCATTTCCCTCCTACGCAACCCAGTCGGGCATGCGCAATAGTTGTCTTGCCGGGACTGTCCATCTTTTCCCGCCGTTCACTGGCTTTTGGAGGAGGGTCAGAGTTCACGCCGCTCTCTGGAAATAACTGCTCAAAGCCAGAAGTTGCGGGGACTAGTGGTCGCGGACGTCCTTCCGGTCCTAAATCTTAAGGGGCAAAGGACATACTCTGGGACTGTTAACTAGGCCCTGGAGGCGGGAAGAGGATGTGTGGGTGGGGTCAGGGGTGAGAGGTCAGAGGGCCGCGAAGTGGGCGGAGCGAGCCGGAGTCGGATGGCGGCTACGGCGGCTCATTGTTTTCCGCTGCAGGGGTGCTGAAGGGGGGACGCGGGTCGGACGCGTCCGGCTGTGGAAGAGAGCGGCGGCCGCTCACAACATGCACAGCCTGGCGACGGCTGCGGTGAGTGGCTGGGCCCCCAGGCTTGGAACCAGAATCCTTTCTCAGACCCACGTTTCGGCCTTCTCTCCTAATTCCCGGTGTCGGGTCCCTAGTCTGATTTTTTTCTGCCCTCAATCTCCAAGGCCCCGGTTCCCCTCCTCGGCACGCTTTGGTTGTGGTGGAGCCGGCCCCTATTTCCTTGCCGGACGCCTCTCGCGGCCTTCAGCGCGACCCATCGCGTTCTTTGCGGGCGCCGGGGCCTGGTCCCACGCCCGTAGCAGGCCATTCATTGATTTATTGCGCTGACCAACAGTTTCAGGGCGCCAGTTGTGTTCTGGGCGCCGGCGTCGATGAGGGGAATTCCATGGTCAATCTGACGCGGCCCCTGCTCTTAGAACTCACCACGTCGCAGCGGGAAGGAAATGGCTTCTAGTTCAAACCACTTGCTTTATTTATGGAAAACCTGAGGCCCGGAAAAGTGCATAATTTTTGCATCTGACTTAGGTTCTCTGCATTTAAAACTTTTCCTCGACACATCTCGTTTTACCCGCGTGATCTTTTAACAAAAAAGAAAGATAGTGTAATTCAGCTATCCGAAGTAATCCTACTTCTCTTGGCATTTAAATAAAATCTAGACTCCTTGCCATAGCCTGCACGGCCCTGTATGATGTGGTACTTAACCCACGTTTATAATCTCGTTTTATGTCTCTTGCTCCTAAAGCTTCAGCTACTCTGGCCACCTAACCCTCTGCAACGCGCTTATTTTTCTCCAAGATGCACTTTGTGGTCTCTATGCCTGGAGTGAATGTTCTTCTTATCCCTCCTCCTTTACATACACAGCATGAGTGTAATTGGTACCTCTTCCTTGAACTCTCCTTCCTCTCCTTAAACTGTTTATCCAAATCCATCTTTCTTCAGGTCTCTGCCTAAATCGGTCTCAGAGTGGCCTTCCCTGACTATCCTCTTCAAATTAGTTCCGCAGCCTCTAACTTTAGTAGAGTACCCTTTACAGCCCTGATCCCCGTGTAATTATTGTATTCGTTTATTTGTTGTCTGTCTCCTTGAGGGCAGGGACAGGGATCATGTGAGCCCTGTTGACGTGGTTTCCCCGGTGCCAGGACAGTTCCTAGTACAAGATTAAAGACTCAGATACTTTGCTGCATGAAAGAATATTGAAGGGAAGGTGACCACTGAAAGAACATTGCCATGATGGGGAAAGGAGATCATTTGATTTGAGCATACCTGCCTGAAGACCAATTCTGCTTTTTCTGTTTAACCAAAGGGAAATGATTTAAGGAAAGTAATGTACTGAAATTGTATTATCAGGCAAAATGACGTAATTACTAAATAAAGCACCAAAAATTGCCATACGTTTAAGTACAAAAAGTGAAAAATTGAGCCAAGTATGACTAAGCTATAGAAAACTGCTTTTTGAGATTTGATCTCCATTGTCAGTTCCAGTGCTGTTGGTATCTCTGCCTCCTTTCATACTGTTTCTAAGTGTTTGTAACTATTCAATGTAGAGAGTATCTTTTATATCTCAATTAGGTCATTGCAATTCCCCTAGCTTTTTTGTTCCTTCTCCCAAATTATATATGTAACGTGGGGAAAAGCAAGTTGAAAGATGAGTGTGCTGCTATTAGGGGAAAGACAGGTTAAATAAGGGAAATTATTCTAAGGTTGACTTGTCCATCTCTCAAAATCTGATTGTGTCTTCTCCCGAATTTTATCTTCGATACTGAGCCACTCTTTTCCCTGTGCCTTCCCAAACTCTGTAGCTATTCCTTTTATTTTCAATTGCTCCCTAATGCATCTTTTAAACAACCATTAAAGCTGTGGTACATTACTTATAATAAGTACTCAATACATGTTTCTTCACGTTTTCAGTGCCTTACATTAATTTTAAAATTTGAACTTTTAGATGCACTTTCACTTAGGATGTTTGGACCTCGTAGCAGCTCTGACAAATTCCTTCGTACCACTCATTCACTAGGTTATATTTAGCTAGTGAGGAAACTAAAACGTAAAAAGTTGAGCCACCTCATTCTCAATTCTTCATGCCTTCCGTTGGAGCAAACTGCATTATTCTGATGTGGGTAAAGGGACAGTAATGATGCATATCACTCACTGGAATTTGAGAAGCATAATTAATGCATGCAACCGTGCCCAGAATAATCAAAGCCACTTGAGAAGATGCTTACTTTCTGCCGAACAATGAAAGTGTGTATCTGTGACTTTATTTATCTCTTTTTTAAAATAGTAGGTAAATCATCATTTCAGCTAGGGAGATAACAAAGTACTGCCAAATGAGAATGTAAGCCGGGTGGTGTGTGCCCATAGTCCCAGCTACTTGGGAGGCTAAGGAGGGAGGACACTTCACCCCAGGAGTTCCAGGCTACTGTGTGCTATGAAGGCACCTGTGAATGGCCACTGGACTCCAGCTTGAGCAACATAGCAAGACTTTGTCTATTAAGAGAGAGAGAGAATGTAGTCACATGTAAATGCAGGATATTATTCACTAGAAGGAAAAATTAAGATAGTATGGGAAGTATCTTAAATTTTGACTCTTGAGTAGTCGTATGCTAGAAATGTTTAGTGTAGTAGGCTTTTGTGATTCTTTTTTTTTTTTTTGAGATAGAGTTTTGCTCTTGTTGCCCAGGCTGGTGTGCAATAGCGAGATCTCAGCTCACAGCAATCTCCGCCTCCTGGGTTCAAGCAATTCTCCTGCCTCAACCTCCCAAGTAGCTGGGATTACAGGCATTAGCCACGACGCCTGGCTAATTTTTTTTTTTTTTTTTTGTATTTTTAGTAGAGATGGGGTTTCTTCATGTTGGTCAGCCTGGTCTCGAACTCCTGACCTCAGGTGATCTGCCCGCCTCAGCCCCCAAAGTGCTGGGATTACAGGCATGAGCCACTGCGCCCGACCTTGCTGTTGTCATTCTTGATGGAATACATCCTAACATCTTCATATATTCATTACCGCTACCATTGAGCATAATTTCTTTTTTCTCTCCTCTAATAAATAAGGACAGAAGTACCACACAGGATTATTCTAAAGATTAAGTAAGAATAACAAAATGCGGCCGGGTACTGTGGCTCATGCCTGTAATCCCAGCACTTTGGGAGGCCAAGGCGGATAGATCACCTGAGGTCAAGAGTTCCAGACCAGCCTGGCCAACGTGGTGAAACCTCATCTCTACTAAAAATACAAAAATTAGCTGGGCATGGTGGCAGGCGCCTGTAATCCCAGCTACTCAGGAGGCTGAGGCGGGAGAATCACTTGAACCCAGGATGTGGAGGTTGCAGTGAGCCAAAATCGTGCCATTGCACTTCAGCCTGGGAGACAAGAGCAAGACTCCATCTTTAAAAAAAAATGAAAGAAAGAATAACAAAATGCTCAGTGGTTGGCTAGATTCACTCACTGATATGTGACTTGTTCCCAGACTTCAGCTTTGGGAATTTAATTCCCAAATTAAAGGCTCACACACCTATAATCCCAGCACTTTGGGAGGCCAAGGCAGGAGGATCACTTGAGGCCGGGAGTTCAAGACCAGCCTTGGCAACACAGTAGGAACCTATCTCTACAAAAAATGTTTAAAAATTTTCCAGGCTGCAGTGAGCCATGATCATGCTACCGCACTTCAGCTTAGGCGACATAGTGAGACCCTGTCTCAAAGGAAAAAGAAAACTACAAATCTTTGCATGCCATAGGTATTCTGTAATGGATGTTATGCTTGTGAAACAACCGGAGGTAAGCCTTTAGGGGATGTGTTTTTGTTTTGTTTTGTTTTTAATTTCCCACTGATTTCCACTGACAATTCTAGCATCCCTAAACACTTGTCTTTCTCTCACTTTCCGCCTAACCAGCAGCATCATTAGTTATTTTACATCTTTTTATTGAAGCTGTCATGGACTGCCAGATGCCTTCCTTTTTGGCAAGTAGAAAGAACACTGCACTCTAAAGGATTTAATTCACTTTCTCCTCCCGAGTCTCCTGATGAAGCTTTAGGCAAATTGCCTAACTTATCTTTCCTTATTCACTTTCATTTTTTAAAAGTTATTTTGAAAAAATACATTCTGGGCCGGGCATGGTGGCTCATGCCTGTAATCCCAGCACTTTGGGAGGCTGAGGCAGGTGGATCATAAGGTCAGGAGTTCGAGACCAGCCTGGCCAACGTAGTGAAACCCCGTCTTTGCTAAAAATAGAAAAATTAGCCTGGCGTCATGGCATGCGCTTGTAATCCCAGCTACTTGGGAGGCTGAGGCAGGACAATCGCTTGAACCTGGGAGGCGCAGGTTATAGTGAGCTGAGATTGTGCCATTGCACTCGAGCCTGGGCAACAAGAGCGAAACTCCATCTTAAAAAAAAAAAAAAAAAAAAGATACATTCTGGCTCTTATAAAATTATGAAGGTAAGCTAATTTAGTACTTCCAGCACTATTAGAAAGTTCATTTTCTTGGAATACCATGCTGACACCCAAATCCACGTGTTGATCTCCAGACTTGGGAAAATAATCTCTATTTCAGTCTGATTCCATTCTTTATGTATTGGCAGGAAAATAAACAGCTATTTTGGCCCTTAAACATAAAGTTACATTGATAATTTGGCTATTTTCTGTTTAAGAAACCATCAGCATCAATTTTTTAGTTTACTCAGAGAAGGAAATCATTTTCTTTACCATTTATAGATAAATGTCATGTTTTATTTAAAATAATTTATAAACATCTTTATACTTTTCACATTATGTGTTAAAATCTTTCAGAAATAGAAGACCAACTTAAACTGTCAGTACCCTGTGTGACACTTGGAGTTAACCATTGGTAACTTACTTTGGTAAATACCTTATCTGTATGTTAAGCTTTCTTGGGGAAAAAAGGTGTCATTTGAAATACATTTTCCATATACAAATCATTAAACAGAAAAGGAGGGAGAGTTACCACCTAAATTTTGATAATATGAAAGTTTTTTAACACACTTATTAAAAGAACAGGACTGTTGACTTTATTTTTTTATTTTATTTTATGTTTTTGAGACAGGATCTCGCTTTGTTACCCAGGCTGGAGTGCAGTGGTGTGATCTTGGCTCACCGCAACCTCGACCTTCTGGGTTCAGTCGATTCTCCCACCTCAGCCTCTTGAGTAGCTGGGATTACAGGCAAACGACACCACACCAGGCTAATTTTTGTATTTTTAGTAGGGGCAGGGTTTCACTGTGTTGAAACTCCTGACCTCAAGTGATCCACCAGCCTCAGCCTCCCAAAGTGCTGGGATTACAGGTGTGAACCTGTCTCTGTGCCTGGCCAGGACTGTTGACTTTAGCAGGTTACAATTAATAATCTACGGTAATGTACTATAGAGCTTTTTTCTATTCTTGGAAGTGTTAAGGATAACTCATAATCTAAATCAGATTTCTCATGATGATTCTATGTGTCCAGGTATGTAATTGAGCTCACTGTGTATCCAAATCCAGCTGTTAATGAGTTCTGTGCTAAGGGAATATTAAATTTAAGAAAGTTTTTTTGGGTTCTTAAGAGTAATTTCTTCAACTTGGAGGAGTATTTGTGCTTTCTATCCTTGAGACCAGATAGAACTCATCGATTCTAGAGAGAAGTAGAGTTTCAGTCTCATTCTGCTGTACACTGGCTGTGTGACCTTGAGCACATTAAACCTCTATTAACCTGTTTCCTCTTAGAATTTTGAGAATAAAATGATGTAATCCACAGTGCCTGAAACATGGTATGCTCAATAAATATTACTGCATATTAATAATTTCTGGAAAAGGCAGACCTAATCTATAGTAGCAGAAAACACCCATGATTGCCTCAGGCTGAGTATGGGGTTTACTGAAAAGGGCATTAAAGAACTTTTTGGGGTGAATGGATCTATATCTTCATTATGGTAGCAGTTACTTAGGTGTATAAATTTCTCAAAAATCTATTGAAGCGTACACTTAAAATGAGTTCACTTTTATTGTATGCAAATTATACGTCAAAGTTTTTTTTTTAAAAAAAGAGCCTCTTAGATTAGACTCTCACAACTAAGAACTAAATAATTTCTAAGATTTTAGAGTTGCCTGAGACTGACAATTATTTAATATAGTTCCTTCACTTTAACAATGAGAAAATTGAGGTTTGGAAAGTTAAATGACTTATCCTAGGTCACACAATTCTAGAAAGAGCAAAACTGGATTTTGAAGTCACTTCAGGCTCCCACGCCAGTGTGTGTTCCAATTATATACACATGTAGTTCCTTGCAAATTGAGGTCTTTCCTGTTCTTCAATTTGATAAACAGATTCTTAATCCTGGGTACATGGATACATTGCAGGAACTCTGTGAACTCCTTAAAATTATGTGTAGGTTTTCGTGTTTTTGCAGTTGTGTATTTTTCTGAGTAAAAGATCCACAATTTTCTTTTTTCTTTTCTTTTTTCTTTTTTTTTTTTTTTTTGAGATGAGTCTTGCTCTGTAGCTCAGGCTGGAGTACAGTGGCTCAGGCTGGAGTACAGTGGTGCAATCTCCGCTCACTGCAAGCTCCGCTTCCCGGGTTCACGCCATTCTGCCTCAGCCTCCCAAGTAGCTGGGACTACAGGTGCCTGCCACCACACCTGGCTAATTTTTTTGTAGTTTTAGTAGAGATGGGATTTCACCATGTTAGCCAGGATGGTCTCACACTCCTGACCTTGTGATCCTCCCACCTCGGCCTCCCAAAGTGCTGGGATTACAGGCGTGAGCCACCGTGCCGGACTTCATTTGATTCTTAAAGGGTCTGGGCCTCAAAAAATGTCAACCTCTGCTCTCTTGGTTGGTATCCTGCAATTATTATTAATGCTTCAAATAAGGTAATTTCCAGTAGAGAAGTCATAGATTAATTTGCTTGCCTGTCAGTGAGCAATGTGTGCTACTAGATTGAGTTCCATATCAGCCACAGCCTTAGAAATGTATTAGTAAATTAAAAATTCAAAGAGTTGTAGCATCTGAACTAGGAATCATTAGAGGTGATCGTTACAGAGTGGCATGAGGAGTAAATCTGCCTGTTGTCTGCCCATGGTTTCATCGATTGTTAAATGAGGTTAATAACCACCATGTTGTGATCATTAAATGAAACCATGTTTTTAAAAAAAGGTGGTACAACAGAACTAACTCTTCCCTCACCTGCCGTACCCCTTCTTCTACTGCCCGCCTCCTTTTAAAAAGATGTCAATTACAGATTCTTTTTGTGAAAGATGGGCCTAAATAACTCTTGGGATATGGAAGGAGAGTAAGATACATTTTGAGTTTTGGTGTTTTATTTAGGAATGTCCAAAATATTTTATCAATCATCTGGTTATATAAATTAATATATAACTCAAAATATAAGAATATTTCCTTTTTATTCTCCAAAACAATGAAATTCCTATATGTGTGTTACAAAATTGCTTGTTATATGTCCATGTGTGTGTTGGTGGTTCTCACTAAGTAAATTATGCCCCATCTGATCCATAATGTGACACAGGGAACTATGTGAAACTATTGTACTGACTTCTCTCTGAAAACAATACCTATTAAGTGCTTTGTAATCTCAATAAGTAGAGAATTTCTCCTAACATCAATGCTACTGTTCATAGTACTGAGTGTTCTTTCAGATTTTGTTGAACTACCACCAATAACATTTTACTTTTTGTCTGAGATTTTTATGTATTAACTATATTGTCTAGGTCAAAGAATATAATTTATTAGGAAGTCATTTTTAGGCTGAGCACAGTCGCTTATACCTGCAATTCCAGCACTTTGGGAAGCTAAGGCAGGCAGATCACTTCAGGTCAGGAGTTTGAGATCAGCCTGGCCAACGTGGGAAGGTCCCATCTCTGCTAAAAATACAAAAATTAGCTGGGCATGTGGCATATGCCTGTAGTCCCAGCTACCGGGGAGGCTGAGGCAGAAGAACCGCTTGAACCTGGGAGGCGGAGGTTGCAGTAAGCTGAGATCACACCACTGCACTCCAGCCTGGGAGACAGAGTGAGGCTCCATCTCAAAAAAAAAAAAAAAGTCATCTTTAGATCAGATTTTGTCTTTCAGGCAGATGAGAAGCAGCATTAGCAAAGCGGTTAAAAGTGTGGGCTCTGTTGCTAGAACACCTGGGTACAAATCCTAGCTTGCCATTTAAATTTTACATAACTTCTCTGTGCCTCAGATTTTCCTTATCTATAAAATGAGAGTGCTGGTAAATATAAGTATTTAGGACAGTGCCTGGCAGAGTAAGCACTGTATGTTTTAAGCTCTCATTTTTATTTTTAAAAAATTGTATTCATCCCATGACAGGTGGGTATTCAGTTGGTGTAACTTACTGCTGTTATTAAATTGGGGGTGAAATGCAACAGGGATGATGAAAAGGAGGATCCCCACCCTAGATATTTCCTGGCACCAAACTGCCCTCCTTTTGGCTAGAATGACAGCAGAACCCATAACACCAAGCTAGTGCCCATGGGGGCCACATTACCACCCACCTGACATGGTTCTAGCTCTCTTAGAATCAAAATCACATGGAGGCTGCAGCCCCCACAAATAATCTCACAAATTGGAGTATTGCTAGCAGCAGGTGTCCATGGCTTTAGGAACCCGTGTACGCACCAGGCATTGGCCTTTCAGAGTGCCTACACCACTGCCAGCAGGGCCATCTTCTCTGTGGGCATCAGGCCAGCTCCAGAAAGAGAATATGTAGGGATGGGGCCTGGTGTTCAGGAGGCATGGTATGCAAACCAGTGGTTACCAGGGCAAGATGGGGTACAAGGTGCCAACTGCAAGTCACACACTGGCTCCAGTAGGGATGATGGAGTTTACTGATGGTGGTATCTGTATGACAAGACTTTGGGGAAGGTCAGCTGGAATGGGTACTGATTAATCAGGAAAGGTACTATATTGCCAGACCAGTATCTGTGAGGCCCCCTTTGGTTACTGGATTGTGGGGTCATCCAAGAGACTGGGCAGGAAACCTAACACTAAAATTTTATCCTGTGTTTCTGCTGAGCGTCTAAGGTGATGTAATATTCTAAATAAACACATACCCTATCTTCAGGTAGGAATTACATTTCCAAAAATAGTTTTTAAGTTGAGGGCCTGTTTGTGGCTGCCTAGAAAGGGCAAGTGCCTGAACAACACTGCTTTTGCTGTTGGGAAAGGAGGAAAAAAGCTACCATATTCCTTCTATCATATTGTTGCTTTAAGAGCCTATGATTGATTCCTTGAGGACCATCCCTGAAGGGAGTTACAAAACAGCTTTTAGCAGATTACTGTAAGGCACTTAAAGCTTAAGCTGCATTGTATTTCAGTCTATTTAGCAGAACAACTTGTGGTTCTTTCTGTCAGGCTAGTGAAATAGTAAAAATAAAGCTAAAAACTTACAATGAAGCTTCCATTTTTAAAAGGCCATTATTCAGATTGGGTAGAGTAAATTTGAATCCACTTCAAAGTCTATTTTATGCTTCTGATCTTCAACAAAGGCAGTTCTTTGTGTTCTTTGTCTTTACATCTGTACAATGGGTAGGTCATCATTCTGTCAAGCTAAGATCTTTTGGGAACTTATAAGTACTGTGAGAAACTGTAATATAGTTCAAAAAAGTACGGGAATATGCAACTTCATACCTTCATACCTGGTTAAATTGAGTGAGTTAATTCCTCTGAACATTAGTGATCTCATCTGCAAGTGTAGATAGCCTTCCCCCCCGCCTCCCGCTCCTTCTTTTATTTCTCATGGTTGGGGGCAATTACCTGAGAACATATTGGGCATAGAGATGGAAATCACCAGGAATTTGTTAGCAGTTTAGAGCTTAGGGGTAGCAATTATCATTTTTCTAGTCTCCCATCTTGTTTTCCAGATAAGAATAATTAAGGAACTTAACCAAGGTCACAAACATATTTGATGACTATAGAGAATTATAAAATATTCAAATTTGGGGGGAATATTGTGATTCTTTAGCATAATAATGAAAGCATGCCCTATTAAGTATGTATTTCCTACATGAGTAAGTAATGAATGGTTCTCAAAGGGATGTAGTTAGAGAATATACTGAAGAATCATTAAGAGGGAGAGCTTTTCCAAATTACAGGTTTTCTGCTCAGTTGAGGGGGGATGTCAGAATCACTGGGGAGGGACCAGTATTGGGAAGGCATAATTTTTTTTCCTCTCAAAAACTATTATATGCATATGGTTTTTTAAAAAAAGTTTATGCAAAAGGTTTTAGTGTAAACAATGAAAAGTAAGTCTCCCTGTAAATCCCCAACCTTAGAGGTAACTACAGTTAACAGTTCTTTATGTGTCCTTCTAGAAATGTTATATGTAAATGTGTAAGAATGTATATGTATTTTTTATTTTTATATGTGTGTATATTAATGGAAACATTTTATATGCTCTTCTGTAACCCTTTTATTGTTTTTACTTAGTATCAATATACAGTATATAGAGAGCTGCTTCTTTTTTTAAAGGACTACATAGTATCACATTATAAAGCTGCACCAATATTTAACCAGTCTCTTAGTGAGAGATACTTGTTTGTTTTCTGCATTTTTGTTTTTGAGACGGAGTCTCACACTGTCACCCAGGCTGGAGTGCAGTGGCGCGATCTCGGCTCACTGCAACCTCCGCCTCCTGGGTTCACACCATTCTCCTGCCTCAGCCTCCAGAGTAGCTGGGACTACAGGCGCCTGCCACCACGCCCAGCTAATTTTTTGTATTTTTAGTAGAGACACCAGTTTCACCGTGTTAGCCAGGATGGTCTCAATCTCCTGACTTCATGATCCACCTGCCTTGGCCTCCCAAAGTGCTGGGATTACAGGCATGAGCCACCACGCCTGGCCCAGTTTTCTGCATTTATTTATTTATTTATTTATTTGTTTGTTTGTTTATTGAGACAGAGTCTCACTCTGTCGCCCAAGCTGGAGTGCAATGGTGCAATCTCAGCTCACTATAACTTCCACCTCCCATGCTCAAGCGATTCTAGTGCCTCAGCCTCCTGAGTAGCTGGGACTACAGGCATGCACCACCACACCTGGCTTTTTTTTTTTTTTTTTGCTCTGTCGCCCAGGCTGGAGTGCAGTGGCGCTATCTCGGGTCACTGCAACCTCCACCTCCCAAGTTCAAGCAATTCTCCTGTCTCAGCCTCCTGAGTAGCTGGGATTACAGGCGCCCATCACCACACCCAGCTAAATTTTGTATTTTTAGTAGAGACGGGGTTTCGCCATGTTGGCCAGGCTGGTCTCAAACTCCTGACCTCAAGTGACCCACCCAACATGGCCTCCCACAGCGCTGGGATTACAGGGGTGTGCCACCGCGCCCGGCCACTTTTCTGCTTTTAAAACAGTGCAACAGTAAACATCCTGGTATGTCTTTAGCACAGCCCAATTATACCTACAGGATAAATTCCTAAACATGGAATTATCAAAGGGTATGTGTGCATTTTAGATTTTCATCAGTAACTACCAAAGAGATTGAATAGTTGACATCAAATGTATGTATTTAGAAACGCTCCCCTGGTATTCATGAAAAATATATTTCCTCTAAAACTCTGTTGCAGGGTAAGACTTGGTTTGACTCTAATAAACTGATATTTACTTTCTTGTCTTCATCTGAAGCCTGTGCCTACTACACTGGCACAAGTGGATAGAGAAAAGATCTATCAGTGGATCAATGAGCTGTCCAGTCCTGAGACTAGGGAAAATGCTTTGCTGGAGCTAAGTAAGAAGCGAGAATCTGTTCCTGACCTTGCACCCATGCTGTGGCATTCATTTGGTACTATTGCAGCACTTTTACAGGTGGGTTCATGTCCATGATTGGCAGTTCAGTTCTTTTCATTACACTTGTATATTTCTTTACCTTTGCCCAAATGATTTGAAGACTTTAGGAGGATGATTCTTTAAAAAACTGCATTTGTAAGAATCTGTTTTAGAAAGGTCTGAGGTATTTGTTAAAATGCAGATTCTTGGATCCTTACCCAAGAGATTCAATTTAGTCAGTCTGAGGTGGGCCCTATAATCTATATTTTAATAAGCACTTTCACCTCCCCCAGGTGATTGTGATGCAAGTGATCTAAGAACTACGCTTTGACGAACACCGCTTTAGGAGTACTGTAAGATAAATCTACATGACAGGGGGAGGAAGGTGGAAAGTAGAGTATAAGGACCACAAGGTACAATATATTCTATGGAAAAGAAATGGGTTTTTGGGTTTTTTTGTTTGTTTTTCTTTTTTTTTTTTTTTTGAGACGGAATCTCGCTCTGTCGCCCAGACTAGAGTGCAATGGTGCAATCCCGGCTCACTGCAACCTCTGCCTCCCGGGTTGAAGTGGTTCTCCTGCCTCAGCCTCCTGAGTAGCTGGGATTATAGGCCTGCATCACCATGCCTGGCTTTTTTTTTTTTAATTTTTAGTAGATACGGAGTTTCACCATGTTGGTCAGGCTGATCTTGAACTCCTGACCTCGTGATCCACCCACCTTGGCCTCCCAAAATGTTGAGATTACAGGCATGAGCCACCATGCCTGGCCTGGAAAGGAAATGTTGAAGGTATAACAGCTGTAGTATTAAAGGTGGGTACACTTGTACATTAAAGAATAGATAACTGAAGTTCAGTTCAAACCAGAATGGTCACTGGTGGCTAATTAACTGATATGGTACAATAACAATACCAAAATACCTAGGTAGTGGCATGATCATCCATTAAAGTATTGCCCCAAATTCCTAACAATTAGATTAACTTTTCAACTCTTAAGTAAATTCACATTCCATCTCTATTGCATTTAGCCAAGAAACTGATCTTTGTTATGGGAACGTTTTTCTATGTAAAAGTTTTACAAATAATGTAAATGGAAAATTGTAGCCAGGTGCAGTGGGTCATGCTTGTAATCCCAGCAGTTTGGCAGACTGAGTTAGGAGGATTGCTTGAGCCCAGGAGTTTGAGACCAACCTGGGCAACATGGCGAAACACCATTTCTACAAAAAATACAAAAATTAGCCAGGCTTGGTGGTACACTCCTGTAATCCCAGCTACTTGGGAAGCTGAAGTAGGAGGATCAATTGAGCCCAGGAGGTGGAGGCTGCAGTGAGCCATGATCATGCCACTGCACTCTGCCTGGATGACAGAGTGAGACCCTGTCTCAAAAAAAAAGAAAAAAAATGTAAATGGAATTGTATTGAGTAAATCATTACTTTTTGACAGATAGTGCATATATTCACTGCTGTTTATACATATCCCCACCCATTGATTCATGTCCTTACCATGTTACTACCTAACCAAATTCAAACTTCTTTATGAGTCACCGTGGTTGACTTAACACTTTCTGGCCAGTGATCTCATCACTGTAACTTAAAGCAGGATGCTAGCAAAATTATAAAAATTTGAGTATCCCTCAACTGATAGCCTCAGTAGCTGGAGAATATAAGAGGAAGTGTAGATGACTACATTTGCCTCCACAGAAATCTTCCTAGGCCGGGCGCAGTGGCTCACGCCTGAAATCCCAGCACTTTGGGAGGCCGAGACGGGCAGATCACGAGGTCAGCAGATCGAGACCATCCTGGCTAACACGGTGAAACCCCATCTCTACTAAAAATACAAAAAATTAGCTGGGCGTGGTGGCAGGCGCCTGTAGTCCCAGCTACTCTGGAGGCTGAGGCAGGAGAATGGTGTGAACCTGGGAGGCAGAGCTTGCAGTGAGTCAAGATCGTGCCACTGCACTCCAGCCCGGGTAACAGAGCGAGACTCCGTCTCAAAAAAAAAAATCTTCCTAGAGACAAATGTAGAAATGTGAGTCTCAAAAAAAAAAATCTTCCTAGAGACAAATGTAGAAATGTCTTAGCTAGTCTCAGCCAAGTAAGTTTGTGATGAAAGGATATGAGCATTATTTCTGCTCCCTCTTTGATGACTGAGTTCTTAAAAGATGCACAGAATTAAGAGCTATTTTATTTGCCTTTTTTTTTTTTTGCTTTATTACCATGGGAATTAATTTTTAGTTATTCCTTATTCATCTGATGCTGATTTCCATTTTTTAGGAAATTGTAAATATTTATCCATCTATCAACCCACCCACCTTGACAGCACACCAGTCTAACAGAGTTTGCAATGCTCTGGCATTACTGCAATGTGTAGCATCACATCCAGAAACCAGGTAAATGCTTTGGGTGAGTCACTTGGGGGAGATATACATTGAATATGGTCCTAAACGTTCTCTGAATAATAAAAGGAAGGGCATGGAGGAGAGAGAGAGAGAACGTTTGTGTGTGTGTGTGTGTGTGTGTGTGTGTGTGTGTGTGTGTCTCTCTCTCTCTCTCTCTCTCTCTCTCTCTCTCTCTCTCTCTCTCTCTCTCTCCTGGTCTTCCGGATTCTTATTTACTTTTACCCAATGAACTTTAAAGAAACAGTGTTCACATTACAGGAAAGGTATCAGGCATACAGCTACTTCTCACTCCCTGACCTGTTATTGACACTATGTCATCTGTGAGGCATAGTGCATGGCATATAAGAGGAGTTTAGTAATTATTTTTCCAGCACTTTTCCCACACTGAACCCAGATTTGACTTCAGAATCCTTCTTAACATAGCATTCTGGGCGGCCTCTATAATAGACGAGAATTGGCATGTAAGTTAAAATATTTTTGCCACCTGTCATATCTAAAAAATTAAGAAAAGGGAAATCCTGTTCAGGAATCTACTTTGTGGGCTTTTATGGCCCCAAAGGCACTTAATAGTCATCTTATTAAAGCCTTTCCTCTTTGTCAAGTTTCCTTATGAAATATGTATGCTAGGTTGGCACTGACCTTACACAGCTTTAGAGAAATTACTAAGAAAATTACTTTTAAGCACTTAACAAAAACACAAGAGTACTTTGAGTGTTAAAAATCTTGGGCGTTGGCTCTTCTACAAGGTGTAACTATAAATAATATAAAATAATAGACTGATTTCCTTATTAGTTGCCTGACTAAACTGTTTTCAGAATGGTTTGTGTATCTGAAATGCCCTAACAAAAAAAGAAGAATGTGCTTATTAAAGTATAGCAGGTAAGCCTGATAATGGCTGCTTTGTTTTGTTGTATTGGTTTGTAAGGTTTATTCGACTGCACCTGTGAATACTATTATTCAGTCATAGGTGAGGGAGATAATCTAGGACAATCTCTTGGACACTTAATAGCATTTTGTGGTCTATTTTTTAAAATCCACAATTGGATATTTTAAGTTAATCAGTTTGTAAGGTACTTTTTGCTGATTACAGGGAAAATCATGTGTTTTCTTAACCACTGTGATCTGGACTAGGGTTTTCAGCTTTGGCACCATTACCATTTGGGGCTGGATGAATCTTTGTGATGGAAAGGAGAGGGCAGGAGAGGACTGTCCTGTGCATTGTAGGATGTTTAATGGCATCTCTGGCCTCTTCCCACTGGATGCCAATAGTGCTTCATAATCCTGAGTTGTGACAATCAAAGATGTCTCCAGACATTGCCACATGTCCTCCAGGGGGCAAAATTTACCCCATTTGAGAACCATTGGTTGAGACTAATGACCAGTAACATTGTTTTCCTAAGGATTCCTTGCTCTGACAATGTTAAGGCCTTACAGAATTAACCACCTAGAAATTTGAAAGTTCAGGATCCTTAGAAATCAACCCTGGGCTGTGAATGTAATTATTGTTTTCTTCCAGGTCAGCGTTTCTCGCAGCACACATCCCACTTTTTTTGTACCCCTTTTTGCACACTGTCAGCAAAACACGTCCCTTTGAGTATCTCCGGCTCACCAGCCTTGGAGTTATTGGTAAGTTATTAGAATTGTTTTGCAAGCCTGAAATACTCACAGTAGTAGTCTAAGTTGGGTGTTTTGTCTTGCCGGTTATGATTTTTGTACACCAGTCATTCATTTTTGTCTTTGAGGTTGTCTCATTCACTAATCAATAAGTATCAGGAACATGATGACTCCTATCAAGCACTCTTCTAAGTGTTGTTAATAAGACTTTGAGATCCAACATTTGGGATTAAATTCAGCATATATGTGGAAACATTTGCTGGAATTGTAGGGAGAGTAAAGCATAAGAACTTGATTCAATATATAAAGAGTATTATTAAAGGAATAAGAGTTTAAATTTGGGACTTCTCCTCTTCCCTTCTCTCTTCTCTTCTCTTCTTTTCTTTTCTTTTCTTTCTGATAGGGTCTTGCTGTGTTACCCAGGCTGGAATTGAACTCCTAGGCTCAAGTGATCCTCCTGCCTCAGCCTCCCAAGTAATAGGGACCATGGGCACAGGCACACACCACTGTCTTTTTTTGTTTGTTTGTCTTACTTCTAATACCGGAATGCTTCGTATATCTGAAATGCCCTAAGAATATGCATGTCAAATACACTAAGCATTCTGAAAACCTGTAATTCTCCCATAACTCCAGGAATATGAATCTGTCAGTTCACCCAGTTAAATTTTTTCATCTACTTTTTTTTTAGTCTCTACTAAAAAAATAATGCAAAAATCAGCCGGGCGTGGTGGCATGTGCCTGTAGTCCCAGCTGCTGGGGAGGCTGAGGCAGGAGAATCGCTTGAACCTGGGAGGTGGAGATGCAGTGATTGCAGTGAGCCAAGATCACGCCACTGCACTCCAGCCTGGGCGGCAGAGGGAGACTCAAAAAAAAAAAATTAAATTTCCATGTACTAGCAATGAACAATAGGAAATTTATTTTTTATTTTATTTTTTTTTTTTTTTTTTGAGACAAGGTCTTGCTCTGTTGCCCACTCTTGAGTGCAGTGGCATGATCATGGCTCACTGCACCCTCAAACTCCTGGGATCACACAAATCCACCCACCTCAGCCTTGAGAAGCTGGAACCATAGGCACATGCCACCACACCTGGCTACATTTTTTTATTTTTTTGTAGACACAAGGTCTCACTTTTTGTTGCCCAGGCTTGTCTCAAACTTCTGGGCTCAAGTGGTTCTCCCACCTTGGCCTCCCAAAGTGCTGGGATTACAGATGTGAGCCACTGCACCTAGCTGAAATTTTTTTAAACTGCCATTTATAACAGCACCGAAATGTGAAAATTTGGGTATAAATCTTTAAAAATATATGCATGATCTATAACTAAAAACTACAAAACTGATTTCTAATGAAATAAAATGCAGAGATAAACCATGTTCATTGATTGGTGTATCAATGATTCAGTATTGTTAAGTTGTTCATTCTCCCCAAACTGATCTATAGATTCAGAGTAATTCCAACAAAATCCCAGCAGCACTTTTTTTAGAAATTGGCAGGCTGACTGCTATGGACTGAATTGTGTCCTCCCCAAAATTTCATGCTTTGAAACCCTACCCCCTCATGTCATGGTATTTGGAGATGGGACCTTTGAAAGATAATTAGGTTTAGATGAGGACATGGCCCTCATGAGGTTAGTATTCTTCTAAGAAGAGACACCAAAGAGCTTGTGCTCCCTCATTCGCTCTCTGCCATGTGAGGACATAGTGAGAAGCTGGCCATCTACAAGCCAGGAAGAGAGACTTTACAAGAACTATACCATACCATGCTGGCACCCTGATCTCAGCTTTTTTTTTTTTTTTTGTGAGACAGATTCTTGCTCTGTTGCCCAGGCTAGAGTGCAGTGGCATAATTTTGGCTCACTGCACCCTCCGCCTCCTGGGTTCTAGCAATTCTTCTGCCTCAGCATCCCGAGTAGCTGGGACTACAGGTGCGTGCCACCACACCCGGCTAATTTTTGTATTTTTAATAGAGACAGGGTTTCACGATGTTGGCCAGGCTGGTCTTGGAACTCCTGACCTCAGGTGATCCAGCTGCCTCAGCCTCCCAAAGTGCTGTGATTACAGGTGTGAGCCACTGTGCCCAGCCTGATCTCAGACTTTCAGCTGCTAGAACTATGAGACAATAAATTTCAGTTGTTTAAGCCACCAGTCTATGGTATTTTGTTATGGCAGCCTTCTAATAGACTGATCCTAAGATTTATATGGAAAGCCAAAGGAACTAGAATATCCAAACATTTCTTTAAAAGAACAAAGTTGGAAGACATATACTACCTGAGTTCCACACCTACTGGAAAAATATAGTAGTCAAGGCAGTGTAATACTGGAGAAAAGAAAGATTTACAGACCATTGGAGCAGAATGAAGAGTCCAGAAATAGACCCACACATATATGGTCAGTTGATTTTTGACAAAGGTACAAAGACAATTTAGTGCAGAAAGCTTTTTTTTTTAGAGAGAGTCTGTCACCCAGACTAGAGTGCAGTGGTGCAATCTCAGCTCACTGTAACCTGTACAGGTTCAATTGATTCTCCTGCCTCAGCTTCCCGAGTAGCTGGGATTACAGGAGCCTGCCACCATGCCTTGCTAATTTTTGTATTTTTAGTAGAGACGGGGTTTCACCATGTTGGCCAGGCTGATCTTGAACTCCCGACCTCAAGTGATCTGCCCGCCTCGGCCTCCCAAAGTGCTGGGATTACAGGTGTGAGCTACTGCGCCGCCCTCTTCCTTTTTTTTTTTAATACGAGTGTGAATCTGATTCCTTTAACAAACCCCAGTTTGTGTTCTGTTATTTAAGTTCACAACTCACTGGATAAACAGTTCGAAGTTAATGTTAACTGGAAACCCTAACTGTAAAATAATTTTGTTTGTCCTTATTTTCTTTAGGGGCCCTGGTGAAAACAGATGAACAAGAAGTAATCAACTTTTTATTAACAACAGAAATTATCCCTTTATGTTTGCGAATTATGGAATCTGGAAGTGAACTTTCTAAAACAGTATGTACTTTTAACTTAGATTTTACATTGTGTTGACTCTTAAGCTGCTTCCTTATGGTCCTGGGATCATTTTCTCTCTTCAAGCTTTTGAAATTTGTATGAATATTTTCTGTTTTGAATAAAAATTATTATGAAACAATTATTGAAAAACCCAAACCATTCAGAAGAAAATCAAGTTAAACACTAAATTTCTTTTCTCCAAACCCACATCTCACTCCACAGGTAAATTCTAAGTATATTATTACGGTTTCATTTTTTTAATTTTAAAATTTCAATCCTGCTCCTTCTATAACCGGGCTTTTTTAAAATACATAATCAATTATATGTACTTGAGCTTCTGCTTACTATGTACTTTAACCATGAATGACAACATGACAAGGTACAGAATTCTTACTCATTGTACAGAATTCTTACCTCATTGTTCTGTCTCAGACCTCCATTGCCATAGTCCTTTTGTCTTCTAACATTGAATATTGCAGAGAAGTCTCAGGGTCAGCCTAATTCTTTCCTTTTTTAGGTGAACTTACTTTTTTGTGTGGTTACCTACAAGTGTCTTTTATTATTTTTAAAGTTCATTTGATAATCATATATCTTTTTTTTTTTTTTTCTCTGAGATGGAGTCTTGCTGTGTCACCCAGGCTGGAGTGCAGTGGTGTAATCTCAGCTCATTGCAACCTCCGCCTCCCGGGTTCAAGCAGTTCTCCTGCCTCAGCCTCCCAAGTAGCTGGGACTACAGGCATGTGCCACCATACCCAGCTAATATTTGTATTTTTAGTAGAAATGGGGTTTCACTATATTAACCAGGCTGGTGTTGAACCCCTGACCTCAGGTGATCCGTCCGCCTCAGCCTCCCAAAGTGCTGGGTTTACAGTCATGAGCCACTCCACCCGGCCTTTTTTTTTTTTTTTTTTTTTTTTTTGAGATGGAGTGATGTAATCTCAGCTCGCTGCAACCTCCACCTATCAGGTTCAAGCAATTCTTCTGCCTCAGCCTCCCACGTAGCTGGGACTACAGGCACACACCACCACTCCTGGCTAATTTTTTTTTTTTTGTATTTTTAGTAGAGATTGGGTTTTGTCATGTTGGACAGGCTGGTCTTGAACTCCTGACCTCAGATGATCCGCCCACCTTGGCCTCCCAAAGTGCTGGGATTACAGGCGTGAGCCACCTCACCCAGCCTCAATTTTTTTCTGAAAGAGCATATTACTTGTGTCTTTTTTGTTGATTTGTATATTTTTCTCTTTTATTCGTTCAAGTCTCTTGGTTCAACATCAGTTATGCTCTATTATCTGTCTTTCATATTTTTTTCTCTAATCACTTTCAATTTTTAAATTTCATATTATTTGATTTTTTTCAAGGTTACTTTTCCATACTGCTGACAATTTTGGGTAGTATTCAACCTCTGCTCTAAAATTTGCCTTGTCACATTAAATTACTTTTTTAGTCTAACAAATATTTTATTCTTGAGTTGGGTGTAAGCAGGTATAATGATTTTTTTGGCTTTTTACTTTTAAATATATATATATGGAATGCTTCATGAATTTGTGTATTATCTTCGCACAGGGGCCACACTAATCTTCTCTGTGTTGTTCCAATTTTAGTACATGTGCTGTCTAAGTGAGCACTGGTTTTTTAATTTTTAATTAAATTATTTATTTATTTAGAGACAGGATCTCTGTCTGTCACCCAGGCTGGAGTAGAGAGGCATGGCTCACTGCCGCCTCGACCTCCTAGGTTCAGTTGATCCTCCCACCTCAGCTTCACAAGTAGCTGGGACCACATGCCTGCTCCACCACACTCAGCTAATTATTTTTATTTTTTGTAAAGACAAGGTCTCCCTATGTTGCCTGGGCTACTCTTGAACTCCTGGGCTCAAAGGATCTTCCTGCCTTCTGCCGTAGTACTAGGAGTACAAGCATGAGCCACTGTGCCTGACCAATTTATTGTTTTTAAAGAGACAAGGTTTCACTATGTTGCCCAGGCTGGAATGCAGTGGCTATTCACAGCCATGATAATGGCACACTATAGCCTTGAACTCCGGGGCTCAAGCAGTCTTCCCACTTCCCTCTCTGGAGTAGGTAGCTTTGATACTGGCACACATCCCTATACCTGGCTATTTTTAAGCTTTTTATTTTAAATATTCAATATATGGATGACTGTCAAAGGCATTGTTGAGCAAAAGAAGCCAGACACATGGGAATTCATACTGTATGTTGATTATGTGAAGTTTAAGAACAAGCAAAGCCAATTACTGGCAATAAGTTGGATTCGTGGTTAGCTCTGAGGAAAGAACATTGACTGGGGAAAGGTACAAGGGAATGCTGGAATCCTGAGTTGGTAGAAATATTGCTTTTTTCTGTTTTTTTTTTTGTTGTTGTTGTTTTTTGTTTTTGAGACAGTCTCACTCTGTCACCCAGGCTGGAGTGAAGTGGAGTGATCTCGGCTCATTGCAACCTCTGCCTCCTGGGTTCAAGCAATTCTCATGCCTCAGCCTCCTGAGTAGTTGGAACTACAGGCACACACCATCATACCCAGCTAATTTTTTGTATTTTTAGTAGAGATGGAGTTTCGCCATGTAGCCCATGCTAGTCTTGAACTCCTAAGCTCAGGCAATCTGCCTGCCTCCACCTCCCAAATATTCTGTATTTTATACAATATTTTGTATTTTAATCTGGTTATAGTACATAATGTGTACATAGGTAAAAATTCAAGGTACACTTAAGATTAGTGCACTTAACACACTTCACTGTGTGTAAGTTTATATTAGGTTCCTATATAACCTGCTGCTATAACAAATTACCACAAGCTAGAAGGGTAGTGGCTTAAAACAATGGAAGTTTACTGTTTTATAGTTTTGGAAGTCACAAGTTCTAAATGAGTTTCACCAATCTAAAGTCAATGTATCAGGAGGGTCATGCTTTCTCTGGAGGATATAGAGGAGAGTCTTTTTGTTGCCTTTTCTAGCTTCTAGAACTGCATTTCTTGCATTCCCTGGATTATGGCCCCCTCCCTCTTCAGATCCAGCGATGTGGCATGTTCAAATCTCTTTCTGCTTGTCACATTGCTTTCTCCTTTGTGGTAAAATCTCTCCCTACATCTCTCTTGTTGTTGTTGTTGTTGTTGTTGTTTTGTTTGTTTGTTTGTTTTAAGAGATGGGGTTTTCTCTGTCGCCCAGGCTGGAGTGCAGTGGCATGATCATAACTCACTGCATCCTTGAACTCCTGGCCTCAAGCAGTCCTCCCACCTTGGCCTCCCAGAGTGCTGAGATTACCAGCATGGGTCACTTTGCCTGGCCTTCTCTACATCGCTTTTAAGGACACTTCGTTATTACATTTAAGGCCTACTTGGATAAACAGGGATAATCCCCCATCTCAAGATCCTTAACTTAATCACGTCTGCAAAGTCCCATTTTTCATTTAAGGTAACATTTGCAGAGTTTGGTGATTAGGGCCTGGATATCTTTGAGAGCCATTATTCAGCCTACTACAGTGTTATAACCCCAATAAAATAGTAAAATAATTCCACAGTTCATTTTGATGAGCAGCCAAGAAAGAGTATCATTATCGTGATTGTCTAATTTAAATTAAACTAATATTTTAATATCTCTTTTATGTAAGAGCTAATGAGCTCAAGTTGAGGGAAAAATTGAGGCCACATATAAGCTTCACAGCCAGGATATGTTTTATTACTGTTAGATAATCTTCAAAGAGAAGCGTGAAAATCTTATTTCTTCAAGATCTTTTAAGAACAAAAAAGGCCTTATCTCAGCCGAGTGCAGTGGCTCACGCTTGTAATCCCAGCACTTTGGTAGGCCAAGGCAGGTGGATCACGAGGTCAGGGAATTCAAGCCCAGCCTAGCCAAGACGGTGAAACCCCGTCTCTACTAAAAATACCAAAATTAGCCAGGCATGGTGGCAGGAGCCTGTAATCCTAGCTACTCGGGAGGCTGAGGCAGGAGAATCAGTTGAACCAGGGTGGCAGAGGTTGCAGTGAGCTGAAATGGAGCCACTGCACTCCAGTCTGGGCGACAGAGTGAGACTCCATCTAAAAAAAAAAAAAGAAAAGAAAAAAGAAAGAAAGGCCTTACTTCATCTGGAAGAGAGGAGGCATAGCTGAATAAATCATCTTGGCCTATGGAAAAGAGAAGAGCCTTAGATATTCAAATGAGGCTTGGATCTCAGCTGTGCCATAGTAACTTTGTCACTTGGGACCTTAACCTGGTGCATTATTGATTAACAGTTATACCGGGCACATAGTAGGTACTCTGTAAATGAGAAGGTCTCTGAGTTTTTAAGAATTTGATAATTACACGGAACCTACCCTTGTATGTAAAGTGAGAATAATAATGGTACCTACCTCATTGATTTATTATAAAAATAAGATAAGCATGTAAAGCCTCTAGAAAAAAAAACTGGTACAAAGTAATGTTCAACATGGTAATATTTATTATTCTTTGTACTATACATATATGATAAAGTTGTACATAATATACAAGGATCCCTGCTTGCTCAATTTTCTGACTGATAGTCATGCCTGGGAAAATGAGTAGAAAATGAGAAGATTAAATCTGAGCAACTTTATAAACTCTTCGATTTTGTTTTGCTTCAGGTTGCCACATTCATCCTCCAGAAGATCTTGTTAGATGACACTGGTTTGGCTTATATATGTCAGACGTATGAGCGTTTCTCCCATGTTGCCATGATCTTGGTGAGTTCTTTCATCTATCCCCTTTACAACTACTTCTCATCACAAAGCTTAATCTCTTTATAACTGGCATTGAACAACTTCAGTCCTCTGACTAGAACTAACAATTTTGGAACCTTTTATGATTCTTGGACTATCTGATCTCTGATGTCAATTAGAATTTGTTTGTGTTTTGTGTGTTTTTTCCAACCCCTCCCCTTATTTTGGGGGAAACAGGGTAAGATGGTCCTGCAGCTATCCAAAGAGCCTTCTGCCCGTCTGCTGAAGCATGTAGTGAGATGTTACCTTCGACTTTCAGATAACCCCAGGTAAACATTTATAGGATGTATAGGACTTTAGGGAAATACTCTGCTGAACAGTTTCCTAATCTCATGGCATAGCTCCTGTGTCTTTAGGACAGGGAAGTGGGGATATAACTGCATTTAGTTTGTCTGAGACAGAACTTAGATTCTTTTAAAAATCTGAAATGCTGAATTTTAGTAGCCATCAGTTTCATCTTCTCACTGTAACTCTCCATCCTACTGTGAAATTCCAGAGAGTCTAGGCGATTCCAAAGGAAACCTTATGATGCATTACTCCTGTTGTTTGAATTTTCTGTTGCTACTCTACGTGGTCAGAGAGAGAAGTATATTTTCAAAGATCTCTTAAAAAGGAACACAGCCCAGAGGGCTCTTGAATTCTATTTCCAATTCTGTCCTTGATTCCTATAAGTTTCTTGAGCTAATTATTTTATCTGCTTATGTTCATAATCTTTCTGCCAGAAATCATACACTGTAGATATAATGCATTTTAGAAATGTTTGACCTTTTGCTTTGTAAATCCATAATTCATGCTGAAAGCAACCTGCTCATATTCTGCTAAACCACGTAATGGAGCAATTTCTGTGTTCCTGGGAAGAGAGCTAGCTTGATTTGATTTAATGTGAACTCAGTCTCCTGCCACTGAGTTTATTCAAGCCCTACCTGTTTGTTGACCATTTTATCCTGTTCTTCAGTGGTTCTTGTTTCACTAAAGTTTAAAAATGTGTTTATTTAAAATTCTACTTGTACAAAGAAAACTAGTCTGAGTGCAAAAACTATAACTTTGTTTAAAATAGCTCTACACATAGTTAACATTTACCTTTTTTAGGTTTTCAGATTTGACTTTCTGCTGGTCATCTTTTCAAAGAAAATGAAACGTTTAAAAGTTCATCTGATAATACTGCTACCATAGTTTTGTTTTCACTGCTCATCTCTTATTAAGGTTTTTAACCATAAAACTGAAGCAATTTCTGTAAAGACACAAATTGATAACTTAGTATAGAATTAAAATTCATTAAGTTATCATAAGTTTGATGATATCCTTGTTAATGTACTGATTTTTGAATTATTTTATTTGCCATAATCCATATATTTCTAACATGAGTATTTTGACAGTATTTAATAAATCAGAAAGCTGTTTGAATGGAAGTAAACTATTGAACCTTTTAATTTTGCTTTTTCATGAAATTCTACATTGGGGCATCATTCAGAAAATATTTGTGGATACAGATTTTGGAGATCTCTAAGCCTATGCCTAATATAGCTTTAGAGAATTTTAATGGCTTCTTAAGGAGCCATAGATTCACAGTATTCTAAATATTTATGTCTAAGAAGGGGGCTCTTCCCTGTCCACAAAATGTGGGTTTATTTGTTGGTCTCCCTGGTTGGTTTGTTTGTTTCTGATGTAGGGCACGTGAAGCACTCAGACAGTGCCTCCCTGACCAGCTGAAAGACACAACCTTCGCCCAGGTGCTAAAAGATGACACCACCACGAAACGCTGGCTTGCACAACTGGTGAAGAACCTGCAAGAGGGCCAGGTCACCGATCCCCGGGGTATCCCCCTGCCCCCTCAGTGATCCTTCCCTGTTCCCTCCCACTACTCCCCCAAGTTGGGGAAAGGAGGGGGAACCTACGAGAAAAACAGCTCAGGTTTTATCACCGACTGGGAATAGACAACCTCAATGCTGAACCGCACTGGAGAAAAGGGGCAAGGTACCCCTGCTGAGGTGTATGGGCTGCCATCTCAGGCTGTCTTGAGGACCTGGGCTCCCTCTGCTACTCCCAGGAAATGGGCTCCTGACACAGCAGTCTGCCACCACAGCCCCAGGAGGGTGTCAACACCAGCAAATGCTGTATTTGCAGCATGTCCAAGATGACCCTTCTCCCCTACCTCTACCTAGCCACTGGCAGGGAGGGGAGACAGTGGTGATAGCAGCAGCACTCTAGGCATGGTGAACGCCTGGGACCAAGCCATGTGGCGTTTTTTATTTTGCCTTTCTGGAAGACTCAAGATATGTCTCTTCATTCTCTCTCAGTATTTGTTTACTTTGGTTTTTTTGTTTTTAATCTCAGAGAGAGGTGTGTTTAGTGGGCACAAGCTGTAATATTCAGCAAAACTTTGTCGACTGGCACTGTTTACAAGTCTGTTAGCTGCATAAGCTCAATAAAAAGTTGGTCTGGGCATTACATCCCCTCTGGCAGGCCAATAGCTGCATCAAGCTGTTGGGAGAAATGGGAGGGCAGGGGAAAGATGTAAAGCCAAAGTACAGCAGGAACCCACCACCTGTTTCCCTTCCTTCTCCCATTCTACTCCCAGTCCGGAATGCCACGAGGACCTTAACCTTGTTTCTGGCTTTAGCTGCTAGTTTTCCCAAATCTCAGTGCTTTCCCTTTTTGAACTTCCCTTCTATTAAACTTAAAACAGATGTCTTAATTAATCAGGCTGTCTTGGAAGGGTATTGTATTGGGAGACAAGGGGCGGTGGTGGACCTCACCTTCAATCCAAGTTTTCAAAGATATTTTCTCAATAACTCTAAAAGGGAGGTGCTTGGGATTAAGGTGACAGTCCACTTGATCCTTTTCTTTGTTTTAGTGTGAATTTCAGCAGCTCCATCTGTCTTCATGATTGTACTTGAGCAGTATTAGCTGTATGAGTTAATTTTATTCAGATTGAAGATGGAGGGCTGGGTTCTGCTCACTCAGTCTTTTTTTTTTTTTTTTTTTTTTTTTTTTGACCATTCTCTTTTAGTCTATGGGAATTACAGGGTTGCCGCTAAAATATTCACTTGTTCATATCGTGTCAGAGATTTCCTCTTCTCTGGAGCTTAGGTGGCTCTTCACAATCCATAGGCTTGAATCTGCAACCTAGTGTAAACTGCCTTGCTTTCCCCGGTTCTTTCCCCTGCTAGCACCTGCTTTCTCATCCCTATCTCCAGTCAAAGATGGGATTGCTTAATCCAACTCTGGAGAGGGACCAAGTCTTTTCTGCCCACATCTCACACAATTGAGGTGTCTGAACAAGCTTGGGGAGGGTCTATAAGGGGTAGGCTCAAAAAAAAAAAAACCCATTTGCAGAGGCAGTTTTGCCAACACAAGGGCTCTTTCAAGCCGACTTTCACAAAGAGAGCCGGACTTGTTAGTTGGCTTCTGTCTCTTTAGAGCCAAGAAAATAGTAATTAAGTGGCCTAGATATAGGAAGGGCAGAATAAGCACTTACTCCCCCTGCCTTCCAAGATGAAGAGGAGAAGCAGGCCAACCCTCAATAATTGCAAGCCTGAAGAGAAGTGATCTTAGAGAAAGCAGAGAACAGAATGGACTGGATAGACATCTTGACTCTATTCAGCCCGTAGTCTGTGATCTGGAGAGTCCAGTTAAGGTAACCCAGATTTTTGACAACCGCCTTCCTGCTGAGCCAAAGTTTTCTCATTACCCCTCCACTGGGGAAGCAGCTGAGGCCCAGGGCCTTGCTCCCTGGGAAATTCTCTTCTCTCCATCTTTCGGTGCATTGGCCATGTTACTGTGCCAAAGTGTCTTAATTCTTGTCCCATCTATTCTCAGCTGGCCTTGGAACCCACATAGGAGTTGGTGGGGGAGGGATGGAATGGGTATTATTCATTGTAGTTGATCCTGGTGTGTGTATTATATAAAGAGACCCCTCCCCTTATTTTGTGTTTTCCATCCCTCTCCCTTAACAGGATTGAAATAAAACATGCTTCTGTTTTTGTAAAAATAATTTTTCCTTTACACTGGAGATTTTATTCTATCAGTATATGGGTAACTAGGCACTTTGGTCAGGTGATCCTTGTCATGCCTGCTTCTCCCCTCTGTCTACCTACACAACACACACACACACACACACACAGCCCTGCTAAGATGGCAGTAGTGGTTCTTTTGTGAACATGTTTTTTGGGGAGACTCCATCTGAGGTACAAAAGCTGTTTGGGAGGCTGGGAGGGGGATGATGCCCCTTACCTGATAAAAGTATGTTTTACTGGGACAGAACTTCACTCCTGGCCATATTGGCCAGAACTTAGTGCCAGTGTAGGGAGAGACTTCCATAGTGACAAGGTAATGCTTGAAACATCTTACGAACTTTGATGTTCATTTCCTCAAGTTCAAGGCTTGGAGCACATCTCCAGGATTGTTTCCATGCCTGGCTGTCAGTGGGACACAGCTGCCCTATGCTTCCACGTTCTTTTTTCAAGAGCCTTAGAGGGCCTGTGGCCTGTTTCACTGGTGGAACAGGAGCAGCATTGGTAGCCTTCAGAGCATGCCTTGCTTACTAACTACATATTATTCCTCTGCTCATTGTTCCTGCTGCTTAAAGGCTAGGAAAAGGGGGATATACAAAGTTGTTGCTTTCAAAAACTCAGAGAAAAAATTTGGAATAGGAAACCTTAGAATGAAATTATATTTTTCTTTCCTGATACATTATGGAATTTAATTTTTGGAAAAATATTTTCATATGTTTATTTCAAAAGCAGATATAACAAATAGAAAATTTGTTGGTTTGTTTTGTTTTGTTTTTGGGAATTGGAGTTTCGGTCTTGTTTCCCAAGCTGGAGTGCAGTGGCATAATCTCAGCTCACTGCAACATCTGCCTCACAGGTTTAAGCAATTCTCCTGCCTCAGCCTCCTGGGTATCTGGGATTACAGCCGCCCGCTGCCACATCCTGCTAATTTTTGTATTTTTAGTAGAGACGGGGTTTCGCCGTGTTGGCCAGGCTGGTCTCGAACTCCTGGCCTAAGGTGATCCGCCAGCCTCAGCCTCCCAAAGTGCTGGGATTACAGGCATGAGCCACTGTGCCTGGCCAACAAGCAGAAAATTTGAATAACAATTAACATACCTGGCTTAAATGACATTCATAGAACACTGCACTCTTAACCAATAGTATACATACTCTTTTTAATTACACCTAAGCATTTATCAGAACTGATCATAGCTGGACCATCAAGCCTCAAAAAGTTTTCAAAAAATTTAATATAATATTCTCTGGCCACAGTGGAGTAAGCTAGGAAAAATAACTAGAAAGTCCCTAGCTGTTTGAAACTTAGGCAGTACAATTCTAAATAACCCGTGGGTCAAAAAAAAATCACAAAGGAAATTAGAAAAAAAATACATATATATCTGTATCTATACATATAGATACATATGTTTTTGAGGAAGAGTCTCACTGTTACCCAGGCTGGAGTGCAGTGGCGTGATCTCAGCTCACTGAAACCACTGCCTCCTGGGTTCAAGTGATTCTCCTACTTCAGCCTCCTAAGTATCTGGGATTATAGGCACATGCCACCATACCCACCTAATTTTTGTATTTTCTTAGTAGAGATGGGGTTTCACCATGTGGGCCAGGCTGGTCTTGAACTCTTGACTTCAAGTGATCTGCCCACCTTGGCCTCCCAAAGTGCTGGGATTACAGGCATGAGCCACCTTGCCCAGCCTAGAAAATATTTTTGGTTAAGTGATAAAGCTGAGAGCAGGGTAGGGTGGCTCTCGCCTGTAATCCCAGCACTTTGGGAGGTCAAGGCAGGTGGATCACTTGAGGTCAGGAGTTCGAGACCAGCCAGGCCAATATGGTGAAACCCCATCTCTACTGAAAATACAAAAAATAGCCAGGCGTGGTGGCGGGCACCTGTAATCCCAGCTACTTGGGTCACTGAAGCAAGAGAAGTGCTTGAACATGGGAGGCTGAGGTTGCAGTGAACTGAGATTGTCCCACTGCACTCCAGCCGGGACGACAGAGACTCAAAAAAAAAAAAAGGAAAGCTGGGTTCTGTGGTTCATGCCTGTAATTCCAACACTTTGGGAGGCAAAGGTGGGAGGATTGCTTGAGCCCAGGAGTTCAAGAGCAGCCTGGGCCACATAGTGAGACTCTGTCTCCACCAAAAAATTAGAAAGTTAGGCATGGTGGTGCACATCTGTAGTCCCAGCTACTGAAGTCGGGGGATTGCTTGAGTCTAGGAGCTCAAGACTGCAGTGAGCCACCATCACACTACTGAACTCCAGTCTAGGTTACAGGAAGACCCTAAGAAAATTGAAATGATGGCACGATGTAAGTGACTCACACTTGTAATCCCAACACTTTCAGAGGCCAGGATAGGAGTATCACTTGAGGGCAGGAGTTCAAGACTAGCTTGGACAACATAACAGGACCAAAGTCTTGCTCTGCCGCCTCAGCTGGAGCAGTGGCATGATCTCAGCTCACTGCAACCTCTGCCTCTTGGGTTCAAGCAATTCTGCCTCAGCCTCTCAAGTAGCTGGGATTACAGGCTCATGCCACCATGGCAGGCTACTTTTTTTTTTGTATTGTAGTAGAGATGGGGTTTCTCCATATTGGACAGGCTGGTCTCAAACTCCTGACCTCGTGATCCGCCCGCCTCGGCCTCTCAAAGTGCTGGGATTACAGACATGAGCCACCGTGCGCAGCCAACCCCATCTCTTTAAATAAATAAATAAATAAATAAAGCTGAGTGTGGTGGCACTCCTGTAGTCCCAGCTACTTAGGAGGCTGAGGCAAGAGGATTGCTTGAGCCCAGGAGTTGGAGGGTGCCGTGAGTAAAAAGAAATATATGGCCGGGCGCAGTGGCTAACGCCTGTAATCCCAGTACTCTGGGAGGCTGAGGCGGGCGGATCATGGGGTCAGGAGATCGAGACCATCCTGGCTAACACGGTGAAACTCTGTCTCTACTAAAAAATACAAACAATTAGCTGGGTGTGGTGGCGGGCACCTGTAGACCCAGCTACTCGGGAGGCTGAGGCAGGAGAATGGCGTGAACCCGGGGGTGGAGCTTGTGGTGAGCTGAGTGTGCCACTGCACTCCAGTCTGGACGACAGAGCGAGACTCCGTCTCAAAAAAATAAAATAAAAAATAATTTAAAAAATATATAACCTTGGCTGGGTGTGGTGGCTCACACCCATAATCCCAGCACTTTGGGAGGCTGAGACGGGTGGATTACTCAAAGCCAGGAGTTCAAGACCAGTCTGGCCAACATGTGAAAACCCCATCTCTACTAAAAATACAAAAATTAGCCGGGTGTGGTGATGTACATCTGTAATCCCAGCTACTTGGAAGGTTGAGGGTTAAGAATTGCTTGAACCCAGGAGACAGAGGTTGCAGTGAGCCAAGATCGTACTACTGCACTCCAGCCTGGGCGATAGAGTGAGACTCTGTCTAAGAAAAAGAAAAGAAATATATAACCTTAAATTCACACATTGCAAAAGAAGAAACACCAAAGCCAGTAATCTAATATAAAGTTCCAGAAAAAGGGAATAAATCCCAATTCACTTTTGAAGCAGCATAACCTAGACAACAAAACTGGTTAAGAACATTACAAGAAAGGAAAACCAGGGACAAACCTCTCCCATGAATGTAGATATAAGATTCCCGGACATACTAAATCTATCAATATATAAAAATGATAATGCATTAGATCTAATTGGGATTTATTGCAAAAATAGAAGATTGATTCAATACTTCAAAATCAATCACCAGGCGCGGTGGCTCATGCCTGTAATCCCAGCACTTTGGGAGGCCAAGACGGGTGGATACTTGAGGTCAGGAGTTCGAGACCAGCCTGGCCAACATGGTGAAAACCTGTCTCTACTAAAAACACAAAAATTAGCTGGGTGTGGTGGTGCACACGTGTAATTTCAGCTACTTGGGAGGCTGAGGCAGGAGAATCACTTGAACCGGGGAGGCAGAGGTTACAGTGAGCCAAAATTGTGCCACTGCACTCCAGCCTATGTAAGAGTGAGACTCTATCTCAAAAAAAATACAATGCAATTCATATATCAACATAAAAGGAGAAAAGTCACACAATCATCTAGATAGATACAGACAAGAGGTCTACAGGCCGGGCGCAGTGGCTCACGCCTGTAATCCCAACACTTTGGGAGGCCAAGGCAGGCAGATCACCTGAGGAGTTTGAGACCAGCCTGGCCAACATGGTGAAACCCCAGATCTACTAAAAATACAAAAATTAGCCAGGCGTGGTGGCAGGTGCCTGTAACCTCAGCTACTCGGGTGGCTGAGTCAGGAGAATCGCTTGAACCTGGGAGGTGGAGGTTGCAGTGAGCCGAGATTGTGCCACTGCGCTCTAGCCTAGGTGACAGAGTGAGACTGTCTCAAAAAAAAAAAAAAGGAAAAAAAAAGTATCAACAAAAACTCTACCGTAAACCTCTCAATAAAATACTATATTATTTATGAGACAAGGAATTAAACACATTTGTCCACTATCAATCACACCTCCATTTATCAGCCAGTAAAAAAAAAGATTTTAAAGGAAAAGAAAAAAACCCTTGGTATTTGGTAACATGACTGTGTACATAGATAACCTGAAATAACCTACAAACCCCTAAAAAGTAATAAGTGAGGCCGGGCGCGGTGGCTCACGCCTGTAATCCCAGAACTCTGGGAAGCCGAGGTGGGCAGATCACGAGGTCAGGAGTTCAAGACCAGCCTGACCAACATGGTGAAATCCCATCTCTACTAAAAATACAAAAATTAGCCGGGCGTGGTGGCACATGCCTGTAATCCCAGGTACTCAGGAGGCTGAAGCAGGCTTGAACCCGGGAGGCAGAGGTTGCAGTGAGCCAAGATCACGCCACCGCACTCCAGCCTGGGCAACAGAGCAAGACTCCATCTCAAAAATAATAATAATAAGTGAATTTAGCAAGGTCACAGACTATAAGGTCAATATACAAAAAAAAAAAAAAAAAAAGTCAAATATGGCCGGGCACGGTGGCTCAAGCCTGTAATCCCAGCACTTTGGGAGGCCAAGGCGGGAGGATCACAAGGTCAGGAGTTCAAGACCAGCCTGGCCAAAATAGTGAAACCCCGTCTCTACTAAAAATACAAAAATTAGCTGGGCATGGTGGCATGTGCCTGTAGTCCCAGCCACTTGGGAGGCTGAAGCAGAAGAATCGCTTGAACCCAGGAGGTGGAGGTTGCAGTGAGCCGAGATCTCGCCACTGCACTCCAGCTTGGTCAACAGAGTGAGACTTTGTCTCACAAAAAAAAATAAAAAGTCAATTATATGTTTTCATATACAACAATAAATAGAAAGTAAAATTTCAAAAATAGTTTATAAAGCATAAGAAATCAAGTAGCTAGAAATAGATATATCAAATAGTGTGTAGAACCTTTACATTGAAAACAATGAAACATTGTGGAGAGAAATTAAAAAGCTATATAATTGAAGGATATATCATCTCCATGGATTGGAAAACAAAAATACTATGAGGATGCCAATTCTCTCAAATTGATCTGCTTGTTAAACTCAGTTCTAAGTAAAATCCCACCAGGTTTATTTTTCTGAAAATTAGTAAGCTGATTCTAAAATTTTGCCCGAAGAGCCGAGGATATTTTTTTTGTTTTGTTTTTGAGACAGGGTCTCTGTCACCCATGTTGGAGTGCAGTGGAGTGATCATGGCTCATGGCAGCCTCACTCTCCTGGGCTCAAACAATCCTTCCACCTCAGTCTCCCAAGTAGCTGGGACTGTAGATGTGCGCCACCACACTCAGCTAATATTTTTATTTTTTTTTTATATTTATTTATTTTGAGACGGAGTCTTGCTCTGTTGCCCAGGCTGGAGTGCAGTGGCACAATCTCAGCTCACTGCAAACTCCACCTCCCGGGTTCAAGAATTCTCTGCCTCAGTCTCCCGAGTAGCTGGGATTACAGGTGTCCGCCACCATGCCTGGCTAATTTTTTTTGTTGTATTTTTAGTAGAGACAGGGTTTCACCATCTTGGCCAAGCTGGTCTTGAACTGCTGACCTCGTAATCCACCCACCTCGGCCTCTCAAAGTGCTGGGATTACAGGCGTGAGCCACTGCCCTTGGCCATATTTTTATTTTTTGTAGAGACAAAATCTTACTATGTGCCCAGGCTGGTCTCAAACTCCTGGGCTTCCAAAGTGCTGCGATTATAGGCATGAGCCACCGTGCACGGCCAAGGCAATCTTAAGAAGAAAATTGGAGTTCTTCCTTTAACTTTCTTTTTTTTTTTGAGAGAGAGTCTTGCTCTGTCACACAGGCTGATCTGCAGTGGCATGATCTCAGCTCACTGCAACCTCTGCCTCCCGAATTCAAGCAATTCTTTTTTTTTTTTTTTTTTTTTTTGAGACAGAGTTTTGCTCTTGTTGCCCAGGCTGGAGTGCAATGGCGTGATCTTGGCTAACCGCAACCTCCACCTCCTGGGTTCAAGCGATTCTCCAGCCTCAGCCTCCTGAGTAGCTGGGATTACAGGCATGCGCCACCACTCCCAGCTAATTTTGTATTTTTGGTAGAGATGGAGGGGGAGGTTTTCCATGTTGGCCAGGCTGGTCTCAAACTCCTGACCTCGTGATCCACTTGGCCTCCCAAAGTACGGGGATTACAGGCGTGAGCCACCATGCCCGGCCTCAAGCAATTCTTGTGCCTCAGCCTCCCGAGTATCTGTGATTACAGGCATGTGCCACCACGTTCGGCTAATTTTTTTATTTTTTGTAGAGCTGGGGGTTTCACCGTGTTGGCCTGGCTGGTCTCAAACTCCTGGCCTTACATGATCCGCCCACCTCAGCCTCCCAAAGTGCTGGGATTACAGGCGTAAGTGAGCCATCACACACAGCCACTTTCCTTTGACTTTCAACTTTTATTTTATTTTTTGAGACAGAATCCTACTCTGTCACCCAGGCTTGAGGGCAGTAGCATGATCGTGGCTCACTGCAGCCTCTAACTCCTGGGCTCAAGTGATCCTTCCATCTCAGTCTCCCAAGTAGCTGGGACTAAAAGAGAGTGTTTACTTTTTTGTAGAGCCAAGGTCTTGCTATGTTGCCCAGGCTGGAACTTTTTTCTTTTTTTTTTCTTTTTCCTGAGACAGAGTTTCACTCTTGTTGCCTAGGCTGGAGTGCAATGGCGCGATCTCGGCTCACCGCAACCTCCGCCTCCCAAGTTCAAACGATTCTTCTGCCTCAGCCTCCTGAGTAGCTGTGATTAGAGGCATGTGCCACCACGCCCGGCTAATTTTTTATATTTATTAGTAGAGACAGGGTTTCTCCATGTTGGTTAGGCTGGTCTCGAACTCCTGACCTCAAGTGATCCACCCGCCTTGGCCTCCCAAAGTATTGGGATTATGGGCGTGAACCACCGCGCCTGGCCTTTTCTTTTTTTTTTTAGTAACACCTTTTTGTAGATGTGACTTTTTTTTTTTTTTAAGGCGAAGTCTTGCTCTGTCACCCAGGCTGGAGTGCAGTGGCAATGGCGTGAACTTGGCTCACTGCAACCTCTGCCTCCTGTGTTCAAGTGATTCTCCTGCCTCAGCCTCCAGAGTAGCTGGCCTTACAGGGATGCACCACGATGCCCGGCTGTTTTTTTAATTTTTAGTAGGATGGAGTTTCACAATGCTGGCCAGGCTAGTCTCGAACTCCTGGCCTCAAGTGATCTGCCTGCCTTGGCCTCCCAAAGTGTTGGGATTACAGGCATGAGCCAGCGTGCCCGGCCTGTAGACATGACTCTTACCAGTAGCACATACTTATATTTTGTTTTGTGACCTTTTCTGAAAGTTTTATTTCTTGGTGTAAAATACTATTTGTATTTTTTATTCTACTTTCCATCATCTTGTTCTCTGGGGTTTTTAATACCACCTTGTTGCCCACTCCCCACGCCCACTTAAAGAATTGAATAGCAGAACTGGGACTCTGCTTTTAAATTTTGTTAGAATGGAGGACTGACCATACACACACACACACACACACACACACACACACACACACACATATATATATATATATATACACACACACACATATGTATATTCTCTGGTCTTTTGAAGTTATATATCCTGGCTTTTAATTCTACAGGTGGTCTCATATTGATTTTTTTTTTTTTTTTTGAGACACAGTCTCGCTCTGTCACCCACCCAGGCTGGAGTGCAATGGCACCGTCTCAGCTCACTGCAACCTCCGCCTCCCAGGTTCAAACAATGATCCTGCCTCAGCCTCCTGAGTCGCTGGGATTACAGGCATGTACCACCATGCTTGGCTAATTTTTGTATTTTTAGTAGAGACCAGGTTTCACCATGTTGACCAGGCACCAGGCTGGTCTCGAACTCCTGACTTCAAGTGATCCACCTGCTTCGGCCTCCCGAAGTGCTGGGATTATAGGCATGAGCCACCGCGCCCAGTCCTTTTATTTTTTTATTTTTATTTTTATTTTTATTTTTTTTGAGACAGAGTCTCGCTCTGTCACCCAGGCTGGAGTGCAGTGTTGCGATCTCGGCTCACTGCAACCTTTGCCTCCTGGGTTCAAGCGATTCTCCTGCCTCAGCCTCCTCCTGAGTAGCTGGGATTACAGGCACGTGCCACCATGCCTGGCTAATTTTTATATTTTTAGTTGAGATCGGGTTTCACCATGTTGGTCAGGCTGGTCTCAAACTCCTGACCTCGTGATCTGCCCACCTCGGCCTCCTAAAGTTCTGGGATTACAGGCGTGAGCCACCGTGCCCGGCCCTGATTTTTTTTTTTTTAAGAGACAGAGTCTTGCTATGTTGCCCTGGCTGGTCTGAAACTTCTGTACTCAAGCAATCCTCCTACCTCGGCCTCCCAAAGTGCTGGAATTACAGGTGTGAGCCACTGTGCCTGGCCTTATGTTGATGATTTTTAAATGGAATTTACTGTTTTGAGTTGCATTTTTGATCAGGAAGGAGTTGGGCTTTATTTCAGAAGTTTGAGTAGTTTGGTTCGATAGTCTGGGGAACTGATCTCAGACTTTCCAGCCTGAGTGTCCTGACAAGCGGAGACATTTAATTGGGTGGCATCTGCTCTGGATGTCAGGAAGAAGGTCTAGGCAGGCCTGGGTGGCAGGGCGAGAGTACCATGTTTAGGTCTTCCTCTTTGCCAGCTGCTGCTTCATTTCAGTTTAGGGCTTCTAGGCTTTTCCTGGGCATGGTTCCCAGAAAGTCCCTCTGCTGCTACTGCCCTGATCAGGTTTCTGGATCTGTTAATAATAGACAACAGTGGGGGAAGGGGCAGCCAGGATCATGGTGGAAATAGGAATAACCATACCAGATGGACATTTACTGTGCCCAGGGGGCCCTGTCTGTCTGCTCCCTCCCTCTGTTTCATGAGAGTCCTGCAGTGGGCATGCCTTGGCACTCTGGAACCATACTAACCTTGTGAAAGTCTCCAAGTCCCTGCCCCAAAAATCAGAACATATGGGCTGAAGAATACTGTTGTATTCATGGGAACATTGAAACAGAATATTTGAGATCTAGACTCTCCCAGAAAATCCACTATGAGTGATAACACCCCTCACAGATTACCCAAGAGGGAAGGAGGTTGGGCAGCATTAAATTGATGCAAATAGTGACTCAGAAAGATGGTATATAATCTGGGGGTATAGAAGAGGAGTGTGGACTGTGAAGGTGAGGCTTGGAAAAATAAGCTGGCCATGTTGGGGAAGTAGAAATGGGAGAGCAAGACAAGCATGTAAAACAGGGCCTCTATTAAGTCAAATCTGAAATCAGCACAGTTTAAACTACGATGCCCCCCAATCTTCCTGTTCCCCATGAATGGCCTCCCTCCTAATGTGTCCCCTTCCTTCATACTACTACTCTTCTATCAAAACCTGCTCTCAGTAAAGAATATAGACAACCCAACCTAGGTATAAATTATTTAAAATCTACTTTGACCTTAGGATTGAATTTTTAAAAAATTATTTATAATCGGCTGGGTGCAGTGGCTTACGCCTGTAATCCTAGCACTTTGGGAGGCCAAGGCAGGTGGATTGCCTGAGCTCAGGAGCTCAAGACCAGCCTGGGCAACACGGTGAAACCCCGTCTCTACTAAAATACAAAAAAAAGTAGCTGGGGGTGGTGGCATGCACCTGTAATCCCAGCTACTCAGGAGGCTGAGACAGGAGAATTGCTTGAACCCGGGAGGTAGAGGTTGCAGTAAGCCAAGATCACGCCATTGCACTCCAGCCTGGGCAACAGCGAGACTCTTATCTCAAAAAAAAAAAAAAAAAAAAAAAAAAATATATATATATATATATATACACACACACACATATACATATACATATATGTATATTTAAAATCATTAAGCCTTCAAAAGTTAACACAGATATATGATATTTTAAATGAGACCTAAAAAAATAAATTTAAAAACACATATAGAAAATATATCAAGAGAATGTATAGCTTAATAAATTATTAAGTGAAGACCCTTGTTAGCACTTAGAACTAGAAATAGAGTTTAGCTAGCTATGCCAGAAGCCCCCTCTGTGTCCCATCTCACCACAATTCCTCCCCCTCCCAACAGTAACCACTATCCTGACTTTTATAGTAATCACTTAGGAGGATTTTATTTTAATGGGACTAAAAAATGTAGCTATAATCACTAATGGTAAAATATTAGGCAGTTGAGGGATGCTTGTGGAAACCATGATAGGCAGCCAGACGTCAGCACACTTAAAATTACACCATTTCACACAGTTCCCCTCTGAGCCTATGCTTCATCTCTGCACACATCTTTATAAACATGCATGTATGTCCTGAAGGTGCTACCTCCATTCTGAGGGCTATGACTTATAACCCAGAGGTGCTGAACAGATGCTTGTAGGAGGAACGAATGGATGTTTAAAAAAAAATGAGCTGTTTCACACGTTCATCTATGCATTCTTTCAATATTTAATGAGTGCCTAAAATATACATAGATTCTAACCTATCTGTCCCTCTACATTCTATCATCATTCCTGTCCTCCCCTTCTCCTCGTCTTCCTCTTTTCCCATCTTATTTCTTTCTTTTCCTGTGGGACGGAGCTACAGTGAGTGCCCTGCAGGCAGGATTCAGAGATACAGGAGCAGGCCAGTGGAAACAGACACTATGGAAAGGAGCCAGATTAAATAAGGGCAAAAACAGCCGTATTACATGCAGGAACCAGAATGAAAAGCAGTGATTCACAGAGCACTGCAACTGAGGACACTCCCTTCACTTTGAGAGCTACTGCGGGATTGGGGTCAATGAGGGCTGGCATCAAGATGAAGGGCAGCCAGGCTCCTCCCTGGAGATGTGCTGCCCTTAATCCTTCTCTCCCCACCCCACCCCCACTACTCCCTCACATTGACCAGTGTCCTGGGCCTTTAAGAGTTGGATGGGCTGGACTGGAGAGAGCTCACACCTCTCCCCTTCTTACTGCTTCCCTCCGGCTATAACTTGCCAGTCACAGCAGCCAGCTGCTGTAGAAGAGGGGAGGAAACAAGCCAGTGCAAGGGGAGCAAAAGAGAAAAGGAGCCAGGCTGGGCTTCCTGATCCCACAGCATCGCAGAGCTCGGGAGGCACAGCTCACAGACACAGGAAACACAGGACTGCTATTCTGCTCTCCTGCCCACGGTAAGGATCTGGAAGCTCTGACTACCCTCTGCTCTAAGCTCTGTCTTCCCTGAGTCCCTACCTCTGCCCTCTAGATGCTTATCCACCCTGATTAAATTGTACCCTAGACTCCTTTCCTCATCCCAACAGCTCTACAGGGCTCCCACCTCCTGGTTCTCTCTAGCTTATCCTCCTTTATCCTTACAGCTTTCCTCCTGGCTGTGTCAGTCGCCCTTTATATGAGGTACCTCTTAGCTTATGCAGGGCCAGAAGTGCCAACCCTAGCCACTCCTGAGGTGAACTCCACCCCCAATAAGGGAAGAAAAAATTGGAGTAGCTAAGCTTTAGCATAGATTCATTAACAGTTTGTTGAGGGTTGCAAAATAGGGGTTGGCCAAGAACCATGGGGAATCAGAGATCCCTGGTAATAGAGAGAGTTATGAAAGTCCCTTAGAAAGTTCTCTAAAGAACTTGTTCTTTGCCTATTCCATGGGCCAGAGCAGTTTCTTAGTGCACCAGAGTGCTACGTTGGTAAGAAAACCTACTTCTAGTTCTGCCTGTGCCATTAACTAGCTACGGGACCTGGAGCCACAACTTCCAGATCTGTGATACGAGAGAGTTTAGGGTTTCCCAGACTTGCCTGTGTACCAAGTGTACTTGTTAAAAATAAATATATTATTGAGCCCCACCCTGGGTAACTCTGATCTGGTAGATTTTTGGGTAGGGCTAAGGATCTCAATTTCAAGACATTCCAGAGGCTATTGATGTAGCTGGGAATGTCTGGATTAGATGTGTTATAAAAGAACTGGCCGGGCGCGGTGGCTCACACCTGTAATCCCAGCACTTTGGGAGGCCGAGGCGGGTGGATCACGAGGTCAGGAGATTGAGACCATCCTGGCTAACATGGTGAAACCCCGTCTCTACTGAAAATACAAAAAATTAGCCGGGCGAGGTGGGTGGCGGGTGCCTGTAGTCCCAGCTACTCGGGAGGCTGAGGCAGGAGAATAGCGTGAACCCCGGGGGGCGGAGCCTGCAGTGAGCCAAGATCGCACCACTGCACTCCAGCCTGGGCGACAGCGAGACTCTGTCTCAAAAAAAAAAAAAAAAAGAACCTTCAAGCTCCAACATTCTGTGACCTGTGACCAGAGCCAATTTGTCCTCTATATGAACCAGGTTAGGCATAATCCTTCTCAGAAGCAAGGGAGTAGACAAAATGATTCTCTTCTTTCTTGCCCCTCAGAGAGACCTGAGACACCCTGAATCCCACTGTAATCTCCTTGGTGCCATTGGTAACTCTGCCAAAGTCCATCTCTAGGTGACATGAAGTCTCTTAGAAATTGAGGACCAAATTGCGCTCTGCAGCTCTGGGCTACTTCCCATCTCATTTTGTGTCCCTATTTTCGTATCTGTATTAGAGAGGTAATTACCATATCATTGAAGATCTCCATATATGTGTCTATGAGTTAATATTTAAGACCAACCTTTCTTATTATCAGATGTCATCCTCTGTGTTTTTCCCAGTGCCCTCACTCCCAAACCCTTTGTTCCTTCTCTTCTCATTGCACCTGCATCAGCTGTGGGCATCCTTCCCATTCTACCATTAGACACCAGAGGAAACAGCAAGACCTAGAATACCTAGGTTCTAACTCACATTGTCTGGGCAGTTTGTTTGGTCAATCTCCTAGGATACAGAGAAAAGTGAGGCTGAGCAGAGGGACACGCATGCTACTGAGTTCTGAACCCAAGTGTCCTCCCTTCTGGACCACAGTCTCAAAATTCTCAAAGGAGATGAGACTCAGAGCCATTGCGAATTAGTGGAGTCAAAAGAGGGAACCAACTGGAAGAGGTGATGGGGAGAAGGGATGAGGAGAAGGAAGAGAAGAGGAGAGACTGACCTAGGTGAGCAAACAGGAAGACAGAGGATTAAGAGAGAGAGAGAGGTGGGGATGGGGCTGGGCATGATGGCTCACGCCTGTAATCCCAGCACTTTGGGAAGCCCAGGCAGGAGGATTGCTTGAGGCCAGGAGTTTAAAACTAGGGCTACACAGGGAGACCCCATCTCCATACAAAACAAATAATAATTTAAAAAAAATTTTTTTTATAGTGAACTGGGAAGAAAGGAAAAGGACCAGGTCAGGCATGGGATAGGGAAAGGAAAGAAAATGAGATGAAAGAGGCTGGGCATGGTGGCTCACCCCTGTAACCCCAGCACTTAGGGAGGCTGAGGCGGGTGGATCATCTGAGGTCAGGAGTTTGAGACCAGCCTGGCCAACATAGTGAAACCCCGTCTCTACTAAAAATAAAAAAAATTAGCCAGGCGTGGTGGCACACACCTGTAATCCCAGCTACTTGGGAGGCTGAGGCAGGAGAATCACTTGAACCCAGGAGGCGGAGGTTGCAGTGAGCCAACATCATGCCACTGCACTCCAGCCTGGGCGACAGAGTGACACTCCGTCTCAAAAAAAAATAAATAAATAGAAATAAAGAAAATGAGACCAAAGAAAAGCAAGACTATTCAGAGTACAGAGGGAACAGAAAGTGATGGAGAGGAGAGACAAAATACCAATGTCCCTTATTGATTCCTAGCCTTGCTTCAACTGTTTTCTAGAGAAGGCCCTTTCCAAGAGCAGAGTCATTGTGAGATCCTTGAGCTGGTTGTATGGAGACCTGGGTTCTTTTTTTTTTCCTCCTGCCCAAGACAGAGTTTTGCTTTTGTTGCCCAGGCTGCAGTGCAATGGCGCCATCTCGGCTCACTGCAGCCTCCGCCTCCTGGGTTCAAGCAATTCTCCTGCCTCAGCCTCCCAAGTAGCGGAGATTATAGGTGTGCACCACTACTCCCAGCTAATTTTTGTATTTTTAGTAGAGAAGGGGTTTCACCATGTCGGTCAGGCTGGTCTCGAACTCCTGGCCTTACATGATCTGCCCATCTCAGCCCCCCAAAGTGCTGGGATTACAGATGTGAGCTACCGTGCCCGGCCAGAGACCTTGGTTCTAATTCCAGTTCTGTCACTCATTAAATGACTCTGGCACTAATTCTTTTTACTTCACCTAACCTTTCTAGTCCTCGGGCTCCTTTTCTATAAAATGAAGTCCAGCTCTGACCTTCTATGGCTCCCTGATTTGAAACTGGCCCTCTTATGACCACATGTCAGTCATGTGAATACAGATTTAAAATAGTGATTCATGAATGGGAGAAGGATTGGAAGAACAAAGCCAAGCTTTGGGGTTAGAAGAATTGGACAAAGGAGGAAAAAATAATTTTCTAAGGCAGGTTTGAGAGGAGGGAGTCTCCAAAGTAAGGGTGTTCAGGCACTTGGGCTCGGTTCTCAGGCTTCCCATGTTTCAGGACATCATTGTGAGGCTCCTGGACACAGGCGTAAGGGAAGGTAATGCAATCTTCTTGCAGTCCTAAAGTTCACCACATCCTAGAGTCCCTGTGTCCCAGAGGTGGGAGCTAAAATTCAGATAGGAGATAAGCCAGGATGTTGGCAGAAGAGGTTAGACTTCAGCCCCAGGCCAATTCACTCTCCTAGAGTCTGAGGACCTAAGAAATTTTTGTTGTTGTTTTTGAGAGAGTCTCACTCCGTCACCCAGGCTGGAGTGTAATGGTGCAATCTCGGCTCACTGCAACCTCTGCCTCCTGGTTTCAAGTGATTCTCCTGCCTCAGCCTCACGAGTAGCTGGGATTACAGGTGTGCACCACCACAGCCGGCTACTTTTCGTATTTTTAATAGAGACGGGGTTTCACTATGTTGGCGAGGCTTGTCTCAAACTCCTGACCTCAAGTGATCCACCTGCCTCAGCCTCCCAAAGTGCTGGGATTACAGGCGTGAGCCACCACACCCTGCTAGACCTAAGAGAGGTCTGTTGCTTTCTTTTCTTTTCTTTTCTTTTTTTTGAGATGGAGTCTAGCTCTGTCGCCAGGTTAGAGTGCAGTGGTGCGATCTTGGCTCATTGCAACCTCTGCCTCCTGGGTTCAAGCGATTCTCCTGCCTCAGCCTCCCTAGTAGCCACCATGCCCAGCTAATTTTTGTATTTTTAGTAGAGACAGGGTTTCACCATGTTGTCCAGGATGGTCTCGATCTCTTGACTTTGTGATCCACCCGCCTCGGCCTCCCAAAGTGCTGGGATTACAGGCATGAGCCACCGCCTTCGGCCAGGTCTGTTACTTTCTACTTCAGTCTTCACATAGCTTCTGTAAGCCTCAGATTCCAAACTGCATCCCCACTCAGAAAAGCAGAGATGATTTTCTGGCTCTCAGGAAACACTTTGGGTCCCTTCGTCCAACCAGAGGTTTCTTCTGGTCTCCTTCAGGCACACACATTCAGCATAAGCCAGCAAAATCTTTTCTTCCTGAAATTGTTTCCTGACAGACTTCTTCTCAACCTTCCCCTCTCACTCTGGATACCTATACATTACTACCCATTTAGAGAGGCTTCTCTAGGCGGGGCAGAGTGGCTCACGCCTGTAACAGCACTTGGAGAGGCCAAGGTGGGCGGATCACCTGAGATCAGGAGTTGGAGACCAGCCTGGCCAACACGGCAAAACTCCGTCTCTACTCAAAATACAAAAATTAGCCAGGCGTGGTGGCTCACAGCTGTAATCCCAGCTACTCAGGAGGCTGAGGCAGGAGAATTGCTTGAACCTTGGAGGCAGAGGTTGCAGTGAGCTGAGATGGTGCCATTGCACTCCAGCCTGGCGACAGAGCAAGACTCCATCTCAAAAACAAAAAAAAAGAAAGTCTTCTCAAGGTCTTGTATTCAGGGAAGCTGTATTTTCAGTGACCCCCCCACATTCTCCCTGAAGGCTTAGTCACTACTAGGTGACTTTATAGGGTCTTCCCACAAAAGAGACGTAGGGCACTAATAGGCTGTGTGACCTGAGGCAAGTCGCATCACATTTCTAGACTTCTGCTTTTTCATCTGTAAAATATAGGGAGTTGAACTAACTGCATGATGTTTTAATGGAACACTAACTGAATGATTGCTCTACAAATTTTTAAAGTTCTTTTAAGATGTGCACCACTGTCAAAATTTTAAACTTTTAAATTAAGGAACATGGCTGGGTGAGGTGGCTCATGCCTGTAATCCCGGCACTTTGGGAGGTCGAGGCGGGTGGATCACCTGAGGTCAGGTGTTTGAGACCAGCCTGGCCAACATAGTGAAACCCTGTCTCTATTAAAAATACAAAAATTAGCTGGGTGTGGTGATGGGTGCCTGTAATCCCAGCTACTTAGGAGGCTGAGGCAGGACAGTCGCTTGAACCCGGGAGGTAGAGGTTGTAGTGAGCCGAGATTGTGCCATTGCACTCCAGCCTGGGTAATAAGAGCAAAAGTCTGTCTCCAAAAAAAAAAAAAAAAAAAAAGCACATAACATTTTTCAGGTAGAGATACCCTTTAAAAAAAAGAAACTCACAATATACTTCTATTCAAATGTAGGTTCTTTGCTTACACAAAAGCATAGAGCTTTATGTTTTATGAGATTTGTCTGTTTCAGCACGACCTGGTCAAGAATGTTTTTTTGTTTTTGCTTTTTGAGACAGTCTTGCTCTGTCACCCAGGCTGGAGCTCAGTGGTGTAATCTCAGCTTACTGCAGCCTCAACCTCCTGGGCTCAAGTGAGCTTCCCACCTCAGCCTCCCAAGTAGCTGGGACCACAAGTGTACACTACCACACTCGGCTAATTTAAAAAAATTCTTTGTAGAGATGGAGGTCTCAATATGTTGCTCACACTGGTCTCGAACTCCTGGGCCCAAGCAATCCTCCCTCTTCAACCTCTCAAAGTGCTGGCATTACAGCATGAGCCACTGTGCCCAGCCAAGAATTGAGTATTTCTATAGGGGCATAGCTAGAATCAGTGTGGCCACATATCAAATTTTCTAGTCCTTTTCAAGGGAAGTTTGTTGTCAGCTACTAGGACAACTTAACCAGGTCCTATATTTCACAGCATATATCTTTTCTTCTTCTTCTTCTTTTTTTTTTTTTGAGATGGAGTCTTGCTCTCGCTCTGTTGCCCAGGCTGGAGTGCAATGGCGTAATCTCGGCCCACTGCAACCTCTGCCTCCCAGGTTCACACGACTCTCCTGCCTCAGCCTCCTGAGTAGCTGGGATTACAGGTGCACACAACCACACCCGGCTAATTTTTTGTATTTTTAGTAGAGACGGGGTTTCACTATGTTGGCCAGGCTGGTCTTGAACTTCTGACTTCATGGTCCGCCCGCCTTGGCCTCCCAAAGTGCTGGGATTACAGGCTTGAGCCACCGCGCCCAGCCTTTTGTATTTTTTTAGTAGAGACAGGGTTTCACTGTGTTAGCCAGGATGGTCTCAATCTCCTGACCTCGTGATCCACCCACCTCGGCCTCCCAAAGTGCTGGGATTACAGGTGTGAGCCACCGTGCCCAGCCTTTTTCCTCTTTTTATTGAGACAGAGTCTCGCTGTGTCGCCCAGGCTGGAGTGCATGGCACAATCTTGGCTCACTGCCAACCTCTGCCACCCAGGTTCAAGCGATTCTCCTGCCTCAGCCTCCCAAGTAGCTGGGATTACAGGTGCTTGCCACCATGCCCAGCTAATTTTTTTGTATTACTAGTGAGACGGGGTTTTGCCATGTTGGCCAGGCAGGTCTCAAACTCCTGACCTCTGGTGATCCGCCAGCCTCGGCCTCCCAAATTGCTGGGATTACAGGCGTGAGCCACCGCACCCAGCCAACAGCCTATATCTTAAAAGAGGTACCCTTTTTTGGTAGGTAGAGAAAATTTGAAAATGTAGTTCTGAGACTTGTGTAACTTATTTGGTCCATTAAAACTGTGAGAATAACTATAAAGGAAAGGTATAAAATATGCTTTACCATGTGAAGGTAGAAGAAGACAACTAAGTATTGTTAAAGAGAAAAAAGAAAGTCTGGCCGGGTGCAGTGGCTCACGCCTGTAATCCCAGCACTTTGGGAGGCCGAGGTGGGCGGATCACGAGGTCAGGAGATTGAGACCATCCTGGCTAACACAGTGAAAACCTGTCTGTACTAAAAATACAAAAAATTAGCCGGGTGTGGTGGCACATGCCTGTAGTCCCAGCTACTCGGGAGGCCGAGGCAGGAGAATCGCTTGAACTGGGAGTTGCAGTGAGCTGAGATTGCACCACTGCACTCCAGCCTGGGTGACAGAGCGACACTCCGTATCAAAAAAAAGAAAAAGAAAAAGAAAGTCTGCACTAGCCCCTCAGGAGCTGGACAGTCTATGTGGGAGCATAGATAGAGAGGACTCCCAGAATAGGGAAGCTGAAAGGATTCCACCTGGAAATGAGAAGGCTAGGGTGTGAAGAGATTCTAGTTTCTGAAAGGGACATCCAGCAAGATGTTAGTTCCTAATAATGAGAGGGTGGGGAGTGAGCAAAATGTGGCACTAGTAGACTGTGGGTTATTGGGTAGGAAGGGGGTGCTGGGCGGAATCTTTGGTTTACCCTTCTCTGAAGATAGCCATGGGAAATAGCAGAGGCTCTGGGATCAGACATATCTTGGTTTAAATTCTGATCCTTATGTGATTTGAGGCAGGTTTCTAAACCTATCTAAAGTGTCAGAGTCACTAAACTCAAAATTAGAAGCAAAAATCAGCTACAGACTATCTTCAAGATTCACCCAGAGCCCTTTGCTCTTCCTTGCTCCTTTAGGTGATCTGGTGCCAGCTGGTGGAACAGTGGGTGATGGCGTCCCTGCTGCAAGACCGTGAGTGCCGGGGCCCCTGCAGGGGAAGAGGCCTTAGTGTACAGCTCAGGGAAGGGAAGGAGGTTGGACCCCTGTTCCAGAGCTCTCCCTGGGCCTGCTACCCTCTCTGCTGGCTACCTAACCCCTGCTTTTCCTGACCTAGAGCTGACCACTGATCAGGACTTGCTGCTGATGCAGGAAGGCATGCCGATGCGCAAGGTGAGGTCCAAAAGCTGGAAGAAGCTAAGATACTTCAGACTTCAGAATGACGGCATGACAGTCTGGCATGCACGGCAGGCCAGGGGCAGTGCCAAGCCCAGCTGTGAGTGACCTGGATAGTGGGGGGTGGATACATGGGTGGATAGAGGCCTGAGGAGCCCGGCAGGGGAGGGACCAAAGTCCTACGATAGTGTGTGTTTGTGCTGTCCTAATTGTGGCTATATCTGAGCCTGTAAAAGGAGATCATAACAGTACTTGCCTCATAAGGCTGTTATGAGGATTAAATTAGTTATTGTATATAAAAGGCTTAGAAGAGTCCTGGAACATAGTAAGATGTAATAAATCATTGGTTACATCTTGTTGTTATTATAATAAGACCATGATCTTGGGCATCAGCCTGCCTGAATTAAAGCCCTGGCTCTGCCACTTTCTAACTGAGTAGCTGTGGAAAATCAAGTAGTTAAGCTATGGCTGGGCATGGTGGCTCAATGCCTGTAATCCCAGCAATTTGGGAGGTTGAGGCAGGAGAATTTCTTGAGACCAGAAGTTCAAGACCAGCCTGGACAACATAGGGAGATCCTGTCTCTATAAAAAATAAAAATAAAAAATTAGCTGGGTGTGGTGCTGTACGCCTGTGGTCTCAGCTATTTGGGAGGCTAAGATGGGAGGATCACTTGAGTCCAGGAAGTTGAGACTGCAGTGAGCTGTGATCACACCACTGCACTCCGCCTGGGTGAGTGAGACCCTGTCTCTACAAAAATACATATATACATACATACATACATACATACATACATCAAGCTTCAGTTTCCTCATCTGTAAAACAGGGATTAAACAGTACCTGCTTAGTAGGCTACAAGGACTCAATGAGTTAACATGTAAAACACTTAGCATGGGATGTAAAACCAGAATGCATTTAATGAATGTTAGCCATTATTTTATATATATATATATATATATATATATATAGAGAGAGAGAGAGAGAGAGAGAGAGAGAGAGAGAGAGAGAGAGAGAGAGAGAGAGAGATGGAGTCTCGCTCTGTTGCCCAGGCTGGAGTGCAGTGGCGTGATCTCAGCTCACTGCAAGCTCCGCCTTCCGGGTTCACGCCATTCTCTTGCCTCAGCCTTCTGAGTGGCTGGGACTACAGGCACCCGCCACCACGCCCGGCTAATTTTTCGCATTTTTAGTAGAGGCGGGGTTTCACTGTGTTGGCCAGGATGGTCTCCATCTCCTGACCCCGTGATCCGCCTGCCTCGGCCTCCCAAAGTGCTGGGATTACAGGCGTGAGCCACTGCACCCGGCCTATAATAAATATTTTTAAATACAAAAAATGCGGCTGGGTGTGGTGGATCATGCCTGTAATCCCAGCACTTTGGGAGGCCGAGGCAGGCAGATCACTTGAGATCAGGAGTTTGAGACCAGCCTGGCCAACATGGTGAAACCCCATCTCTACTAGAAATACAAAAATTAGCCGGGCTTGGTGGCGCGCACCTGTAGTCCCAGCTACTCGGAAGGCTGAGGCAGGAGAATCGCTTGAACCTGGAAGGCAGAGGTTACAGTGAGCTGAGATTGTGCCATTGCACTCCAGCCTGGGTGACAAGAGCAAAACTTGGTCTCAAAAAACAAAATAAAACAAAAAAAAAATCATAACAGTGTGCACTTATTGGCCAAACTCTTTATGATAACAAGACATAATTTGATCACAGGACACATCTAAGAGAGTCTGTTTTACAGACAAATTGCTCACAATCCATACCGCCCCCAGCTGAGGTAAGAGGGTGAAAGAATTTCTCTGGTTCCCTCGTAGACATCTGGAAAGAGGAAGCCCTCAAACCTGGAATGGGGGCCAGGCGTGGTGGCTCACGCCTGTAATCCCAGCACTTTGGGAGGCCTAGGCGGGTGGATCACGAGGTCAGGAGATTGAGACCATCTGGCTAACACAGTGAAACCCCATCCCTACTAAAAAAATACAGAAAATTAGCCGGGCATGGTGGTGGGCACCTGTAGTCCCAGCTACTCAGGAGGCTGAGGCAGGAGAATGGCGTGAACCTGGGAGGTGGAGCTTGCAGTGAGCCGAGATCGCGCCACTGCACTCCAGCCTGGGCAACAGAGCGAGACTCCATGTCAAAAAACAAACAAACAAACAAACAAACAAACAAACCTGGAATGAGAGAACTGGACTTGGGCATATAATGCTTTAGTATAACTGCTTCTGCCTTTCAAATGTATGTCCATTTGTCATCCCCATCAGTCCTCCTGTGATCACCATTGGGGCTGCCTATGGAAGGGGACTATCCATTGTATCAGATGAGGATACTGAGGAGTTAAGTCATTTTGGTTTGTGTCATACTGCCAGCTTGTGGCTGGAAGCCATGTCTTGCCACTTCCAGTACAGGCCCTTTGCCATGCTGCCTTTGAAAACATCAGTGATTCATGTGGACTCCTGAATCCCTGGGGTCTGCATCTCTCTGTACTAATGCTTTTTGGGATTCAGCCTGCAGAGGCTGGGGTTCTTTTCTATGGTGTCATGGAGAAGGGGGTGCTGGTCCTTCACTCTTAGCCCCTGCTATTTGTTGGAATCCCTTCCTTAATGCCTCCACCTGTTTCTTCTCTGGCAGTCTCAATCTCTGATGTGGAGACAATACGTAATGGCCATGATTCCGAGTTGCTGCGTAGCCTGGCAGAGGAGCTCCCCCTGGAGCAGGGCTTCACCATTGTCTTCCATGGCCGCCGCTCCAACCTGGACCTGATGGCCAACAGTGTTGAGGAGGCCCAGATATGGATGCGAGGGCTCCAGCTGTTGGTGGATCTTGTCACCAGCATGGACCATCAGGAGCGCCTGGACCAGTATCGGCAGGATGGAGTCAGGGTGGGGGTGAGGGATCACGCTATCCCTGAAGGAGCCAGATGCAACAGGTTTAGGAAAGGTGAGAAGGGGTGCAGGGCTAGGGAGGCCCAAGGGTCCAGATGGTATGGGCAGGGACAGCTCAGGCCAATGTGAGACTGAGAATACTGAGGGAGGAATGGATGCCAAGGATCACATAGCCAGGCAGGAATCAGGACCCCCAGGATTGGAGGAAGAGGCAGTGACAGGCAGAGGAGCAAACAAGATGCTGCTCCTAAGAGCTGCACAGAAGATCCCAGTGGCATTAACCAGCATGTAGGTGGGAAGCAACCTCTTAGAAGGCTCAGTGATATAAACTCACTCCAAGTTTCCTGGATTGTTTACCATTTCATTCATTTATTCATTCATTCATGATCTATTAAGCAGAATGTATCAGGCACTATGCCAGACTATAGGGGTACATATATATATATATATATATATATGTTTTGTTTTGTTTTGTTTTTGATACGGAGTCTTGCTCTGTCACCCAGGCTGGAGTGCAGTAGCACAATCTCAGCTCACTGCAACCTCTGCCTCCCAGGTTCCAGCGATTCTCCTGCCTCAGCCTCCTGAGTAGCTGGGACTACAGGTGCATGCCACCACGCCCAGCTAATTTTTGTATTTTTTTGAAGAGACGGGGTTTCACCATCTTGGCCAGGCTGGTCTCGAACTCTGGACCTCGTGATCCACCCACCTCAGCCTCCCAAAGTGCTGGGATTACAGGCATGAGCCACCACACCCGGCCAGTGGTACAAAGATTAATGAGACTCACATATTGCTTCAGTTAGTGAAGAGGATGGAACTGTGTAAATAATTTTTTGTTTGGCCTGTAATCCCAGCACTTTGGGAGGCCAAGGCAGGGAGATCACTTGAGGCAGGCAGATCACTATGTTGCCTAACCTAGGCAACACAGGGAAGACTGCGTCTCTACAAAAAATTAAGAAGTTAACTGAAAGACTACACTTTCAGGGATAATTTCTATAGTTCATTACTAGAGAAGTTTCTCTGAATGTGTAGAGCACCATAAAATACATTTTATTTTTTATTTGAGACAGGGTCTCACTCTGTCACCCAAGCTGGAGTGCAGTGGCACGATCTTGGCTCACTGCAGCCGTGACAGCCTGGGCTCAAGCAATCCTCCCACCTCAGCTTCCCGAGCAGCTGGGATTACAGGCATGTGCCACCGCACCTGGCTAATTTTTTGTTTTGTTTTGTAGAGATGGGATTTTGCCACATTGCTCAGGCTAGTCTCTAACTCCTGGGCTCAAGTGGTCCATCCACCTCAGCCTCCAAAAGTGCTGGGATTAGAGGTGTGAGCCACTGCACCTGGCTCATAAAGTAAACTTTAAAAAATTAAATTAGCCAGGTGTGGCCAGGTGCAGTAGCTCACACCTGTAATTAATCCCAGCACTTTGAGAAGCTGAGGCTGGTGGATCACCTGAGGCCAGGAGTTCGACATCAGCCTGGCCAACATGGTGAAACCCCACCTCTACAAAAAATACAAAAAAATTAGCTGGGCGTGGCGACATGTATCTGCAATCCCAGCTACTCAGGAGGCTGAGGCACGAGAATCACTTGAACCGGAAAAGGTTGCAGGGAGCCGAGATGGTGCCACTGCACTCTAGCCTGGTCGACAGAGTTAGACTCTGTCTCCAAAAAAATTTTTTTTCTTTAATTATAAAAGAATTTTTATTTATTTATTTATAATAAATAAATAAAGTAGCCAGGTGTGGTGGTGCACACCTGTAGTCCCAGCTACTTGAGAGGCTGAGGTGGGAGGATCACTTTGGTCTGGGAGGTTGAGGCTGTAGTGAGCCATGATTGCACCACTTCACTTCAGCCTGGGCAACAGAGCGAGACTCTGTCTAAAACAAACATACAAATGAACAAACAAAAAACAGCCAGGTGTGGTGGTGGGCGCCTGTAATCTCAGCTACTCAGGAGGCTGAGGCAGGAGAATCTCTTGGACCCAGGAGATGGCAGTTGCAGTGAGCCAAGATTTCCCTAGTGCACTCCAGCCTGGGTGACGGAGCGAGACTCTGTCTCAAAAAAAAAAAAAAAAAAAAAAAAAGCTAAAGGAATATGGACTTGTTTTGTTTTGAGACAGAATCTCACTCCATCACCCAGGCTGGAATGCAGTGGTGCCATCTCGGCTCCATGCAACCTCCACCTCCTTGATTCAAGTGATTCTCATGTCTCAGCCTCCCTAGTAGCTGGAACGACAGGTGTGTGCTACCACACCCAGATAATTTTTTTGTATTTTTAGTGGAGATGGGATTTCACCATGTTGGCCAGGCTGGTCTCGAAACTCCTGACCTCATGTGATCCACCCACCTTGGCCTTCCAAAGTGTTGGGTTACAGGCACGAGCCATCGCGTCTGGCCAGAATATAGATTTCTTTCTGCAGGCAACAGGGAGGTCCCTGCAGGTGCCTGGGCCATACAGTGACAAGATAGATTGGTGCTCTAGAGAGATTATTCTAGAAGCTGTGTGGAGAATGGATTGGCACCGGGGAGAGAGACTGGCAGGAAAGAGAGGGGAGAGATGTCAGTGGACGAAGGTGCACACACAACTGCACACACAAACAGATACATTAGTGCTTTTGCCTTGACTCATACCTGGATGGCTGAGCGATTGGTTTCAACGTGGAGACAAAAATCAGGATGGTAAGATGAGTTTCCAAGAAGTTCAGCGGTTATTGCACCTAATGAATGTGGAAATGGACCAAGAATATGCCTTCAGTCTTTTTCAGGTGAGTCTGTGGGGAAGGATTTCCAGCGGCCAACCAGGCCACATTTTCATTTGGCCAGAAGTCCTCTGACCCCAGTCCACAACACTCAATTGTTAAATCTCTGCTATGTGCCCTAAGTGCTAGGCTCAATGCCCTAGGCTCAATGGGAAGTATAGGGGATGATTCTTGCCTTTCAGTCTTGTTGAAAAGTCATAATTCGGCCGGGCGCAGTGGCTCATGCCTGTAATCCCAGCACTCTGGGAGGCTGAGGCAGGTGGATCACGAAGTCAGGAGATCGGGTCCATCCTGGTTAACACAGTGAAACCCCCGTCTCTACTAAAACTACAAAAAATTAGCCGGGTGTGGTTGCGGGTGCCTGTAGTCCCAGCTACTAGGTAGGCTGAGGCAGGAGAATGGTGTGAACCCGGGAGGCAGTGCTTGCAGTGAGCCGAGATCATGCCACTGCACTCCAGCCTGGGTGACAGAGCGAGACTCTGTCTCAAAAAAAAAAAAAAAAAAAAAGAAAAAGAAAAGTCATGATTCTATGAAAGGTAAATAACAATATGTTATTATGTTGGACCTCAAGGACCTCTCTGTCCATGGCCAGAATTTCACAGGTGCCTAGAACAATGGAAAACCCCAGCTGGAATGTGAGTAAATAGGAGGAGGGATCTTCTGACATTTTAGGGGCCTTTGGGAGATTTAATTCTTTCTAGTTGAAAATTTTCTCTAGTAGCAAATGGTATGGCTAAAATTTTGCTTCTTACTGAAGTGATTTATTCTATGAACACTAAATGTTTAGGAGTTCCGTGGGAGTTTTATGGAAGCATGTTTGGATCTATCTGTCTGTAAAATTGCTTTTACAGTGCAAGTCAAGGTCATAACATTTCCCATTCTCCATGATGTGCTTATTTCACATTGCATGCCTATATCAAAACATCTAATTTACTGTATAAATATATACACCTACTATGTACCCAGAAAAATTTAAAAAAAAATTTTTTTAATTAAAAAGATAACATTTCCCATTAAAAGTTTCATTCACTCTCCCCTAAACCTCTCTTGCAGGCAGCAGACACGTCCCAGTCTGGAACCCTGGAAGGAGAAGAATTCGTACAGTTCTATAAGGCATTGACTAAACGTGCTGAGGTGCAGGAACTGTTTGAAAGTTTTTCAGCTGATGGGCAGAAGCTGACTCTGCTGGAATTTTTGGATTTCCTCCAAGAGGAGCAGAAGGAGAGAGACTGCACCTCTGAGCTTGCTCTGGAACTCATTGACCGCTATGAACCTTCAGACAGTGGTAAGAGAAATCAGGTGGAGAGGCACCAGACATAGGGGTTGGAGAGAGGGACATGATTACAAGGTCCAGAGACAAGCAGCCATCTGCCTGAGAGAAGGTTGAGTCTATCCCTATCCTGACCCCTGCCCAATCATCTCATTTAACCACTCCTCCCAAAGGAGGGCAGGCATTTCCTGTTCAGACAAGACAGGGGTTTCCTCTGAGGTGCTAGACCTCTCAGGAGGAAGAAGATTCCATGGCTCCTCATTCCTCCATTATGCTCATGTTTCCTTTACTTTCAGGAAGTTCTTTCTGATACCAGCTTTGCCCTCGCTGGAAACGGAAAACCCTTGATCCTCTTTCTTTGGCCTCTTCTCTAGTGCAAATGATTCCTTTTCCTCTGGTTCTTCTTCCATGGTTCCTGTTTGCTATTCCTTTAAATGCTGGCTCGCTGCCCTTTCCTGAGTTGTCTTCAATTCAAGTGGCTCTCTTGAGTCTCTAAGCCCCTGAACCAGAAAGCCAGTTAGCCCCTGGCTGGGGGAATAAGGAGGCCAGTTATTTAGCTTTTAAGGAGTGCAGCTGAAATATACGCTCTTGTTCTTCAAAGTTTCTTCCTCTTGCCTCTTCAGTAGACTCATTTCCTGCCCTCCATTCCCTTCGGAGTGTGAGAAATTTACATTAATAATAAATACTTTACAAGGAACTTTCACGTTCCTCATTTCATTTAGTCCTCAGTACAACTTTGCAAATCAACAGTAATCTTTATTGGCCCTTTACTACATATCCCATAATGCTCTAATATCTCTATGTACCTTTTCCTTTTTCTATTTTTTTGTTTTTTTGAGACAGAGTTTTGCTCTTATTGCCCAGACTGGAGTGCAATGGCACGATCTCGGCCCACCACAACCTCTGCCTCCCGGGTTCAAGCAATTCTCCTGCCTTAGCCTCCCGAGTAGCTGGGATTACAGGCATGCGCCACCACGCCCGGCTAATTTTGTATTTTTAGTAGAGGATGGGGTTTCACCATGTTGGTCAGGCTGGTCTCGAACTCCCGACCTCAGGTGATCCACCCGCCTCAACCTCCCAAAGTGCTGGGATTACAGGCATGAGCCACTGTGCCTGGCATCTACGTACCTTTTCTAATACAATGACCTGTTGAAATGGGTCCTGTTATTAAGTCAGTTGTATAAAAGAGGAAAACTGAGGTTTAGAAAGATTCAATGACTTGCTCAAAGTCAACAGCTAATGAGAGAGGAACTGAGATTCAAACCCAGGTCATCTGACTCTTAGTTGGTGCCTCTCTTGAGAATGAGGATAAGAGATGGGATGAATGAGAGCTGGACAAGTGATCAAGGTATTCTGGGTCTAAACTCTTACTCCCTTTCATTCATTCATTTATTCACTACTTCAATGAATGCTTATTGAGTTCCTATAATGTGTCAGGACCTATGCTAGGCACCAGACATACATTAGTGCCTAGATCAGACAAGGACACTGCCCTCATGAAACTTAGAGTCAAACAGAAAACATTACAATCTGTTATTTCAGATTTGTTTGGGTGTTCAGAATAGAGTAGAGGTTGTAGGCTGAGTGCAGTGGCTCACGCCTGTAATCCCAGCACTTTGGGAGACCGGGCAGATAACCTGAGGCCAGGAGTTCGAGACCAACCTGGCCAACATGGTAAAACTCTGTCTCTACTAAAAATATAAAAATTAGCCAGGCATGGTGGTGCACGCTTGTAATTCCAGCTACTTAAGGAGGCTGAGGCATAAGAATCGCTTGAACTCGGGAGGTGGAGGCTGTAGTAAGCCGAGATCACACCACTGCACTCCAGCCTGGGTGACATGGTGAGACTCTGTCTCAAAAAAAAAAAAAAAGAAAAGAAAAGAAAAAAAAGAATGGAGGTTGTAAAGCAATCATTTCAGAAAATGAAATCGAAGAGAGTTAAAAGTTTAAGAGATAGAATCTCTAGGCCGGGCGCTGTGGCTCATGCTTGGAATCCCAGCACTTTGGGAGGCCGAGGCAGGAGGATCACCTGAGGTCAGGAGTTTGAGAACAGCCTGGCCTACGTGGTGAAACCCCATCTCCACTAAAAACACAAAAAATTAGCCGGGTATGGTGGCAGGAGCCTGTAATCCCAGTTACTCGGGAGGCTGAGACAGGAGAATTGCTTGAACCTGGGAGGCAGAGGTTGCAGCAGTGAGCTGAGATTGCACCACTGCACTCCAGCCTGGGCGACAGACCAAGACTCTGTTTCAAAAAAAAAAAAAAAAAAGAAAGAAAGAAAGAAAAAAGAAATAGGATCTTTTGTTACCTGTGCAGAATCCAGTAAACATCAGTCCAAGACTCTGTTTCAAAAAAAAAAAGCAAGAAAGAAAAGAGAAATAGGATCTTTTGTTACCTGTGCAGGATCCAGTAAACATCAGTCCAAGACTCTGTTTCAAACAAAAAAAAAAGAAAGAAAAAAGAAATAGGATCTTTTGTTACCTGTGCAGAATCCAGTAAACATCAGTTACATTTGTTTCGACCCCGACCCCTCTTGGTGTTTCCTTCCCTTGAACTTGACAATCAGATACTTTATCTGGCTACAGAGAGTAGTATCAGTCAAAAAACCTGGGCTCAGGTCTCCACTGTGTTTCTTATTAACTGATAACTGTGAGCAAGTCACTTAACCTAACTAACTCAGTTTCCTCATTTGTAAAATAATTGATAAAATGAAATAATGCACATGAAAAGTATCTGGCAACTGCAAATTTACCTGAGTGATTTATTACTGTCAAGAATGAAACTTTCTGGCCGGGCACAATGGCTCATGCCTGTAATCCCAGCACTTTGGGAGGCCAAGGCAGGCGGATCACTTAAGTTCAGGAGTTCGAGACCAGCCTGGCCAACATGGTGAAACCCCTTCTCTACTAAAAATATAAAAATTAGCTGGGTATGGTGGCGGGCACCTGTAATTTGAGCTACTTGGGTGCCTGAGGCAGGAGAATCGATTGAACCCGGGAGGCGGAGGTTGCAGTGAGTGGAAATCGAACCACAGCACTCCAATCTGGGTGACAGAGCGAGACTCCATCTCAAAAACAAACCAACCAACCAACAAACAAACAAAAAGAATGAAACTTCCACCAGGTATGGTAGCTCATGCCTATAATATGGGAGGGTGAGGCAGGAGGACTGCTTGAGTTCAGGAGTTCAAGACCAGCCTGGGCAACACAGTGAGACCCCATCTCTAAAAATAAAAAAATAAAAAAAATAACCAGGCTTGGTGGCACATTCCTGTAGTCCCAGCTACTTGAGAGGCTGAGGTGAGAGGATTGCTTGAGCCTGGAGGGCAAGGCTGCAGTGAGTTGTGATTGTGCCACTGTATCCAGCCTGGGTGACAGAGTGAGACTCTGTCTCCCAAAAAAAAAAAAAAAAGGAAACTTCCTGCCCAACTTCCTGTCCTTCTTCACAATCTCCAGGCCTTGTGAAACCTGGAGCAAGGAAGCTGGCCATGAGAGTCATGTTGTTCCACCTTCCAGGCGAGCCTCCTTGTAGCAACATTATTCTCAGTGAGACTGCACAGCCCAGTGGTGCAGGGCATGGCTCTGACACCTGGCGGCCTGGGTTCAAATCCCAGCTTCTACAGTTACTGATTATGAGACCTGGAGCAAGTTACCTAACCTCTCATGGCAGATTATATTACATCTACTTCATCACGTTACTGAGAACATGAGTGAGATGCTGCGTGGAATGCCCTGGGCATAGAGTGAGTGCTTGATAACTGTTAGTCATTGTTGTTGTTGTTGTATAAAGCCCATACTGAGATTGGAGGGAGCTATGGAAGGACTAACAGGGCCCTTTTCTCAATGGGAGTGTAGTCTAAGGAGATGTTGACAAATGATCCTCAAAACATCATATGGGAACATGGACAGTAAGAAGAAACCCTCAGGCCATAGTTAGTCACAGGTACACAGCCCAAGGAAGAAAATACAGGTAACTTGGCCATGTCACTAAGCCTTTGACTTTGATTCTCTCTGGGCCTCAGTTTCCTCATCTATAAAATTAGCCCTTTGGATGTTGTCCATTATAGTAACTGTGAGCTCCATTTGGCTATTTAAAATTAAATTAACTAGGTCGGGCACGGTGGCTCACGCCTGTAATCCCTGCACTTTGGGAGGCCAAGGCAGGCGGATCACGAGGTCAGGAGATGGAGACCATCCTGGCTAACACGGTGAAACCCTGTCTCTACTAAAAATACAAAGAAAAAAAAAAAGAGCCGGGTGTAGTGGGGGGCGCCTGTAGTCCCAGCTACTCGGGAGCCTGAGGCAGGAGAATGGCGTGAAACCAGGAGGCGGAGCTTGCAGTGAGCAGAGATCCTGCCACTGCACTCCAGCCTGGGAGACGGAGTGAGACTCTGTCTCAAAAATAAATAAATAAATAAATTAAATTAAATTAACTAAAATCTAATAAAATTTAAAACTTAGTTCTTCAGTTACACAAGCCACATTTCAAGTGCTCAGTAGCCACATGTGGCTAGAGGCTACTATATATGACACTGCAGAATAAAACGTTTTTCTCTTTAGTACTATAGCATAAAAAAAGACCAAAAAAAAGTTAAAAAAAAAAAGACATTTATCTCATCATAGGAAGTTCTATTGGATAGCACTGGACTCAAATGAACTTTTTTTTTTGAGACGGAGTCTCACTCTGTCCCCCAGGCTGGAGTGCAGTGGCGCGATCTGGGCTCACTGCAAGCTCTGCCTCCCGGGTTCACGCCATTCTCCTGCCTCAGCCTCCCGAGTAGCTGGGACTACAGGCGCCCACCACCGTGCCCGGCTAATTTTTTGTATTTTTAGTAGAGATGGGGTTTCACCGTGTTAGACAGGGTGGTCTCGATCTCCTGACCTCGTGATCTGCCCGTCTCAGCCTCCCAAAGTACTGGGATTACAGGCGTGAGGCACCGCGCCCAGCCTTGAATGATCTTAATGATTCCTTTTAACATTCTTTGAGGGTGGGAATGATTGAAATGATACACACTAGGTGGGGCAAGTTTGGGATCTAAAGGCTGGGAATGGGTGCCATCTGAAAGGCAGGGCTCTGGATGGAGTGGGAGGAAGGATGGACTGTAGGTGTGCTGGGATGCTCCCATTCAGAGCTTCTCACCTAGTGTTCCCCTGTCCACACTCCAGGCAAACTGCGGCATGTGCTGAGTATGGATGGCTTCCTCAGCTACCTCTGCTCTAAGGATGGAGACATCTTCAACCCAGCCTGCCTCCCCATCTATCAGGATATGACTCAACCCCTGAACCACTACTTCATCTGCTCTTCTCATAACACCTACCTAGTGGGGGACCAGCTTTGTGGCCAGAGCAGCGTCGAGGGATATATACGGTGCAGTGGTGGTAGAGAAGGGGTCCAACTCATGAGAGGGACCATGTAGAAAAGTGAGGGGAGCTGTCAGTGTCTAACAGATTGGGACAGTGTTGTGGGGGTTTAGGGGCTGAGGAGCCCTGGATACCAGAGACACTTGGAGGAGATATTGAAGACTGGTGGGAGAATGGTAATGAAACCCTATGGGTCAATGGAACTTCTCTTTCACAAGCTATGAAACTCTCCTGGAACTCAGAGGCCCTGACAGATTTATATTTAACAAATTAATAAACAGATTGTTAAATGGAAGGCAATAGAGAATAGGAGTTAAAAATATAGGTTCTGGAGTCAGACCATCTGAAATTATATCCTAGCTCCTTCACTTGGTACTCTGGGGCTAAGTATTTAACTTCTATACCTCAGTCTCCCCATCTGTGAAACAGGGATGGTAACAGTGCCTATTCTGTCTGGGTTGTTGTGAAGAGATAATTCATATGTCAATAGCTAATAAGCAGTTCTGATTTTATTGTGACTAATCATGGATTAGATTGAATAGTCAAGATATCTTTCTATTACCAGCAACTGAACTAGTAGCTTCAAGGGATACAAAGATGAGTGGAACATATAGTTTCCACCTTAGGAAGTCTAGCTGAGGAATTAAGGTGTAAATTTACTGACAGTTTGAATAACCAGGATGTTGTATAGGGATATAAAGCCAGAACACCACTGGACACAATGGCTTATGCCTGTAATTCCAGCACTTTGGGAGGCCGAGGCAGGGAGATCGCTTGAGCCCAAGAGTTCGAGACCAGGCTGGGCAACATAGTGAGAGCCCGTCTCCACAAAAAATGCAAAAATTAGCCAGGCATGGTGATGTGTGCTTTTAGTACCAGCTACTCGGGAGGCTGAGGTGGGAGGATCGCTTAAGCCTGAGAGGTCAAGGCTGCAGTGAGCCATGTTCACACCACTGCACTCTAGCCTGGGTGACAGATTTAGACCCTGTCTCAAAAAAATAAAAGTAAATATAAATAAATAAGTAAAACCAGAACACCAGATGCATCATGAGGCAATGTGTGATGGATTGCTATGGAAGGACTGTGAGTCGGGTGGGCTGAAGTATGGGTAGAGATCAGCGTGAGCTTGCAGCAGTGTCCCCATGGATGGAGAAGGCTCTATGCAGATGTAGCTTGAAGGGGTCTGGATGGGTAAGTGCTGGTGAGCACTGTTCTCTCCAGAGTGGGGAGAGTCCCTAGGTAGAAGATCAGATATTGACCTCTCCTATTTCTCGGTGGGGATGGGGTTCTTTCAGGGCCCTGAAGCGGGGGTGCCGCTGCGTGGAGGTGGATGTATGGGATGGACCTAGCGGGGAACCTGTCGTTTACCACGGACACACCCTGACCTCCCGCATCCTGTTCAAAGATGTCGTGGCCACAGTAGCACAGTATGCCTTCCAGGTAGTAGCCCCAGGATGGGGACACTGGTGAGGCCAGAAGGTCTGAGGGAAGAACGACTGGCTCTGGGTCTGGGGAGGGTGGAGGAGTACAGGGGAAGTTCCATCAAAAGAGGATTTAACTGTAAAGCATCAGGCAAATACTAAAGGCTGATTATGAATAAGTGTTGGACATGTTACTAATAATTAGTAGTTATGGAGGTAATTACTTATGGTTAGAAACTATTACTTCTTCAGGCCAGGTGTGGTGGCTCATGCCTGTAATCCCAGCACTCTGGGAGGCCGAGGCGGGTGGATCACCTGAGGTTGGGAGTTTGAGACTAACCTGACCAACATGGAGAAACCCCGTCTCTATTAAAAATAGAAAATTAGCTGGGCGTGGTAGTGCATGCCTGTAATCCCAGCTACTTGGGTGGCTGAAGCAGGACAATCCTTTGAACCCAGGAGGCAGAGGTTTGCAGTGAGCCGAGATCGCACCAGTGCACTCCAGCCTGGGCAGCAAGAGTGAAACTCCATCTCAAAAAACAAAACAAAACAAAAAACTATTACTTCTAACAAGTTCTATCACCCTTCTGGAAGAGGTGGATAGGAAACACAGAGATAGTGGTGAGTAGGGCTGATGAACAATGGGAATCTGGAGGATGAAAGCATGAGAGTGCAACATGAACACATAACCAGGGAATGTGGCCTGGCCTTCCCACTAAGAGCCTGAAAACTCAAAGGTCCCAGAGGGGCCTGGGTCAGACTTGGCACAGGTATGAGATTTAGGATCCCAAGATGTGAATATGTCTTTAGATGTGGGCAGTGTCGCAGGCATGGGCCTCAGACCCAGCAAGATCTCACTGAATCCTATAATGGAGTTGGAAGAGTTTAGTGATCAGGGTACTCATCTGAGTGAGTAAGTAGGGAGGCCTAGGAAGCGGGTACTTGAAGAAGTAGGTTGCAGTGTTTTAGAACTCTGAATCCATTGTTCCCTCCCCTCACCACCAGACATCAGACTACCCAGTCATCTTGTCCCTGGAGACCCACTGCAGCTGGGAGCAGCAGCAGACCATGGCCCGTCATCTGACTGAGATCCTGGGGGAGCAGCTGCTGAGCACCACCTTGGATGGGGTGCTGCCCACTCAGCTGCCCTCGCCTGAGGTAGGGACACTGTTCCTCCAGCCCAGGCTCTGCTGTGGCTTCTGGATTCCGCCACCTGGGCTCCTTCCTCTATGCCCCTCTTTGTTCCCTTCTTTCTATCCTCGGATGGACCATCTTGCTCTTTAATGTCCTTGGATCCTTGGAGACAATTTTAACTTAAACAAAATCTAACTGAACACAGAATTCTATTTATAGCTCTCTAAGTTTTAAATCAACAATTTACATTATTTCTTTTCTCAGTGGAAGTATCTTGATTTTTTTCTGGTAGTTCATAGTTGTTGTGGACTATACAAACAATATAAAGGGAAATCTCCCCTCCTATCATAATCCCAACCTCTCCCATAACAAGCAGCTATCGATAGATTTTTTTGTTTTTTTTGAGACAGAGTTTCGCTCTTGTCGCCCAGGCTGGAGTGCAATGGTGCGATCTCAGCTCACTACAACCTCTGCCTCCCGGGTTCAAGCGATTCTCCTGCCTCAGCCTCCTGAGTAGCTTGGATTATAGGTGTGCACCACCACACCTGGCTAGTTTTTGTATTTTAGTAGAGATGAGATTTCACTATGTTAGCCAGGCTGGTCTTGAATCCCTGACCTCACGTGATCCACCCTCCTCAGCCTCCCAAAGTGCTGTGATTACAGGCGTGAGCTACTGCGCCTGGCCCTGAGTTTTCAAGTTATGTTTCTAAAGGCTTTCCCACGGTAAGATTATTCAGGCCAGGCACGTTGGTTCATGCCTCTAATCCCAGCACTTTGGGAGGCTGAGGCAGGTGGATCATGAAGTCAGGTGTTCAAGACTAGCCTGGCCAACATAGTGAAAACCCATCTCTACTAAAAATACAAATTAGCTGGGCATGATGGTGGGCACCTGTAATCCCAGCTACTTGGGAAGCTGAGGCAGGAGAATTGCTTGAACCTGGAAGGTGGTGGTGCAGTGAGCTGAGATTGCGCCACTGCACTCCAGCCCGGGCGACAGTGCGAGACTCCGTCTCAAAAAAAAAAAAAAAAGGATTATTCAAAAAGGTTCTCTATTTCCTTCTTGTATTCTTATGTTCTTTATATTGACATGTAAATCTCTAATCTATAACGAGTATTTACTGTGTCAAATGTGTGGCAGGAGACCATATATATTATTTTCCATATGGATAGAGATATTAAAAGTTTGCTTAACAATATGGGAATTCCAATTGTATGTATCAAGCAGCTAATCTCTTCCCTCGGGAACTTCCGACCACTCACTCACTTCCTCTGCCTTTGAGAACAATGAGACTGGCATGATTCCCAGAAGGACCCAAGAGCAGACAGGTAGACAGGCCCCTTCATTTTTGTCCCCTAGGAGCTTCGGAGGAAGATCCTGGTGAAGGGGAAGAAGTTAACACTTGAGGAAGACCTGGAATATGAGGAAGAGGAAGCAGAACCTGAGTTGGAAGAGTCAGAATTGGCGCTGGAGTCCCAGTTTGAGACTGAGCCTGAGCCCCAGGAGCAGAACCTTCAGAATAAGGACAAAAAGAAGGTAAGCCAGGAGTGGTCTTTCTGCTGTGGTATTTAGTCAACTTATGCAAGCTGAAGGCCTGTTCATGAAGACTAGAGCCGTGCAAGATGCAGGGCCAAGGAGCAATGACCCTTCCTCCCAATGAAGGAGATTTAAGACCGCATACATGGCATCAATATATATTATATACTGCCATATGTAGGTATGTTGCAGTGGCTTTCCAACTTCTTTGGGCCACATCTTTTTTTTTAAAATGAAATCTTACGCAAAATAGATAAACGCAGAACCATCCTAGTTGAAGCACCCATTTGGCTCTCTCCTGGGTGCCCTAGTGACTCCTGAGACATTTTTGTACTTCTTGGTCTTCTTAAAGGCCAGCTTGAAAACCAGTGATGAGCGGGTGTGTGTTTGTATGTGTAACATTATTATATTGGGTAAGTAGGGGTTACTGGAATGATTGTTGTGATCTCAACCAAAGTGGGCATAGAGAAAGCTTTTTGGAAAGGATGAGTTTTAGGAAGGGCCAGCAGTAGCCAGAGGAGCAGGAAGGAGAGCATTTTGAGGTGGGGAACGTGAAGGCTCTGAGAAGGCTGTGCTAGAGTGGTCCATCTCCCTATGGGGAAGGGAGGCAGAGGGAGAAGGGATGCCATTGGTGGGGCCTCCAAGATCCTGGTTTGAAGTCTGCCTTTCTCTTGTGTACTTGCGTGGCTCACTCAGCTGACTGACTCCTAGCTTATCCTGTGCTTTCTGGGGCTGTGGTGTCTAACCTGCTGCCATGTCCAGGGATGGAAATGGGAATTCAGGAGACAAATCCAAAGATATTACTCTGGGACTCTCACATCCTTCCAGGTGTGACTTACATGACCATTTGCATACCTTGACATATCTGTCTGGATTCATGTACATTTTGACCAAAGGTTATTGTTCCTTTGTTTTAAATGAGAGGGAGGGAGGATAATGCCTCTCTGTTTAAATATAATAATAAATTTAAAACCTGTCACCCAGGATATAACATAGAGCAAACACAAGCCCAGAGGTTGACACTGATCCCAGCAGTACATGCAGACCGCCTTTATTCCCATTCCCACCCCCAGGTTGTGACGTGCCCGCTGTTTTGTCCGTCTATCTGTTGTCAGATTGTGGCCCAGGCTCCTATTTCCAAGCCTGAGTCCCTTCTCTTGTCCCGGCAGGTGAGGCAGGAGGGAGAATACAGTGGGGAGGCAGTGGGCAGAGGTTTAGGTTGGATGGCCATTATCTTCTTCTCTCTCAGACTGCTGAGGGTTCAATTCCATCTTCTTTTCCACCTTCTCCAGAAATCCAAGCCCATCTTGTGTCCAGCCCTCTCTTCCCTGGTTATCTACTTGAAGTCTGTCTCATTCCGCAGCTTCACACATTCAAAGGAGCACTACCACTTCTACGAGATATCATCTTTCTCTGAAACCAAGGCCAAGCGCCTCATCAAGGAGGCTGGTCAGGACCAAAATGGAGGGATGGGGAGGGAAGTGGGATGGATAGGTTCAGGCCTGATGGACTGGCAGGTAAGTCCCAAGAAAAAAGACAAGGTAGCTAAGGAGAGATGAAGGAGTTCAGAAACTCCTTAGAGCAGACAAGGGCAGAGGAGTTATGAATAGTGGCTCAAGGGTCTAGGGGCAGGAAAGCTGGTCTGGATGGACAGAGTAGAGAGGCACAGTGAAACTTTCTGGAGCCAGCTTCAGATGCTGGAGAGAAGGGTGAAGAGTAGGCATGGTCCTTGGGACTAGGGAAGTGGGAGATTCCACCCCACTTCCATCTCCCTCTCTATACCCTTTTACAGGCAATGAGTTTGTGCAGCACAATACTTGGCAGTTAAGCCGTGTGTATCCCAGCGGCCTGAGGACAGACTCTTCCAACTACAACCCCCAGGAACTCTGGAATGCAGGCTGCCAGATGGGTGAGGAGGCAGCAGGGACTGGGAAGAGGGAGTGGAGGAGCAGCAGGTGGGAAATAAGTTCTCTAGTGATGGTAGGGTTGGGGAATGCTCAAGAAAATTGCTAGGCTGAGAAATGCTATCAGTGGATATTACCAGCAGGTACCGTGCACCCAGTACCTATCTTCTTAACTCCCTGAAAGAGGGGCTGGAAGGCCTCCATGGTGAATCTTGCTCTTCTTTTCTCCTGGGGCCCTCAGTGGCCATGAATATGCAGACTGCAGGGCTTGAAATGGACATCTGTGATGGGCATTTCCGCCAGAATGGCGGCTGTGGCTATGTGCTGAAGCCAGACTTCCTGCGTGATATCCAGAGTTCTTTCCACCCTGAGAAGCCCATCAGCCCTTTCAAAGCCCAGACTCTCTTAATCCAGGTACAGTGGAAATAAACTGTTGGGAAGAAACTGAGATAACTGGGATAGAAGTGAGGGAAGAGGTGGCTAGGCCTGACCGGAATGTAGAGGCCGGATAGCCTATTAACAGTGTCTAGTTTTAGCTTTTGGAGCCAGCTGCCTAGCTTCAAACCACAACTTCCTAATTGGGTAATGTTGGGCAAGTTCCTTAACCTCTCCATACCTCAGTCTGCTCACCTGCAAAATAGGGGTAACACTACCACCTGCCTCACAGGGTTATAAGGAGTATAACAGTTAATATAAAGTTCTTACAATTCCTGGCACACAGGAAGTGCTATAAAAGAGGCTGGCTGGGAGCGATAGCTTACACCTGTAATCCCAGCGCTTTGGAGGCCAAGGCAGGAGGACTGCTTGAGCCCAGGAGTTTGAGACCAGTCTGAAACTGGTCTCAACAAAAAATTTAAAAATTTTGTAGAGACTCCCGTCTCTACAAAAAATTTAAAAATTAGCCTGGCATGGTGGCACATGACTATAGATAGTCCTGGCTACTCAGGAGGCTAAGGCTGGAGGGTCACTTTAGCCCAGGAGATGGAGGTTGCAGTGAGCTATGACTGCCCCACTGCATTCCAGCTTGGTCAAGAGTATGATCGTGTCTCTTTGAAAAAAAAAAAGTGGCTGCTGTCATTAGCATGCCTACTTTCAAACTGTTGAATTTCTACCTGGATCCATTTAATTTATTTGTTTATTCTGAGACAGAGTCTTGCTCTGCTGCAGGCTGGAGTGCAGTGGCATGATCTTGGCTCACTGCAACCTCCGCCTCCTGGGTTCAAGTGATTCTCCCATCTGAGCCTTCCGAGTAGCTGGGACTACAGGCGCCCGCCACCATGCCTGGCTAATTTTTGTATTTTTAGTAGAGATAGGGTTTCACCATGTTGGCCAGGCTGGTCTCCTGGTTTCAAGTGATCTGCCCACCTCGGCCTCCTGAAGTGTTGGGATTACAGGTGTGAGCCACCGTGCCCGGCCTTTGGGTGCATTTTAAATTGCAGATAGAATACTAGAAGAAAATATATTACCCATGGAGGATGTTTTACAAACCAAAAAGCTTCTTCTCCCCTGGGGTTGGGAGTAGGGTCGGGTGGGGCTGGGCTGAGCAGGAACTTGTGAGATTCCAGAGCCCTGACTACAGGTGATCAGCGGTCAGCAACTCCCCAAAGTGGACAAGACCAAAGAGGGGTCCATTGTGGATCCACTGGTGAAAGTGCAGATCTTTGGCGTTCGTCTAGACACAGCACGGCAGGAGACCAACTATGTGGAGAACAATGGTGAGAAACTGGCAGTGCTGGGGAGGTGGGGGTAGGAGCATGATTAGTTTTCCTTCTAGTCTGTCTTCCATTAAGTATAGCATCTGTTATTGCATGTCCCCACATGGGAGGCAGTGTGGAACAGTACAAAGAATCCTGGCTCTTCACTTAAAAGCTCCAGTGACCTGGGCAAATTACTTGCTTACTCTGAGCCTTTTTCCTTACCTGTAAAATGCTGATTGCCATCTAGATTAAATGAGAACACAAGAAAAGCAACCCAGTCAAGAAAACTGTCATAATGTCTTCTTATTTCTTTCTGTCCACCAACTCAGGTTTTAATCCATACTGGGGGCAGACACTATGTTTCCGGGTGCTGGTGCCTGAACTTGCCATGCTGCGTTTTGTGGTAATGGATTATGACTGGAAATCCCGAAATGACTTTATTGGTCAGTACACCCTGCCTTGGACCTGCATGCAACAAGGTGAGCCAGCCCCTTTGGCCCCTGGCCAATACCCCAGCTCTGGCTGCCTTCCTAATGCTGTCCTCCTGCCCCTTCCAGGTTACCGCCACATTCACCTGCTGTCCAAAGATGGCATCAGCCTCCGCCCAGCTTCCATCTTTGTGTATATCTGCATCCAGGAAGGCCTGGAGGGGGATGAGTCCTGAGGTGGGCATTTCACGGGAAGGGTTGGTGTGCTGGCTTTAGACGGGGAGAAACATCTGGAAGGATGCTCGAGAGAACAAATGGAGGTGGTGAAAATCAAGCTTTGGATTGTGCATTCCTAGGCACAAAATTACCTCATTCTTCCTAACAAGCAATCTGGGACCTGATTTTCCACCTTTTTTCTCTTTTCTTCCCTTCCTTTGTTTTCATAAGCCTTTGGTATCTTTCCTGCCCTTTTCCTTTGTGTACTCTATACTGGAGTTCCCTTCTTCCTCTTGCTGTAGGCTCAATCCCATACCGACATCTACAACTAATCTTTCCCATCAACTCTGTGTGAAGGCAGGTTGCAACTAGAAATTCAGAGGGGCTTGGAATAGAGAAACCTAAAGAAGCATCATCCCCTCCATCCCCAACTTCCTCAAAGCCCAAAGCCAAGGGAAGGATAAATCAAGGCTCAAGGCTTCCCCAGCAAAGATTAGGGAAAGAGACTTGACCCCAGGACTGTACTACGACTCTTAAGAGAACACTGCACAGCACTCAAAGTCCCCCACTGGACTGCTTCCTCCTTAGCCCCACTGGTATAAATACATCTCTCTCCAATTTGGCTTCAATATGGTCTGTCATTGTTGGGCAAGAAGGGGAGGTACAAGGGTTGTGGGGACATCTGGGTAGTCAGGTGAGACAAGGAAAAGGTAGAGAAAGAGGTTCCCAGGAGACCTCTTGCATGTGCTACATAGGAAGGACACAGAGTATGGCTTTTAAGAATCAGGGCAAAAGCAGACAAAAGGTTATGTGGTCCCAGCCTTCCTGAAGAGTCTGGCTGGAACCATCCTGGTTTATGTCTGTTGTCCCAGCATAATTATTAATAGTACCCTCTTTAAGTTTTCCCAGTGTGTCTCAGTTTAGATGATCAATTATATAGTAAGGCACTACAGAATTATACTGTGAAGCAGTTATAGAATTCTGAATTGGAGATTTTCCTCTCTAGTCATCTGCCTTTCCATAGTATCCTTGTGCTTTAACACCTTAGTGTAGCTGCTGAGCCAGTCTGAGGATTGATGATGAGCTAAAGTTGCTTCTAGGAGGAGGCTTAGTGGGTAGCAATCCTCCCTCTATAGATACAGGTAGACAAAGGAGCTTGGAAGTAGGGAGCAGGTCAAGGGTCAAGATGGCTCAAGGACAGGGAGAAGGCAGACCTAGGCCTGTTTCAGTATCAATACTGAGTGAAGATGGAAGGGACAAAAGGGAGGCAGAGGTCTGAGAGGGGACAGAGTTGATCAAGATGACAGCCTGGAAATGTTAAGACAGGGATTTGGATGAATCTATAATGTAGTAACCACTTTCTGTTTAACATGCTTTATAGAGCATTAGGCACAACAGCACATGCGGTTAGATACAACTGTTTTTAGAAGATTCTGAAAGAAAATAGGAATTGACACAGTAAGAAGGAAAGAGAAGATGGAGTGGGTAAAATCCAGATCTTATAGCCAGGGACTTTGATGGAGTGATGGTGAAGAAACTGAGAACTTGCAGGTTAAAAACGCAATGTACAGCAATAAGAAATCAACGTTATAGTCCATGTCCCTCTTTTATATGGGTGATAATTTCAAAGTACTATAGCCAGAGTCCCAGGAAGGTTCTAGTCACCCTTGTACCCCAAAAGCCAGTCTTTCCTTAGGCTCTGAGCTCCTCAGGCTAGCGCTGGTCCCAGTCTGCACATCTCAGACCATACCCTCTTCCTATACAGGAGGTGGGGCAGGCTTTCAGCCCTCAGGTCCAGTGTGGGGAGCGGCAGGAGCAGGAGGGCTGGGATCCTCCAGCTGCACATCATGCAGGTGCACTGTGGGGGTGGTGGGGTCTTTGCCCACACCCTGGTTTGGGTCGGCTTGGTCAGGGTGGTGCCTGCGTACGTGCTTGACCACCTGGAACTTTTGCTTGGCCTTGTAGTTGCAGAGGCGGCAAAAGAAGGGGTGGCGGTCGGTGTGGGTGAGGGCATGATGGCGCAGGCCAGCAGCCCAGCGGAAAGCACGGTGGCACACATTGCACACATAGGGTTTGGCCTCACTGTGCTTGCGAAGGTGGGTGCGCAGCAGGAAGCGCGTCTTGAAGGCCTTGCCACACTGCTCACACATGAAAGCCCGTGCTTCTCGATGCCGGGTCTCCTGGTGCACACGCAGTGCATCAGCCCGGTTGGTGCAGTACTCACACTCGGGACACTGGTATGGCTTCAGTCCTACAGGACAGGGAACAAATCACCATTGAAAGGCGGTGGAGCAAGGTTTACTGGGCCATGGAGTTACTGCAATCAGTGGATATAAAGAATGCAAGCAGCAAGTTGACTAATGACCATCTCTTTGGAATGCTCCAGTCCTCCAGTCCTGTCTGACATTTCTTTTTTCTTTTATTTTTCTTTGAGACGGAGTTTCGCTCTTGTTGCCCAGGCTGGAGTGCAATGGTGCAATCTCGGCTCACTACAACCTCCGCCTCCCAGGTTCAAGTGATCCTCCTGCCTCAGTTTCCCAAGTAGCTGGAATAACAGGCATGGGCCACCACACCTGGCTAATTTTGTATTTTTAGTGAAGACAGGGTTTCACCATGTTGGCCAGGCTGGTCTTGAACTCTGGACCTCCAGTGATGTGCCCTCCTTGGCCTCCCAAAGTGCTGGGATTACAGGCATGAGCCACCGCGCCTGGCCCTGTCTGACATTTCTGTGCCTTTCCAACACAGCGTCCTTGTACATCAACAAGAACTCAATGTTGTAGTCCCAGCAATCAATGTTGTGGGTGCCCAATGGATGCTGATGATTAACGGGACCTCTAACCAACTAGCTACCTGACAGTAATGAATACTCAAATATGGAAGGGTTTCCCCATGGGAAATTATAACCCTCTTTTGGTCACAGAGTACTCATGGAATTCGACAATTCATTTAAACACAACGGCTTGTTCAACTCAAAAAGTCAAAGACCCAGCCTGGGCAACAAAGTGAGACCCTGTCTACAAAAAAATTAGGTGGGCGTGGTGGCGTGCACTTGTAGACCCAGCTAATTGGGAGGCTAAGGCAAGAAGATGATGTGCACCCAGGAGTTTGAGATTGTAGTGAGCTATGACTGCACCACTGCACTCCAGCATGGGCAGCAGAGCAAGACCCTGTCACTGAAAAAAAAAAAAAAAAAAAGTAAAAGAAATACTTAGGAGGGGCCGAGCATGGTGGCTCATGCCTGTAATCCCAGCACTTTGGGAGGCCGAGGCGGGCGGATCATGAGGTCAGGAGATTGAGACCATTCTGGCTAACACGGTGAAACCCCCATCTCTACTAAAAATACAAAAACTTAGCCGGGCGTGGTGGCGGGTGCCTGTAGTCCCAGCTACTCGGGAGGCTAAGGCAGGAGAATGGTGTGAACCCGGAAGGCAGAGGCAGAACTTGCAGTGAGCTTAGATTGCGCCACTGCACTCCAGGCTGGGCAACAGAGCGAGACTCTGTCTCAAAAAAAAAAAAAAAAAAAAAAAAAAAAGAAATACTTAGGAGGGAAGAGGTAGAGGTGAAATAAGTGGCATTCATAAAAGCAGAGGGCCTTGAAATGCTCCTAATCAATTCCTCCACATAGGGGGATCAGATGCAATAAGCACAGGCACACGATTGTGTGCTTTCAAGAACCGGGTTTGTGGATTCCATCCACACCCAGGAGAAGAAAAGGACAGACTAGAACAGGAGAATCCTTCACTTTCTCCTTTTTAACTCATGATAGTTCCATCATGTCTGTGTAAGAGCCAAGCAAATCTGCCCTTAGTCATACAAGTTTGAGTTGGGGGTTCTCAAGAGGGGAAAAATGACTGACTTCGTAACACAGTCACCTGGGAAGCTTTTGGAAAGTACATATGCCCAGGCTCTCAGGTTTACCCTTCTGATTCTGACAGGTCTTCAGTGGGTTGGGGAGCCATTCTGGCACATACAACCCCACCCTGCTGTCTACTCCCAATGTGAAATTGATGTTGGCCCTGAATTGGAACAAGGACCAACCTTGGTAAGGTTAGGTTTGCCAGGGAACAAAGGAACCCTTCAGGCCTGTCGAAACCACACAGACTCACCTGTATGCTTGGTCATGTGGTATTTCAGCTGGTTGACCCACTTGCACTTGTAGCCACACTCAGGGCACAGGTACTTCCGTTCCTCCTTGTGGATCCGCATGTGGTACTGGAAGAGGCAAGAGCAAAAAGCAGAAAATATAGTAAGTGCTCAATAAATGTTAGCTGTTATTATCCAGGTTATTCTTGCCCTGTTCTATGCCTTTATCATATGGCAAGCAGACATTATGGAACTTTGTTTTTCTTAATCTTCAGTTTACTTGCTAGGGATTTTTTTTTTTTTTTTTTTAAAGAGACAGGGTCTCACTCTGTTGCCCAGGCTGGAGTGAACTGGTGTGATCACAGCTCTCTGCAGCCTTAACCTCCTGGGCTAAAGCGATCCTCCCACCTCAGCCTCCCAAGTAGCTGGGAATACAGGCATGCGCCACAATGTCCAGCTAATTAAAAAAATTTATTTTTGTAAAGACAGAGTCTCCATATGTTGCCCTGGCTGGTCTCAAACTCCTGGGATCAAGCAATCCTCTGGCCTTGGCCTCCCAAAGTGCTAGGATTACAGGCGTGAGCCACCTCACCTGGCCGATAATTTTTTTTTTTTTTTTTTTTTGAGATGGAGTCTCGCTGTGTCGCCCAGGCTGGAGTGCAGTGGCGCGATCTCGGCTCACTGCAAGTTCTGCCTCCCAGGTTCACGCCATTCACCTGCCTCAGCCTCGAGTAGCTGGGACTACAGGTGCCCGCCACCACACCCGGCTAATTTTTTGTATTTTTAGTAGAGACGGGGTTTCACAGTGTTAGCCAGGATGGTCTCGATCTCCTGACCTCATGATCCGCCCACCTTGGCCTCCCAAAGTGCTGGGATTACAGGCGTGAGCCACCGCACCCAGCCTCAATTTTTTTTTTTAAATGGAGTCTTGCTCTGTCACTCAGGCTGGGGTGCAGTGGCATGATCATAGCTCACTGCAGCCTCAAATTCCTAGGCTCAAGCAATCCTCCCACCTCAGCCTCCTGAGTAGCTGGGACTACAGGTACTTGCCACCATGCCCAGCTGATTAAGAAAAAGTTTTTGTAATGGGATCTCGCTCTGCTGCCGAGTGGTCTTCAACTCTTGGCTTCAAGCAATCCTCCTAACTTGGTATCTCAAAGTGTTAAGATTACAGGCGTGAGCCACATTATGGAACTTTATCTTTACAACAACCCTATGAAGTTGGTATTATCTCATTTTTAACAGATGAAGAATCTGAGGCTTGGTAAAGGAACTTTCCCAAAGTCACAGAGCTAATATCTGGAGGAGTCAGCTATAGAGAACCAAGGCAGTTTAACTCCAGAGCCTGTGCTCCTTCCACTTCCTGCCCCATATCCTCTGACATTACCTTGAGACGAGAGGGATCAGCACAGGCATAGGGGCAGAGGTGACAGTGGTAAGGCTTTTCCCCAGTGTGGATGCGGCTGTGCCAGGTGATCTTCTGTCGGTTCTTGGTGCTGTAAGCACAATCGGTGCACTTGTAGAGACGAGTGCCCCCATGCCCTTTCACATGGTGATCTAGTACCAGCTGATGGCGGCATGTGAAGTCACAAAAGGGGCAGTGTAGCGGGGGCTGGCCAGCATCCCCATCCCCATCTGAGGCTGCCACGGCTGCTGAAGTCTCCTCATGCTGTTCCAGGTAGTGCTTTACCAGGCCCACCCGCTCCCGGGCAGCAAAGTCACAGAGCTGACAGCGGTGGCTGAAATGCTGCTGCCTCCGGTGCTCATCCAGAGCCAGTCGGCTAGGGAAGGCCTCCTGGCAGGCCCCACACTCAAGCCGTGGGTGCTGTTTACGGGTGTGTCCTCGTAAGCTGGCAGGGCTGGGGCACAGCAACCCACAGCGGGAACAGTGCAGGGGGCCCTCAGTGGTCTCTGCAGGAGAGCCAGGGGCAGGCTGTGCAGGCTCGGGGTGTCGGCGCAGAGCATGCTGCTTAAGTGCTGTCTCTGAGCTGAACTGGGCTTCACACTGGGAGCAGGCAAAGGCTGGGGTGCCTTGGTGGCAGCTGTTGACATGACGAGTGATGTCATGGCGAAGGTAGCCACTATAGTCACAAAGTGGACAGAAGTGGGTAGGTGTTTTGTCATGTACCCTTAACCGGTGCAAGCGCAGTTTCGAGTTGGTACCAAACGTCTGGGGGCAAGAGCTGCAGGGGATGCGGCCAATGCCTGTGTGTCGGGACTGGTGAGCCTCTAACCGGTACCGTCTGGTGGTCGAAAAGTCACAGAAGGGGCACTGATGGGGCTTCACCCCCTCGTGCTTGAGCCGCCGGTGCTGCTGCATGCAACGGCTCTGTTTACAGGTGAAGCCACAGTCCCCACACTGTAGATGGGGCCGGGGCCCACGGGCTGGGGCTGCAGTGGGGTGCCTCCGCTTCTGGTGGAGCCTTAAGGCAGTGGCAGCAGGAGCAGTGAATGGGCAGAGGCTGCAGTGCAGCTCTCCAGACTCCTCGAGGGGGCAGCCCCGGATCTGGTGAGTCCTCAGAGCCCGTTCCTGCTGGCAGCTAAAGGGACATGTAGGGCAGGAGAAGCGAGCCCCCTTCTGCTTTTGAACCAGAACTGTATCCCCATCACCAGAGCTGGACTCTGTACTCCCATTCTTCGGGGGAGCAGAGTCCCCATTGCTCAACGGGGACACATCAGGCTGGGTCTGGGGGGTCCCTCGTTTTCCTCCCCCGCCACGTCCCCCCCTGCAGCCTTCAGCCACGTGAGAGGTAATAGAGGAGAGCCGGGAACAAAGGAATGGGCAGGAGTTGCAGTGAAACTTGCCCTGCTCAAAGCGGTGCTTCTTCAGGGCCTCTGTGGGTGAGGAGTTTCCTGCAGGAGGGACTGGGTCAAGGTGGTGCTTCTTAGGGGCCTCCGTGGGTGAGGAGTTTCCTGCAGGAGGGACTGGGTCAAAGCAGTGCTTCTTAGGGGCCTCTGTGGGCAAGGAGTTTCCTGCAGGAGGGACTGGGGAACCAGAGACTGTGGCAAGAGGCTCTTCTGTTTCTTCTGGCTCCCTGGGAAGCTCCAAAGGAGCATCTTTTGGAAGCAGTAGCTCTGCTTCTTGTGATGCAGGTGGGGGCTTCCCACTTTCTGTGTCCTCTGAGGCCTGGGTACCTGGGAGCACAGGTTGCAGAGGGATGGGTGAATCTGGTCTGGGCAAGCCCTTGTTCTTTCTGAGTAGAACAGGGCACTTCTTCAGCAGGTGGGTGCTGAGGCCGCGTTGTTGCTTGAAGCTAGCCCCACACTCGGGGCACAGCAGGGGCTCTCGGCGGCCTTGGCACCCAGTCCTGGAGTGCAGATTCAGGGCCTTCTCCCGGCGAGTGATAAAAGGGCAGTGTGGGCAGCGGAAGGCTCGCCCCTCTCCCTGGATCACTACCATCTGCACCCGCCCCTCTAGCACCAATGCCTCTGCTTGTTCTTTGTCCTGTCTCCTTAGGGCCTTGAGTAATGACTCTGACTCAGGTAATGGGGGCAAGGGTGCTGTCTCAGCAGGTGGAGTTGTCTTGAAGGTTCCTACCCAGTTGTTAGGAGCCTCCTCTAAGGATGGAGGATTTGTGGAGGGCTCAGACACTGGCTTTTCCAGAAGGGGATTTTCTTCAGCACTCAAGTCAGAAGTCCCAATACCTTCAAAGCTAGATAGCTCTGGTCCTTCCAGTCCATCTGGCCCTTCCAGTCCCAGGGGCCTGAACTCCATAGGGGCTGTTTCAGTGACCTCCTCAAGGGGTGGCTCAGTCACAGACTCCAGCTCTACTCCCAGGGCCTCTAGGTGTAGTGTGCAGCTGCCCTCCTCCACCTCTGCTGGGCTGGGACTGCCACCCAGGTCACCCCCATGGGGAGCCTCACTGCCCTCCTGTCTTCCAGTGTTGACCTCCTCACTCATCTCTGGCAGGGCCTGGTCCAAGCTGGGGTCCACCACAGTCCCAGGTTCGTGACCTGGCCCCTCAGGTCGGGCTGACAGCTGGTTTGAGGGCTCTGAATCTGGTGGGGGTGTTGGGCCCTGCATGGCCCCTTCTGGCTCCTGGCTTGCATAGCGGAGCTGCCAGGCCTGGTCTCCAGGTACATAGCCATGGGCCTTGCGTTTATGGAACAAGAGTGTGGTGTTGCTGAAGGTGCGGTAGTCACAGAGGGCACAGTGGAACTCACGGAGGCGGGTATGCTTGCAGTTCTCATGGCTCAGCACAGCCTGCTTGTGGCGGCTCTGGTAACTGCAGTAGTGGCAAGGGTAGAGTGGGGCCGGTGTGCCAGGGTGGTGCTGGGAAGCCATGTGCTTCTGCAGCTCATACTTCCGCTTGCAGGCGAAGGCACACACCTCACACATCAGAGACTTGCCCTGATGCCGCAGCTTGTGGCTGCTCAGCTGATCAGCCCGGTGACAGCGATAGGAGCACTGGTTGCACTGATACCTGGCAAGGAGGGAAAGGGGGAGGCAATCACAATAATTAATCACAACAACTAAGAATCAGTCAGTAAATACTTACTGTGGGCCAGGCTCTGCACTCAGTATCATACATGTGTCACCTGATGTAACCCTCCTTTTCACTACCCTATGAAACTGGTATCTCTATTTTCCAAGTGAGAAAAACTAAATCACAGAAGTTAATAATTTGCCTAAGGTTGGTTACAAAGTAAGCCAGGAGCAGAGACAGCCTAGCTTCAGGGCCTGTGTTCTAAGCCCTATTCTGTACTGCCTTCCTAAAAGAAAGTAATCATGAATCAGCATGACCCACTGTAGACTTCCAAGGAACTGACGTGGCTACAACTCCACAGGGCAGGTTTCTGTGCCTCATTTCCCTTCTCCCACAGAGGCATGACAGGTCTAGAAACCCCTTAGCCAGCTGTGCCATAGGTCAGAGAACTTGCCTGGATTTGGAAGTGGCAAGATTGGGGCATGAATATAGTGTCTATCCACTTTCCCAGGGCCAAACTCTGAGAACTCAAGTGACACCTTAGTCTCTAGGCCTATACTGTAGGTCTATACTCCCTTCCCAGAGCCCAGAGAGTGCTCGCTATGTGACTGAGCCACAGTCACAGAGGCCAGCTGTAGGCAATGGAGTTGAGACAGTGGGAACAGAGAAGGGTGTTAGGAAAAGACTCTCTTTTTTCTTTCCTTTTCTTTTTTGAAACAGAGTCTTACTCTGTCACCCAGGCTGGAGTACAGTGGTGCAATCTTGGCTCATTGCAACCTCCACCCCCCGGCTCAAGCGATTCTAGTGCTTCAGCCTCCCAAGAAGCTGGCATTACAGGCGTCTGCTACCATGCCCAGCTAATTTTTGTAGTTTTAGTAGAGATGGGGTGTTGCCCAGATGGCCTTGAACTCCCAAGCTCAAGCAATTTGCCCGCCCCGGCCTCTCAAAGTGCTGGGATTACAGGTGTGAGCCATTGCACCCGGCCTTAGGAGGAGACTCTCCAGGGACCGGAGAAAGAAATAGGGCCAGAAGTTAGATCCGAGAGGAAGCTAGCTTGGCTAAGATTCTTGGGATTGGGACGGAGGCCTATGTGTGTGTTGTACCTGAGGTCCCCTGCATGTTTTCGCATGTGCACACGGAGGTAGTGCTTCCACTTGGTGACATAGCCACATTCAGTGCACATGTAATCCTTGGTGTTGGAGTGGGTCAGCATGTGCTTGGATAGGTAGCTCACGTCTCGGCATGTGAAGTCACACAGCTCACACTTGTGGGGCTTCTCACCTTATATGGGGGATGCGGATGAAGGGAGAGAACACAGGTCAGATACAGATCAAGTGGACAGACCATTTCTTCCAGCAAGCCTGCCCTGATGCCAGGGAGGAACAACAGCTTCATGTGCTACCTGAGATGGTGAAAACCTCACAATAATAAAGGGCTGCTTCAGGGCCCTCTCAGACAACTACTCCCCCAACTCCCACACCAGTGAAGATGGGAAGAAAGTAAAGACCAAGCTTTTCTTTTTTTTTTTTAAATTGAGACAGAGTCTCAATCTGTCGCCCAGGCTGGAGTGCAGTGACGCTACCTCAGCTCACTGCCAAGCTCGGCTGCCCGGGTTCAAGCAATTCTTGTGCCTTAGCCTCTCGAGTAGCTGGGATTACAGGTGCCCGCCACCACGCCCAACTAATTTTTTTGTATTTTTAGTAGAGATGGGGTTTCACCATGTTAGCCAGGCTGTTCTCGAACTCCTGACCTTAGGTGATCCGCCCGCCTTGGCCTCCTAAAGTGTTGGGATTACAGGCGTGAGCCACCGTGCCCACCCCAAGCTTTTCAAAACTAGCTTAAAGTCCACTCTTGATTTGTTTTACAGCTTGCTGTCACTATGGTCAACTACTCAGCCTAATTTTTCTGTTTTCTAGAACAAAAGGAAAAATAAATGAGACAACAGAACAGAATGGTCAAGAATTCTGATCTGAAGTCCAACACAGTAATAAAAATATTAACAGCCAACATGAACAAAGTTCTTATTATGTGACTAGCACTCTTCTGAGCACTTTGTAAAAAAATTCCTCCTCTCGGCCGGGCATGGTGGCTCACGCCTGTAATCCCAGCATTTTGGGAGGTCGAGGCAGGTGGATCATGAGGTCAGGAGATCGAGACCATCCTGGCTAACACGGTGAAACCCTGTCTCTACTAAAAATACAAAAAATTAGCTGGGCATGGTGGTAGATGCCTGTAGTCCCAGCTACTCGGGAGGCTGAGGCAGGAGAATGGCGTGAACCCAGGAGGTGGAGCTTGCAGTGAGCCGAGATTGGGCCACTTTACTCCAGCCTGAGCAACAGAGCCAGACTCCATCTCAAAAAAAAAAAAAGCCTCCTCCCCTCAAATTTTCAGAACATCCTTAAGAGGCAGGTGCTATTATCACCCTCATTTTACAGATAGGGAAACAGAGGCACAGAGAAATCATAGAGCCATTAAGTGGTAGTTTAAATCCTAGTTGACTACCATGTGGGTTTGAGCAGTCTGTTTCCTTGCCTCCAAAAGGTTGGTATAAAGATTATATGAAATGTCCCAAAGCTGTCAGTGATACTCAGTGAGAACTCAAAGGTGAGCTGTCCATATTGATGGTCAAGACCTGGCACTGACAGGCTGGGGGCCAGGTTCCTTCAAGACCCCTCCTTGTTGTCCCTGCCCACTCACCCAGACCCCTTCCCTATGGTGAAAAGGCTAGCAATGTGGTATTCTGGTTCTAACACTATCTGTGTGATCTTAAAGTAGGTCTCAGAGTTTGTCTCTTTTCTCATCTTTATCTGCCTTACTTAAAAGATTAAGCCTTTTGGAAAGACCTCAGAAACATGAGATTTTGTGACTAAAGCATGTACAGGAATGAGTTCAGTGAGAATGGCTTTGTCCCAGGATGCCTACAATTTTTTCTCCCAAACCAGTGTCTTTGATGAAAATTCTAAAAATGTCCTGTCAATCCACTGATGTTGATATAGAGATCACAAATGGGATGATGCTGTAGCAGGAAGCTTGGTTTGGTTGTTACCTAAAGCATCAAGAATGCTAGAAGACAGTTACGAGTGCGAGTTAAACATCTGCAACTTCCAGGTCACTGGAGGTGATCTTTTTCAGTGTCATGGATGCCCAAGTTATAGAAGGCCATATGCGTGTGGATGGCTCAGTCCCCTCGCCCGTCTCTCTTAGCATATCCCAAAACATGAATTGCAAAGTAAGGTATTTGTCCTGGTTTAGGTTTCTTCAGGCTTGGTGTTAACCCACTCAAGCCTGACTAGGGGTGGGCAGAACTGGACAAGGGCTTAAGAGCGAGGCACAGCACCACAGTGGTTAGAGCACAGGCTCTGGAATCAGACTGCATGGATTCAAATCCTAGCTCTACTACTTTACTAGCTAAATGACACTCAACTTAAGGCTCATTTGTAAACTTGGAATGCTAGATCTATCTCTAGGAATTTTGGGTCAAATGAGAAAACGTATGCAAGACCCTTTGTAGCCAGTATCACCACCATCATTATTACAACATTATTTTAAGGATGGAAACCATCCTACCCGTATGTAGAAGCATGTGTCGGATGAGCACCCTCTTGTGGGCAGTGGCAAAGTTGCACTCAGGACACTGGTGGATCTTTTCATGAGCATGCATCTTGCCTACATGATCCTGGTAAGCCACTGGGTTGAAGGTGGCAAAGGGGCAGAAGGTGCAGCGCAGCTCTTCACTGCCAGGGTGGCCCTGCTTCTTGTGTTTACGGAATAGGTGCTTATTGGAACAAGCAAAATCACAGTGGGGGCAGTGGAAGGCGTAGTGACTCTTGTGGTGGGCCTCCATGGCTTCGGCTGTGGCAAAGAGCATGGGACATGAGTGATGGCGGCACTCCACAGCCCGCACCCCATGGGTCTCCTTCAGGTGCTTAATGAAGGCCTTGCGGTCGGGTGCTGCATAGCTGCAGCCCTCCTGAAAGCAGCGAAGGGGTAATGGCTCTGCTGCGGCTGCTGCCGTGTGGCTCTTGAGGTGCTCCTTTAGGGCCTGGCTGAGGCGGAATTCCTCACGGCAGACAGGACAGGCATAGGTGTCTGAGTAGAAGTTGGAAATATCTTCATGCATGCTGGCCATGTGGCGGTTGAGTGCATTCCTCTCCACCGCACTGTAGTGGCACAGTGGGCAGTGGTGGGCCTTTTCACCCAGCTCCCGCAGCAGATGGGTCTTGAGCTTGCTCTTACTGGTGAAGAACTTCTGGCAGTTAGGGCACTGGAGGCTGGGGTCTGGGAAGTGGAGATGCAGGTGCTCCACCAGATGAGTCCGCTTCTTAAAGCAGCGCTTACACTCTGGACACATATGGGTCTTGAAGAGGGACTCGGTGCCAGAGACCACATCCCCTGGGAAAGGGAATACAGAGAGTTGAGAGAGTGAGATTTTTCTGGGGAAAGCCAGATAATGGGAGAACCACAATTTGCTCAGACACAAACGATGTGTGGCCTCTCTGCAGGAAACCAAGCAAAAGGGTCTCAAATACTGTAGTCTCAAAAAAGGGTGAGAAACTCAAGTTTTAAGAGAAGCAAAATCACAAGGGCTTCTCAGGCCTTGCTGTGACAGCCTGTTTGAAGTGCTTTACTCAGCTACCTGCTCTTCTTGAGCCTTTGTTTAGAGCTGCTTAAAATAATCTGAATGGAGCATTCTTGTTCTTTCCTGCCTTGTTCTATGGGGGCAGGCAGAAGCATCGGCAAGATTAGTTAGAAGGAAAAGAGCCCCCAAGGGGGTGAGCCAAAAGAAGGTACAGTACTCTTACTGGCTCACAGGCTCTAGATAATAATGAAGTTGGTAATAAATACAACCCAATCTTTCTTATTCACTTGATAACTATGCTCCTTGTGGGATGACTTTCAAATATTCTACTGAGGTGAAAAACTGGGAAGCAAAGATTCAGAAAAAAGTATTTGAGGGCTCAGTGCCAGACAAAATAGGCTGCTGATCATCAATAACTTCTGGCATCTCTATATGATGAAGATCACCTCCTGCTTCCCTGCTAGAGTTTTCTGCCTGAGGAAAACCAGCCCAGTGAAGCAAACTCGATTTACCCCAATGCTATATTACTAAAGTCTTTACCATTCACTCATTTATCATTTTCCCACTAGACCTTGACTTTTGAGTCAAGGTAGAACAGAATAAAAGGATCCGAACCAAAGCTCAGAAAACAAACCCCAGAGCCTCAATGGCAGGGTTTCAACAATCCATTCTTCCCCACCACCAAGGGCTTCAAGCCTCAGAATGTCATTACCTTCCAGCCGCTGAGCCCCTTGGCCTTTATCCACAGCCTTTTGGGAGTCCTTCTGGGTGTCACTCTTCTCTTCTTTCTCTACATTCTCCTCTTCAGCTGTCTCCTGCCCAGGCAAGGGTGTACCTGCTTCCTGTGAAGGTTCTCTCTCTCCTGGAGGCAGTTTGGGAGCTGGAGATACATAAAACTTGATAAAGTCTACAGGAGCCAATAACAGCACTAAATGCTTATACTTCTCTACCTACTGGCTGAAATAATCACCCTCTCCCACTTTTAGCATAAGGAGATCTTGGGTTTTATGTATAAATGTATTTCCACTCAAGATGAAAATAGGAGGACGAAGAGCTAAGTTATTAGCAATGTTCCAGTCTAAAGTAACTCAAACCTCAGAGAGCACCACTTTCAGACTCCATGAAGCTGACAGCAGCGAGGTCATTGAGGTCATAGGGGGCTGAAAGTAGAGAATGGGTAGACTGCAATTCCTTCTCTTATCAGAATTCTGGCCTCTCCTGGCCCGTTTTCTCTGTTTCCTCCTGCTCCTCTGCTCTCTCATGCTTTTTTGGGACCAAGAAGAATGACAACTACTAAAACGCCGTCTCCCTTGAAAGTTCCTAAGTTCCTTTCTTTACTTCTTTTTTTTTTTTTTTTTGAGACAGGGTCTTACTCTGTCATCCAGACTGAAGTGCAGTGCTGCAATCTTGGCTCACTGCAACCTCCACCTCCTGAGCTCAAGTGATCCCCCACCTCAACCTCCCGAGTAACTGGGACTACAGACATGTACCACCACACCCAATTTTTGTATTTTTTGTAGAGACAGCATTTCACCACATTGCCCAGGCTGGTCTTGAACTCCTGGGCTCAAGGGATCCATCCACCTTGGCCTCTCAAATTGTTGGGATCACAGGCATGTGCCACAGTGCCCAGCCCAAAGGGTTATTTCCTTTTTAAAATAACCCTGGCTTCTACTGCCCAATCCCCAGTTGCTCTAAAGGAAAGTCTACAGGCATTCTATCAGTGGCCATAGCCAATGATGGTCATTTTCACTTTAGCTCTCAGAAAGTTGTGAAATGGATCATTAGAGAATATTGGTTAAGTAACTTCAGGCCACACGTAGCCTAAGCCAACTTTCACTCATTGTCACAAACAAAGACTTCCTCTTTGTCCCATATATTCCAACTGTTTCAAGATGCCTTCCCATGTCATCCAGTAACTCCATCCTCCTGAGCCACTGTCTAGATTCTCTTATATTCATGTACATTCATGGCCTTGGAAACAACTGCCTCTCCTATAAGATCAACTGTGGCTGAACTCCAGGAGAGGAACTGCTTGGCCCTTGGCCTCATACCTGGCAGCAGCTCCTGGGATGGAAGGCCCTGAACGGCAGAAAGTTCTCCCTGTGTCCCAGCACCATGGCTCCGCTGATGCTGCCGGAAGAGTTTGACGTTGGAGCCTATGAAGCTGCAGTGGCTGCAGTGGAAAGGGTAATGCGCCTGCCGGTGCAGCTCCATGCCCTGCTGGCTCCCGAAAAGCAGGGGGCAGCCCCGGAAAGAACAGGGCACAGGAACTGCTCTGTGAGTCTGCCTCAGGTGGTGCTGCAGACCCTTGCGATCTTCAGCAGAGAACACACAGCCAGATTCTGGGCAGGAGAAGGTGTCAGGAGTGCCCCGGTGAATCTTGAAGTGGCTCTTCAGGGCCTGGGGTTGGGCAAACTCCTGTCTACACACAGGGCATGATAGGGGGCTAACTGGCGGGCTCTGGCCCTGCAGAGGGCCAGGGAGGGTTGGGTTGCTGGGAGGCAGCTCTACAGAGCATGGGGGGCTAGAGAGGCCCTGCACAGGCTGTATATGGGTCTCACTGCACTGGTGCAGGGCCAGCAGAGTGGGCTCTGCGAAGCTCTGTTCACAGCGCTCACAGAAGTACACCTCCACCACCTTTACCAGGACACCTGCAGGCAGAGGACCGACAGAGAAAGGCATAGAATCAGATGGAACAAGACTCATAGGAGTTAGTTACTAGTAGAAAATGTAGGTGAATCTTTTAATATTCGTAGAGTACAGATGGACTTTAAGTCTGGTCCTACACCTGGACTGTAGGCCCCATAAGGTCAGGGACCATCTATCTGGCACGTGTGTTTGGATTCCTAGCACAATACTTGGCACAAGATAGGTGCTTAATAAATATTTGTTAAATGAGTGAACAAGCAAGCAAATCCAGAAAGCATTAAGACAGTATATTTTGCCCAAGTGAAAACCAGAAACTTCCAAAAGAAAATGACAAACTAGGGATAATATCTGCAATATAAATGGTTAAGAGCTTTACTTTCAAATTCTGTAAAGAGCTTTACAAAGGCACAGGAATGGATAAAATGGAGAATATCCTTCTGAAAATAATTATTATTCTCCATAATAATTGCTGCCGTTTTAAAAGCAATGGGCAAGACTTTGATAAAGAAAGGCTTAATAAACGCTCTCATTTGGTCCTCCAACAGCCCTATGACAACAAGGTCCTGAGATTCTACGAGATTAAGACTACTATGTTTATTAGTGGTAGAGCCATGACTCAAGGCCAGGTTTGTCCTACATTTATTCTGCTGGTCTGTTTGCTCTTTATTGTTTTTTTTGTTGTTAAAAAAAAAAATTTCAGGGCCAGGTGCAGTGGCTCACGCCTGTAATCTTGGCACTTTGGGAGGCTGAGACAGGAGGATCATGAGGTCAGGAGATCGAGACCATCCTGGCTAACATGGTGAAAACCCGTCTCTACTAAAAATACAAAAAATTAGCCAGGCGTGGTGGCACGCACCTGTAGTCCCAGCTACTCAGGAGGCTGAGGCAGGAGAATCGCTTGAACATGAGAGGTGGAGGTTGCAGTGAGCCGAGATTGCCCACTGCACTCCAGCCTGGCCAAGAGAGAGACTCTGTCTCAAAAAAAAAAAAAATTTCAGGCCGGGCCTAGTGGCTCACACCTGTAATCCCAGCATTTTGGAAGGACGAGGTGGGTGGATCACCTGAGGTTGGGAGTTTGAGACCAGCCTGACCAACATGGCGAAACCCCGTCTCTACTAAAAATACAAAATTAGCTGGGCATGGTGGCGCATGCCTGTAATCCCAGTTACTCAGGAGGCTGAGGCAGGAGAATCGCTTGAACCTGGGAGGTGGGTTGCAGCGAGCCAAGATCACGCCATTGCACTGCAGCCTGGGTGACAAGAGTGAAACTCTATCTCAAAAAAAAAAAAAAATTTCAGTGCAACATCTAAAATGATACATAAGTATACAAAGGAAGAATAACCACCCAGCACCTTCACACGCACAATTTGGTGTGTTTCTTTTTGACCCTTTTCTTTCCACTTGCTATATATCAAAGATATTTTTATCTTTGAGTACATTTACATCTAGTTTGTACTTTCTTATCCAGTTCATGTTTTTTCCAGAGCATGAACAAATCAAAACGAAATTCTGCCCTTGCTTCCCTGGGGACCAAAAAAATAAAAATAATTTTTTTGGCTGGTGGTGGGGGAAACAAGGTCTCTCTCTGTCACCCAGGCTGCAGTGCAGTGGTGGTGTGATCACAGCTCACTGCAGCCTTGACCTGCTGGGCTCAAGTGATTCTCCCACCTCAGCCTCCTGAGTAGGTGGGACTACAGGCATCACCATTCCTGGCTAATTTTAAATTTTTTTGTAGAGATGGGGTCTCCCTATGTTGCCCATTCTAAAAATAATTTTAAAAAATAAATTGTGCCGTTACTGATGGACATTTGGGCTGTTTCCAACCATTACAAATAAAGCACCCCTATATATCCTCATCCTTGCTCTGGCCACTGTAATTCCGGTGTCTTTGTGCATTCCTACAGTGGAATTAGTGGTCAGAGTATGCAAATTGTAAAATTTGCTATGTAGCTAAATTGACCTTCAAAAGATTATACTAATTTGTATCTCCATAAGCTGTAACATAGTGTTTCCTATAGCCTCATCAACACTAGGTATTATTAAAAATGTTTAATTTATGCCAAAATGCATCTCCTTTTTTTTTTTTGAGACAGAATCTCGCTTTGTTGTCCAGGCTAGGGTTCAGTGGTGCGATCTTGGCTCACTGCAACCTCCGCCTCTCGGGTTCAAGCAATTCTCCTGCCTCAGCCTCCTGAGTAGCTGGGATTACAGGTGCCCACCACCATGCCAGCTGATTTTTTGTATCTTAGCAGAGGTGGGGTTTCACCATCTTGCCCAGGCTGGTCTCAAACTCCTGAGCTCAGGCAACTGCCTGTCTCGGCCTCCCAAAGTGCTAGGATTATAGGCATGAGCCACCATGCCCAGCCACATCTCTTATTTTTAACTGGAATTTATTTCTTTGCTAGTGAGATTAAGCATCCTTCCATATGGTTACTACTTTTATTTCTTCTTTAGAGCATTGCACATAGATTTCTTTTTCCCATTTAAAAAAAAAAAAAGGTTTCTGCTGGGTGCGATGGCTCATGTCTGTAATCCCAAAACTTTAGGAGGCCGAGGTGGGAAGATTGCTTGAGCCCAGGAGTTCAAGACTAGCCTGGGCAACAAGGTGAGACCTCGTTTCTACCAAAGAAAATTTAAAAACTAGCTGAGTGTGGGTGGTATACACCTGTGGCCCCAGCTACATGGGAAGCTGAGGCAAGAGGATTGCTTAAGCCCAGGAGGTCAAGGCTGCAGTGAGCCGTAACTGTGCCACTGCACTCTAGCCTGGGTGGCAGAGCAAGACCCTGTCTCAACAAAACCCCCAAAACCAAAAGAAAACAAAAAAAGCAAAGCAAACAACAAAAAAGATGGTTTCTTTTTCTTACTGTGGCTCTTTGAATTTTAAAGATATTAACTCTTTCTTACATATTGCGAATGTTTTTCCTAGGCTTTTTATTTTTTTAAATTTCTTTCACCATATGGAAGTTTGGAAATATTATATGGTCAAATTAGCTAATCTTTCCCAATATTCTTTGTCACTATACTACAGTGCCAACTGAAGTGGTGACAACTATGGCTGGAGGACGGTAATTAAAAAACAGGGAAGCTTCCTAAAAATAAGAGGTGAGGATAATGGGATGAATAAAGGGAGAATCTTTCATCTGAGATAAATACAAATGCTCAACTCCTACTTTTTTGTTTTGTTTTGTTTTTTTAAAGAGATGGGGGTCTCACTATATTGCCCAGGCTGGAGTGCAGTGGCTATTCACAGGTATGATCATAACATACGGCAGCCTCTAACTCCTGGGCTCAAGCAATCTTCCTGCCTCAGCCTCCCAAGTAGCTGAGACTACAGGTGCATGCCACTGTACCAGGCCTCAACTCTTATTCTTAACAACATGCCTCGGATGAGTAAAGTATGTTATACACAAAAAACTAGGGCAGGGAAATACCAGATCACTTCTGGAAAGCCCTGCCAAGCCCAGGGTGGTAGAGACAGGGTTTTTGCTTAATCCCTGGCTGCAGTTCCTGGGTAGGAGGGTCAATATGGAGGAAAGAATCTCCAAGGACTGTAAGAGTAGGGACAAGCCAGGATTGGGCGGAGGTGTCAGAAAGGTCTTACTTTCTGGATTACTGCCTAGCACACATGAAGCCCTTGCAGGACAGACTGCCAAAAGCTTGGTAGAAGGCTGTGCACCACTTCGCCAGCCTTCAATCAACATGCACCAACTGCAAACCAAATGACAACATCTCCAAGTATAAAAATAGGATGCTACCTTGTGTTCTCATCATATTTATACAGAATCAAAAATAACCCAGACAAAACCTCAGAGCTGCTTGTCCCACTGGCCTGCTTGCAACTGTGTTTGTACCTGGGGTCTCTCCAGGAGCACCTGGGGTCAGGGTTCCAGCTACTGTCTCCACAATGATCTCCATGTTCCCTGGTCCCTCTTCAGTTGCTGTGGCCTCTACCAGCAGGCAGCCTGGCTCAGTAGGTATAGGTGCAGGGTCCCGGGAAGGACAGGGGCTCTGGACAGGCCCCAGGATTCCACGGTTAGAGAGAGGCGGGGGGATCAGCAATAGCTCAGGGCACAGTCCATCCATCTCCCCGGTGCTACTGGCTGGCTGTGAGTCCAAAAGGGGGTCTGTCATCACCACCGACTTGTGTGTTTTGGCTTCTTAAATGCTGACAAGCCAACCAGAAGAAAAACAAAGTAAGGTTAGAGTTCTTACTTTCTTCCTGGCTGGCGTGGGTACACAGCCCAGTGCCCACCCACTTAGGCATTTTCTTGCATGGCAATATGCCATATATACCATATGAGACTAAATAGAGGCTTTCTTTTATGATAATGTTCAGAACAAAAAGTATAAAAATGATAACAGAATATTAGGAGACAGCCAACAAGTATTGGCCAATATATTAATGACTGCAGGTTGTCTTCTGCTAGCTAAGTGCCCTTAGCCAAGTCATTAAGCAATTTGGGTCTCAGATTTCTTATCTGCAACAAAATTAGGTGGGGCCCAAATATCTCAGAAGTCCTTTTTTTTTTTTTTTTTTGAGACAGAGTCTCGCTCTGTCACCCAGGCTGGAGTGCAGTGGCGTGATCTTGGCTCACTGCAACCTCCGCCTCCTGGGTTCAAGCAATTCTCCTGTCTCAGCCTCCCCAATAGCTGGACTACAGGCATGTGCCACACACGCCCAGGTAAATTTTGTATTTTTAACAGCGATGGAGTTTCACCATGTTGGCCAGGCTGGTCTCGAACTTCTGACCTTGGGTGATCTGCCCGTTTTGGCCTCCCAAAGTGCTGGGATTATAGGCGTGAGCCACCTTGCCTGGTCCCTTTCCCTCTTAACCTTTGATAATCTCACTATTCCTCAGCATGGATTATAAGGAAGGCCCTTCCTTCATCATCTGGCTCCTGCTGACCTCCCCTGACTCATCTCCCACTTCTCCCCTCAGCAGATCTCTGAACCAGATGATGTGCCATTCTCCAGACCCACCACATTCTCTTTTGCTTTCATACCCTCACAGCCTTTTGCGTCTCTTGGCTTGATATGCCTTTTCCCCTTCTCAATCTCTCTCTCTTATCTGGCTAACCAATTAACTATCCTTGAAGAAGCTGCACAAATGTCACTTCCACCATGAAGGCCTCCTGACATTCTTTTTTTTGAGACAGTCTTAGTCTGTCACCTAGGCTGGAGGGCAGTGGCACGATCTCAGCTCACTACAACCTCTGCCTCCTGGGTTCAAGCGATTCTCCTGCCTCAGCCTCCTGAGTAGCTGGGATTACAGGCATGTACCACCACGCCTGGCTACTATTTTGTATTTTTAGTAGAGATGGGGTTTCTCCATGTTGGTTGGGCTGGTCTTGAACTCCAGAACTCAGGTGATCCACCTGCCTCGGCCTCCCAAAGTGCTGGGATTACAGGCGTGAGGCACCGCGCCGGGCCTGGCTTCCCGAAACTCTTATCTTCTCTCTTCTGGCGTCCTAAGGGCACTCTGTACACAGCCCTATCAGAAACGAGGTCACACTGCACTGTTGTTTACCTGTCAGTCTCTCTCCCTAGATGTATAGCTTTTTTAGTAATTTGTTGACATTATCACTTCAATGATATTACTTTGTGATACTGACATTATCACTTCAACGAACACAAATCACCCACAATCGAAGATTCCAGTGAAGAACCACAGATATGGAGCTGCATTGGAGTAAAGCTAGGTATCTTGTACAAAACCAGTGGTTCCTCACCTATAACGTAACACATTTGGAGAAATTTCAAACTCATTAACTGACTATGGCCTCAAACTAAATATGGGAACATAACTGAGGAATGAATGACAATTGAATTGCATACCCTGTTATACATGGCTAAAATGAGTTTAAGCTGAATAATTAGTAATTAATAAGAATGATGGGAATCACTTCATGAAATTGAGTCACAGACAAGATGCAAAAAGAAAAAAAGAAGAAGAAACCAGGCCGGGCGCGGTGGCTCAGGCCTGTAATCCCAGCACTTTGGGAGGCCAAGGCGGGCCGATCACCTGAGGTCAGAAGTTCGAGACCAGCCTGGCGAACATTGTGAAACCCTGTTTCTACTAAAAATACAAAAAATCAGCAGGGTGTGGTGGCACACGCCTGTAATCCCAGCTACTCGGGAGGCTGAGGCAGGAGAATCGCTGGAACCCGGGAGGCGGAGGTTGCAGTGAGCCGAGATCGCACCATTGCACCCCAGCTTGGGCAACAAGAGCGAAACTCCGTCTCAAAAAAAAAACAAACAAAAACCAAGATCCTGCAATCTGATAGTCCCTATTTCCAGAATCCCATGGACTCAAAACAACAGATCACAGGGATTCACAAGGTGGCTGGAAAGTGCACTCCCGTGGTCAGAGGGATTCTCTGGAAACTGCAGCCTCCACTTACTGAATATTATCGCTGTTCTGGGGAATCTTCAAGCTTGACCATACATGGCCTCCGGGGGGAGCCAAGGAGGACGCTGAGCCGTCAAGATTAAGAACCTTCACCTGCGGGAGGGCAGGGTGAGGTAGGAGACAGGTGGGCACCAGAGAAGAAATACGCTTATCTTCCGGGCAGGAGGGCTGAGGAAGAGAAAGGACAGACTAAGGCAGAGAGAAGGCCTGGAGAAACAACGGGCCCCGGCCTAGCGACCCAGGTTCCCACCTGCCTCTGGCTCTGACTCACCGCGTGGTCTTGGACAGACACAGTCGCTTCGCTTCTCTGGGCCTCAGCTTTCCTATCTGTAAAATGGAGGTGATGACAGTGTCCACATCGTCGGGCAGGAGCTGGATCATAAGAGCCAGCGAACTGGAAAGGCGGTTTGTAACCTGGAAGGCTTGGGATGGAGCATCGTCATGATTTTGTCCTGAGAGCAGCAGGTACCCGGGCGGGGTCCAGAACCGTGACGCGACTGCAGCGCCGGGGCCCAGCTCGTCTGGGTGCTCCCTTCAGTACCTCCTTCCGAGAGTTCCCAGCGCCCAGGCCCACCCTGATCCCGGGGCTCGAAAAACTTTGCCTCCAGCTCGCTCCACCCGCATTCCCTTCCCAGTTCCGCCCCGCAGCCGCTCACTCACCTCCAGACCCAGAGCCGGCGGGAGCCGCATCTCTATGGTCGGCCGCGGCTGGAACGGCCCCCGGGGCCCGCTTTGTGCGACCGCCTCCGGCTCAGCCGCCTCTAGGATATTGGGGATGTGGAAGCCACTCTCTCTTCCTCTTGCCGGCTGCCGGGGTACTCTATGTTTTGTCTCTGTGGTTTTTCCCGCCCTCCACCCCCACTCCAGCCCTGAAGCCGGAGAAGCACCATCGAGAGCTCTGGGGTAGAGTGGCGTGGGCTTCTCTGTGGGTGTGGCGGGAAGTAGATGAAAGGACCCGGGGCGGGGCCGAACGCAGCTTCCCCAAGGTGCAGGCGCGGTGAAACCATCGAGACGGAGGGCCAGAGAGTCACGGCGGTGAGAGGGCTGAGTGACGGGTTACCCCAAACCATGTGGCTGGAGGCGCGAGCTGGGGTGTGGGCGAGGTTCAGGAGGGGGTTCCTGGGTGTCGCGGAGGGGCCGGGGACGGGAGAGCTTTGTCTGTGGCCTTCCATGCATAGGTGTTTTGGAATTCTGGATCCCAGTTCTGAGGCTCAGCCGAGGTCACTGCTGTCAGCTCACCTCCCTGCATGCCAGGCGCAGGGCAAAGTGGCCGGGGTTCGGGGTTGGAGGAGAGGTGTACTAGAAACAACTTTGCTCTTGTCCCTCAGGATCTTATTGTCTACGATGTGACGATCCGTGGAGAAAGTAGCAGATGGGCAGATTTTCATTTGGGGAGAATGAGGGAGAAAAGAACGGGCATTCCGAGCCAAGAGCACTGCATGAGCAAGGAGTTGGGAGGTTGCTTACTTGTTGAACATATTTGTTGCGTATTTGCATATTTGCTAAACAGGTAGTGTTAGGAGCTAATCCATGAAAGGTAGGTGGGCGCCGTATTGTAGAGAGCCTTGAGTACCAGGCTGAGTTTATACCCAATTCAGGGGTCTGCTGGGAGCCAGCCATTGAAGGTGCTGGAGCAGAGAGAGATATGGTATTGGAGCTGATCCCTATGATGAAAGATCTGGACCCTTGTGTAGATGTTCCGTGAAGCAGGAGGTGAAGACCTATTAAAATGCCATTTCAAGAACTACGATTTTAAAGACAGTTTAGGTGGGAGGTAATAAAGGTCTAAACAAGACGTTAAATATTGGGGACGTAAGGGGGAGGATATTTGAAGGACATTACTCATAACAAGACATAGGGTTACTGACAAGTCAACGGACGCTTCTCCCTTGCTGACTGCAGCCAATGGACCCCTTTTTATCATAGCTGGTCCCAGGGACCACAAAAATCCTGTCCATCCATTACCCTGATGTGAAGCCTGTTTATATAGCTCTTTTTGGTTTAAGGCATCTCCAGACATGGTCCTCTGGTAGGAAACAGGTATGAGTAGACTAATGAAGGACAAAATGGGATGAGGGACCTGGAGCCTCCACCCTTGCATTCCAATACCACCCTTACCCCACAAAAGGAGGGTATTGACCCACACAGTAATGCTGACCTGTGGCCAGGGCTGGGGAGGTCCAATTTCTAATCTGTGCTTTGTCCCATCTCCACTGTTCCCCACCCCTAGGTTTTCGTAACACCCCAGGGCCTGTAAGGTTTGGTGTTTCCCTTTCAAGATGCCACTTTCAGACTTTATTCTGGCTCTGAAGGACAATCCCTACTTTGGGGCTGGATTTGGGCTGGTGGGTGTGGGCACAGCCCTGGCCCTGGCCCGGAAGGGTGTCCAACTGGGCCTGGTGGCATTCCGGCGCCATTACATGATCACACTGGAAGTCCCTGCTCGAGACAGGAGCTATGCCTGGTTGCTTAGCTGGCTCACCCGCCACAGTACCCGTACTCAGCACCTCAGTGTCGAGACTTCGTACCTTCAGCATGAGAGTGGCCGCATTTCCACTAAGTTTGAATTTGTCCCCAGCCCTGGAAACCATTTTATCTGGTAAGGTGGGGAGCTAGGGAGGGCTGTGAGAGTAGAAAAGAATGATGGGAGCTGGGTTTGACCCATTCACTCACTCAGTTTTGATCGTTCTTATTCAGGTATCGGGGGAAATGGATTCGGGTAGAACGAAGTCGAGAGATGCAGATGATAGACTTGCAGACGGGGACTCCTTGGGAATCTGTCACCTTCACGGCCCTGGGCACTGACCGAAAGGTTTTCTTCAACATCCTGGAGGAAGGTGTGGGATGGCACAGGCAGGCTTTCTAGGGACATTGCAGGGATGGGGACATTTGACATCAGATGAGCAGTTTGGAGAAGTGGAATAAGCAGGCCGGGGTGAGCCCATGGGAACAGGGGGCCAGAAGGAAGCTGTTTGGCACAGCTCCACCTAATTGAAGAATCAGCCATGGTGAAGAGAATTATTGGCTTTATCTCATCTTCTCCTTCCCAGCTCGAGAGCTAGCCTTGCAGCAGGAGGAAGGGAAGACCGTGATGTACACAGCTGTGGGCTCTGAATGGCGTCCCTTTGGCTATCCACGCCGCCGGCGACCACTGAATTCTGTGGTTCTACAACAGGGTCTGGCTGACCGAATTGTCAGAGACGTCCAGGAATTCATCGATAACCCCAAGTGGTACACTGACAGAGGTGAGAAGCAGCTGGGGTCTTGGCTGTGCTGTTTTTGACATTTTTAGAAGGGACAGGTTGGTCTCCAGCCAGATGGGGTGATATAAAGCTCTAGTCCAATTCCCAGAGATTAAGAGGAATGAAAAGTTGTGTATGAGAATGATTTATTTCCGTACCAAGGTTATCAGGCTTCCAGGGGGCAGGGCTGGGAATGAACGTAGATATCCGGGGCAAAAGACATGATCATCCTGGCTCTATCCCTAGGCATTCCTTACAGACGTGGCTACCTGCTTTATGGGCCCCCTGGTTGCGGAAAGAGCAGTTTTATGTGAGTATTCAAAATTTCTCTCAACTTGGCAAAACGAAGCCTTTGTGGAAACACTAGGCTGATAGGGTTGGAAGGGGAAATGAATCTGGGGATCGGGGACCAGGATAAACATGAAACGTGTGGAACATCAGGGTGTGAGGTAGAAGTCAGGCCTCTGAGACACATGTCCCCAGGCGGTGAGGAGAGTAGCTGGGCCTGAGGAAGCATTTCCAGGTTGCCTGCTACCTCCTGCCATCCCATGCTCCATAGCACAGCCCTGGCTGGGGAACTGGAGCACAGCATCTGCCTGCTGAGCCTCACGGACTCCAGCCTCTCTGATGACCGACTCAACCACCTGCTGAGCGTGGCCCCGCAGCAGAGCCTGGTACTCCTGGAGGATGTGGATGCTGCTTTTCTCAGTCGAGACTTGGCTGTGGAGAGTAAGTGAGGGGTTCTGGAGGAAGTGGAGTGGGTAACTGTGGAACAGGGGAAGAAAGCAGAAATCCAGAGGGCTGGTGGAAGATGCCTGGGTTAGTGACAAGAGCCCACAAGACACATGGATAAGTAGGGGAACATAGTGGGGCATGCTAATTTTATGCTGGGCTATGACTACTCATGCTTCCTTATCTTTGCCTTCCTCCAGACCCAGTAAAGTACCAAGGCCTAGGTCGCCTCACCTTCAGTGGACTGCTCAATGCCTTGGATGGTGTGGCTTCCACCGAGGCCCGCATCGTGTTCATGACCACCAACCACGTTGACAGGTAGGAAGGAGCCAGGCATCCTGAGACTTAGGCAAGAGCCCACCTCCTCCCCTAGTGCCTTGGGAGGAACAGGAGGTCGAGGGGCCATCTCTGTTGGGTGCTAGTGTGACCTGCTTTCCCTGTCTTCTCTCAGGCTGGACCCTGCCCTGATACGCCCGGGGCGAGTGGACCTGAAGGAGTACGTGGGCTACTGCTCACACTGGCAGCTGACCCAGATGTTCCAGAGGTTCTATCCAGGGCAGGCACCTTCCTTAGCTGAGAACTTTGCAGAACATGTCCTTCGAGCTACAAACCAGATCAGTCCTGCCCAGGTGCAGGGCTACTTCATGCTGTATAAAAATGACCCTGTAGGGGCAATTCACAATGCTGAGTCTCTGAGGAGGTGATCAGGCTGGGCTCAGCTCAGCTCTCCTCCTCTAGCTCAATAAACATCTGCCACACTACTCTGCTCTCTCATCTCCCTTCATCACTGGATTGGTACTTGAGTAAGACGGGCTGCAATCACAGGTGCCTACAGGGGTCAGTCAGGCAACCACATATACAAATGATGGGGCATAGCCTAAGATAAAGAGATGAGACACAAAACAGGAAACTAAATTCCTCTACCTAAAGGCATTCTATGTATATAAATAATGGACAGGCATGGGTGTGTACACAATGAGTTGTTAACGGTGGGTCCTAAGGACTCTGCTTACATGCTGACATCCCACTAGTTTTCCCTGAAACTCACTATACTAGCTGATGAGATGTCAGACCCTCTTTACCCAGCTCTTCGGAGAACAGACTTCAGAGCAAAGTTGGGGGCTGCTCTGCCACACCCCAATCTTATTAGGAATTGAGAAAAAGAGCCATTCCTCACAGGCTAGGCGCTGCTAAGCAAAGAAAGCCAAAGAAGGCCAAATATCTTTATTGCCTCCCTCCCATCCCCAATTCCCTGTTCCCCCCACCAAGTCCTGCTAGGAACCATCCTTAGATTCCAGGCCCAGGGACTCCCTCCGAGTACCAGGCCGGTATGCTCCCTGGCCCCGAGGCAGGCGAGGGTAGGAAGAACCGGGTGTCCGGCCTTTAGAGCGCTCCCAGCGAACACAGTCCCGAGTCCTGCGGGGTGGGGGCCCCTGCCAGCTGCCAGGCCCCTTCTCTTGTGGAGGACCTTCAACTCCTTGGCTATGGGGTTCTGGCTTTAGGTCCATGGGCTCCTTGAGGGGCCCCTCAGGAGGTGGCAGTTCCTGGGTGTCACGGGTACCTTTAGGGGCGTGGCACTCCCCTCCCTTTGGGTGCCTCCGTTCGGGCTGTCGCCAGGGACCTCGACTGGGCTTGGGGGGATCTAGCATAGCTTTCTGGGTTTCGCCCAACCTTTGCTGATTTGACCTGGTCCCTGGAATCTTCTCACATATGTGCTGGGTCGCCACAGGCAGAGGAGGTGGCAAAGTGGATTGGACGGCTGGTGAGGTGGATAGTTCTGCTGCAAGGGTGCTGGGTGGTTGGGATCCTTTGGAGACATCTACAGCTGACTCAGGTTCCGCAGGGGCAGGAGGCTAGAAATAAGTGACAAGATGCAGTGAGGGAGATGCAGTTCCTCAAGGTGGGGAACTACAGGCCCCTCTCCTACTATCTGGGCTGACCACGATCAGCCTATCATCTTCCTGGTTAGAACAAAGCTCACTCTGGGGCCATGGCTGATTGGGGTTTGTAGAAAGGTTGGTGGCATTACAGGACAACTGGGAAGCCCTTCCCTCACCTGCTGAAGGCTGATGAAGTATCGGTTTCGCTCAGCCTCAAGGTCAATGATTCCCCCCCGCTCCTGCTGCCTCTGGTAGAGCCGCTTGCGTTCTTCTTGCTGGCGCAAGCTCTCTGCACTGGGCTGGTACAGCTCCTGGAAGGAAGAATGGCAGAGAGGAAATAATGAACAGCAGAAGGCTGACTCAAACCTCTACTCCTCCCAGGCTGCCTCAGGAGATCTGCACTGGTTTTGCCCCTCAGGTCTGGGCTCCCAGAGTCTTAGGCTCCCGCCAGTGGGGGATGTGGCTTTGCAGAGAGGTCCTAGGCAGTTCAAGCCCAATTTCAGAGATCCCATTTGACACAGACAAGATGCCATTCCTTACTCTTTAGAAAATACCATTACTCCTGGCTCAGATTGGAAAAAAGTCTCCTTACCATGGGCTGTTGGGGTTCAGGGGCTGCTTTCAGTGAGGCAAGATCATACACGAGGGGCTCTCTGCACACTGGACACTGCACACCGACTGCCTTCTAAAAAAGAGAAAAATCATATGCCTGTGTCACAGCCCAGGATGCCCCCTGGTGCTGACCCATCAGCCAACCTAATCTGCAGAGGGCTGGGACTAAAGGGCACAGGGACACCGGTTCAGCAGTGAGTTGGGACAGAGCACGGGTTGTCTAACTAGAGATCTGGGAACCCCCCGAAACTGCATGCAATATGTAAGTGTATATAAGGATGCCCTGGCCAGGCACGGTGGCTCGCGCCTGTAATCCCAGCACTTTGGGAGGCCGAGGCGGGCGGGATCACTTGAGGTCATGAGTTTGAGACCAGCCTGGCCAACATGGTGAAACCCCGTCTCTACTGAAAATACAAAAATCAGCTGGGCGTGGTGGCTCGCACCTATAATCCCAGCTACTCGGGAGGCTGAGGCAGAAGGATTGCTTGAACCCAGGAGGCGGAGGTTGCAGTGAGCCAAGATTGTGCTACTGCACTCCAGCCTGGGTGGCAGAGTGAGACTCCATCTCAAAAAAAAAAAAAAAGGATGCCCTTTATTCTGGACAGAGGTAAGAGTTCATTAATCTCAAGGGTATCTATGACCCTGAAAAAGTGAAGAGCCACTGGAGTGGAGAGATGGAAAAGTTTGTGAAAGGCTGTGCCTAAGGGTGTCAGATGAGTGTGCAGGTGCAGTGAGGTCTACCTGTTTGGTTGTAGCATGCTGCCGTTCCTGTTCCTGCTCCTGTCCTTGTGCCTTCAGCTCTTGCTCCATGTGCTGGATGTACCGAGCAAGGCAGTGGCAGTGGAAGTAGTGGTAACAGGGTGTTTTGGTAAAGGCCTCCTTCTCCTAGAGGGAAGGCAGATGTAGGGCACTAAGTCAGAGCTCTCTCACAGCCCTCATCTGCTGGTCCCAAACAGAATGCCAGGTCCCAAGAGAGAAACCCACCTGGAAACCATAGAGGCAGATGACACACTGGCCATGAGGGATGTTGTTATCTGTGAGAATTTCCTTCCCTTTCTGAGGAGAGAAGACACTGATTAAACGGGGGTAGGGGGAAGAACGGTGAGCAAGGCCTGTCTACTACTCCTAGGAGTGACTGGCTAGACTTGGCTCCTAGCAGGCCAGTTTGTTACCTTGTGTTTATGCATTTCTGGCTTGGTGACGCTCCCTCTGCTGGGAATCAATCCTTCTCCACATCTCTGCCCCTCCCCCAAAATTTGATCTTCCTGGTTTCAAAATTCAACCTAATTGTTTTTCCTTTCATTAAGTCACTTTTAATATATCTTGGAGATGAAAATAATACACCTTGAGAAAAAAAATGTTCAATTAAAATTTATCTTCTGGGAGGCCTTTCTTGATTAGCCCCCTTCAATATCACTCCCCCATGGGGCAATGTGTTTGTTCTAAGTCAGCTTTCAGAAAGCATGACAAGGCATGGACAACCCAAATGGACAGAGAATTCACAAGGCATTGAGTTGGGCTGTGAACTATGCATTTGAATTGTTATTTGAATAGCTAATAGTGTACTCTGGAATTCCACAAAGTCCAAGGCTGCATTGTGGAGGCCTGACCTAGGACTGCTACGGTGGCCTATCAAACCCACTCTCTTTGACTCTCAGCCACCCACCTTCATTCTATTCTGAACATTTTTCTTAAAAATTTAAACTAAGAGAGGCTGGGCGTGGTGGCTCATGCCTATAATCCCAGCACTTTGGGAGGCTGAGGCAGGTGGATAACCTGAGGTCAGGAGTTCAAGACCAGCCTGGCCAACATGGAGAAACCCCATCTCTACTAAAAATATAAAATTAGCTGGGTGTGGTGGCACATGCCTGTGATCCTAGCTATCTGGGAGGCTGAGGCAGGAGAATCACTTGAACCTGGGAGGCGGAGGTTGCAGTGAGCTGAGATCACACCACTGCACTCCAGCCTGGGTGACAGACTAAGACTGTCTCAAAAAAAAAAAAAAAATTAAAATTAATAAATAAACAAACTAGGGGAAAATAAAACTGTACTTAATTTTATATTTTTAATCTCAAACAATAAAAGTTTTCTGTGTATATTGGAGCTTCAGGTGTTGCTTCATGTGGGTTGTTTCATCAAGCAGTGTATAAGCTCTTTCAGTAAAGGAACCATGACTTTTTCTTTTTTTTTTTTTTGAGATGGAGTCTCACTCTGTTGCCCAGGCTGGAGTGCAGTGCATGATCTTGGCTCCCTGCAATCTCCGCCTCCCGGGTTCAAGCGATTCTCCTTCCTCAGCCTCCCAAGTAACTGGGATTACAAATGCCCGCCACCGTGCCTGGCCAACCATGACTTTTTCTAGTCAGGTCCAATGGCAGTCTAGCCTTCAAATGTTCATTTATGGCTAAGACGCCCCCAAGCAAGATGCGTATCTTTTGCCACTTTCAGTTGCCAGTGCCAAGAGAACAAGACATATACTGAAACTGATGCAAGAAAAATTCAAGGTGAAGAGGAAAAGTCATTTTCTGTCAAGATGCTGGCATAGGCAACTTGGAGAAGCTACTGAACTGTCTTTTGGGAAGTTTTTCAAATAGAAGAGTCTCATTTCTCTGGATTAATTTAGGCCTTACCTAATGACTCCAGATCCGTTTAAGATTCTAGGCCCATGGTTTCCCTTTTACAGCTAGAAACTGCTCTAGCTTGAAGGAAAGAACATATCTCAGACTAGCGCACCTCTTACCTCAATGAGTTCATACAGCATGGCAGTGCCCAGCCCAGCCTTGGCCACGTGGCCCAGCACCTGTAAGATCCTGGAGGAAGAGGGCAAACCAAATATTAGACCTGCCCATTTCTGTCACCGGGCAAAGCTGTAGCTGAGTTTTCCCTGTTCTGACAGGTTCAACTTACGTGTGGATCTGTTCATCTGAAAGTCCTCGGGGATTTCGGATAGAGATCTGTGGCACCTCATGGGGATACTAGTGGGGGCAAATAACAAGTTACTGCTGAAGCGGTCCACCCCAGGGACTCTCCCCTTCCTCCCTTTGCTGCCACACAGTAGGGGCTTCACCTCTGCTGGGACCTGAAGCACCAGAGTGAAGCAGACATACTGTGAATCCTGGTCCTCTGCAGTGGCAGGATGCAAAGTGATGTAGATCTCCCATGGTGAAGTTCTGCAGGTGGATCAAGTGGACACGCAGATGTGACTGGGTAGGGGCTTGGGGGCTGGGGAGGATGGGGCTGAGACAGTGAAGTGGGCAAAGGAAGTACACATTGGACTCTTTCTTTTGGGGTAGGATTAAAGGAATAGCTTTTGTCTACACAAGAGAAATATTATCTCTGAATCAAGGCTCACAATGTCTTAAGACCCAAATTCAGCATAGAACCTCTCCTCATTACTAGGGGGACTCCTGCCCACCACTGGTTGAATACATACCTGCCATTTCCTTTAATCACCTGTAGTTCATCTAGATAGATGGACTCCAATACTTCAACTTCAGAGGGAAGGACCCTAGAGAGACAGGAGTAGACTAACTTACCATTACAGCTCTCCCTGTGGAAGCCTGCTAAGGCCAATAAAGGCAGGCTTTGTAGAAAAATGGCAATCTACCAGAATGCATTCTCCTGCTAAACTCCTTAAAAACAAGGAATATGTTACCTTAAGTTGTCAACTGGCCAAATAGAAGGCATGGAAATCAGAATTTTAGGCATCATTTCTGCCAACAGATGAAGAAGTGGATTCTAGAGAAGTAAAATGACTAACCAAGGCTTAACATAGGTAGAACTAGGCCCAGAGCCAGGTTTCCTGACTCCCTGTTTAAGTTTCATTCCCCTTAGTGGCTGAATCTCTGGTCTAGAGATATGGCACTCATTCATTAGCATTAACGTTACCAATATTACTCCAACCTTTCCCTACGTCACTGTCCAGTGTGGATCCCAGTGCCTTGGCTACTGTCTACATACAGTTTTAACACCAGTCACCCTAAGCCTTCTTAAAGGAGATAGCAACCTCAACACAACATATTTAGGGTGGTATAAAGGCTGTGTTGTAATGGAAGAGCCAGCAGCCTCGGAGTTAGTTAACAGGTACCAATCACTTACAAGCTATGCAATCTGGGACGTGACCTCTCTGTAAGCTTAAGTTATCCTGTCTGTCACATATAGATAATAACACCTACTCTCTAGGGTTATTGTGAGGATAAAAGGTGATTTGTTTACATAAAGTACCTAATAGTATCTGGGCTATCGTAGCTAGTCTACGTCCTCTTTTTTTCCTGTCTGTATATAACCTTCTCCCTTAGAAGGAAAGAGGGAAGGAAGGAGGTAATAGAGTACTCTGGATGTATTTATGACCTGGCTGTCTGGTTGATCTAGATCAGCCTGTTGAGGTTAGGATCCATGGTTCTGATGTAAATCAAGGGACACACATACTTAAGCATAGAAACAGCAGTTGTAATGAAATTGAAGCTGAGTGATCAGTTTGTGTCTACAGCTCTACCAAGTGATACATGGAAAAATGCACACTTTGCTTTCTCACACTGCTCCCTCTTCATTCTAAGAGTAAGGCTGCCCCAGCACGACCTATGTCAGTGTTGTTAAGTCTTAGGCAGAAACTTCAAAATATAAAATATAAAGCTTCACACCTCACAGATAACAGTGTAGTTCTGGCTGACATGGGAGTGGGAGTCTCACAGTACTACAGGCTGCTGCACTCATTGTTGCTGTCTCCATGGCTCAAGGTGTCTCCCCTGAATCTTAAAAGTTCCCCTGAACAGGTAAACTGTAAGTTATCCCAGCGCTTTGGGAGGCTGAGGTGGGAGGATCACTTGAGGCCAGGAGTTCGAGACCAGCCTGGGCAACAAAGCGAGACACTATCTCTACAAAAAATAAAAAATTAACTGGACACGGTGGTCCCAGCTACTTGGGAGACTGAGGCAGAAGAATCACGGGAGCCCAGGAGGTCGAGGCTGTAGTGAGCCATGATCTTGCCACTGTACTCCAGCCTGGGTGACAAAGTAAGACTCTGTCTCTTAAAAAAAAAAAAAAAAAAGAAGTTTCCCTGAACACTTTGAAAACCAGTAGTCTAGATACTCTTAATAACGGCCAGTACTAGCTGGGCTCCCTGAACCAATGTAACATTGAGGTGTAGCCTCAGTCAAGTGGCCCTTCAATACTTCGCCCACCCTAGTTATATGGGTCCTGGATGGGATGGTGGTAAGGTGGTGACAACAAAATGGGGGAGGGGGGCCGGGCGCGGTGGCTCAGGCCTGTAATCCCAGCACTTTGGGAGGCTGAGGCGGGTGGATCATGAAGTCAGGAGATAGAGACCATCCTGGCTAACAGGGTGAAACCCCGTCTCTACTAAAAATCACAAAAAATTAGCTGGGTGTGGTGGCGGGCGCCTGTAGTCCCAGCTACTCGGGAGGCTGAGGCAGGAGAATGGCATGAACCCGGGAGGCGGAGCTTGCAGTGAACCGAGATTGCGCCACTGCACTCCAGCCTGGGCGACAGAGCAAGACTCCGTCTCAAAAAAAAAAAAAAAAAAAAAAAAAATTGGGGGAGTGGGGACTGAAGAATGTCCTAGTACAAAGAATCTAAGGTGTGGAGTCAGACAGATATGGATTTCTATTCATAATTTTCTATCTTTTGGCAAATCACTTTACTTCTTTGGGACTCATCTAGTCTTCCCAGGTGCCTGCACCTCAGTTATTAATGAAAAGGAGGCCGGGTGTGGTGGCTCACGCCTGTAATTCCAGCACCTTGGGAGGCTGAGGTGGGAGGATCACTTGAACCCAGGGGTTCAAGACCAGTCTGGCCAACATGGCAAAACTCCGTCTCTACAAAAAATACAAAAATTAGCCAGGCATGGTGGCACACACCTGTAGTCTCAGCTACTCGGAAGGCTGAGGCAGAAGGATCACCTGAGCCTGGGGAGGTCGAGGCTGCAGTGAGCCGTAATCGCACCACCGCACTCCAGCGTGGGCGAGAGTGAGACTCTGTCTCAAAAAACAAAACAAAACAAAACAAAAAACAGACTTAAGTATATTACAAATCCGTCGTGATCCTCTCAACTATTCTGAGGTAAATGCCACACCCACTTTTTTTTTTTACAGCTGAGGACACTGACTCACAGAAGCTAGATGGCCTGTTCAGCATCACACAGCTAATAAAATGTGGAGTTAACCCACATTGATCCTACTTCCAAATCCCAGAGTCCTTCCATGTTCTAGTCTTTGGTTAAGAATGCTTGAGAGAAGGACTAGAGGGACTTTATATGAAGTGTAAAGCTTTATTCATACAATAGTCCTCACTAGTGCTGTGTGAGAGAGAGAAGGCTGAGGAAAGCGTCGGCGGAAAAAGGCTGATCCAAGGGGAAAGGGGGCCGGAACTGGAGGGCACTGGTTCTGAGAGGAGAAAGGGAGATGGGGAGGTCTGATGGGCAGGCATCCCCCAAAGCCCCTGAGAAAATTCATTTGAGGAGGAGAGAAAGGGATGGCGTGAAGCTGGAGGAAAAGGGATCGAACCGGATGCGGCGAGGCCTGAACTGGCCTGGCGGGCGCCGACCCGTTCTCCTCTCACTCAGATCAGCGCCCCTCCACCCTCCCGTTCCCCAGTCCAGCTTTCCCAGAGATGTCAGCATCTCTGCCATCCCTCATCCCTCGCTCCACCCCACACGCCCGCCGTACGGACCGTCTGCGACAGCTGCTAGGCCTCTGGACTAGATCCAGGCTGTCAGCCAAAGCCCATGCCCCCAAAGTTACCAGTCCTCCTCCCCTGCAGCTGCAGACGCAGACGCCGCCATATCTTCACCGGCCCGCAGCCGGAACCGGAAATGCCCTTAGGGAAGTCGGAGGCGGAAAACTAAGAGGGGTGGGCAGCTAGCGTCGTTTCTAGGCAACCGCAGACTCCGGGTCCTTAGCCGGGCCTGATGGCCCTGAGGCAGTTCGGATGTGTCCCAGGAAGTGCCCATGTGTGGTCCGCCGTCCATTCCACACCTCTGAGCGCCTTTGTCCTCTGAACTTCTCACCAGTTCTAGCGAGTAAAATTGTAAGAAAGGGAGCCGAAAGAGACCGGAGGGAGAGGCGGGTGGAGAAGAATTATAAGTCAGGCAACGTATGCAGGCAGCCAGAAGAGATGGGGCTAAACGCCAGGGAATCCGTCCCTTGGCCTGAGGAGCTTGGAGCTCCTAGGCTGGGGGTGAGAGAGGGGCTCTGGCCTGCGAAGCGCACGGGCCAGGGGGTCTGAGAGCGGGTGCTGAGGAGTCTGGGAGTGGCAGGAACTTGGGGGAGACTCAAAGGAGCAGGGTTGGTTGGGCGAGGCTAGGTTGAAAGAGTAGGGTCGAGTGAGCCAGGCTGGGTGAGGGAGAAGGGGAACCAGGTGTTAGTTGGGCATGGGGCCGGGTTGGGGACAGGAGGATGAAAGTGGGGAGGAACTACAAAGAGAAGCTCTGTTTGTTCCAAGAGCGCATCATCTTTGCATGCATTCCACCCTCCCATGTTTTTTGAGGCTTTATTGTGAAAAAGAGGAAAAGGCAAGGTGGCTAACATTTTTCCTTTCCCGTGCCCCAACTAGGCGTCCCAGATGTTGTGGAACTGTCCCTGGATCTATAGCTCTTCACCGTCTCTACTTTCTTCCTTCTAAGAGATCCTGAAACCTCTGTCATGGAAAAGTACCACGTGTTGGAGATGATTGGAGAAGGCTCTTTTGGGAGGGTGTACAAGGGTCGAAGAAAATACAGTGCTCAGGTGTTGCACAAAGAGGGATACCTTTTGGGTGGGATTTGGTACCCCCAACTCCAGTGGAAAATGGATCTAGAAGGAATGTATTTATACCAGTTTGTATTCCTAAGGTACTGACTCCCTCATACTTCTTATGGAGTATAAGCTTTGAAGTTGGATTATTTGGGTGCAAATTCCATCTCCACCGCTTTCTAGCCCTAGAATTATGGACAAATTACTTAACTTCCCTATGTCTCAATTTCCTTATCTCTAGAATGGGGATAAGAACAGCAACTGATTGATGGAGTTTGAGGATTAAATATGTTTTCACATTAAATCACTTAGTACAGTGCCTGGCTGTTAGTAAACAACAAATATTATTAGTCTCTAGCACACCATGTAATAAGAGGTAAACCACTTGAACTCTATTATTTCCTCTTCATTTTTTTTTTCCTTTCCTTTCTCCTAAATCTCATCTTGAGTGCTGGTCAAATCAGAACACTTCTTCCAGAAGGGGAAATGTTTTGCAGATGCTGTTTCCTCCTGGGATGAGGAATGGGGAAAGCCTGGATAAGGCCAGGGTACCATGGAGAAAATGGAAGCGGGAGACTAACAGAAATAATAAGAGTTACTCAAACACTCTAAAATCTGACTTCTGGAGCTCTGAGATTAAGGCTGAAATTCTAGATCTTTTCAGTAGTGTGATTAGGCGTTAACTTTTCACCTTACCACTGACAGGTCGTGGCCCTGAAGTTCATCCCAAAATTGGGGCGCTCAGAGAAGGAGCTGAGGAATTTGCAACGAGAGATTGAAATAATGCGGGGTCTGCGGCATCCCAACATTGTGCATATGCTTGACAGCTTTGAAACTGATAAAGAGGTGTGCTTTGACAGTTTTGGGCCCTGTCTCCCCAAGCACAAGGGTTCCAGGAATTTCCCAACCTCAGAATGCATGAATCTGGAGCCATCAGTGCCACTGCCTTCTCTCTGTAGGTGGTGGTGGTGACAGACTATGCTGAGGGAGAGCTCTTTCAGATCCTAGAAGATGACGGAAAACTTCCTGAAGACCAGGTATGCTTTCTGCCTTCAACTTCTCCCCACCTCCGACCTCTCTCCAGGTTAGAGAACTGGTAGAGCAAGCTAAGGACACTGAGAGTCTCCATTTCAAAGACTTCTGAGAAGAATATAAGAGTCTAGGTATATAGAGGCAGTGTAGTGTGGGAGTAAATTATGTAAACGTTGGAGTCAAAATATCTGAGCAGGAAGCTTGGCTCTGCTCCTTCCTAGCTGGGTCTCATTGGACAAGTTACTTTAATTTCTTTGTGCTTAGTTTCCTAATTTGTAAAATGGAGATAATAATCATGTTTGCCTGATAAGTCTATGATGAAGAGTGTTAAGTCATGTAATGTGTTTGAATAGTTAGCTATTATTAACATTATTGTTATTAGATACCTTTAGGGAAGAAGGGCCAGTGTAATGGTACCAGAAAGAGGGCAGTAAGAATAAAGGTTGTGGGGAGTCAGGATTTGGCACCAGGACGTAGTGGTTAGCAGTGGGATTTTGTTGCACATATCCTCCAGCCACATTTATTCTAGGCGTTTGTCTGTACCCAAGCAAGTAGGCCCCCCCTGGGATTCATTATTGCAGCATTCTCTTTCCTTCTGAGCACTCACCACTATTTGTAAGTAATCATATTTTTGAAATTATTTTATTTTTAATTGAATTTTATTTTTTGAGACAGAGTCTCGCTTTGTTGCCCAGGCTGGAGTGCAGTGGCACAATCTTGGCTCACAGCAAACTCCGCCTTCCAGGTTCAAGCAATTCTCGTGCCTCAGCCTCCCCAGTAACCAGGATTATAGCATGCGCCACCATGCCTAGCTAATTTTGTACTTTTAGTAGAGATGGGGTTTCACCATGCTGGCCAGGCTGGTCTCGAACTGCTGGCCTCAGGTGATCTGCCCGCCTCAGCCTCCCAAAGTGCTGGTATTACAGGTGTGAGCCACCACGCCCGACCACCATATTTGTTTTATCTGTCTTGTTTGTTTGTCTGACTACTTTTCTTGAAAAAAGGCATTTTGTCTTATTTAATAACAGGTAATGTGTATTGAATATTTACTATGTGCCAGGCACCATTCTGAGTATTATTTTGCATGCTTTAACTCAGTCCTCACAATAATCCTCCATGTAGATGGTGTTATTATATAGATTGTCACCTTAGTTTGCCCATGGTCAAGCAGATAGTAAATGAGATTCAATAAATTTTTCTTGAATGAATGAATGAGCAAATGAAAGAGTGATTAAACAAGGGGAACAATAACTAAGAAAGAATAGTGTGAAGCTCTGCAAGAAAGGGAAGGAAGAAAAGATTAGCAGTAATATTAAGAGAAATTTTTGGGCTTGTCAGCCAGCTGCTGTTTCTAACCTTTTTTTTCTTTCTTCCACCTCTTTAATTTCTAGGTTCAGGCCATTGCTGCCCAGTTGGTGTCAGCCCTGTACTATCTGCATTCCCACCGCATCCTACACCGAGATATGAAGCCTCAGAACATCCTCCTCGCCAAGGGTGGTGGCATCAAGCTCTGTGACTTTGGGTAAAGATTCTGAGCATCCATCTAAGCTTCCAGTTCCACACGGAATCTTTTTTTTTTTTTTTTTTTTTGAGATGGAGTTTCACTCTTGTTACCCAGGCTGAAGTGCAATGGTGCGATCTCCACTCACCACAACCTCTGCCTCCCGGATTCAAGCAATTCTACTGCCTCAGCCTCCAGAGTAGCTGGGATTACAGGCATGTGCCACCATGCCTGGCTAATTTTATATTTTTAGTAGAGATGGGGTTTCTCCATGTTGGTCAGGCTGGTCTCGAACTCCTGACCTCAGGTGATCTGCCCACCTCGGCCTCCCAAAGTGCTGGGATTACAGGCATGAGCCACTGAGCCTGGCCCCACAGGGAATCTTAGACCATACTCTTGACTTATTTGGGCCTCATTTTAGAACCGGAGCTAGAGGCTGGGACTGCTGCTGGGTCTTCTGGAACCTAATCAAAGGTGCTCCCTCTGCTCCGGTTTGGGATATCTCTATGTTAGGTAGTAGTGACCAGGTTTAGAATATCTTTTCCCTTTCCATTTCCATCCCATTATCTTCTGCAGATTTGCCCGGGCTATGAGCACCAATACAATGGTGCTGACATCCATCAAAGGCACACCACTCTATATGTCTCCAGAGCTGGTGGAGGAGCGACCATACGACCACACAGCGGACCTCTGGTCTGTTGGCTGCATACTATATGAACTGGCAGTAGGCACCCCTCCCTTCTATGCTACAAGCATCTTTCAGCTGGTCAGCCTCATTCTCAAGGACCCTGTGCGCTGGCCCTCAACCATCAGTCCCTGCTTTAAGGTAATGAATATTGAAAGGGAGATGACTTTTACATTAGAAATCTGTCTCCCTCTATCTCTGTTCCTTTTTCCAAATCCTTTTCCAGAGCTGAGGCGGGACTTTGCAGTTACTGAATTAATGGCTGTGTTATTCTGTTCTCGCATTGCTATACAGAACCACCTGAGACTGGGTATTTTATAAAGAAAAGAGGTTTAATTGGCTCACAGCTCCATAGCCTGTACAGGAAGGATGGCTGGGGAAGCCTCAGGAAACTTACAATCATGACGGAAAGCAAAGGGGAAACAGGCATGTCTTACGTGGTGGACCAGGAGGAAGATAGAGAAAGGAAAGGTGCTACACGCTTTTTTTTTTTTTTTGAGACACAGTTTTTTTTTCTTTTTTTTTTTTTGAGACAGAGTCTCGCTCTGTCACCCAGGCTGGAGTGTAGTGGCGTGATCTTGGCTCACTGCAAGCTCTGCCTTGCAGGTTCACACCATTCTCCTGCCTCAGCCTCCTGAGTAGCTGGGATTACAGGTGCCCACCACGACACCCGGCTAATTTTTTTGTATTTTTTAGTAGAGACGGGGTTTCACCGTGTTAGCCAGCATGGTCTTGATCTCCTGACCTCGTGACTCGCCTGCCTCAGCCTCCCAAAGTGCTGGGATTACAGGCATGAGCCACTGCTCCCAGCCTGAGACAGAGTTTTGCTTTTGTTGTCCAGGCTGGACTGCAATGGCGCGATCTCGGCTGACCGCAACCTCTGCTTCCCAGGTTCAAGCAATTCTTCTGCCTCAGCCTCCCGAGTAGCTGGGATTACAGGCATGCACCACCATGCCTGGCTAATTTTGTATTTTTAGTAGAGATGAGGTTTCTCCATGTTGGTCAGGCTGGTCTCGAACTCCCAACCTCAGGTGATCCGCCTGCCTTGGCCTCCCAAAGTGCTGGGATCATAGGCTTGAGCCACTGCACCCGGCCAGGGCTACACACTTTTAAACAGCCAGATCTCGTGAAAATTCATTCACTATCATGAGAACAGCAAGGGGGAAGTCCTCCCCCATGATCCAGTCACCTCCTACCAGACCCCTCCTCCAACATTGGGTATTACAATTCGACATGAGATTTGGACGGGGACACAAATCCAAACCATATCAATGCCAGAGCTGGGCCAGGCAGCCTTGCTTTTCTACTGCAGGGTCTTAATTCTGGGAGGGTGTTCTAAAGTTTGCCAAACCTGAGAATGGTAACTCCAGTTTGAGCCAGGCTATGCTTTATCACAATGAAAAGGTAATTGGAAGATACTAGAGATCGATACTGGTCCTCTTACATGCCATCTATTCCACTTACTTCCTGTCAGATGCTATGTCCACATTCTAGATGTTATCTACATAGCTTTCAGTCCAAAGCTATCAGAATGGTGAGAGCTGGTGGAGCTGGTTCAGTGATTAGGGGCAGATGATAGAGGTGGTGCCTACTCATTGTGACTAAGTCAGTAGTCTGGAGGAGGGAAGAGTAGAAGAGGAGTTGGACTTCTTTTCTATTTCTTTTTTCTTTGAGATGGAGTCTTACTCTGTCACCCAGGCTGGAGTGCAGTGGCACGATCTCGGCTCACTGCAAGCTCCGCCCTCCAGATTCACACCATTCTCCTGCCTCAGCCTCCTGAGTAGCTGGGACTACAGGTGCCCACCACCACACCTGGCTAATTTTTTGTAATTTTTAGTAGAGACGGGGTTTCACCGTGTTAGCCAGGATGGTCTCAATCTCCCAACCTCGCGATCTGCCCACCTTGGCCTCCCAAAGTGCTGGGATTACAGGCGTGAGCCACTGCTCCTGGCCTCTATTTCTTTTTTAATTAATTAAATTTTTTTTAAAATTTTTTAGAGACAGGGTCTCACTGTGTTGCCCAGGCTTGTCTCAAACTCCTGGCCTCAAGCAATCTTCCTGTCTCAACTCCTAAAGAGTTAGGATTACAAGCATGAGCCACTGCACCCAACCTTCTTTTATTTTTTATGTAGGGCAAGATTATGGATTTTCAATAGAATTTAAATGCAGTCTTCTCCCAGAGTGAAACCTTATTGTAGCTTTGCTTTATCTGAGATGAAAAGGGACAACAAATTCCTCCCCTGTTTAGTTGAGGGGGCCCGAATAATTGTCAAGAATAATCTAAATGAAGGAATCTTAAGTGGAAGCGGTGCACATAGGATATTCATTCTCCCTATGGGCAGATACTCAGGTATCTCCAGCAAGATCCATAGTTATACAGCTCACTTTGTTTTAGAACAGTGGTCATAATCTACTAATACCTCTGTTCCTATTTGAGGCCCAATTGAGGATTTCCCCAAAGATTCCTGATAAGGATAAGGTGTATCCTTTTCAGAGACTGTCTCCCTATCTCTCCACCTCTGAAGACTTGCAGAAAGATTTCTGTTTTTGAGTACTCCCAAACACACCTTCATGCAATTACTTGTGCGTGTGAATTACTTGTAACCAAAAATGCATCTGTTCCTACCCAGCCACAAACAAACCATAGTCAAAGGGAGGGCAGCGTGAATAGTTTGGGAGTTCTTTGAATGTTTGCTGTCTGAAGATCATTAAGAAGGTGACATCTGTTTCTCCCAGTGTTTTTTCTCCCTTCTTTACAAAGTTGGTGCATTAAAATTTGTTTTTACATTTGGGAATACAAAATGTCTGTGAACAGGATTTGGGGTCCTCTCCCTAGGAGGTAAGATAGTGGTCTGTCCATGATTTCAGCCAGGAAAATGGGACCTGAACAAAGTTTTTAGAGGGCATGATCAAGAGCAGCTCATCTGCTGTGAGGATGGATGTGGGATTCTTGGTTTGCTAGTTCTGCTGATAGAGAGAGACTTAAGGGAAGGGAAAGAATGACTGATGGAATATTTTTTCTCTCTGTAGAACTTCCTGCAGGGACTGCTCACCAAAGACCCACGGCAGCGACTGTCCTGGCCAGACCTCTTATATCACCCCTTTATTGCTGGTCATGTCACCAGTGAGTCATCAGGGTTCCCAGGGCTCTTGGACTTCCCAGTACTTCCTCTAAACTACTTCCCTTTCACTTCCCCGACCATCTAGATATAACATGTCGTCTTTCCTCCAGCAGCTTGAACTTTCTTCCTAGCCCTTCACTTAACCTTTGCCACTTCCCTTACAACCCACTCTCTCTCTGTCACTTTTTCAAAATGATCTTCTTCCACAGAAGCCTGGAGACACTGAAGTTGTCCCTGGCCAAGTGGACACAGGGACTATGGCCCCCATGATCATGTCTTCCTCCTCTTCCCTCCCTGCAGTAATAACTGAGCCAGCAGGCCCAGATTTGGGGACCCCATTCACCAGCCGCCTACCCCCAGAACTTCAGGTCCTAAAGGACGAACAGGCCCATCGGTTGGCCCCCAAGGGTAATCAGTCTCGCATCTTGACTCAGGCCTATAAACGCATGGCTGAGGAGGCCATGCAGAAGGTGTGTGGGGCAGAGGAAAATATGTGAAATGACCAGGCTAGTGACTGGGGAGTTAGAGGAGGAGGGTGACTTTCTAGGGTTGGAGAAGGGCCGTGAATAGCATTCATATTGTCCTATAGCAATCAAATAGCTCTGATTCAGTGTTGCCCCCTACCTCCCACAGAAACATCAGAACACAGGACCTGCCCTTGAGCAAGAGGACAAGACCAGCAAGGTGGCTCCTGGCACAGCCCCTCTGCCCAGACTCGGGGCCACTCCTCAGGAATCAAGCCTCCTGGCCGGGATCTTAGCCTCAGAATTGAAGAGCAGCTGGGCTAAATCAGGGACTGGAGAGGTGCCCTCTGCACCTCGGTGAGAAGGGTATAGTTAGGGATTTGTAGGGTGAGGTATCTTGCACATCTTTAACTCTAGCCAAAGCAAATACAGAATGGTCCCTGTCACTAGCCACTGCCTAAACATGGATAGAGCCTCGAGAGTCTGAGTCCTGGATTCTTGGATTCTAATTATAGATGTTTTTCTGATTCATCAGGAAACTTGGGGACTTTCTCTTCTTTATGTACATTGACTGAAAGGTTGGCTGAAAGGGAAAGGATCATCTCCATCCAAAAGGGAAGATTGTTTTGAGTTGAAAGCCATAGGTGAAAACTGCAAAGTAGAATAAGCTCTAAAGTGAGAAGACAGTTAAGGATATTTGTGTAGTCGTCAACATATCCTGTACTGGTCATATCCCACATCCCAGAAAGAAGTCTCCTCTAGTCAATCCTATATGGCTTCTTTCTCATTCTTATCCTGGGTCTACAGAGAGGGACAAGTTAACGAACCCTAAGAGTCATAGGTTTGGAACCCGTTCTACCCCTTGGCTTCCTCCGGCAGGGAAAACCGGACCACCCCAGATTGTGAACGAGCATTCCCAGAGGAGAGGCCAGAGGTGCTGGGCCAGCGGAGCACTGATGTAGTGGACCTGGAAAATGAGGTGAGCCCTAGGGTCTCTTACTGACTTTGTCTCTTTCATGGGATGTTAAGTCTAGGTAGATGTTTTTCTAGAACAGTGATTCCCAACTCCCTAAGTATGAGCTCCCTTTGTGTTAAAAAGTATTGCTTTATTATTATAGATTTTAATTGTACAGTATCTGAACATATAATTATTTAAAATGGAAACACATAGGTAAAAATGAAAGTCCTCATTGAATCAGTCTCCAAGGTGACCAGTGTTATTAATTTAGTCCGTCTCCTCCCAAACTTTCTGTAATTTCACACACATGCATAAGCAAACATAGGCATTTATAGTTTGCTGTTTTTACATTACTGAGTTTTATTATATGTATTGTTTTACATCATACCTCCTTCACTGTATAATCTGGGATCTTTCTACACCAGAGCATGTAGTTTTACCACAATCGTTTTTTTTTTTTTTTCGAGACAGAGTCTCACCCTGTCGCCCAGGCTGGATTGCAGTGGTGCAATCTTGGCTCACTGCAACCTCTCCCTTCTGGGTTCAAGCAATTCTCCTGCCTCAGCCTCTTGAGTAGTGGGATTACAGGTGCCCACCACCACACGTGGCTAATTTTGGTATTTTTAATAGAGATGGGGTTTTACCATGTTGGCCAGGCTAATCACAAACTCCTGACCTCAGGTGATCTGCCTGCCTCAGCCTCCCAAAGTGCTGGGATTACAGGCATGAGCCACTGTGCCTGGTCTACAACATTTTATTAATATGTTTTTTTTGAGTTTTGCCTTTTTTTTAAAATAATTTCAAACTTAAAGAATAATTGTGAGAATACCACAAATAATTCCTGTGTATACCCTTGTCTTAGTCTGTTTTGTGCCACTATAACAGAATAGCTAAGACGGTAATTTATAAAGAACAGAAATTTATTTCTCACAGTTCTGGAGTCTGGAAAGTTCAAGATCAAGGTGCCAGCAGATTGGGTCATAGTCTCCAGGAGGGTGCCTCAAATGCCCAGTCCTTGAGAGGGGAAGAATGCAGTGTCCTCACTTTGCAGAAGTGCAGAAGAGAATGAACTCACTCCTGCAAGGCCTTCTTATAGCATCAGTCCATTCTTGAAGGCAGAGCCCTTGTGACCTAAACACTTCTGATTAGGCGCTGCCTCCTAACACTGGTGCAATGGGGATTAAGTTTCTAACACGTGAGTTTTGGAGAGGACAGAACATTCAAACCATAGCAACACTTTTTATTTATTTTTTTTATTTTTTTGAGATGGAGTTTTGCTCTTGTTGCCCAGGCTGGAGTGCAACGGCACGATCTTGGCTCACTGCAACCTCTGCCTCCTGGGTTCAAGCGATTCTCCTGCCTCAGCCTCCCAAGTAGCTGGAATTACAGGCATGTGCCATCATGCCCAGCTAATTTTGTATTTTGAGTAGAGATGGGGTTTCACCATGTTGGCTAGGCTGGTCTCAAACTCCTGACCTTAGGTGATCTGCCTGCCTCGGCCTCCCAAAGTGCTGGGATTACAAGCTGGAGCCACCACACCCAGCCTATAACAACACTTTTACCCCAAATTCATCAGTTGTAAAACTTTTGTCTCATTTGCTTTACCATCCTCTCTCTCTCTCTCCCCCTATGGACATAGCATCTTTCTGAATCATTTTAGGGTAAGTTGTACACATGCCCCTTTACCCCTAAATACTTTAGCGCATATTTCCTAAAACAAGATCCTTCACTTACACTAACACAGTACAATTATGAAAGTCAGAAATTTAACATTGATATAATACTGTTATAATAGATTAATTAAACTAATCTGTAATCCTTATTCAAATTTTGCTAATTGCTTCAGTAATGTGCGTTATGAAAATTTTTTTTCTGCTCCATGATCCAATCCAGTATCACACCTTGCTTTATTTATTTATTTATTTATTTATTGAGCAGGGTCTTACTCTGTTGCCAGGGTGGAGTGCAATGATGTGATCTCGGCTCACTGTAACCTCCGACTCCTGAGCTCAAGCAATCCTCCTGCCTCAGCCTTCTGAGTAGCTGGGACTACAGGCACCTGCCACCATGCCTGGCTAATTTTTGTGTTTTTTTAGAGAGAAGGTTTCGCCATCTTGTCCAGGTTGGTCTTGAACTCCTGGACTCAAGTGGTCTGCCCGCGTCAGCCTCACAAAGTGCTGGGATTACAGTGAGCCACTGTGCCCAGCCCACACATTGCATTTAGTTGTTATGCCTCCTTAGTCTCCTTTAATCTGGAACAGTTCTTGTCTTTCTTTGTATTTTATGACTGATAGTTTTGAGGTACACGTCAGTTATTTTGTAGAATGTTCCTCAAATTGATTATTTCCTAATGAATAGATTCAGGTTGTATATATTTTTGGTAGGAATACTACATAAGTGATACATCCTCAGTACCTTAATCTTTTTATTTATTTATTTGAGACAGTGTCTTATTCTATCACCTGGACAACAGGGTGGACTATAGTGGTGCAATCATGGCTCACTGCAGCCTTGAACTCATGGGGTAAGCAATTCTTTCATCTCAGCCTCCTGAGTAGCTGAGACTACAGGTGTATGGCACCATGCCCAGCTATTTTTTTTTTTTTTTTTTAAGATGGAGTCTTGCTCTGTTGCCTGGGCTGGAGTGCAGTGGCACGATCTTGGCTCACTGCAACCGCCGCCTCCCAGGTTCAAGCGATTATCCTGCCTCAGCCTTCTGAGTAGCTGGGGTTACAGGTGCCTGTCACCATGCCCAGCTAATTTTTGTATTTTTAGTAGAGACAGGGTTTCACCATGTTGTTCAGGCTGGTCTCGAACTCCTGACCTTGTGATCTGCCCGCCTCGGCCTCTTGAAGTGCTGGGATTACAGGCATGAGCCACTGCACCAGGCCTATTTTTATTTATTTATTTATTATTATTATACTTTAAGTTTTAGGGTACATGTGCACAATGTGCAGGTTAGTTACATATGTATACATGTGCCATGCTGGTGCGCAGCACCCACTAACTCGTCATCTAGCATTAGGTATATCTCCCAGTGCTATCCCTCCCCCTTCCCCCACCCCACAACAGTCCCCAGAGTGTGATGTTCCCCTTCCTGTGTCCATGTGTTCTCATTGTTCAATTCCCACCTATGAGTGAGAATATGTGGTGTTTGGTTTTTTGTTCTTGTGATAGTTTACTGAGAATGATGATTTCCAATTTCATCCACGTCCCTACAAAGGACATGAACTCATCATTTTTTATGGCTGCATAGTATTCCATGGTGTATATGTGCCACTTTTTTTTTTTTTTTTTTAAAGAGACAGAGCCTTACTATATTGCCCAGGCTGGTCTTGAGCTCCTGGCCTCAAGCAGTCCTCCTACCTCGACCTCCCAAAATGCTGGGATTACAGGTATGAGCTAATGTGCCCAGCCTCACGATCTTTTTTTTTTTTTTTTTTTTTTGAGACAGAGTTTCACTCTTGTTGCCCAGGCTGGAGTGCAATGGCACGATCTCAGCTCACCGCCACCTCCACCTCCTGGATTCAAGCGATTATCCTGCCTCTGCCTCCCGAGTAGCTGGGATTACAGGCATCTGCCACCACACCCGGCTAATTTTGTATTTTTAGTAGAGATGGGTGGGGTTTCTCCATGTTGGTCAGGCTGGTCTTGAACTCCCGACCTCAGGTGATCTGCCTGCCTCAGCCTCCCAAAGTGCTGGGATTATAGGCGTGAGCTACTGCGCCTGGCCTTTTTTTTTTTTTTTTTTTTTTTTGAGACAGAGTCTCACTCTGTCACCCAGGCTGGAGTGCAGTGGTGACATCTCGGCTCACTGCAAACTCTGTCTCCCGGGTTCAAACAATTCTCCTGTGTCAGCCTCCTGAGTAGCTGGGATTACAGGCATGTGCCACCACACCCAGCTAATTTTTGTATTTTCATAGAGAGGGGGGTTTCACCACATTGGCCAGGCTGGTCTTGAACTCCTGAGCTCAGGTGATCTGCCAGCCTCGGCCTCCCAAAGTGGTGGGATTACAGGTGTGAGCCACGCACCCGGCATTCACAATCTTTTTAATAACCTCATCGTATTTTCTAATATGGATGGACCCTGGTTTATTATTCCCTTAGTGACTGACTTTATGATCTTTTCCTTTTTAAAATTATTACAAACCATGCTGCAGCGGACGTCTTTCTAGGTATCTCTTTATGCACACATGCCGGTGTTCTCCAAGAGACTCTTCCAGACCCCTCACAGACTGCCAGCTGTACCTTTTTTAGCAGGTGACTGAAGATATACATCTGTGCTAAAGGGGTCACTGGCTCCTTGCAGTTACTTCATGATTCCCCATGGTTTCTACTGGTTGGGATCTACTACCTTAGACTTACACACTACTCCTGACCCCTTTCACTCCCCTCTGCCTCAGGAGCCAGACAGTGACAATGAGTGGCAGCACCTGCTAGAGACCACTGAGCCTGTGCCTATTCAACTGAAGGCTCCTCTCACCTTGCTGTGTAATCCTGACTTCTGCCAGCGCATCCAGAGTCAGCTGCATGAAGCTGGAGGGCAGGTAATGGGGAGAAAGACACTGTGGATGGGATCAAGACTGTTTTCACAGATGGAGCATTGAAATACACTGACTTCAGGAGAAAGAGAAAGTTTGTCCTTTTCCAGTTCTTCAGTCTATCTGCTTAGTTTGAGGAGGTTTACCAACCTCCTTTAGTAACACAGAAAGAGCAGCCCTCAGGTTTCTTTTTCTGAAGGGAAAAATGCCTACTAGAATAGGGATCAAACTTTTTTGATGATAAATATTTTAGGCATTGTGAGCCACCAGGCAAAAATGGAGGATATTATGTTAAGTACTTACATAATGAGGGAAAACACATTTTCACTAATTTTTTATTGATGAAATTAAAAATATAAATGTAACAATTAAATATACAATATTTTGTACTACAGGTACACTAGTGAGAAGAATGAGGTTATTTTGCGGGGGAGAGGAATGACATTTTGCTTAATTAGCATTCAAAGTTAGTGTAAAGTTAGTGTTCCCTCCTACAAAACCTTACTTTGCTCCTCTGAAACACAGTGCTTTTCCTTCCTGGGTACTCGCCAAACTGTGTTGCTTATATCACTTTATTCAGGTATAATTTATGTATAAGATTTACACTTTTTTGATGAATGATAAATGATTTTTAGTAAATTTGCTAATTTAAAAACTGTTAACCATAGTTCAGTTTTAGAACATTTTCATCACCCCAGTAAAATCCCTCATACCCATTTACGGTTTTTTTTTTGAGACGGAATCTCACTCTGTCACCCAGGCTGGAGTGTAGTGGTGTGATCTCGGCTCACTGCAACCTCTGCCCCGCGCAGGTTTAAGCAATTCTCTGCCTCAGCCTCTGGAGTGACTGGGATTACAGGCTCGTGCCACCACGCCCGGTTAATTTTTTTGTATTTTTAGTAGAGATGGTGTTTCACCATCTTAGCCAGGCTGGTCTTGAACTCCTGACCTTGTGATCCGCCCGCCTCAGCCTCCCAAAGTGCTGGGATTACAGGCGTGAACCACCGTGCCCAGCCTTTTTAAAATTTATTTATTTATTTATTTTTAATTTTTGAGATGGGGTCTCACTCTGTCATCTAGGCTGGAGTGTTGTAGCACAATCTTGGGTCACTGCAGCCTCTGCCTCCCTGGTTCAAGGGATTCTCATGTCTCAGCATCTCAAGTAGCTTGGATTACAGGCGTGCACCACCATGCTTAGCTAATTTTTTGTATTTTTTGTAGAGATAGGGTTTTACCATGTTGCCCAGGCTGGTCTGGAACTCCTGGGCTCAAGTGGGCTCAAGTAATCCTCCCACCTTGGCCTCCCAAAGTGCTAGGATTATAGGTATGAGCTACTGCCCCCAGCCCCCATTTACAGTTAATCATTATTCCCCTTTTTATAGCTGGTTAGTATTCCGTTATATGGATATATCACATTTTGTTTATCCACTCACTAGTTGATTAGATATTGATGTATTGGGTTGTTTCCACTTTTTAGCTTTTATGAATAATGCTGCTATGAACATTCACAAGCAAGTCTATGTATGGATAAATGTTTTTATTTCCCTTGGGTAACTACGTAGGAGTAGAATTGCTGGTCATATGGTAAATTTATATTTAACATTTTAAGAAACTGCTGAACTATTTTCCAAAGTGGCTGTACCATTTTACATTCCCACCAGTATTATATGAGGGTCCTTGTTTCTTCACATCCTTGTCAACACTTGTTATTGTCTAACTTTTTTACTATAGCCATTCTAGTAAGTGTGAGATAGTATCTCATTGTTATTTTAATTTACATTCCACTAATGATGAATGTTGAACATCTTTTCATGGCTTATTCACCATTTGTATATCTTCTTTGGTGAAATATCTCAAATCTTCTGCTCAGTTTTTAATTTGGTTGTTTGCGTTATTGAGTTGTAAGACTTCTTTGTATATTGTCAACATAAGACCTTTATCAGATGGGTGATTTGCAAATATTTTCTCCCAGTCTGTGGTTTGTCTTTTCATTCTTTCTCATAAGAGTGTCTTTTGAAGCAAAAAATGTTGAATTTTGATTTAAGTTCAGTTACTGTTTTTTCCCTTTGTGGTTCATACTTTTGATGTTGTGTATAAGAAATCTTTTCCAAATGCAAGGTCTTAAAGATTTTCTCTTTTCCTAAGTTTTATAGTTTTAGCTCTTACATGTAGGTTTCTGATCCATCTTGAGCTAATTTTTGTATATAATGTGAGGAAAGGATCTAAGTTGATCGTTTTTGCATGTGGATATATAATTGTCCTGGCACCATTTGTGGAAAAGAACTCTCCTTTCCTCATTGAATTGGCTTGGCACTTTGCACTTGTCTTTTGGCGCTAACACGTTTTCCTCCTAGTGTTGGATAACTTGCAGTGTGGGGAGGCAGACTGAAAGCTCTGCCTTTAGGGATAAGACTCCCTCTGGTGGAATTCCAGCTGCACTACTCATTAGCTGCGTGATCTTGGACTACTTACTTGACTTATGCAGAAGCTTCAGTTTCTTCATCTATAAAATGGCTAATTCTATTTATTTCACAGGGTTATTGTAAATATTAAATGAGCAGATGCCAACATTTAGAACAGCTAATGGAATATTATAAAATACTTGGTGTAAATGTTCTTCTTTTGAAGAATAACCATTTAAAAATACAATACTGGCCAGGCATGGTGGCTCACGCCTGTAATCCTAGCACTTTGGGAGGCTGAGGTGGGAGGATCACTTGAGGTCAGGAGTTTGAGGCCAGCCTGGCCAACATGGTGAAATCCCATCTCTACTAAAAATACAAAAATTAGCTAGGTGTGGTGGTGGGCACCTGTAATCCCAGCTACTTGGGAGGCTGAGGCAGGAGAATCACTTGAACCCAGGAGGCAGAGAGGTTGCAGTGAGCCAAGATTGCACCATTACACTCCAGCCTGGAGGACAAGAGTGAAACTCTGTCTCGAAAAATAAATAAAGGGCAAAAATAAATAAAAATATAATACTATCCTTAGCATGCAGGCTGTATACAAATAAATGTTAGGCTGGATTTGACCTGTGAGCCATAGTTTGTCAACCCTGATCTAGAGTTGAATAATGTTGTTTTGTCTTTCTGTGGTTAAATAATATTGTTTTATATGCATTGTTTTGAATTTTCAGAAGCATGTGCGGTGCACGTGTTTTTTGTTTTTAAGGTGAAGGGCTGGAGAAGGGAGGGAGCAGATGGGAATGGCACTTAGTCTGACAGAGATCCTGAGGAGAGGCCCCTATCCGTTGGTCACTGGTGTTCTGTGTTAGGTAACCTGACCATCTATTGTCTTCTTCCCTGGTACAGTTCCCCTATTTCCCTGCTTTCCTTCTCTGTGTTTTAGACTTGCAAAGAAAGGAATGCAAGCATGTGGTCTGCTTTCCCAGCTCCTTGGGGATGCTTGGTATGTGTAGTTCTCCTTCTTTTACCTCTGAAAATATCAATCGTTGCCTCTTTCCCTCATGTCACCCAGATCCTGAAAGGCATCTTGGAGGGTGCTTCCCACATCCTGCCTGCATTCCGGGTCCTGAGCAGTCTTCTCTCCAGCTGCAGTGATTCTGTTGCCTTGTATTCCTTCTGCCGGGAGGCAGGGCTTCCTGGGCTGCTGCTGAGTCTACTCAGGCACAGTCAGGAGAGCAACAGCCTCCAGCAGGTAAGCACCAGGCCAGAAGCCTCTGAAGACTTACAGAGGTTCTTTTTCTTGGATTTATCTCATTCAGATTGCCATCTCTCTTTGGTCTGACTGCCTTTTATTTTCTTTCCTCCTCTTTCTAGTTAGTAGACTATTAATTGCAAACTCTAATGCCTTCTGGGGCCAGGCAGATAAGGTCTGCCATGAAGTAGGCTATGCATGTGACTATATGAGTTGTGGGGAATATGATGAACTAGAGTTCACATGCCTCCTCTAAATAGAGTAGAGGCATCCTTTCCTCAGCCTCCAGCCCATTGTTGCCACAGGGAAATATGGGCCTGAGAAAACTAGCCAGATCTTCTAGTTTTCTAAGAAAAGGTAGAAACCCAAATTTTTATGTGTAATTTTTAAATATTTAGAGCGCTGTGCTTTGAAATGTTAGATCCTAGGCTTCATTGACCTGATCTTACAGAGCAGAGTACTAAAATTCAGAGGTAACTCATACACAGTCACTAATTTGTAAATGGTCACAGAGATAACAAGTGGAAGAGCTGGGATAGAGACTCAATGTGTTTGGGGCCAAACCTCTACTTCCCCCTGCTGTGTCCTACGGTAGCTGGACTGAGAGGATGGGGAATGTTTCAGAGTCAGTGTAAATGCCTAATAGGGCCTAGGATGAGGCAGCTGGAAAGCTGCACTTTGTTGATGAGTATTAATCTTGGGTGATTTTAAGGAATTTAGAGAAAAAGATTTTTGAAAAATAGAACCTCCTATACTCCAAAATGCTATTCAGGCCAAACAAGACACATTTAATCCAGGCTGTTCACAGCCCATTGGCAGATTCTCTGTTACCCCTAGAACTCTCTCTCTGCCTATACTTCTCTTCTGTCCCTTTCTGTTTGATCAACTTGACTGGGTCTCTATACACCCTTTCTACTGTTTTTTCTATTCTTTGTTTCCATCCTTCACATTGCCCTTACTCTCTTCTCCTTTTCCTGGGCAGCAATCTTGGTATGGGACCTTCTTACAGGACCTGATGGCTGTGATTCAGGCCTACTTTGCCTGTACCTTCAATCTGGAGAGGAGCCAGACAAGTGACAGGTAGGATAAGAAGTGCTTTTGCATTGTTGGCAAGTTTGGCTTCTGTTTCTACCCCAAGTGCCCTTCCCATTTAGGAACAGGCCAAGTATGAAGAAGCTGTGATTTGTTACAGGTTTAGGAATCAGCTGAGTGGCCACTCATAGTCCTTTTAAGGACCCTAAGACAGCTCCAACTTGGCCTCAAGACTTACAGTTTCTAAGAGTCAGCAGTCACCATGGTCCTAAAATGGAAGGGTCAAGATGTGAATAACCTATTCCAGGAAGCCAATTGGATTAAAGAAAGAAAGAAAGAAAAAAAATATGCGAATAACCTAGAGAAAATGGCAAAGAAGGGGCTTGGAGGGTGTATGTGTGTGTGTGGCAAGGGAGAAGGGAGGAACATTCTGATGTGTCCCTTTGCAGAGATTCTCCTACCTGCCCAGGACTGACCCATTCACCACATCCAGGCTTTTAGTAGAGAGATAAGAAATCATGGGCTCATTTTCCACCCCCAGCCTGCAGGTGTTTCAGGAGGCTGCCAACCTTTTTCTGGACCTGTTGGGGAAACTGCTGGCCCAACCAGATGACTCTGAGCAGACTTTGCGGAGGGACAGCCTTATGGTAATCTGCTCCCACTTCCAGATTTCTGTGTCTCCTATCATTCTCCGTGTTTCTCCCATCCCCTTTCTTATGACTATGTAGGGTCAGATCAAGTTAATATGACAAACATTTGTTAAATTCCCACCATGCCATATGCCATGTGAGTAAGAAAAAGTGCCTGCCTTCAAGGGACTAGGGATAATTTAATAGGGGAGAGGTAAAGGGATTAAGGACAACAGTGAAAAGTACATTAGAACTTTGCATATAATACAAGAGCACTGCTGTATTTTATGAAGAAGATGCAGTTAACCACTGCAGAAGATGCACTTAACACTATTTGGAGTATCATAGAAGAAATCTCGAAGAAGGAAATCATCTCTGCTAGCATTTGAAGAATACATCGCAGTTTGCCACGTAAATGAGGCACAAAGTAGAAATTCTATACAGAAAGAGTAACATATATAAAGGCCCAGAGGCTTTAAGCAGTTTGGCATATTTCAGGGGACCACAAATAGAACGACTTCTTCTTGAAAAGACTTGCAGATCATCTAGTATTGTCTAACCTCGTTTGTCCTGAGGATTAGTAGACTATGCAGTTCTTTTCCCTAGATCCTGGAGGTAAGGGACAGGAGAATGGAGGATTGAATGAGAAAATAGCTGTGTTCTGACTAACCTCAGAGGAGATAGAGAGGAACATATATTTGTAAGGAAGTAAATAATTGCCTGGTCATTGTTAAAACTGGTAATTGGGAACATAGATCTGGACTACTACTTGCCTTTAGCTAGCATTCACTCAGACTTTCCTGGTCTGAGATCCTGTTTTAATATCCCTCACCCTTTCAAGTCAGAAAGCTTTTACTGTCTAACCTAAATTTTGGCCAGCAGTGACTCATGCTATTGGCCAGCACTTCTCATGTCATATGCTATGAATAGAATGGGGAGTTTGGAATAATTACCTCCTGAAATTCTGAATCAGTAGGACTGAGTTGGGAGGGACCCAGGAATCCCTAGGATTTCTTCTTTTCTTTCCTTTTTTTTTTGGAGACAGGGTCTCTCTGTCACCCAGGCTAGAGTGCAGTGGCATGATCTTGACTCACTGCAACCTCCACCCTCCGGGCTCAAGCAATCCTCCCATCTCGGCCTCTTGAGTAGCTGAGACTATGGGTGCACACCACCAGACCTGGCTATTTTTTTTGGATTTTTAGTAGAGACAGGGTTTTGCCATGTTGCCCAGGTTGGTCTCAAACTTCTGAGCTCAAGTGATCCACCTGCCTCGGCCTCCCAATCCCCTGTTGGGATTACAGGCATGAGCCATTGCACCTGACCCCTAGGAATTCTTATACTCACAGTCTATAAAAAATACTTTGAGAAACATCATCTAGGGAGCATCTGATCAGAGAATAGAAGGATTGACACCTAAAATTATTGTCCTTGAAGCATGAATGAAAGCAGTTCTAATGCATTTTTGGTGTGAAGAATGCTTAAAATTAGACATGTGTTTGCTTTGGTTTTTGTCCTCTTTCCTCAGATCCTCAGGGTTTTCTTGTTTTTTACACTAAGCCCAGTCTTCTGATGCCCTGATGCTACCTCTGCACTTCTCTCCTTTAGTGCTTTACTGTCCTGTGCGAAGCCATGGATGGGAACAGCCGGGCCATCTCCAAAGCCTTTTACTCCAGCTTGCTGACGACACAGCAGGTTGTCTTGGATGGGCTCCTTCATGGCTTGACAGTTCCACAGCTCCCTGTCCACACTCCCCAAGGTAACCAGAGTGGAGAAGGGAGGTTCTCTTGACTTACTTGTTGCATAGGTCAGGCTCCGCTCTTTCTATTGCCATCACCTAGATCGCACCTGGCATTTAGTAGGTGCTCAATAAATAACTGTGAACTGAGAGAATGAATGGGGATCTGAGGGAAACAAACAGACCTCATCCTGCATTCTTCCCACTCCCTTAGGTTCCCTACTCCTGCTGCCATGTCGGTGAGTACTGGTGCTATTGTCTAGGGCAAGAGCCTCAGGCCTTTGGAGTTACTCTTTGCTTTTCTCCACAGGAGCCCCGCAAGTGAGCCAGCCACTGCGAGAGCAGAGTGAGGATATACCTGGAGCCATTTCCTCTGCCCTGGCAGCCATATGCACTGCTCCTGTGGGACTGCCCGACTGCTGGGATGCCAAGGAGCAGGTCCGAGCTACAATTGGTTGTTCCTCTCATCCTACTGCCAGAGGAATTGAGGAGGCTAGCCCCAGTTTTTCAGAAAGGCAGAAAAACAAGCTTTTAAGCCCCTCCTTTAGTACTTCCAGAAACAGATGCTCCCACCCTGGGCCATTTGTAGAACATGATATAGCCAGAATCCCAGAGCCCATGGCCAGTTGGTGAGGGAGAGAGCACAGTGATAAACTGCCCAGATGGTGGGGCAGCTGATCTGAAGCCTCCAGTGATGCTTCCTCAAGGGCTGAGAATTCAGCTTTCCTGATCCCTGTTGGTCGGTAATCCTTTCCTCTGTACCTGGCTACACTGGGGCCAAACTAGGCCATGACTTTTGGTTCTCTATTGGTGATGAAGACTGGGAATAGAATGGGGTCTGAGGTTTCTGGTGAATGTGGGAAGAGTGACTAGGAAGAGACTGAGAGTCCTGATCATTTTGGACATATGTGAGGAATAGGGTTGTAATCATGTGGATAGGATTGAGCCTTCAGGTATGTCTCTATAGGTCTGTTGGCATTTGGCAAATCAGCTAACTGAAGACAGCAGCCAGCTCAGGCCATCCCTCATCTCTGGCCTGCAGCATCCCATCCTGTGCCTGCACCTTCTCAAGGTAATCCTCTTAACTCCTGGCATCACAGCTTTATTTTTAACTCCCAGTGCAGACAGAGAAGCAGAGAAACAGACCAAGAGAGGAGGACTAAAAGAGAGAGAGACTGAGAGAGACCATTTGAGACACCCCCTTGGAAGACTCCTTTCTGCTTTTAAATCTGTTCAACTGAGAGGACCCCACTGTTAGCCAGTCCTCAGCGGAACCGAGAAGGGTCCCTGTCTCACTATCTCATAGCAAGAGGCAGAAGGGGGTTCTCTCACACTCCCAAGTGTGGGTACCAGATCTTTTGAGGGGCTGGCCGGTGTTTCCGCTGAGCCTTCAATCTTGGAGCCCGGGGCCTGCCCTGCCTCACTGCCAGACTCCTTCCTTCTCCCTCAGGTTCTATACTCCTGCTGCCTTGTCAGTGAGGGCCTGTGCCGTCTTCTGGGGCAGGAGCCCCTGGCCTTGGAATCCCTGTTTATGTTGATTCAGGGCAAGGTAAGCCAGCTTCCCCTGGCAGCCCCACTGTCTCAGCCAGAGGTTGTTCTGATATCTTAGGTTTCCTTTGTAGGTAAAAGTAGTAGATTGGGAAGAGTCTACTGAAGTGACACTCTACTTCCTCTCCCTTCTTGTCTTTCGGCTCCAAAACCTGCCTTGTGGGTAAGTCATAAAGTAGGGTGTCTCCACAGAAGTCTTCTAGCCACATAGCTAACCCTCACAAAGAGTATGGGGAATGGTACCCTACAGCATATCCTTAGGAGGAATTGGGATAGAGAGCGTGAAGCTTTCTCTACAAAGAACAGACCTAGACTCCCATCAACTTTGTGCCTTGGAGGTAGACATGCAGCCTAGGTGAAGAACACCATGCAAGGGAGAGGGGAGGCCGCTTACCAACCTCCTTTAATACTGCTGCATCCCTTGATGTATCTCTTTATTCCAGAATGGAGAAGCTAGGCAGTGACGTTGCTACTCTCTTTACCCATTCGCATGTCGTCTCTCTTGTGGTAAGTTTTTAACCTTCACCCTCCTCCCCTTTTCACCCTAGCATCTACCCCTTGTGGAAGTGGGGGAGTCACTATCCAATTTGCATCTGTTTCTGGAGGCATTCTTTTGGACCAGGACAGAGACATAAATCCTCTCTGCCTGTCCTGAATGCCATTTAGATTTGGACATTCTTTCTCCTCTTTTACCTCTCCCACAGAGTGCAGCAGCCTGTCTATTGGGACAGCTTGGTCAGCAAGGGGTGACCTTTGACCTCCAGCCCATGGAATGGATGGCTGCAGCCACACATGCCTTGTCTGCCCCTGCAGAGGTGAGGCCCCCCAGGGAGGGCACAGACATGTTTTCTCTGAGTCAGACACTAGGACTGCATTCAAGGGGAAAAGACTGAAATGCCAGCAAGCCTGGAGTAAACTGAGGAATGGAAAAGGAATCAAGGAGCCCTTCCTTTTCTAGATTTGTCGCCGGATGATAGGCCCCTCTGAGCCCAGATTGATCTGGACTTTAGATTTCTTTTTAATATGCAGAGCTTCTAGAGAGTGAGGGAGGGAAGGGAAGAGGAAGGGTGACTAACCTGAGTTTTCTGAGTAGTGTGAGAACCCTGCCTGCTTCGTTCTCCTCCTCCAGAAGCTCATGCTCTTGGCAGAGTCCTTCCTAATGCATAATTTCACCTCTGACTGCAGCTTCCACTCTGCTTTCCCCACTTGTTCTTCTTAACAGATGGAAAAGGTGGCTGACATCCTGTGAATTCTTCAGGAACTCAGTCCATTATGTAGCCTTCTTTCTGCTTTCTCCTTTCCCAGGACTTTTCTTCCTTTCATTTTTAGACCCTTTGGAACTCATCTTTCCTTCATTTTGTAAAAAGAAGGATAGACTTTATAATCAAATTATTGTCATCCCTTTTTTTTTTTTTTTTTTTTTTTGAGATGGAGTTTCACTCTTGTCCAGGCTGGAGTGCCATGGCGCGATCTCGGCTCACCGCAACCTCTGCCTCCTGGGTTCAAGCGATTCTCCTGCCTCAGCCTCCCGAGTAGCTGGGATTACAGGCATGCACCACCATGCCCAGCTAATTTTTGTATTTTTAGTAGAGACAGGGTTTCTCCATGTTGGTCAGGCTGGTCTCGAACTCCTGACCTCACATGTGATCCGCCCACCTCGGCCTCTCAAAGTGCTGGGATTATAGGTGTGAGCCACCATGTCCAGTCTTTTTTTTTTTTTTTTTTTTTTTTGAGACGGAGTCTTATTCTGTCGCCCAGGCTGGAGTGTAGTGGCACGATCTTGGCTCACTACAACCTCCGCCTCCCAGGTTCAAGTGATTCTCCTGCCTCAGCCTCCCAAGTAGTTGGGATTACAGGTATACACCACCATGCCTGGCTAATTTTTTTGTGTGTTTTTAGTAGAGATGGGGTTTCACCATGTTGGCCAGGCTGGTCTCGAACTCCTGACCTCAAGTGATCCATCCGCCTCAGCCTCCTAAAGTGCTGGGATTACAGGAATGAGCCACTGTGCCCAGCCTGCCATCTTTATATATGTAGAATTCTTTTTTTTTTTTTTTTTTTTGAGATGCAGTCTCACTCTGTCACCAGGCTGGAGTGCAGTGGCGTGATCTCGGCTCACTGCAACCTCCACCTCCTGGGTTCAAGCGATTCTCCTGCCTTATCCTCCTGAGTAGCTGGGACAACAGGTGCACACCTCCATGCCCAGCTAATTTTTGTATTTTTAGTAGAGACGGGGTTTCACAATGTTGGCCAGGCTGGTCTGGAACTCCTGACTTCCTGATCCCCCCGCCTCAGCCTCCCAAAGTGCTGGGATTACAGGCGTGAGCTACCTCAGTGGCTGAATTCTTTATAATTTATAAAACATTTTCACATGTTATCCCACAACACACTTGAAATATAGACACACCAATGTAATAATACTCATCTGCTTTTTCTAGACTAAGTTAGCCTTCAGAGAGGTTGTATCACTAGTGATAGCACTAACACTCATCCAGAAGTCTAAGTCAGAACTTTGGGAGTCATCAGTGACTGTTCTCTCTTCCCCATTATTCCCCCACCGAAATGGTTCCCCCAGGCCCCATATATTCTACCTTCCGGTTGACTCTCAAATCTGTTCCCTCCATGGCACCATCACTGACCTGCCTTGGTTTAACGGACACCCCATTCCTCTTAGGCACCTGCATTCTTCATGTTTCTCTCTGACAGGTTCGGTTGACTCCACCAGGTAGTTGTGGATTCTATGATGGCCTCCTTATCCTTCTGTTGCAGCTCCTCACTGAGGTACAGATGGATCTTGGGATGGATGGGAAGTAAAGAGAGAGGAACTGGGCATTTTGGGGAGCCTCTGGACCAGAGGAATGAAGAAGCAACCCACAGCCTTCCCTCTCAAGCTACTGTGCCTGTGATAGCCTTGGAACTTCCCCGCCTGCCCTCAGTACTGACCCTTTGAAGGAAACCATTCGCTGCGTCCCCTGGGATCCAGTGGGAGATAAAATGAATTCCCTGGGTTTCAGCAGACATACACATGAGTTGTGAGGTCAGAGGGTTAAGGTTTGATAAGAAAATGAAATAAGACGACAGGGAAATACTAGGTGGGAAAGCGGAAGGAATTATTTCTGGGACTTCCTTTACTTGTAAGTCAGGGACAGGAATGAATAAAAGCATTTGGATTCCTGACTTCTGTCTTTCCCCCCGCCCTCTTTCACTTTTATCTCTAGCAGGGGAAGGCTAGCCTAATCAGGGATATGTCCAGTTCAGAAATGTGGACCGTTTTGTGGCACCGCTTCTCCATGGTCCTGAGGCTCCCCGAGGAGGCATCTGCACAGGAAGGGGAGCTTTCGCTATCCAGTCCACCAAGCCCTGAGCCAGACTGGACACTGATTTCTCCCCAGGGTATCTTTCTATCAGTATCCTTTTTGGGAGTGCATTGATCTCTCTTCAAGAGGAGGCAGCCCAGAACTGGGTTAACCCACAGAGGTTTATTTTTTTTGCTTTTGCCTGGGGACAGGAAGCAGTGTCTGCACTAGAGCTGCTCTAAGATGGGGAAGGGACTGAATAGGTGTAGCCCTGGGAGCTGTGGGGAAGCAGGGGTATCTGGGCGTCTTGCCTGTTCCATTGGGTCTCCATTTTTGGTGTTACCAGGCATGGCAGCCCTGCTGAGCCTGGCCATGGCCACCTTTACCCAGGAGCCCCAGTTATGCCTGAGCTGCCTGTCCCAGCATGGAAGTATCCTCATGTCCATCCTGAAGCATCTGCTTTGCCCCAGCTTCCTGAATCAACTGCGCCAGGCGTGAGTTTGAGCTAGAAGAGAGCCACAGAGTCAGCAACGGGGAGGGAGAAAGAAGAAGGCAGGAAAGAAGTTACTGACAGATTGAGCTATAAAGCAAGAAAGATGAGATCAGGTTTAGGCTGGAAACCTAAGTAGTGGCTGAGACTGTAGAAGGGGAGTTGGGCAAAGGAATTGGAGGAGGGAGGGAGGAATGATAAAGGTTAAGTGAACAAGACCAAGTCTCTTCGACATTCCTCTCCTTAGGCCTCATGGGTCTGAGTTTCTCCCTGTCGTGGTGCTCTCTGTCTGCCAGCTCCTTTGCTTCCCCTTTGCGCTGGACATGGATGCTGACCTCCTTATAGGTGTCTTGGCCGACCTCAGGGACTCAGAAGTTGCAGCCCATCTGCTGCAGGTACTTGGGCAGCTAGCATGAAGGTGGGAGAGGAAGATAGCCAACCTTGTATCCTCTAATTTACTTCCCAGCAGCTCCAGGGCTCTTCTAGGCCCCTGTAAGCATGGAACAGCTGGCTTGACTCAAAAGTTGGCGTGGAGACAGTACTCAGACCTGCGCATGTGGTGGAGGCATGTGGTGGGAGCTGGGTTGGTGCCTCCTCCTCTCCATCAGTCCATCACCTGGTTCTGTTGGTGCTCATTGGGGAGAACATCCTAGTCTAGGCACTGAAGACTCACCTCCTTGGCCAGGAATCATGTTTCTGGCAATTCTTGGCATTGCACAGTGGGTCTTTGTTCTTTTGTTGTTTCTTTTTGTTTTTTCACAGTGGGTCTTTGAAGGCAGAGACTGAGCCCTTGCAAAGTAAGGAATGATCTTGGAAAGAACCTGCTCTCTCAGGCTCCACGTTGTGTCTCATGTGGAGTGCTGTGGGGCAGGACTTCCAGCTCTCTGTGGCATTTCTCACCATAGCTTGGCTTTTCTCTCTCCCAGGTTTTGGGCTTCTTTATAGCTGCATATACTCTCTCTCTCCCTGAATCCTTTTACCTCCTGTTCTCTCAGGTCTGCTGCTACCATCTTCCGTTGATGCAAGTGGAGCTGCCCATCAGCCTTCTCACACGCCTGGCCCTCATGGATCCCACCTCTCTCAACCAGTTTGTGAACACAGTGTCTGCCTCCCCTAGAACCATCGTCTCGTTTCTCTCAGTTGCCCTCCTGAGTGACCAGCCACTGTTGACCTCCGACCTTCTCTCTCTGCTGGCCCATACTGCCAGGGTCCTGTCTCCCAGCCACTTGTCCTTTATCCAAGAGCTTCTGGCTGGCTCTGATGAATCCTATCGGCCCCTGCGCAGCCTCCTGGGCCACCCAGAGAATTCTGTGCGGGCACACACTTATAGGCTCCTGGGACACTTGCTCCAACACAGCATGGCCCTGCGTGGGGCACTGCAGAGCCAGTCTGGACTGCTCAGCCTTCTGCTGCTTGGGCTTGGAGACAAGGATCCTGTTGTGCGGTGCAGTGCCAGCTTTGCTGTGGGCAATGCAGCCTACCAGGCTGGTCCTCTGGGACCTGCCCTGGCAGCTGCAGTGCCCAGTATGACCCAGCTGCTTGGAGATCCTCAGGCTGGTATCCGGCGCAATGTTGCATCAGCTCTGGGCAACTTGGGACCTGAAGGTTTGGGAGAGGAGCTGTTACAGTGCGAAGTACCCCAGCGGCTCCTAGAAATGGCATGTGGAGACCCCCAGCCAAATGTGAAGGAGGCTGCCCTCATTGCCCTCCGGAGCCTGCAACAGGAGCCTGGCATCCATCAGGTATACCCTACAGCACTTATGAACCATGATGATCAGGGCCCCTATAGTTGACAACATTTCTCTGAGATCATCTGTAAGGAATTGGAATCGGGACATGGAGAAACTTATGCCGTGTTTCTCCCAGGGACAGTGTCTTGGAGTGAGTTTTCTAGTTACATCTCCTGCCTTGGAGGAGGGAAGGGAGCTAGAAGAGGGCTCCAATGGGCTGGGAAATGTCTGAGATCTCAAGGACCACAGTTGATCTCTTCTAGAGGCTGTGCAGGAGGGAGATGAGGGAAGACTAAGAGATGCTGAGATAGAGTAGTTTTACTCTGTGTGCCATGAAGGTGCTGACTATTTTTTTTTTAGACTTACCATGAGAAAAGCACGATGCTAAGCATTTTACCTTTATTATCTGGTTTAAACTATTATTATCCTAATTTTGCAGATGAGGAAACTGAGGCACAAATAATTTAATAACTTGTCCAAATTACAAGGACAGTATGTAGGATTGGGCTTTTGAACTCAGAAGTCTGAGTCCAGAGCCCGTACTCTTAACCACTACTTTATCCTTCCTCTTCTGCGCAACTTTCTTTTTCCTTTTTTTTTTTTCTGAGACAGAGTTTCACTCGTACTGCCCAGGCCGGAGTGCATGGCATGATCTCGGCTCACCACAACTTCTGCCTCCCGGGTTCAAGCAGTTCTCCTGCCTTAGCCTCCCGAGTAGCTGCATTATAGGCATGTGCCACCACGCCTGGCTAATTTTGTATTTTTAGTAGAGACAGGTTTCTCCATGTTGGTCAGGCTGGTCTCGAACTCCCAACCTCAGGTGATCCACCTGCCTTGGCCTCCCAGAGTGCTGGGATTATAGGCGTGAGCCACTCTTTTTTTTTTTGAGACTGAATATCACTCGTTGCCCAGGCCAGAATACAGTGGCGCAATCTCAGCTCACTGTAACCTCTGCCTCCAGGTTCAGCCAATTCTTGTGCCTCAGCCTCCTGAGTAGCCGGGACTATAGGTGCCTGTCACCATGCCCGGCTAATCTTTGTATTTTTATTATTTATTTATTTATTTATTTACTTATTTATTTTTAAGATGGAGTCTCGCTCTGTTGCCCAGGCTGGAGTACAATGGCACAATGTTGGCTCACTGCAACCTCTGCCTCCCAGGTTCAAGTGATTCTCCTGTCTCAGCCTCCCAAGTAGCTGGGATTACAGGCACACACCACCTTACCTGGCTAATTTTGCATTTTTAGTGGAGACAAGGTTTCACCATGTTGGCCAGGCTGGTCTTGAACTCCTGACCTCAAGTGATCCACCCGCCTCAGCCTCCCAAAGTGTTGGGAATACAGGTGTGAGCCACCCTGCCTGACCGCGATTTTCAGTATATAAAGAGTCCAGTAGGCCAGGCTCTGTGGCTCTTGCCTGTAATCCCAGCACTTTGGGAGACTGAGGTGGGCGGATCACTTGAGGTCAGGAGTTTGAGACCAGCCTGGCCAACATAGTGAAACCCTGTCTCTACTAAAAATACAAAAATTAGCTGGGTGTGGTGGCAGGCGCCTGTAATCCCAGCTTCTCGGGAGGCTAAGGCAAGAGAATCCCTTGAACCTGGGAGGAGGAGGTTGCAGTGAGCGGAGATCATGCCTCTGCATTCCAGCCTGGGTGACATAGCGAGACTCTGTCTCAAAAAAAAAAAAAAGCCCATTGGAAATCACAGATATCTACATATGGTAATATAAATTATGACATCTCAAAGTGGTAGCATTGGGAAGTTCATGCAGAGCAGAAATTTGAGAGGATGGTGAAGATCTTTTTTTTTTTTTTGAGACGGAGTCTCACTTTGTCGCCCCCAGGCTGGAGTGCAGTGGCGCGATCTTGGCTCACTGCAAGCTCTGCCTCCCGGGTTCACGCCATTCTGCCTCAGCCTCCCGAGTAGCTGGGACTACAGGCACCTGCCGCCACACCCAGCTAATTTTTTGTATTTTTTTTTTTTTTAGTAGAGACGGGGTTTCACCGTGATAGCCAGGATGGTCTCGATGTCCTGACCTCGTGACCCGCCCGCCTTGGCCTCCCAAAGTACGGGATTACAGGCATGAGCCACCTTGCCTGGCCGATGGTGAAGATCCTATAGGAATCTTGTGCAATCCATGGGGAAAATAATTAATGGGATTCTTGGTGGTAATGAGGTTAGAACTCACTGGTCTGCATTGAAGGCTAGGAATTAGACCTTTTGGCTTACTGTGAGTTACTGCTGCATTCATCAAGTCTTCCTGGGGACAAGTATATGTGTCCCTTAGTGCCTTGGTTTCATGGTCTATAACCAAAGAGAATGGAAGTAGACTTCTGGTCCTGATGATTCCTATCTCCAAGGTTTCTCTTCTGCCATTCAGTCTATTCCAAGTCCCCAAGAGCCCATTTCCTTTTTCTTCCTCTTCTCGAGTGGGAATTCCTGGGTAAATGAGAGTCCTCCGCACCTGCCCCAGACACCACCATTTCTGAGCCTCATGTTCTGTTCTATCATCTGTTCTCTATCCTACAGGTACTGGTGTCCCTGGGTGCCAGTGAGAAACTATCCTTGCTCTCTCTGGGGAATCAGTCACTGCCACACAGCAGTCCTAGGCCTGCCTCTGCCAAACACTGCAGGAAACTCATTCACCTCCTGAGGCCAGCCCATAGCATGTGATTCCAGATTCCTGCGGTCCAGCCTCCAACTTTGGTTGCCAGCTCTTTCTTATTCTACTACACAAGCCGCCAACTCAACTGAGAGCTAAAGAGACTAGAAAAGAGATAAGCTGCCAACTCAACTGAGAACAAGAAACTAGAAGAGATTTATATATAAAGCTTCTTCCTTCTCCCAGATGCAGGATGTTTTCAACCAGTAAATTTTATTGCTGTTGGTGCCAGAGAAGAGTCCTTTCTTCTCTACATCCAGGGGCCTTTTCTCCAATAATGTGCCTTTAACTCTAGGGACCTGCCTCACGGACCTTAGGGAAAAACCTCAACCTGAAAGATCTCTTCCTTTCTGGAGCTCCTTTAATCTTCCCAGCAGGTTTTTGCCTTAGACGTGCTGGCCCCAGGACAGTGATGAAGACAGAGCCTGTCTCAGCTCTAGGCTGTGGGGATCAATGCCATCAGTCCCTGTTATTGAGGGATTATCCCTTAGCCAACATTCCTATCTGTGGGTGGGCGTGGAGAGTGTATCTTTTTTTGGGGTGTGTGTGTATATGTGTGTGTGTATGTGTGTGTGTGTTTAATAGTTCTGTTTGTAAACTCTTTTAATAAAAGTTGTGCCTCACCATACTTGAAGCTCCCAGGACAAGGGTTGAGAGGCTCAACCCCTCTTTCAGCTTCTATGTGGTGTTGGAGGTGCTGGTATCGTGTTCACACAAGATCCTGGTCTGGCAGCTTATTTATATCATTTCTTGCCTTTACCAATTTCCCCCTTCCTAGATGAACTATATTTGGTTACCTACTTTCAAGTCAAGGCCGGTGGAGCTGAAATAGGAAAGGGTAAGATTCAACAGAGCGGTCAATTAGGTTGCTCAGACTTAGTGACTAATTTTAATATTTAGTGGAGTTCTAATGTGTAGGGACTCCAAGCTGCTGTAGAAGGATAGCTATTTTAAAGATTGTACAATTTACCAGAAAGGGCTTTTAGTCAGACCTGTTAGAATTATAATCTAACTGGAAGCATTGGAAAACCTTAACTCATTGGATGGCTTAGAACAAGCTTCCAGGGCCTTGATTTCTCCATCCATAAAATGAGGAGACTCCTTTCTGTCCTTCCTTAAATTCCAGTTGTTTTAGAAATGAAAGACAAGTAAAGTGCCCTTATTTTTATAAGAAATTTTGTTTAACCCTCATCTTCATTGTCCACAGTGTTTATACTTTAGCAAAAATAATATTTTTCTAGGGAGCACCATAATTTTCTTCTATCCAGATTATCTCAATTCAGTTCAATGTATATTTTTTGAGTCCTTTCTGTATGCCAGATACTATTCTAGGTACAGGAGATAAAACAGTGCCCATCATAGAGTTTCCATTCTGGTCGGGGAGATAGTGAAATTATTAAAAGAATAGTATGTAGGAAGGTGGTAAAAGCTATGGAGAAAAAGAAACCAGGGAAAGGAGATGAGGAGTGCTGAGTCGGATGGTCAGGGTAGGCCTCACTAGAAGGTGACACTTGAGAAAAGACTCGAAGGAGGCGAGGGAGTGAGTTGTGCACCTATTTTGGGGAAAAGCCAAGGCCCTGAGATGAAAGCATGCCTGGCATGCTTGAGGAGCTATGAGGAACCAGTATGGATTAAGTGAGTAAAGAAGGTGGAGAATAGTAGGAAATGAGACAGGAAGGTAATGGTGGGGGCCAGATATTGTAGGCTTTGTAGACCTTGGTGAAGACTTGGGCTCTTACTTTGAATGAAGGAGGCATCTATTGCAGGCTTTTGAACAGAGAATTTTATGAACTACCTTGCATCCTAAACGGATCATTCTTCATTCTGGTCTTGTGAATGGCTATGGGGAGTAGGGGAGAATGCGAAGTAGGATAAGCAGTTAGGAGGCTATTGTTATAATAATCCAGGCAAGAGACAATGGTGTCCTGGATGGCGACTGGGGTGATACCTATGGAGTGATAAAAAAGTAGTCAAATTTTGAATATATTTTGAACATGGAACAAACAGGATTTCTTGACTGATTGGAGGTGAGGGTATGACCAAAAGAAAGCAGTCAGGGATGACTCCAAGGTTTTTGGTCTGAGCAATTGGAAGAATGGAATTGTCATTCACTAAAATGGGGAAGGCTAGCAGTGGAGTGATAATGGGTGGGAATGAGTTCAATTGTGAACATCTTGTCTTTCAGTTGGAAATGTTTGAACACACACAGAGGTAGAGGATAGTTCAGTGTACTCCATCACTACTTGAGCAGCTACCATATCTATTTTGTTATTCTGGTGTTTGTTTGTTTTTGAGACAGGGTCTCGCTCTGTCACCCAGGCTGGAGGGCAGTGGCATGATCATGGCTCACTGTAGCCTCGACCTCTCAGGCTCAAGGAATCCTCCCACCTCAGCCTCCCGAGTAGCTCGGACTACAGGCGCCCGACTCATTTTTGTATTTTTTATAGAGATGGGGTCTCACTGTGTTGCCCAGGCTGGTTTGGAACTCCTGGGATGAAGTGATACTCCCAAAATGCTGGGGTTACAGGTGTGAGCCACTGCCCCAGCCTTACTCAGGTTATTTTAAAACAAATCCTGGCTGGCAGTGTTATCCATACATACTTAGGTATACGTCTGCGGCAGATCAGGACTTTTGTATTTCACTTTTATCAAAACCACAGTATAGTACTGTACTTGACAAAAATTAACAATTGCTTAATATTAAATATCTCAGCTGACCTTAGTATTTCTTGGCCTGTAGTTAGTTTGTTCAAATACAGATCTAGATGAAGTCTACTTACTGCATTTGGTTGACTTGCTTGTAAGATTCTTAATATCAGGGTAGAATGAATGAAATTTTTAATTTTTTTTTAGAAGTTGCTGAGATCTGAAAAAAATATTTTATTTATTTATATATTTATTTATTTTTGAGACAGAGTCTTGCTCTGTTGCCCAGGCTGGAGTGCAGTGGCATGATCTTGGCTCACTACAACCTCCACTTCCCAGGTTCAAGCGATTCTCCTGTCTCAGCCTCCCGAATAGCTGGGATTACAGGCACACACCACCATGCCCAGTTAGGTTTTTTGTATTTTTAGTAGAGATGGGGTTTCACCATGTTGGCCAGGCTGGTCTCAAACTCCTGACCTCAGGTGATCCACCCGCCTCGGCCTCCCAAAGTGCTGGGATTACAGGCATGAGCCACCGCGCCCGGCCAAGATTCTTAATATAAAACAGTTCCCTCTACTTTTGGGAGGTACAATTTCATTGAATAAACCAGATCATTTGAGCAGTAGGCTTCTTCACATTAGATTTGGCTGATTATGTATTGGGATGTCATTTATTCCATTACAGTATTCTTCCTATTTCCTTTAAATTGTTCATTGGCTCTGGATAGATGAAGATGTTAGAAACACTTTTCTTCTTGTAAATTCTGTTGCTCAAATCTCCTGTACCCAGGCAGTCAGTCAGCCATGCTCTTGACTTCACTAAGACCTGTCTAGGCAAATACAGTATTTTAAAATCTAGATTGTTTTCCTAAAAGATAAACTAAGGGGAGTTACCTTGTGTAAGAATTATTTATTTTTTCAAATAATAAACTAAATACTAGCTTGAAATATCATTCTTATCTGGTACATAAACAATTTGCTAAAAAGAAATTAAACTGCCTGTAATCCCACAGGAAGAATACTGTAATGGAATAAATGACATCCCGGCCACTTTGGGAGGCCGAGGCGGGTGGATCACAAGGTCAAGAGATCGAGACCATCCTGACCAACATGGTGAAACCCCGTCTCTACTAAAAATACAGAAATTAGCTGGGCGTGGTAGCACAAGCCTGTAGTCCCAGCTACTCAGGAGGCTGAGGCAGGAGAATCCCTTGAACCCAGGAGGTGGAGGTTGCAGTGAGCCAAGATTACGCCACTGAACTCCAGCCTGGTGACAGAGCAAGACTCCGTCTCAAAAAAAAAAAAAAAAAAAAGCAATTAAACTTATACCTAAACTTTTTAGACTATCTAGCACATAAAGCAATAGTTGATCATTTTATGCGGAAACAAGAAAACACATCCATGTCCTTGAAAGCATTCAATCTGAAGGATTAGAAATACCGTATCAACAATTTTACTTCTAGCAATTATTGCACAAGGGACTGACAGAGTACTAAGAGAATTTGGAGTGAATGTTTTGTGTAGTGCCTGGAATCCAGAGAATGTTTGGAAGGTTTGAGGATTTGTGCCTGTGTTTGATTTTGTATGTATAAACAGGTATGTGTTTTAACTTTTTTGGTGGTAATGGGGAACTAAAAAGTTTTCAACCATATAAAAGTAGAGAGAATGGCATAATAAACCCCCAGACCCTGATCCTACAGATTCAGCTGTCATCAGCATTTTGCCCTACTATCATCAATATTTTGGCTTTACGTACCGTATTCCTTTTAAAAATTTATCAGCTGGGTGTGATGGCTCATGCCTGTAATCCCAGCACTTTGGGAAGCCGAGGCGGGCAGATCACTTGAGGTCAGGAGTTTGAGAGCAGCCTGGCCAACATGGCGAAATTCCATCTCTACCAGAAATACAAAAATTAGCCAGGCATTGTAGTGCACGCTTGTAATCCCAACTACTCGGGAGGCTGAGACGTGAGAATTGCTTGAACCTGGGAGGTGGAGGTTGCAGTGAGCCCAGATCGTGCCACTGCCCTCCAGCCTGGACCACAGAGCAAGACTATCTTAAAAAAAAAAAAAAAAGACTGGGCATGGTGGCTCACGCCTGTAATTCCAGCACTTTGGAAGGCTGAAGCAGGTAGATCACCTGAGGTTGAAAGTTGGAGAGCAGCCTGGCCAACATGGCGAAACCCTGTCTCTACTAAAAATACAAAAATTAGCCAGGCATGGTGATGCATGCCTGTAATCCCAGCTACTTGGGAGGCTGAGACACAAGAATCGCTTGAACTCAAGAGGCAGAGGCTGCAGTGAGCCAAGATCATGCCGCTGCACACCAGCCTGGGCAACAGAGTGAGACCCTGTCTCAAAAAAAAAAAAAGTTTAACAGGAGAAAAACCACATTTAATTTTGTACATACACATAAGTGTCCTACAAAATATGAGACTCAAAGAAGGGTCAGATGTTCTAGGCTTATATAGCATCCTGAGCTACAGAAAGGCATAGGAACTTGGGACTTCTGGGAGGTGGTGGAGACTCAAGTTATGGGATGGTGAGGGGAGGAATTCTATGGTTAATGAAAGTGGTCTTGTTCTGTAGGAAATAAAATGATCTCACAGTAGCCCTCAGGAGAATAGGTGATTGGGCACAGCGTCAACCTCCAGTTTCCTCTCCTGTGATCTGAGTTTATTTTTCCCTGTTGATAATATTCTCAGGGAAAGGATTCATACCAGTTGAGTTCCTTTTGGAGGAACTCAGACAAACCCCCCGACTGCATCTGCTATTGTGCCCTTTGTCCAAAGTAATCAACATACCAAAGTGTCATGTTTTGGGGTGGCATTTCCTAAACTCCCTCAACCAGATAAGGTAATATTTACAAGTTCCTGGAATGAGGACACAGATACATCTTTTGAATGGGTGGCCACCATTCAGCTCCCTACAATAAGAGAATAAACAGTGGTTTCTTAATATTGTCTATGCTGCTTTTTTTTTTTTTTTTTTTTTTTTTTGTAGAGAGGGGGTTGCCAGGGTGGAGCACAGTGGTGCAGTATTAGCTCACTGCAGCCTCAAACTCCTGGGCTCAAGCAGTCCTCCCACCTCAGCCTCTCGAATAGCTGGGAGTACAGACTTGAGCCATTGGGCCTAGCACATCAGCTATGTTCTTAGTATTCCCAATCCTTATTCAGATTTTTCCATAGTCTTGACAACAAAGAATCTCGGGCTCATAAATTTGAAAAGGAGAGCTTTACTTCTTATAAAGGGTTGCAGCCTGCAAGGTGGCCATTCTGACAGGCTGGGAAGTGTAGTTTCTGGCAGAAGCTGAAAGCAAGTACTTTGAGGGAGGGATAAAGGGAACAGGAATTTACACAGAGTGGGGTGGCTAAATACACATATTTAATAAGCTATAGGAGGAGTCATGATAATGAAAGAAACAAGTGCATGCACAATTGAGCTTCATGCCTCTTCATGGGTTGCATATGCAAAAAACGGCTGCATTCGCATGATCCTAGGGTGGAGTTTTCAGCCCTCTGATGTCAAAAGGTAAAGCGCAGGAAATGAAAACCCTCATTGTGCATCCTCTCCAAAACCCATCTGGAGATGATGGTCAGTTTTAGGAAGAGATGCATAGTGAAACTGATGAACTGTCATTTTGAAACTGCGAAGTCAGTCTGGGCAACATAGCAAGACCTTGTCTCTACAAAAAATTTAGAAATTAGCCAGGTGTGGTGGTTTGTGCCTGTGGTCTCAGCTACTTGGGAGGCTCAAGTGGAGGACTGCTTCAGCCCAGGAGTTTGAGGCTGCAGTGAGCTGTGTTCATGCCACTGCACTCCAGCCTATGTGACATAGTGAGATCCCTTCTCAAAAAAAAAAAAAAAAAAAAAGAAAAGAAAAGAAAAGGAAAGTGCAAAGAGTAGGGAGTCTGGTTCTGGCCTCTAAAACCAATGAAGGATTAATCATCCCTTTCTTGATTTCTAGAGCTGGTTTCTGCTTACTCCTTAGGAAAGAATTCTGTTTAAAGGTTAATAAGGAAGGGGCATATTGAGGTGTGTTGGACTTCCCATCTCATCATAGCCAGGAATTCAGTTTTTTTTTTCTTTCTTTTTTTTTTTTTTCAAAGAGTCTTGCTTTGTTGCCCAGGCTGGAGTGCAGTGGTGCGATCTTGGCTCACTGCAAGCTCTGCCTCCCGGGTTCACGCCATTCTCCTGCCTCAGCCTCCCTAGTAGCTGGGACTACAGGCGCCCGTCACCACGCCTAGCTAATTTTTTGTATTTTTAGTACAGGTGGGGTTTCACCGTGTTAGCCAGGATGGTCTCGATCTCCTGACCTCGTGATCCGCCCGCCTTGGCCTCTCAAAGTGCTGGGATTACAGGCGTAAGCCACTGCGCCCGGCCGGGAACTCAGTTTTTAAGGTTGCTCTAGTGTCCCCTTAGCCACGATGGGGTCCATTAAGTTGGTTGGGGTGGTACTTAAAATTTTTATTTCTCAGTCTCAAAAATGTCATTTTACAGTTTGTTTGAATCAGGATCCAAACAAGCTGCACTCATTGCATTTGAATATATTTCTTTTTTTTTTCTCAAGAGGGAGTCTTGCTCTGTTGCCCAGGGTGGAATGCAGTGGCACAATCTTGGCTCACTGCAACTTCTGTCTCCTGGGTTCAAGCGATTCTCCTGTCTCAGCCTCCTGAGTAGCTGGGGGCTACAGGTGTGCACCACCATGCCTGGCTAATTTTTGTATTTTTTGTTGGAGACGGGGTTTCACCATGTTGCCCAGGCTGGTCTTGAACTCCTGACCTCAAGTGATCCTCAGAGTGTTGGGATTACAAGTGTGAGCCACTGTACCTGGCCAACATTTGAATATATTTCTTAAATCTCTTATAATCTAAAACATCTCTCCTCATTTTTATACCCTAAAATTGTTGAAGGAAGAAGAGGTCATTTATTCTGTACATTGGCTCACATTCTGGATTTGTTTGATTGCTTTCTTGTAGTGTTATACAGTTGTTTCTCTTTATTTCTTGTTAACTGGAAATTACAGCCAAAACTTGATTAGAGTCACTCAACTTTTTTTTTTACAAAAATACGCTATACTTCATAAATATTTCTGTTCAATTGCATCACATCAAGAAACAATGCTCAGCTGTCCCATGTTTCGTGATCTAAGATTGATTAGTACATGTAGGTTATCTTCAGTGTACATCCTTCAGTGTAAAATTCTCCCATAAATTATCTAATACTTTTAGCATCCATCAACGACTGTTGACTAAATAAGTTATTTATTGAGATCCTTCCTCTGGTCCAGACTGTTTTCATCAGATTAGTTTTATCTTTGTCCCCTTTATTTCTGTAGCCAATTGCCTAGGAAAGATCCTTTCATCTTCCAGCTTTCTTAGATCTCCAAATCTCTCAGGTCTACGGACATCTGAGGCAGGAGCGCGATCTGGCTTGCCTGGGGAGCTAACGAGATAAGGAATTGAGTCAGTATTTCCTAACGTTCACACTTGAAGCCCATAAAGCAGGCAGGTGGTTTTAATTTTGCCCCGCTGGGTGGGTTGGGGTTAGGGAAGGATGGGTTAGAGGGAGGCAGAGTGAATCGGGCAATCTCCCCTTTCCTGCGGTCAAACTCAAAGGCTTTTTCTAGAAATCCTTCAACTGAGCCTGGGCCCTTTGATTTTCAATTGAGGCAAGGCCAAAGAGTCCAGGCCAGGCGTGGGGGCTCCCGTTGTAATCCCAGCGACCAGGAGGCTGATGCAGGAGGATCACTTGAGGCCAAGAGTTTAAGACCAGTCTGGGTAACATAGTGAGACCCTGTCCTGAGAAAAAAAATTTAAAAATAGCCCAGCATGGTGGCGTGCCTGTAGTCCCAGCTACTCGGAAGGCTGGGGGCGGGCGGATCGCTTGAGCAGGAGTTCAAGTTCGCAGTGAGCTATGATCACGTCGCTGCACTCCAGCCTGGGCGACAGAGCGAGATTCTGTCTCTAAAAAAGAAAACAGTCCATAGGGAGTAGGTGGAATTAGAGTAGAAAGAGAGAGTCCTGGATGCTCCGAATGGAGCCTTTCAGAGCTTTAACCACGGGACTACATCTCCCAGAATTCCGCTCGCCGGATCCCACCGCACTGAAGGGACTGCGCGTGCGCGAGTCAGGTGACGACCCGCCCCTACAGGCCCCAGAACCCCCGAGATTCCCCGCGCTTGCCTCCCGCCCTCTTCTTCCAGACTCTCGGTCTGTCCGCTGGGGGCGCGCGCGGTGTGTGGCAGGCGGCAGCGGCGCTGGCGGCCGAGTGCGCTTGTCACGCGTGGCGGTGCGTGGTTGCTAGGGGCGCCTGAGGCTGCCGGGTAGCCCAGCAGGCCGAGGGAGGAAGTAGCGTGGAGCCGGTGCCGAGCCGGGGCGAAGCTGGATCCCCTAGGTGAGTGCGGCTGCGGAGCCAGGGGAGCCGACCCCAGACACTCCGCCGGTCCCACGCTCCCGACCTCCCTCTACCTGAGTCCTTTCGCGCGGGTCCCCAGCCCTCCGGCCACTCTCACCCTAGCCCCGCTTCCTCCCGCCACCTCTCATCCCCCGGGAGGCCAGGGAGCCGCGGCCTCCTACCCGGCCGGGACTTCGCGCCTCCTCGGAGCCCTTCTCCTCTCCGCCACGCCCCGCGAACTTAGTCGGCCTCGCCTCCGGGTGCCCGAACACTGCCTCATCCCCTAGTTATGGCCTCCGAGCTTCCTCTGTCCTGCCGCGCTGAGGTTTAAATTCCCTCTGGGTGTGAGCCCAAGCTCCTCGCAGGCTCCAGGGCCGAATTTAACATGGATATCTGCTTTTTCACTTCTCCATCCTCAGTATCTGTAGAAGAATACGTTCCTAAACTCCACAGATTCAAACAGGATCTGAGATCCTGTGGAATTTAATTCTTCATTCATCAATTCCTTTATTTAATCATTCACTAAACAATTTTTAGTAAACATTGACAAATATTTAATGAGCCTGGGTACAATGGGAGGGATTGAGGGGATAGAGTGGCTAATAGGACAAGCATGTTTTCACGGAATTTACAGTCTAGGAGATTATTAATCAAGTAAACGAGCATTTGCCATACTGTGGTGTGTGCTGTGATAGAACAGGAAATACTTAATCCGGACTTACTTAGAAAACGACATTATTGCCATTCCTCCTGGTCTTCACATTCCCATTCTGGATCTCGGAAATATTTTAATCCTTCCTTGATGAAATCTTCTTTGCTTTCTCAGATACTACAAATCACCTATTCTTTAACTGCAGCACCTGTTGATTTAGCATTTGGGGGACCCTTTGGGACAGTGTTCCATCCCATCCTTCTGTTTCTTGCACTGAATACTGAGACACTGTTTGCATTTAAACCACCCACTTTGTGCTCAGAAAGTTAGCAGCTACTTATATTGGACTGAATCAATCCTTGAAAAATTATCAAGTGTTTTCTGCGAATAGAGAGGTGGGAGGACATTCCAGATACACAGTGGCTTTAGGAAAGGGACAGCAAGTCCTGAAAAGAGAACTGGAAACAGTTTGACAGACCTGGGCTAGATTTGGAGGGAGCCATCCAGTAACAAATAGAAAGAGTGAAGTTAATAGGGGTTAGATCACAAAGGGCCTTGGATGTTTTGCTGAGTTAGAACTATATCCCTGGAGCAGTGGTTTTCAAGCTGGAGTAATCAGGGTTGTAGACTTCCAAGGGATACACTTGCACGTCTAGCTTAACATGAATACATTTCCAGATCCTCAGCTTCCCAGTGAACTTTTTTTTTTTTTTTTGAGACAGAGTCTTGCTCCGTCACCCAGGCTGGAGTGCAATGGCACGATCTTGGCTCACTGCAACTTCCACCTCCTGGGTTCAAGCGATTCTCCTACCTCATTCTCCGGAGTAGCTGGGATTAGAGGCGCATGCTGCCACGCTCGGTTAATTTTTTGTATTTTTTAGTAGAGACGGGGTTTCACCATCTTGGCCAGGCTGGTCTCAAACTCCTGACCTCGTGATTCACCCGCCTCGGCCTCCCAAAATGTTGGGATTACAGGTGTGAGCCACCGCGCCCGGCCCCAATGAACTCTTTTTCTAAAACTTCCCTTACAAAAAAAGGGTAGGAGGCTGTGTGTGGCAAATCCCTCACACTTCCCAAATTTTAATATGGTGTATTGGCCTGAGTGTAAAAATGTCCTCAGATACAAATAAGGACTACTTTGGAAATATTTATTTTCAGGAACACCTCCTTTAGTGATTTAAGTTACCTCCCAACCCAGAAGGCTTGCCAATACACAATCCCATTCGTGTAAACTGTATTCTTTGTTAAGATATTCTGAAAAGAACACAACAGTTAAATGTAACGGGAATGTCTTTTGGGACAATGGAATTTTTAAGTTATTTGGATAAAACTTGCGTAAAATTTTTAAAGAGATTTCTTTTAGTTCAGGTGTGTGTTACTCAGTAAGATAGTTAATACCTATTTTAAGACTGGGTGTTGTGGCTCACACCTGTAAATCCAACACTTTGGGAGCCTGAGGCAGGCTGATCGCTTGAGACCCAGGAATTCGAGACCAGCCTGGGCAACATGGCGAAACCTCTTCTCTACAAAAAAAAATATGTAAAAATTAGCCAAGCATGGTAGCGTGCTCTTATAGTCCCAGCTATTTGTAGGCTGAGGTGGGAGGATGTATTGAGCCCAGGAGGTTATCCAGGCTGGAGTGCCATGGTGTGATCATAGCTCACTGTAAACTCCAACTCCTGGGTTCAAGCCATCCTCCTGTCTCACCCTCCTGAGTAGCTGAGACTACAGGCATGCGCCACCCATCTGGCTAATTTTTTAAAATTTTTAGTAGTGATGGGGGTCTCTCTATGTTGCCCAGGCTGGTCTCAAATTCCTGGGCCCAAGTGATCCTCCTGCCTCAGCTTCCCAAAGTGCTGGGATTACAGGAGTGAACTACTGTGTCTGGCCTAGACGTTACCTTATATGTAAGGAACACATAGTTTTAAAAATTCTTTCAGGGATACATTAGTAAAATCATGTAAAGAATATGTTCCAGGAAAACCACAGAAAGATAATTATCAGGAAAATCATGTCAGATTTGTATTTAAGATTACTGTAGTGTCAATATGTTGGTTGAATAGGAAGAATTTTAGACTGGAGGCAGGGAGCCAATGAGAAAACTATTATAGTGGCCTAGGCTAGAGATGATGAAGGCTTTATGTTTGCTCTAGTGGAAATGGAGAGGGTTTAGAGAGATGTTAACCATGGTAGTGTTGACAAAACCTGGTGGCAGAATAGAGGTAGAAGAATGGGACAAGGAGCAGTGTAGAATGATTGTAAGTTTCTGATTTCAGTGACCATGTGGGTGGTGATGCAGCAGCACATCCAGGTAGAAAGGCCCAGGAGTTCATTCTGTAGGTCTGGAGCTCACAAGAGAGGCCTGGGTGATGATAGAGTTGAGAATATAGGAGGTGGTTGAAGCCGTGACGTGGAAGGGATTGCTCTGGGAGAGAGGTAATAATGGCAGCTGCCACTTGTTGAGTGCTCACTGTGTGCCAGGCAAAGTGAGAAGTCTGAACTCAGAGCAACACCAGCATTGAAAGGATGGGTAGAGCAAAGAGGAAGGAAGAAGGGGACAGAGAGAATACATAACCAAATGCAGAAATGAATGTGTGAATAGGAAGTTGTCATTTGCTGAAAATCTGTATCTAGATGAAGCCTTAACTTCAGAATCCATCTGATACTCATGTTTTGGAGTTGGATTTAGCTTTCTCACTAGATTCCTTCTATGACCTTGGAATTGTCTGATCATAGTGTCTGAATTTTAGCCTGTGATCAGGTGCTTTGGTAAATCACCAAAAGTCAGTAAATTACAGAGAAAAGCTTTTCCTTTAATGCCTTTTACTTCTTACCTTTTCTTCTGGCAGAGTTGGGAACAAATACTGAGAGTGCTCGTTTCTCTTAGGCCTTACAATACAAAGGACCTTGTCCTTCGGAGCCCTCATAGATATGCTAGAGAAGCATAGTGCTTCTCTAGACCGGCAGTGCTCAGAGCTCAGAGTTTTTGGGCTCAGGATTTCTTTATGTACTTGAAAAAGCTCTTTGGAATCTTCAGTTAAAAAAAAAGGGATATATATATATATATTTCAATATTCAATTTTTTCTTTTTAAATTTTGTTTAGAGATGGGGTCTCACTATATTGCCCAGGCTGGTCTCGAACTCCTGGACTCAAACAGTCCTCCCGCCTCAACCTCCCAAAGTGCTTACAGGCTTGAGCCACTGCGCTTAGCCTATATTTTAATATTATATTAGGAACTGAAATATTCATTTAGAAGTAATAAGCCCATTACTAACATGAATAACATTTTTACGTATGTTACAATTTACATTAACTGTATGCTAACGTAAGTTAGTTAACACAAACAGCATTTCTAACCTAAGTTATGGTTAGCATAAGTTCACTTAATGTTTTCATTTAAAAAATGCTACTGTTTTAAAAATATTAGTGAGAAGAGTGGCATTGTTTTTTAGATCTCTTTAGTGTCTGACTTAATAGAAGACAGCTGGATTTTCATATGTTTCTCCAGTCTATTGTGATAGTTGTTTTGATTGAATAATGAAAATCCAGCTGCACACAGATGGCTGGAAAAGGATGAAGTATTTCAGTAGTCTTCTCAGATAGTTGTGGGTATTGGTACTATGCAAAACAAAGCATGATTTTGTAAAGGCTAGTTACAGTGTGGAATCTGAAATGATATCAGTGAACATTTCATACTTTGTTATGTTAAAATCCATGGATCTGTCTCACTTTGACTGGGTCTTAGATCCATACATGATTCTGTAACATGTGATACAGTCATGCTACACAGTCATGGTATAGCCTATTGCTCCTAGGCTGCAAACCTGAACAGCATGTCACCATAATGAGTATTCTCTGCAGTTGCAACACAGTTGCAACACAATGCATCTAAACATTGAAGCATAGAAAAGGCTACTGTAAAAATAAGGAATGATAATCTTTTTTTTTTTCTTTCTTTAGAGGGAGTCTCAATCTGTCGCTAGGCTGGAGTGCAGTGGCGCAATCTCGGCTCACTGCAACCTCCACCTTCCTCGTTCACGCCATTCTCCTGCCTCAGCCTCCCAAGTAGCTGGGACTACAGGCACCCGCCACCACGCCTGGCTAATTTTTTTGTATTTTTAGTAGAGATGGGGTTTCACCATGTTAGCCAGGATGGTTTCGATCTCCTGACCTCGTGATCCACCTGCCTCGGCCTCCCAAAGTGCTGGGATTACAGGCGTGAGCCACCACACCCGGCCTGGAATGATAATCTTATGGGACATTGTCTTCTATGGGGACTATCTGTTGACTGAAACATTATGTGAGGCATGACTGTTAGGAAAATACTGGTTCACTGAGTTATGCAGATCTCCCACGTGTCACAGTTTATTGTATAGTGTCAAAAAAATCATATCACCACAATCTCTTCAGAGAAGTAGTTAAATATTGGGAAGCACTCAAACTCGTGGTGGCAGATACCATTTTGCCAAAATTCTAATTTTCTTTGGGAAGCTCAAATTTTATCATTGGCAACAAGTACAGTCAGTTGGTTTCCTTGAAGTGACAGGCTTACTTTGTTTCATTTTCCAGAACCTTTGCCAAATAATGACGTCGGAATAACTATTACTTATGTGTCATTCATTCTTTCAAGTAAACATGGCGTTCCACAGAAAAATCCTGCAATTCAGACAATCACACAAGTGCTTTAGAGATAATCAACATGTTCTGCATGCAGCATAAATGTTTTATATGTACTTCACATTTTATCACACAGAATATTAAAAAGCATACTCAAGGACACTTTTTAATGAGATTTAATATAATTTACACTGTGTCGGGCTGGGCGCAGTGGCTCACGCCTGTAATCCCAGCACTTTGGGAGGCCGAGGCGGGCAGATCACAAGGTCAGGAGATCGAGGCCATCCTGGCTAACACGGTGAAACCCTGTCTCTACTAAAAATACAAAAAATTAGCCGGGCGTGGTAGTAAGTGCCTGTAGTCCCAGCTACTCAGGAGGTTGAGGCAGGAGAATGGCGTGAACCCAGGAGGCGGAGGTTGCAGTGAGCCGAGATCGTGCCACTGCACTCCAGCCTGGCGACAGAGCGAGACTCTGTCTCAAAAAGAAAAAAAAAATTTACACTGTGCCATCAAGTAAACCTGGTTGTATTCTTTCACTGTGTGGTGGAAAAGTATAGTGGGTAAGAATCTAATTTCGTGCCATCGTCTTGATTCATGCTAAGTCACCAGCAGTTTTACTCATTATTGCTTTTGCTCTATCAGTGGAAAGGTCAGCACAGTAAAAAGGCAAATAACATCTTAGGTTTTTTTCTTTTTCTTTTTTTTTGTCCGAAGACAGGCTGGAGTGCAGTGGCATGATCATGGCTTACTGCAGTCTCCACCCCCCAGGCTCAGGTGATCCTCCTACCACAGGCATGCACCACCACATCTAGCTGATTTTTTGTATTTTTTTTTTGTAGAGACAAGGTTTCACCATGTTGCCCATGCTGGTCTTGAACTCTGGAGCCCAAGTAATTTGCCCACCTTAGCCTCCCAAAGTGTTGGGATTATAGGCACAAGTCACCCCACCCAGCTACCTCTTAGTTTTGTTATGAAAATATTTTCTATGTAGCAGGACCGCCAAAAGGATCTTAGGGTCCCCTCAGGGTCTGTGGACCATGCTTTGAGAACTGCTGCTCCAGAGCCCACCTGAGAAGGAGGAAAGAGCCTCCTTCCCGAAGCTGATAAAGGGCAAGGCTTCAGGAGAGTGAGTCACCCCATTACATAAACCCTTCCACTGGTTTCACTTTTCAGTAATTTATAGGTTTACCTCCCTCAGCTCCAGCTGCCATAACCTGTATCTTTTCCTCAGGTTTGCTTACTTGTTTGGCATTGCTAAACTGTGCTCTACAAGAGCTACCTGTAATTTCACTAATCTTGACTTATACGGACCCACCCTTCTCACTAGGCTGTATTCTTGACCTTCCTCTCTTAGTAGGGCTTTAGGAGAGATATATTGCTCCTCCACCTTTCCTTAGGGAGAGAGAGCTTGGGATTTATCTCATAAGAGAAAATTAATGTGATTCCTACACTCCTCTCTATTTGGTTCCAGGCAAGTCAGTTCTATCTTCTTCTTTTTTTTTTTTTTGGAGACAGAGTCTTGCTCTGTCACCCAGGCTGGAGTGCAGTGGCACAGTCTCGGCTCACTGCAAGCTCCGCCTCCCGGGTTCAGGCCATTCTCCTGCCTCAGCCTCCCAAGTAGCTGGGACTGCAGGCGTCTGCCACCACGCCTTTTGTATTTTTAGTAGAGATGGGGTTTCACCGTGTTAACCAGGATGGTTTTGATCTCCTGACCTCGTGATCCACCTGCCTCAGCCTCCCAAAGTGTTGGGATTACAGGCGTGAGCCTGTCAGTTCTATCTTCTAACATAACTGTTGAGCAGTTGAGGTAATCTCATCAGAGATCTTGTGGACTGTAGACTGAACCATTTCTGATGTCCTGAGTTTCCCTGGTGACCGAGGGAAACACCTAGTTGAAGGAGGAAAGGGAAACTGCATTTCCCAAGAGCCACACTCTCTTGTAGGAGAGTGATTTAATTAGTGGGTAATGAATAATTGCTTTCTCTAGAAATAGATACCTTGTCCAAGTTGGTCTGGGCCTGGTCCCTGGAGACTTGTTGGTTTGCGACAGCAGCAATAGATTTTCTTTTCTTTTTTTTTTTTCTTTTGAGACGCAGTTTCACTCTTGTTGCCCAGGCTGGAGTGCAATGGCGCAATCTCGGCTCACCGCAACCTCTGCCTCCCAGGTTCAAGCGATTCTCCTGCCTCCACCTCCCAAGTAGCTGGGATTACAGGCATGCACCACCATGCCTGGCTAGTTTTGTATTTTTAGTAGAAATGGGGTTTCTCCATGTTGCTCAGGCTGGTTTCGAACTCTCGACCTCAGGTGATCTGCCCACCTCGGCCTCCCAAAGTACTGGGATTTCAGGCATGAACCACTGCGCCCGGCCAGCAATAGATTTTCTAACATAGGCTACTAATCATTCACACTCCTTTAAGGAGGAAACTTGAGGCAAAATCACCCCATAAAGATTGGAGGACAGAACTGTATAGGCAGTTTCCAAATGCTGCATGAAGATGACAAAGTAGGATGTTCAGATTCCTGAGAATGGGTGTTTTAAAGGGGAGAGTCTGGAGCCAGGGACATCAGTCAGGCTGCTTACCTTAACAGTCCTGCACTTGGTGTTAGAGGGGTTGGAGACTGGGCTGAGGCAGCCATGCAAATAGAAGGGGATGTTTCAGGCCATTTTGTTGATCCATACAACTTTCTGCAGTTTTTTATTCTTCACTCTTACCCCTTTATTCAAGTTTTATTTTTATTTTTAACAGTTTTGTGGAGGTATAATTCACATTGAACATATCCATCGTTTCTAAGTCAATTTTTTAAAAACTTTTGTTCTAGGAAGACTTAGTGTTCCATAAAGTTGTTGGGGGAGGAGACTTGGGCAATATTGCTAATAGGAGGCCAAACTGGACCAGGGTTCTTCCCACCCCCTTCTGCCAGCGTGGCTCTGTATTTGAGGTTAAAGATCCCCAGAGATTTCCTATAAAAGCCATCATGAAGCTTATAGGGCATATCACTAGGGTAAGTGAACAGTGGTGTGAGATAGCCTTGGGAAAGTATCACGTGAGAGGGACACACAACAGGTGCTCGTGGAGAGGGTGGGTCTTGAGCTGGGTCTGGAAAAGGTAAATAAAATATGGTAAGGATTCACAAGGAAGAAGCTTAGTGGAGTAAAGCCCTGCAGACAGGCATTTGAAAGGTTTATTCCAGGAATTTAGTGTAAGACCAGCGCAGTTCACATAACAGAGTTCAAGGTAGGAGGAAATGGAAATAAGCCTTAAAAAAAAAAAAAAAAAGATTAAGGGTCGACTATGGAGTCTTGTGGACCAAAGCTAAGAAATCTCACATGACAGTCATCTGGAATGCTTGTTAAAACTGCAGACTCATGGCCCTACTCCACACCAACTGAATCCTCTTGAAGGTGAATCTCAGGACTTTGCATCTCAGGTTATTCTGATGCAGGTGGGCCACCACAGTGTTTAGTAAGTGCTCATGGACCGTTTTTGAAAAGGGATTGACCTGATGAAGCAATACAGCAAAATTAATCTGGAGGTTGCCTGCAGGGTGGAATTAGGAAGGGCACACCTTGGAGACACATGCTTCAGTCAGTGCTGTTGCAGTAAGTCCAGATCTAGGGGCATGGTGGAAATAATAAAAGGAGGAAGAATGCTAAGTAGACAGAGTGTCTTAAATTTCATGACTGGTTTCCCTTTGGGGAAATAAAGTAAAGGAAAAAGTCAGAAATAACTTAGTTTTCCTCTTAGGTGATTTGGAGAAAGAAGGGTCCACTCAAGGAAATGGGACGATCAGGAGTGGAGAGCTAGTTTGACACACTAGATTGAAGTGGTTGGACATGCATTTGGAAAGGTGGAACAGGCAGTTGGTGATGCAGACATGAAACTTGAGACGACAAATCTGCAAAATGACTCTTCTGCAGATAATAGTTGACATTGTGAGAGAGATTGATTTGATGTGGGGGAGGATGAAAGAACTGGAGGATTTTGGATTGGCCTCAGGAGGAGGAAAGACACTATTGAAGGGGTTGGGTACAGCTGTGGCAGAGTGCACGCACTGAGTAAAAAATAGCAACAAGGAGATGGTGGTAAGAGGGGAACGCCTTTTTCATATGAATAGGTCCAACTCGTGGCTTTGCTGATGTGATATTGTGATATAATAAGAAATACTCCAGCCTGGTCAGCATGGTGAAACCCTGTCTCTACAAAAATACAAAAATTATCCGGGCACGATGGCGGGTGCCTGTAATCCCGGCTATTCGGGAGGCTGAGGCGGGAGAATTGCATGAACGCGGGAGGCAGAGGTTGCAGCGAGCCGAGATCGTACCATTGCACTCCAGCCTGGGCAACACAGTGAGACTCCGGTCTCAAAAAAAAAAAAAAAAAGAAAGAAATACATAATTGGGGTGTGCCCCTGGTTCCTGGCTCCTAAAACCTTCAGAACTTGTAAGTGATAAGTGTCTTTTTATATGCTAATGAGATGATTGATAGCTGGGGACTCCTGAATAGCCTCAAGATGGGAGGCTGATTGCCGAGAGAACCAACCATGTGATTAGAGGGTTGGAACTTTCAGTTCCATCCCCCACCTTCTGGGAAGGGGAGTGGAGCCAAAGATTGAGCTGACTACCAATGGCCAGTGATTTATTCAGTCATGCCTATTAATGAAACCTGCATAAAAACCCAAAAGGACAGGGTTTGGATTGTTGAGCACATGAATGTACCTGGCACTCCCGGTAACAGCACGGAAGCTCCAAGCCCTTTTCCCCATCCCTTGCCCTATGCATCATGTATCTCTTCCATGTGGCTGTTCATCTGTATCCTTTGTAATAAATAGGTAAATGTAAGTGAAGTGTTTCCCTGAGTTCTGTGAGTTGTTCTAACAAATTGATCAAACCCCATGGGGGGGTTTTGGGAACCTCAATTTACCCCCAATTAATTAATTAATTAATTAATTAAGAGGTGGGGTTCTGCCATGTGGCCCAGGCTAATTTTGAACTCCTGGGCTCAAGCGATTCGCCCCACCCAAGGTGTTGGGATTACAGGTGTGCGTCACCGCGCCTGGCCAGGGAACACCAATTTATAGCAAATCAATCAGAAGCACAGGTCACAACCTGTGCCTTGCAATTGGAATCTGAAGTGGAAGCAGCCTTGTGGTACTGAGCCCTTAACCTGTGAGATCTGATGCTATCTTTAGGTAAATAGTGTCAGAATTGAATTATAGGATATCCAGCTGGTGGCCTCTGGAGCATTCCTTGGTGTGTGTGCCTCACACATTTTGATGACCAGAGGTGAAATATTCTGTACTGTGTTAAGAGTGACTATGTAAGGGAGTGAAAAAAGTTTTTTCCCCCTTAGCTGGTCATAGCTGTTGTAGATGCATTTGTTTATTCAGCAAATATTTAATGAGCCCTGATTACCATTCTAGGGCTGGATACATAAGCTCTGTGAAAAAGTCCCTGTGCTCAAAGCTTTCATTCTGGAAGATAGACAGATAGCAAAGAAATGCATAAATAATTGAGGTTTTTATTTTAAAATAGCCAGGCCCAGTGGCTCATACCTGTAATCTCAGCACTTTTGAGAGGCTGAGGCAAGAGGATCACTTGAGGGCAGGAATTCGAGACCAACTGGGGCAACATAGTGAGACTCTGTCTCTATTTAAAAAAAAAAATTAAAAAACTCAGAAGTTAAAATTAGGGCCAGGTGTAGGGGTTCATGTCTGCAGTCCCAGCACTTTGGGAAGCTGAGGTGGGAGAATCGCTTGAGCCCAGGAGTTTGAGACTAGCCCTGGCAAGATAGCAAGACCTTATCTCTACAAAAAATAAAAAAGTTAGCTGGGTGCGGTGGAACACACCAGTAGTTCCAGCTCCTTGGGAGGGTGAGATAGGAGGACCATGAGCCCAGGAGGTCAAACCTTGGTGACCAAGTGACCTGGTCTCAAACAAACAAAAAGAAATTAAAATTGTAGGAAAAGGTATACACAGATAAGTCATCTTTGTCTGTTTCCAACCTCATTGGTAGTTTTTAAAAAAATTACCAGCTTCTTTGTTCATCTTTTTTTTTTTTGAGCCAAGTGTAAGGAAATATAAATATATAATAATTTTAGATAGTGGAGGAATGAAATGGAGGGAATAAAACAAGGTAATGAAATAGGGAATGATTGGGGTAGGACAATATTAGATAGGATTGACAAGGAAGGCCTTTTTAGTTGAATACTGAGTGAAAGAACTAAGCCAGCCATTCAAAGATCTGAGTGTTTCAGAGGAAACCACAAAGATCCAGAGGTGGGAACGTTCCTCATGAGAGGAAGAGTGGCTCTGGATAAGGTCAGAGAGTCAGGAATCAGATCACATAGTCCTGGAAGCCATCAGATGATCTTAAGCTGTGTTTTAAAAAGAGTACTGTGTTTTGAAAAAGTAGCCACTGTCTGGAAAATAGATGATATAGAAGCCAGTAAATCAGCAGTTGAGAGATGATGGTAGCTTGACTAAGGTAATGACAGTGGAAATGGGGAAGAATAGCCAGATTCAAAGACATATATTTGAAGCTGGAAGGACTTGTTGATGGATTAAGTGGAATTGAAGATCTGCTGAGGTCAGGGTGAAAGCATCATTATGACAGGCATGTCGGGAGTTTCTGTGTTGTATGGAGGCCTGTCCAGGGACTAAGCTCCTTCTGCCTGAATATTTTTTATTGAAGTCTTCTTTGTGCAATTACAGCTTATTTCTTGGCCCTGACTCTGAAAGATTAATTGGACAAGAGGGGAATGTGATTGATCTGTTCTTCTCTCACTTTCCCCTAGCATGACTTGGTTAGAATCTGACATTCCCACCTTACTTTCAAGGAGATTAACAGATAACATGTTCTTTTCTTTTGAATAACAGTGGTTATAGAACCCTTGAGCTTGCCACAGTGCCCTCCTTGTTTCTTTGACTCTAGCCCTAAAATCCTTATCTCAGCCTCTAGGTTCCTGTTTCTCAGCTGGGTGCTGACAGCAACTGTTTTCTCAGTTGAGGGCACAACAAGGACTTGTGTTTTATTGGGATGTGAGGTTTTACACAGAATCACATTTAAATAGCATTTTCCCTCTAAGTATTGGAGACCTCCTACCAGCTTGTATGTTGATGGGTCCTAGAGAAAGTGCTTCCATTAAACTTTATCTGCCAGGCTTGAGTAATATGCCTTCCCTTGAACTCCCCTTGAGCCAGAGTTTACAAATTCACTGGCCATTGAGAGAGGTTGATTAATGGGTGCAAATACACATTCAAGATGATGCATTTTTGTTTGGAAATTGCAGAAGTGATGATATATCCTTAAGTGCATCATATCATGAAGCACATAATATCATCATTAGTAATAGTACAAATTGACATGGGCCTCATCATAAGATGCAACTAAGGATATATCATCACTTCAGACAAGGCCAAATTGAGTTTCATTCTTTAGAATAACTGGTCTGTATTCTTCAGAAGTGTCAAGCTCATTAAAGAAAAATAAAGGCTGAGGAACTATTACAGATTAAAGGAGACTAAAAAGATATGAAGGTGAATACAACTTGTGATCCTGGGCCAGATAAAGGACATTGATGGGACAGTTGGCAATATTTGGATAAGATCTGTGTATTAGATAATAGTAATATAGTTTATAGTATTATCAATGCTAATTTTTTGAATATAAGAGAATATCCTGGTTTTAGCAAACATTTAGGAAGTTTTTAGGAAGTATTCAGATGCAAAGGGGTATCATGTCTGCAACTTATGCTCAAACATTTCAAAAACCAGTTCACACAGAGATATATGTGAGAGAGAATATGAATGAATAATAAAACAAGTGTGGTAAAGTATTAACATTTGATGAATCTGGGGAAAGAGTAAACAGGAATTCTTTGTACTATTTTTGTAACTTTTTGCAAGTCTGAGATAATTGCAAAATTAAAAAAAAATTTTTTTAAACCTCATTACTACTTAAAGGGAAGTTTGGTTTTCCTCAGACCAGAAGGCAGGTAGCACACCAATCAACTTCAACTTTTCTTTGAAATTATACTGGTAGAAATAGATTTTAACAGTGAATGACTCAAGCAAATGGACTTACTTCTTGCTCCATTACCTGAAACAGGCCTACCCTTCCCCCTACTCTTCCTGGCCTCTGTTAACCACCAATCTGTTCTCTATATTCTGAAATCCACTTTTTTAAACTCCCACTTATGAGTGAGAACATGCCGTATTTGTCTTTCTGTGCTTGGCTTATTTTACTTTATATAATGACCTCTAGTTCCATACATGTTGCTGCAAATGATGGGAGTTCATTCTTTGTTTATGGCTCCATAATATTCCATTGTGTATATATACCACATTTCCTTTATTCATAGTCCATTTACATTCAGTGTTGTTATTGATAAGTAAGGACTTACTACTGCCATTTTGCTGCTTGATTTGTGGTTTCTTTGTAACTCCTCTTTCTTACTGTTTTTGTAGTTTTTTTCTAGTAGTATGGTTTAATTAATTGCTTTTTATTTTTAGTGGATTTATTACAGGTTTTTGTGGTTATCTGTGGTTATTGTGAGACTTATAAAAAACAGCTTATACTTATTTTATTTTCGTATTTTATTTTTTATTGAGACAGGGTTTCACTCTGTCATCCAGGCTGGAGTGCAGTGGCGTGATCATGGCTCACTGCAGTCTCGACTTCTTGGGCTCAGGCGATCCTTCTACTTCAGCTCCCCGACTAGCTGGGACCATAGGCACATGCCACCACACCCAGCTAATTTTTATTTTTTATTATTATTTGTAAAGATGGGTCTTGCTATGTTTCCCAGGCTGGTCTTGAACTCCTGGGCTCAAACGATCCTCCCACCTTGGCCTCCCAAAGTGCAAGCATGAGCCACTGCGCCCACCCTAGAACAAGTCATTTTAAGAGATGATAACTTTTTTTGTTTGAGACAGAATCTTGCTGTGTCCCCTAGCGTGGAATGCAGTGGTGTATTCACAGCTCACCACAGCCTCCATCTCCTGGGCTCAAGCGCTTTTCCTACCTTAGCCTCCCAAGTAGCTGGGATTACAGGCATGTGCCATCATGCCTAGCTAATTTTTTATGGTTTTTTTTTTGTAGAGATAGGATCTCACTATGTTTCCCAGGTTGGTCTTGAACTCCAAAAAATAGAAGTGAACAAATAAAGAACCATAAAAACATTCTACACTTTAACTCTGTCCTCCATGCGTTTTAACTATTTGTGTCTCAATTTACATATTTTTTATATTGCCTTTTTTTTTTGGAGACAAAGTCTTACGCTGTCGTCCATGCTGGGGTGTAGTGGCGTGATCTCGGCTCACCGCAACCTCCACCTCCTGGGTTCAAGCAATTCTCCTGCCTCAGCCTCCCAAGTAGCTGGGATTATAGGCACATGCCACCACACCTGGCTAATTTTTGTATTTTTAGTAGAGATGGGGTTTCACCGTGTTGGCCAGGCTGGTCTTGAACTCCTGGCCTCAAGTGGTCTGCCCGCCTCAGCCTCCCAAGGTGCTGGGATTACAGATGTGAGCCACCATGCCCAGCCTTATTTGCCTATTTCTTAAGAAGTTGCTGTAGCTATTATTATTTTTGACAAGTTTGTCTTTTGGGCTTCATACTAGAGTTATGATTAGATTGCATATCATAATTAGGGTATTAGACTGTTTGAGTTTGTCCATTTACCTAATTTTACTAGTGGATTTTATGCCTTCAAATGTTTTCTTTTTGCATGTTAATTTTTTTTTCCCCTTCAAATTGAAGAACTATCTTTAGCATTACTTTTAAGACGGGTCTGGTGGTAGTGAATTCTTTCAGCTTTTGTTTATCTGGGAAAGACTATCTCTCATATTTGAAGGGTAGTTTTGCTGGATACAGTATTCTTGGAGGGTAGTTTTTTTCAGCAGTTTGAAATGTTTCACTCTCTCACTTGGATAATTTCCGAGGAGAATTTTGTTGCCAGATGAATTGGAGCTCCCTTATATGTATTTGCTTCTTTTCTCTTGCTCCTTTTAAAATATTGTTTGCCCTTGAACCTTGAGAGGTTTAATTATTATATGCCTAGGGGTAGTCTTATTTGGGTTGAATCTGTTTGGTGTTCCCTGATCTTCTTGGACTTGGATATATGTATCTCTCTCAAGTTTTGAAAAGTTTTCTGTTGTTTATTTTTTTTCCGAGACAGAGTCTCAGTCTGTCAGGCCCAGGCTGGAGTGCAGTGGCACGATCTCAGCTCACTGCAACCTCTGCCTCCCGGGTTCAAGCGATTCTTATGCCTCAGCCTCATAAATAGCTGGGATTACAGGCGTGTGCCACCACATCCAGCTAATTTTTTCTGGTTTTAGTAGAAATGGGGTTTCACTGTCTTGGCCAGGCTGGTCTCGAACTCCTGGCCTCAAGTGATCCACCTGCCTCAGCCTCCCAAAGTGCTGGGATTATAGGCGTGAGCCACCACGCCTGGCCTCTTTTGTGAAATTTCTTATAGACCAGTAACTAGTTTCTTTCTTTCTTTTTTTTTTGAGATGGAGTCTCAGTCTGTCGCCCAGGCTGGAGTGTAGTGATGCAATCTCAGCTCACTGCAACCTTTGCCTCCCGGGTTCAAGTGATTGTCCTGCCTCAGCCTCCTGTAGCCTGTAGCTGGGATTACAGGTGTGCACCACCATGCTGGCTAATTTTTGTACTTTTAATAGAGATGGGGTTTCACCATGTTGGTCAGGCAGGTCTCAAGCTCCAGACCTCAAATGATCCACCCACCTCGGCCTCCCAAAGTGCTGGGATTACAGGTGTGAGCCACTGTGCCCAGACTGCTAATTTCTTTTAGTAAGCCACCCCTGTAGCTTGTTTAGCTCCCTCTTGAATACCAGTAATTGTTAGATTTGGTCTTTTGAGGTAGTTTTCTGTATCTTATAGGTTATCTTTGTTGCTTTTCATTCTGTTTTCTTTTTTCTCCTTTGTGTATTTTCAGATAGACTGTCTTCAAGCTCACTGATATTTTCCTCTGCTTGATCCATTGTGCTGTTGAGAGCCTCTAGTAAATTTTTCAGGTAAGCAAATTTATTTCTCAGTTCTAAGATTTGTTTTAAAAATTATTATTAACAATCTCTTTGTTAAATTTCTCTGATAAATTTCTGAATTTGCTTTTCTGTGTTATCTTGGAGATCACCAAGTTTCCTTATAACTGCTATTTTGTTTGGGAGGCCAAGGGGGGTGGATCACAAGGTCAGGAGATCGAGATCATCCTGGCTAACACGGTGAAACCCTGTCTTTGCTAAAAATAAAAAAATTAGCTGGGCATGGTGGCGGGCGCCTGTAGTCCCAGCTACTCAGGAGGCTGAGGCTGAGGCAGGATAATGGTGTGAACCCAGGAGGTGGAGCTTGCAGTGAGCCAAGTTCACACCACTGCACTCCAGCCTGGGCGACAGACAAAGTGAGACTCTGTCTCAAAAAAAAACAAACAAAAAAACCCTGCTATTCTGAGTTCCTGGTTAGAGAGCTCATGTATTACTGCCTCATTAGAGTTAGTCACTGTTTTCTTGCTTTGTCCATTTCTTGCTTTGTCATAGTTCTCTGTTTGCTGTTATTTCTTGTGGATATATGTGTATGTCTTTACACTGAAGGATTATTTATTCCAGTCTTCTCTGTCTGGCTTGTTATTGGATATGTTTGTTTAGAGATTTTTTGTAACTTAACCTGTTGACTTATCTTTTTTTTAAATCACTAGGTCACTACCTCTTTTTCAACACTAGATGGCATCTTGGCCCCAGGTTTGTCTTGGCTTTAGCGCAGTGTTCCCCAACCTTTTTGGCCCCAGAGACCAGTTTTGTGGAAGACAATTTTTCCACTGACTGGGGTGGGTGGGTGGGGGAGGCGATGGTTTGGGGATGATTCAAGCACATTAAATTTTTTGTGCACTCTATTTCTGTAAATACATTGTAATATATAATGAAATAATTATATAACTCACCATAATGTAGAATCAGTGGGAGCCCTGGGCTTGTTTTCCTGAAACTAGATGGTCCCATCTGGGGGTGATGGAAGATAGTGACAGATCATCAGGCATTAGATTCTCATAAGAAGCATGCAACCTAGATCCCTTACATGGGCAGTTCATAATAGGGTGAGCGCTCCTATGAGAATCTAATGTTGCCGCTGAGCCTATAGGAGGTGGATCTCAGGTGGTAATGCTTACCTAAGTGGTAATGCCCGCTTGCCCAATGCTCAGCTCCTGCTGTGTGGCCTGGTTTCCTAACAGGCCATGGACCAGTACCAATCTGTGGCCCAAGAGTTGGGGACCCTGCTTTGGAGCACTGCCCTTCGCAAATGGAGGAGGTCCCAAATGGTAGAGGTCCCAAAAGGAATATCCTGGCAATGTGGGAAGGCTGACTAGGGATTTGTGCCCAGGAGACCTGTAGAACATACCTCCTATAGAGAGAAGTGCTGCTGAACAGCCACTCTGATTTGGTATCTCCTTTGGCTGAGTTACAGAGCAGAGAGTCCAGGGCTGAATATGGTAGTCCCACCTTGCTTTGTTTCTGTCTGTCTTTAGGGATGTTTCTCTCTTCAGGCACTCTTGATGCTTTCTGTGGGTTGAGGCATGGACAGGGAAGCTGGTGGTCTATTTTTTTTTTTTTTTTTTTTGGCGGGGGGGGGCATAGTTTTGTTCTTGTTGCCCAGGCTGGAATGCAATGGCATGATCTCGGCTCACTGTAGCCTCCACCTCCCAGGTTCAAGAGATGCTCCTGCCTCAGCCTCCCAAGTAGCTGGGATTATGGATGCCCACCACCATGCCCGGTTAATTTTTTATATTTTTAGTAGAGACGGGGTTTCGCCATGTTGGCCAGGCTGGTCTCGAACTCCTGGCCTCAGGTGATCCGTCTGCCTCGGCCTCCCAAAGTGCTGGGATTACAGACGTGAGCCACTGCGCCCAACCTGGTTGTCTATCTTGATATCACTTTTTCCACTTTAGAAATTGTGAGTTGGGGGCAGGTTTTCTATGTCCTTGGTCCCAGGAAGATTGAGGGAGGGGATGCTGCAGATGTGGAAGTCCAGTTTTCTTACCACCTTGTCAGAATTTTTTCCCTTCTCTGTGGTCCCAGGAACGGTCTCCTCTTCATACTTGAGTTCTGGGATTTTACTGGTGATAATCTTGGTGCTGTGTATTTGTGTTTGGTTTTCTGTGAGGAAGAGTGAAGCCAGCTTGCTTCTACACTGCCATTTTGGAACCAGAAGTCCCTATTCTTAGATACTTTATTCTTTTTGGTGCTGTTGTGAATGGAATTGTGTATTTCATTTTTACATGTTGTTTGTTTGTTGCTAGTATGTAGAACTAAAACTAACTTTCGTGTATTGATTGTGTATTCTGTGACCTTACTAAACTTGGTTATTAGTTCTAGTAGGATTTTTTATTTGATAAATGTTTTAGGATTTTCTTTTCTCTCTCTTTTTAAAAAAAAAAAAAACAAAAAAAAAAAAAACAGGATCTTATTCTGTCACCCAGGCTGAAGTTCAGTGGTGTGATCATGGCACATTGCAGCTTCGACCTCCCAGGCTCAAGTGATCCTCCCACTTCAGCCTCCTCAGTAGCTGGGACTACAGGCTTGTGCTAATTTTTAAAATTTTTTGTAGAGATAATGTCTCCCTATATTGCTCAGGCTGTTCTCAAACTCATGGTCTTAAGTGATCCTTCTATTTCATCTTCCTAAAGTATTGGGATTACAGGCGTGAGCCAATGTGCCCAGCCAGGATTTTCTATGTACAAGATCATATGTCCTACAAATAATGACAGTTTTACTTCTTCCTTTCCAATCTGTGTATCTTTGATTTCTTTTTCTTGCCATGTCAAACTGCTTAGAATTTCTAGTATAGGGTCTAATAGAAATGGAGGTTAGGCATGGTGGCTCATGCCTGTAATCCCAGTACTTTGGGAGGCCGAGGTGGGCAGATCACGAGGTCAGGAGTTTGAGACCAGCCTGGCCAATATGGTGAAACCCCATCTTTACTAAAAATCCAAAAAAAAAAAAAAAAAAAAAAAAAAAAAAAAAAAAAAGAAAAAAAATTAGCTGGGTGTGGTGGCGCGTGCCTGTAGCCCCAGCTACTCGGGAGGCTGAGGCAGAACAACCACTTGAACCTGGGAGGGGGAGGTTGCAGTGAGCTGAGATCATGCCACTGCACTCCAGCCTGGGCAACAGAGCGAGACGCTGTCTCAAAGTAAATAAATAAATAAATAAATAAAATAAAAAAGAAATGGAGAGAGTGGACATCCTTGTCTTATTCCTAATCTCAGAGGAAAAGCATCTCATAATTGACTATTAAGTATGATGTTAGCTGTATCTATGGTCTTTTGACATGTCTCTATCAAATTTTGACCACTTCCTTACTTTTTGGCAGCACAAAATATTCCATTCCCATCTCCTGCTCTCCCTGCCCCAACCTTGGAATCAGCCATTTTTCAAGGAGCTCTGGCTGCTTTTATTAACAGATAGTATTTAAAATACTATCTGTTACAGGTGTGCACCACCATGCCGGGTGTGGTGGCTCATGCCTATAATCCCAGAGCTTTGGGAGGCCAAGGCAGGAGGATCATTTGAGGACAGAGTTTGAGACCAGCCTGGGCAACATAGTGGAACTCTATTGCTATAAAAATAAAATAAAGTAAAAAATTAGCTAGGCATGGTGGTGTATACTGGTAGTCCTAGCTACTCAGGAGACTGAGGTGGGCAGATGGTTTGAGCCCAGGAGTCCTAGGCTGCAGTGAGTTATGACTACACCGCTGCACTCCAGCCTTGGTGACAGAGGGAGACCTTGTCTAAAAAAAAAAAAAGAATTGGCTGGGCACGGTGGCTCACACCTGTAATCCCAGCACTTTGAGAGGCCGAGGTGGGTGGATCACTTGAGGTCAGGAGTTCGAGGCCAGCCTAGTCAACATAGTGAAACCCCATCTCTACTAAAAATACAAAAATTAGCCAGGCGTCGTGGCGGGTGCCTGTAATCCCAGCTACTTGGAAGGCTGAGGCAGGAGAATCACTTGAACCCGGGAGGCAGAGGTTGCAGTGAGCCAAGATTGTACCACTACACTCCAGCGTGGGCAACAGAGTGAGACTCTGTTTCCAAAAAAAAAAAAAATTTCACAAAAGCTCCCAAATAACAAGACGGTTCTGTTTTACAAAAGAACATTGCTTGTCCTCGCTGAAGTTTTGTAGTGGAATAATTGTTGCCTATTCCTTGTATTTTTCTGCCTTCATCACAGCTTATGAAGGGGCAGAGGGGAGATAGATCATTTGGTGCCAGTGAGAATGAGAGTTGTAACTACCTTGCTGCAAACGTTTACTGGGAGCCACTGTGCTTTTTGTGTGCTTTATGCGAATTTTTAAACTTCACCTCCCACAACTTCAGTCGGGGTATGGTACTTCCTTTCTCTTGTCTTTCCCTGAACATTCCAGCTGTGCGGTTTCAGAGTTGCATGTGATTCACTACTGATCAGTGCTCTGATTGTCATGAGTCACCACAAGGCCGTAGCTGCTCATGCAGCCTGGCTGTGAGGAGGACCTAGATTGAGGAATTTAGCTACAGAAATAGGCTTGTTTTCTTCTAAACTTGAACTCTGCCTGCTATAGCTTAGTGTTTATACCCTGTTTGCCCCTTAAGCCCTCCTGTTCCCTAGGGATCCTGTGTAGGAACAAGAAACACATTAGATCATTGCTCCATAAAATGTTAGATTATTCAAAATATCATTTTTCAGGTGAGGTCAATTTATTGGCCCCTAAAGTAAGTTCCTTGCAAGCTGCTGATTGGAGGGTCAGCTGATGGTAGATCCTTTGGACTTAGTAACAGAGAGTAAGTATGAATGTCTTGAGCTATCTTTAAGTAGTATAAATATGTAGTTAATCCTTTATAATTTACATAGTCAGCAATTACTCTTTATAAGTTTAGATTTGTTTAAGTTGGGAGTTTTTGAAATGGGCTTCCAGTAGTAGCCAGTACATAGCCTTCTACATATGTAAATACCTTTTCTCCTGTTGTCTTTCTTTTGATGTTTCTTCCTAAAATACTTCCTGGGAGATGAGCAGTCTGCCTTTTGGATCCTAGAGGCGCACATATACACAAAGTGTGCATTATCACAGTACACTTAGAAATATAAGGGACACTGGGAGAAAGGTCTTCCAGGTGTCATCGTAGGAGGGCAGAGTATATCACAGGGAATGGGCTTGATGACTTTGCTGAAAATTGCCCTTCGAGTATGTGCTGTCGGTAGGGTCTGGGTGCCAGACATTATTTGCCTCTCTGGACTTTGACTTTATGGCAGAACTCACTATGTTAGCTTTTAAAACAAGGTTCTCACTTCCTTCACTTCTTAGATTTTGGGTCTTCAGAAGCTTTTTAAAGTTTGTCACTTGCATTCCTGTAGGGCAGTGGGCAGGATGCGGGAAAAGATGACCTGTGGCAGTGATTGGGGGTCTGGGACCCAAGCTGCCTGAATGCTTTAGTTAGGCCTCTGCCTCCCAACCATTTGAGGTTTTGATCTCATCAGGAATCTCTATAAGGAGAAGGAAGGAAGTTGTTTTTAGCAACCATCATTTCCCTGTCTTAACGTGACACTACTTCTGAACCTCAAACACTGAAACTAGGTTGGAGCATTTGTATGTGATACTGTCGTGAGTGATACTGTTTACTTGGCATTCTTGAAGTTACTCTCTGCAGAGTATCTGATGCAACAAATTTGTCTTTGCTTGGTAATTCCTAACACAGCCATCTTATCCAACCTTGGATATCTCTTACTAACTTTGGAGCTATTTCCCAGAAAGAGAGTTACAGAAACATCCTCTCACCTGCTTGGCCCTTGAGTCCAGACATATTTCTTTAGGAAGACAGTGGCCCTTATCCAACTTGCTATACTACACATCATGGGGACTGTATTAGTTCGTTCTCGTACTGCTATAAAGAAATACCTGAGACTGGGTGATTTATAAAGAAAAGAGGTTTAATTGGCTCATGGTTCTGCAGGCTGTATGGGTAGCATGGCTGCGGAGGCCTCAGGAAACATTCAGTTGTGGCGGAAGGGGAAGCAGGCACGTCTTCACATGGCCAGAGCAGGAGAGAGAGAAAGCAGGGTGGTGCTACACACTTTTAAACAACCAGATCTCATGAGAACTCACTATCATGAGAACAGCAAGGGGGAAATCCGCCTCCATGATCCAGTCACCTCCTCCAACATTGGGGATTACAACTCAACATGAGATTTGGTGGGGACACAAATGCAAACCATATAGGGACTATGAGAGGAGACAAGAAGTGGGAAATGACCATTGCAGAGATATGAGATCTGGAATACCTTAGAGAGAAGAGAATCCACTCTACTCTAGTACCTGCCCAGGTGTGTTGTTTAACACTTTGTCTGGGAGCAGGCCACCTGCAGCTTCTGAGGAGGGTAGGCATGTATCCTTGTCCTCCCTCTTCCTCTTTTGGATTAAAAGCCAAGCCAGCTGGGTGTTGGGCTATTTGTGTTCATGTGCTTGGCACTGAGGGTTCATGTGGTGGGATGTAGCAAGGCAAACATTGAGCAATGTGTGTGCAAAAGGAAGTGTTGTGCAGTGAGTGCCTGTGGCTACAAGGGAGAGTGGGATTGGCTGTGGTGTTGATGAGAAGTCAGTGATGTGCTTTTAGGGACTTTCCACAAAGGGCCTTGGTATAAACATGGAGGAGTGTTTCCAACCTGGCTTTTGTCTGGTACCTAAAGATTAAAGATAATGGAGGGGATGGAGTCTAAATATGTGTTTCATTCTGTTTAATAGGCATTGTAGACTCAGACAGATTTGAGTTTTAATCTAGGCACTGCTACTTATTGGTTATTTAATTATAGGAAAGTTACTTAACTTTTCTGAGTCTTGGATTCATCATCAGTAAACTGAATGTAAGGTTTTTTTTAGGATTAAATGAGATAATATGGATAAAATGCCTAGCATGGTACCAGACATTCATTAGGTGCCCAAACTAGTATTCAAGTTTGTTTCCCCTTCATTTACTGTGCTTTTCCAGTTTGTTTACTCAACAGAATATTGAGCACTTCCTGTGTATCAGTCACTGTGTTGGGGACATCAGCTGGAGGAGAATGTGCTCCTTGCTCCTAGTGTGATGAGTTAGTTCATTGTTGAAGCTAATGTTCTGTGAGCAGTGATGGTGGCATGCGCAGAGGTGAGGCATCCTGTTCAAACTCAGGAGTCAGGGAAGACTGCCTAGGTCATGTTGCAGCTGATTTTTTAAGTTGGGTGAAGAAGAAGAAAGGGCTCCAGGAACAGCACTTGTAAGGGAATGAAGAGCTGAGCTAGCATGATGCACGTGGGAATCAATAGTGGGGCTGTTTTTCAGGGGGACCAGCCTGAGTTTTCATTTCCCTAGGCATTCTCCTACCACTTTGGTATGTCTGTTGTGTTGCATTGGTGGGGAAAATGTGGCTTCCCGAAAGAGGATTAAGTGACGGGATTATGAATTATTTTGAGTGTACTTAATACACATGCATGCGTGCTTGTAGTCTCGTAAAGTGAATGGCAGGATTTGACTTTTCCCTTTGTCTCTATGCTTCTCTACCACAAACACACGCTGTAATTGTTCCAAGCACGGTATTTCCATAGTTTGGATTTGTGTGGTGGTCCATTTTCTGTAACCTCATTTTGAGGTGACTGGCCTCAAAATCCAGTTTTAGCATTTATGCTGTTTTTAGCTCATTATCATTTTGAATATTGGCAGTGCTGCATTGTGATTTTTTGTACTCCCCTTGAGAAAGAGTCCATGTAGGTCAGCCTTTGCAGGTAAAGAGGGCGATATCCCATGGCTTCTGCAGTGTTTGTTGGTGGTATTCATTCGTGGCTGTAGACAGGAATCTTAGTTCTTCCTTGGCCATTACACTGTTAATCAGAATACAAGGTACTCTCCCCATTTTTGCATTTTAAATATAACTTAAGCGAAAAAACCATCTCTCCTAGGGCTGGGTTCAGTGGCTCAGGCTTGTAATCCCAGTTTATTGGGAGGCTGAGAGAGGAGGATCGCTTGAGGCCAGGAGTCGAGACCAGCCTGGGCAGCATAGTGAGATACCGCCACTCCCTATCTTAATAAAAAAATTTAAAAAAATCAACTGTGTGTGGTGATGCATGCCTGTGGTCCCAGCTATTTGGGAGGCTGAAGGGGGAGGATCATTTGAGTCCAGGAGTCTGAGGCTGCAGTGAGCCATGTTTGTGCCACTGCATTCCAGTTTGGGTGACAGAGCAAGACCCTCAAAACAAAACAAAACCTCTCTGCAAATTCCTTCCCTCTAGCTACTCTGAAAACACACTTGATGAGAATGTCAGGATTCCATTCAGAATTATCCCAGACAAATGACTCCTTTTTTTTTTTTTGAGACAGAGTCTCACTCTGTCACCCAGGCTGGAGTGCGATGGCGCGATCTCGGCTCACTGCAACCTCCGCCTCCCGAGGTCAAGCGATTCTCCTGCCTCAGGCTCCCAAGTAGCTGGGATTACAGGCACCCTCCTCCGTGCATGGCTAATTTTTGTATTTTTAGTAGAGAGCGTTTCACCATGCTGGCCAGGCTGGTCTTGAACTCCTGACCTCGTGATCCACCTGCCTTGGCCTCCCAAAGTGCTGGGATTACAGATGTAGCCACCGTGCCCAGCCTTTTTTTTTTTTTTTTTTTTTTTGTGAGACAGGGTCTCACTCTGTCACCCAGGCTGGAGAGCAGTGGTGCTATCTTGGTTTGCTGCAACTTCCACCTTCCATGCTCAAGCGTTTTTCATACCTCAGCTTCCCAGGTAGCTGGGACCACAGGCATGCGCCACCATACCTGGCTGATTTTTGTATTTTTTGTAGAGACGGGGTTTTGCGATGTTGCCCAGTATGGTCTCAAACTCCTGAGCTCAAGTGATCTGCCTGCCTCAGCCTCCTAAAGTGCTGGGATTACAGGTGTGAGCCATTGCACCTGGCCACGAATGACTTTTTACAGTTTTTGTTATTTCCCCCAGATGCTGCCATGAAAGCAGGCCCACCTTTCCTTACTGGAGAATATTTTGTGAATTTGATTTAGAAAGTAAGTGACCATGCTGAACAGTTTGAGACCCAGAAGGCTGGCTTACAGGTTTTGTATTAAAGGAAACACTGATTGAGAAGATGCAAAAGAGACAGGCTCTTCCTCCCTGAGATCAGCCCAAACTTAAGCCTGGGCTTTGGAGTAAAGAAAGCTTCTGTCCTCTTCTTACTCCCTGAACTCTCCTGTCCCAGTATGGCTGCTGGAAATAAAGTCACTTTAAGTAAAAATAATGCTGGTGTTTAGTTCAATTTCCTTTCTTCTTTTTCCCACCAACACACAGGATGGAATTTAAATCTGTATAGTTAGCAGAGATGAAATTGCTGTCTCAGCTCCAGAATAAACTCCGGGATCAGCAAGGGAATTCTCTTCTCCTGTCTGAACTTGTCCTATTTAACCATGAAAAGCAGACTAAATCAGAGGCAGCTGAGTTGATTTAGGGAGCAGTAGATGTAAAATGAGTTTTTCAGATCGTCTTTTTTTTTTTTTTTTCTGAGATGGGGTCTCACTCTGTTGCCCATGCTGGAGTACAGTGACACCAGCTCAGCTCACTGCAACCTCTGCCTCCCAGGCTCAAGCGATCCTCCCACCTCAGCCTCCCCAGTAGCTGGGACTTCAGGTGCACGCCACAATGCCTAGCTAATTTTTGGTAGTGACGGGGTTTTGCCATGTTGGGCAGGTTGGTCTTGAACTCCTGGGCTCAAGCTGGGATTACAGGTGTGAGCTGCCTCACCTGGACTCAAATAATCTTTAATCTTTCAGAATTGATTTATGAGAAGGAAGATACTGAGTCCTCTCTCTCACTTCAGATTTGCTTTATTCCTAGCCACACTGGTTTTGGGTGAGGGAAGGTAGCCCCTCATGGAAAGTTGTGGGCGGTGAGACAGAAAGATGTATTTTTTGTTGGAGAGAGAGGAAAGCTTTCTGAGTGACAGAGTGGGGACTCATAAGCAGCTTCACAGTGGTGGTGGCACCTCAGTGTTTTAGTCCGTAATGAAGCCAGCTTTGATCCTATGAGGGCAGTAGGAAGATCATTGAAAACTCCCTGGAAATCTGGTGTTCTTCTCCCAGTGCCCCAAATGACGACCAAGACTGGTTGCCCAAAAATGCTGAAGTGGGACTGTACTGCTTACCTGAGGACCACTGTAGCATGGTGTCCGTTCTCCTGGCACTGTAACATTTCCTATCATTTCTCTCCACTTCAGACTGACAGACTTCAAGGATGCAGCTGCTACTACCGGAGGTGTGTGGCACCTTACCTCAGCAAGGCCATGAGACCGTGTGGCCATGATGTGGGCCCCTCATGGCCTCAGCAGGAACACAGCACTATAGTATTGGCCTCCGCCAGAAAAACAGCTTCAAGCAGAGTGGTCCCTCAGGCACAGTACCTGCCACGCCACCTGAGAAACCCTCGGAGGGCAGAGTCTGGCCTCAGGCCCATCAGCAAGTGAAGCCAATCTGGAAGCTGGAAAAGAAGCAAGTGGAGACACTGTCAGCAGGGTTGGGCCCAGGCCTCTTGGGCGTCCCACCCCAGCCAGCATATTTCTTTTGCCCCAGCACTTTATGTAGCTCTGGGACCACGGCTGTCATTGCAGGCCACAGCAGTTCCTGTTACCTACACTCTCTCCCGGACTTGTTCAACAGCACCCTGCTATACCGCCGCTCCAGCTATAGGCAAAAACCGTACCAGCAACTGGAGTCTTTCTGCTTGCGTTCGAGCCCGTCAGAAAAAAGCCCTTTTTCTCTCCCTCAAAAGAGCCTCCCTGTCAGTCTCACTGCCAACAAGGCCACTTCTTCCATGGTCTTCTCCATGGCCCAGCCCATGGCCTCCTCATCCACAGAACCATACCTCTGCTTGGCAGCGGCTGGGGAAAACCCTTCAGGGAAGAGCCTGGCCTCTGCCATCTCAGGGAAGATCCCATCTCCACTCTCTTCCTCCTATAAGCCCATGCTGAATAATAATTCCTTCATGTGGCCAAATAGCACGCCAGTGCCTTTATTGCAGACCACACAGGGCCTGAAGCCAGTATCGCCACCCAAGATCCAGCCTGTCTCCTGGCATCATTCAGGGGGTACTGGAGACTGTGCACCGCAGCCTGTTGACCATAAGGTGCCCAAAAGCATTGGCACTGTCCCAGCTGATGCCAGTGCCCATATCGCCTTGTCTACCGCTAGCTCCCACGACACATCCACCACCAGTGTTGCCTCTTCCTGGTATAACCGGAATAACTTAGCCATGAGGGCAGAGCCACTTTCCTGTGCTCTGGATGACAGCTCTGATTCCCAGGATCCAACTAAGGAGATTCGGTTCACTGAGGCCGTGAGGAAATTGACCGCAAGAGGCTTTGAGAAGATGCCGAGGCAAGGCTGCCAGCTTGAACAGTCTAGTTTCCTGAACCCCAGCTTCCAGTGGAATGTCCTCAACAGGAGCAGGCGGTGGAAACCTCCTGCGGTAAATCAGCAGTTTCCTCAGGAGGATGCTGGATCGGTCAGGCGGGTCCTCCCTGGTGCCTCAGATACCTTGGGGTTGGACAATACAGTCTTCTGTACCAAGCGTATCAGCATTCACCTCCTTGCCTCACATGCCAGTGGGCTCAATCACAACCCTGCCTGTGAATCTGTAATTGACTCCTCAGCATTTGGAGAAGGCAAAGCTCCAGGTCCCCCTTTTCCTCAAACTCTTGGCATAGCCAACGTGGCCACCCGCCTCTCTTCCATCCAGCTGGGCCAGTCTGAGAAGGAGAGACCTGAGGAGGCCAGGGAGCTGGACTCATCTGATAGGGATATTAGGTATGTTGGCAATGTTTTTGGTTCATTTAGAGCAGTAGAATGTATATACCATAATTTGGGGTGGCACCGACCCTGTACCTCTGAAGGTTGGTTTTATTTTTTAGCTGCCCTAGAATTTTTGGTTTTCACTTCAGGGCAAGGGTTGGGAAACTATAGCTTGCAGACCAAATCTTGCTTGTTGCCTGCTTTTGTAAATAAAGTTTTGTTGGAATGCAGCCTTGTCCATTCATTTGCAGTTGTCTGTGGCTGCTTTCTTGTTACGATGGTAGAGCTGAGTAGTTGTGATAAACCGACTGGCCTGCAAACAAAAATATTTACTCTCTGGTCCTTTAGAGAAAGAGTTCGCCAACCCCTATTTTAAGTAAAAACCAGGAGAGAAATAAGAATTGTGAGCACCAAATGTTGAAGCCTGTGACTTTCCTACTTTTTCCAAACCAAATGAGGTTCTCAGTCAT